>NC_000012.12:10209650-10834650 GCF_000001405.40 Homo sapiens
GTGGTGTTCATCATACTATTTGTCAAAATTCTCTACATGTTTGAAAATATTCATAAAAGATTGAAAAAACTTCTAACCCTTGAAATCATTTTAAAAAGTACAAGAAACATCAAAAATGTATTTGAGAAAATGTGAGCTTTTTAATGTAGTATTTTGATTTTGGTTAAATAAGACATTTTGAAATGTTTTACTCGATTGTGTTAATTTAAAATTTACTTTCATAGGCCGGATTACATCTGTAATCCCAGCACTTTGGGAGGCCGAGGAAGGTGGATCACTTGAGGTCAGGAGTTCGAGACCATCCTGGCCAACATGGTGAAACCCCGTCTCTACTAAAAATACAAAAATTAGCCGGGAGCGGTGGCAGGCGCCCATAGTCCCAGCTATTCGGGAGGCTGAGGCAGGAGAATCCCTTGAATCCGGGAGGAGGAGGTTTTAGTCAGCCGAGATTGCGCCCCTACACTCCAGCCTGGCGAAAGAGTGAGATTCTGTCTCAAAAATAAATAAATAAATAAAAATAAATACAAAACTCACCCACAAAATTAAAGAAACTAAGTTTCATTACTGGCACCAGAAAACGAATCACATAGTCCCACTTCTTCATGTATTTTTCTTCATGGCATCTTTCAATCTTTATGTATAAAAATTCATGAGGGCAGGGCGCGGTGGCTAGTACCTGTAACCCTAGCACTTTGGGAGGCCGAGACGGGCGAATCACCTGAGGTCAGGAGTTCGAGACCAGCCTGGCAGCATGGCAAAACCTCGTCTCTACTAAAAATACAAAAAAATTAGCTGGGCGCGGTGGCGGGCGCCTTGTAATCCCAGCTACTCAGGAGGACGAGGCCGGAGAAAATTGCTTGAATCCAGGAGGCAGAGGTTGCAGAGAGCCTAGATGGAGCCATTGCACTCCAGCCTGGGCGACAAGAGAGAAACTCCATATCAAATAAATAAATAAAATAAATAAAATCCATGAGTTATTTTATCACATTATATGTTTATAATTTTAAGTCTTACTTTCAAATTGAAAACAGTTTAATTTTCAGTCGCTCATGTTAGGTTTTTTTTTTTTTTTTTAGACAGAGTCTAGCTCTGTCGCCCAGGCTGGAATGCAGTGACACGATCTTGGCTCACTGCAAGCTCCCGCTACCACGCCCGGCTAATTTTTTTGTATTTTTAGTAGAGGCGGGGTTTCACGTGCTAGCCAGGATGGTCTCGATCTCCTGACCTCGTGATCCACCCACCTCCGCCTCCCAAAGTGCTGGGATTACAGTCGTGAGCCACTGCGCCCGGCCTCATTTTAGTTTTGATGCAAATATAGTTAAACCCTCCCGGGTTCTCCCTTCCGGGTTCAAGTGATTCTCCTGCCTCAGGCTCTCGAGTAGCTGGGGACTACAGGCGAGCGCCACCAGGCTCAGCTAATTTTTTCTGTATTATTAGTAGAGACGGGGTTTCACTCGTCTCATGTTGGCCAGGATGGTCTCTATCTCTTGACCTCGTGATCCACCCACCTTGGCCTCCCAAAGTGCTGGGATTACAAGCATGAGCCAACGCGCCCGGCCTATTTTTATTTATTTATTCTTTTTGAGACAGAGTCTTGCTCTCTCTCCCAGGCTGGAGTACAGTGGGCGATCTCAGCTCACTGCAGCCACTGCCTCCCGGATTCAAGCGATTCTCCTGCCTTAGCCTCCACAGTAGCTGAGACTGTAGGAGCGCGCCACCATGCCTTGTTAATTTTTGTTTTTTCTGTAGAGACAGGGTTTTGCCATGTTACCCAGGCTGGTCTTGAACTCCTGAGCTCAAGCGATCCTCGGCCTGGGCCTCCCAAAGTGCTGGGAGAACAGACGTGAGCCACCGCGCCTGGCCCCCTGTGGGTGTTTTTAAAATTAGAGACACTGAGACCCCGACTGAAGAAGATAGGCCACGGGGCTGCTGTTATCTAATATTTATCAGAACTCACCCGACTTGTATGGGCAACGCAGCCCCTTTTCACTGTTCTTTTTCTTTGCAAACTCCACAGTCCTCCCTGTCGCTGCCCTACAGTACTGGTTGGAAGGTCTTTCTTCTTTGACTCTAGGTGGGGAAATCCAGAACGAGGCTTCGCCTCACCTGCCCTAATGCCCAATCTTCTACTAGCATTCCAGGCAGCGCTTTCTAGTCACGTGAGGGATACCTAACCACTGGAACTAAATAAGATGTGGGGGAACAACTGAGGTCATCACCTAAATTGCTTGATACTCTCTTTTCCAGAAGACGAGCCCCCTTTCTGAGTTTATGGCAGAAAGTGAATCCCTCCCTCCCTCCCTTCCTTTCTTTTTCTGTAAGACGGTGTTTCGCTCTTGTTGCCCAGGCTGGAGTGCGACGCCGTGATCTCCGCTCGCCGCAACCTCCGCCTCCCGGGTTAGAGCGGTTCTCCTGCCTCAGCCTCCAGAGTAGCTGGGATTACAGCCATGCGCCACCACGCCCAGCTAATTTTGTATTTTTAGTAGAGACAGGGTTTCTCCATGTTGGTCAGGCTGGTCTCGAACTCCTGACCTCAGGTGATCCGCCCGCCTCGGCCTCCTGGGATTACAGGCGTGAGCCACCGCGCCCGGCTAGAAAGTGAATCATTTCTATATTTGATTGTACGTGAAGCCCTCGGTAGTCCTTACTGACATCATGTCTCCTTTAGACTTTGATTACACTCCGTGTCCTTCATCTGACTCCTCTCTTCAGATTCCTGAGTCACGCTCTGTTTATGTTGCTGTTCAGGAGCGAACTGCGGCACCGCCCAAACACTGTGACGCCAGCGCGGGAGGAGGGCCGCGGGAGGGGCAGCGGAACGCGCAGAGGGCACGGTGCAAGCACGGGACAGCTCTGCATTGGCCAAAGGGATCCCAGGAGGCCTGGCCCTCTTTTCTCCTGAGGCTGGATCCCAACCAGCAGGAAAAGGCTGGATTTTCGCCTTTTGTATTTGTTTTGGGGCCCAACCAAGAAAAACAGTGGAGGGGGAATAAAACATGTTTAAATCTTTTTTTTGTCTTAAAACCATCTTTAATTTCACAGTCACAAAATAAAACATAACTCGAATGTTTTGATGTTTGCAGTGACATCGATTGTGAAAAAGGTTAGCCAGAAAGGAAACGCAGTGAGACAGAGCGCTCGGCCACCCCCTGCCCTGGGCGCCTGGCGCATGGGGGGCGGGGCGGGGCTCGCGGGGTGACGTCACAGCCCGACGCGCCACCCAGCTGTTTTTGTGCTCCCAGCTCTAGCGAAAAGCCGCCGGTATTTCTCCATCTGGCTCTCCTCTACCTCCAGGCAGGCTCACCCGAGATCCCCGCCCCGAACCCCCCCTGCACACTCGGCCCAGCGCTGTTGCCCCCGGAGCGGACGTTTCTGCAGCTATTCTGAGCACACCTTGACGTCGGCTGAGGGAGCGGGACAGGGTCAGCGGCGAAGGAGGCAGGCCCCGCGCGGGGATCTCGGAAGCCCTGCGGTGCATCATGAAGTTCCAGTACAAGGAGGACCATCCCTTTGAGTATCGGAAAAAGGAAGGAGAAAAGATCCGGAAGAAATATCCGGACAGGGTCCCCGTGAGTGTAGAGGAGCGGAGGGGATGGGAGGGGAAGGGCCCGCGGGGGCGGGGGCGGGTAGTCGAGATGGCTTCCCTGGGGCGCCCAGGCGGCTCTGGAGAAGGGAGGTTCCGAGAATTACTTAATCCTGAACGCCCTTCAGTGCCAGAGCCAATGGACGTCCAGACTGTAGAGCTTTTAAAACCCCGTATGCCTGGGCCCCGAACCCCACTTCAGGGCTGACGGCGTTTTGGGGGCCGAGCCGCCGTCTTCAGTGACTCAGCAACCCACACACGGTCTCAGCAGCTGAGACCGTGTGTGGGTTGCGGTGCACAAAATAGGGCCCCTGTGGGCGAGACTGGTTAGATCGGGGCCATGGATTGGCTGCCTTTAAGAACGCAGGGACATTGTGCTGTGCGGTGAGGTTTGCGCAAACCCAGTCGATTTCTGCCTTGGCTGGTTCTCCTTTAATGAAGTTGACTTTGGCTCTCATATCATTGGTCTTGGGACGAAAAGGTTCAGAAGCTATTCAGTAATTTTCTTGCATTACAGGGGGTTAGGGGAGCACAAGACAGTCCTGGCCTGGAAAACAAGGTCACGTTCTCTGCCCAACAGCCCTCTTGCCTCATCGTTCTAGGCTCCGGGGCTTGTGTGGGGACAGCCAGCCTCCTCGTGTTGATTTCTGATCACCTGGTACCTGGTCGCGATAAGGCAGGACTGAGACGTTTTTTCTCCGTTTTGGACACCGGCTTAAGTAGTTAAAACTACCGCAGGCAGTGAGTAGGAACAGAAAAGTATTAGGTATCTTTCAGCATCCGGGCGTTTTCCCCATTACCCCCTCCCCCGCCCACTTGCCTGGTGTTTCTCTAATGCAGGCTGCGCAGCCGAATTGGAGGGCAGAATATGGCTTAAGTGGTAGGGGGACCAGCAGCTGTTGGATTTTGGAAATGGAGGAGCGGAGATTTTAAAATTGTGCTCTTTATCTTCAGGTAGGAACATTAGTATTACGTGTCACATAATGGTAAAATAATTGCTGTTATCTGATGTCTTTTCTTGACTCACAGCCACTCTGGGTTTCTTCTCTAATCCTTACCTAACGTTCGTGGTTTTATAGCTACCAGAAGCCACCAGGGCCTTAGCCCAGCAGTAGAAACCTCTTGTAACCCTTTTCCTTTAAAAAGAAAAAAAAGTCATTAGGGCTCTTCATTCCCCAGGAATTACAAAAAGGTTTTCAGCTTATAGAGGGGTGAGCTAATCCCTTACTCGGGAAAGGATCCTTTACAAATTACTTTCCTGGTTTCTGGACCTTGGATACCTGAAAATTTTGCCCAGTTCTGGTGATACCAATCTTTTGAGCAATGATATTTAAAAAATACAATCAAGTTTTATTGATAGTTTACCCTAGCGGTATTATAAGTACTCAGTCTGTAATCATTGACTTACTTCCTTACACGATTACCCGTTCTACAGATGGAGTATTCAAAGCACAAAGAAATGCAGTAACTTCCTAAAGGTTTCACATTGCTGATCTGTGGTTGAGCTGGAATTCCAACCCTGTCTGAAGGACTGTGGAGCTCTCGGGTATCTTAACCTCCATGCCATATTGTTTCTCAGTTTCTAATATAGTTGTATTAACCAGAATTAATGACGTGCTGTGGACTTTACACTGTTAAGTATTGGAAATAGATAAATATTTATGTGCATTCACTCTGAATATTTTAGAGCATTCTGTTCTTTTCCTGCTCATAGTTTGGTGTTAAATGTTTTACTCCTGTGATAATTTTTAAGCCATTAAGCCTGTCACTCAGATTTCAGCTTTCCTAGGGTTATGTTTTAACCAGTGGTGAGCTGCTCCCAAGGTGACCAGTCTGTGACCTTCTTTCTAGTTATGACGCAGGTTCCTTGATTTGGTTCTAGTTCTGGGAATTCATTGCATCCTTGGGCAGAACTCTTAATCGTGCTGTGCTAGAGTGTCTTGTTTACAGAAAAGAGGGTTAGAGTAATGATTCCTGAAGCCCATTCCAGCTTGACCATTGGTGTTATTAAAGCAATGGCGTACCCTGACTGCTCGCATAACCAGAACTTAGCCCCACCAATATTTCTTCAGAGCCAGCGTTGAAAAGAAGAGGTGTGCTTGTGCCTTCAGAGAGGAAGGGTTGGTGGGATCTTGAAATTATCTTCAAAGATACAACATATCAAAAAAACTGTTAGGAACAGATTGTCTATTTTAAAAATTCATAACCCTACTGAGTATTAGTCACATTTTACAAATGAGGAAAACTGAGACCCAAAGAGGCAAAGCATCTAGCCCAGGGGTCTACCATAGTGAGGAGTAGAGCTGGGATTCCTGGAAACTTAACCTTGGTACTGGGAAACCAATATTTTAATGATTACCCCTCCCCCTTCTCTTCCTCTCCAAACCCCTCCCTTCCCTCCAGGTATTGCCCTCTGCTTTATCACTTTCTTTATCTGTCTTCCTTTGTGGTTTTTATCTCTTACTGCTAGGTGTCCGAGTTCCTTTGGGGCACAATGCTAGCCTCTTTCTGCCTTTTCCTTTTAATTCCTGGCTTACGTTACCCTATTTCAGTTTTTATTTTTAAATTTAAAATGTGATCATGTCCCTCTGGTCTTCCTGGTTCAGGATTTTTTCTACAAGAACACAAAACAACTTTTTGTTTTGTTTTGTTTTTGTTTTTGTTGTTTTTTTTTTTACTAATTTTAATTTGTTCCTTTTAATTTAAAAAGTTCAAACTCCCCCCCAAGTTAATTATGTTAGATAATTCTTTATAATTTATGAAGCATTTTCCTGTAAAATGTTATTTATTACTCACATTCACATCATATCAATACCATGACTTTGTTAAAGACGTGTTAGAAAGTTTTCTTTTCAAGCTGGGCACGGTGGCTCACACCTGTAATCGCAGTACTTCCGGAGGCTGAGGCGGGTGGAGCACTTGAGGTCAGGAGTTCGAAACCAGCCTGGCATCATGGTGAAACCCCATCTCTACTAAAAAATACAAAAATTAGCCGGGCGTGGTGGCATGCGCCTGTAATCCCTGCTACTCCGGAGGCTGAGGCAGGAGAATCGCTTGAGCCCAGGAGGTGGAGGTTGCAGTGATCCGAGATCAGGCCACTGCACGCCAGCCCGGGCGACACATGTGACACTCGACCTCAAAAAAAAAAGTTACTGGAATACTGAAGCTGAGAGAGAGGTTACGTGACCTGTTGAAGATCACACAGCCACTAGAAGTACTCATACAGTTTTTTTTTTTTCTGCGTCTTCACTTTTTTTTCTGCATTTCCCATATGTTCTAACTAAAATGACTATATTTTCTTTTCTTTTTTTTTTTTTTTTTTTGAGACCGAGTTTTGCTCTTGTTGCCCAGGCTGGAGTGTAGTGGCACGATCTTGGCTCACCGCAACCTCTGCCTCCCAGGTTCATGCGATTCTCCTGCCTCAGCCTTCCTGAGTAGCTGGGATTATAGGCATGCATCACAATGCCTGGCTAATTTTGTATTTTTAGTAGAGATGGGGTTTCTCTATGTTGGTCAGGCTGGTCTCGAACTCCCGACCTCAGATGATCCGCCCGCCTCGACCTCCCAAAGTGCTGGGATTACAGGCATGAGCCATTGCGCCCGGCAATGATTATATTTTCTAAACTAAAAGTCTAAAGCTCATGATTTTACAATAGATATTTTCTGTTTGGTAAGTTTTAGTGTATTAAAAATATCTTTTAAATTTTGATAAATCTAGTACAGAAATACATGATTTTTTTACAACTTGAACTATAGAAGTATATAACGTAGACATAAATCCCTTAAAATCCTAACAATCGAAAGCCTAAAGCTCATGATTTTATAACAGATATTTTCTGTTTGGGAAGTTTTAGTGTATAAAAAAATCTTTTATATTTTTATAGATCTAGTACAGAAATACATGATCTTTATTAGAAGTATATAATGTGGACATTGAAAATCCCTTAAAGTCCTAACATAATCAATATCTATAAATGGCTTGTTGTGCTGACATCATATTATAGGATATCATTGTCAGACTTGTTTTAACACTGTTTCTTTTCCATTTAATAATGTTTGAACAATCTTTACAGTTCTTGGAAATTTTGACAAAGATTTAAACCACGTTATTGGTACCTTTAATAAATGGTATTTATGAGAAATAATAACTTACAGGTGATCAGGACCATATGAGAAAACCCAGTTTTCTTGATGCTCTAATTAAATACCAGAAGGTGGCCAGGCACGGTAGCTCACATCTGTAATCCCAGCACTTTGGGAGGCCAAGGCAGGCAGATCACTTGAAGTCAGGAGTTTGAGACCAGCCTGCCCAACATGGTGAAACCGCATCTCTCTTAAAAATACAAATACTTAGCCAGGCGTTGTGGCATGTGCCTGTAATCCCAGTTACTCAGGAGGCTGAGGCAGGAGAATTGCTTGAATCCGGGAGGTGGAGATTGCAGTGAGCTGAGAGGGAGCCATTGCACTCCAGCCTTGGTGACAGTGAGACTTCATCTCAAAGATAAATAATAAATAAATAAATACCAATAGGTATATGTCCTATAGTAGATCTTACAGGTAACCTGTAATTACTTAAAATCAAAGTTCTTTTTACTTTTCATCATATACAATCTCTAGTTTATTTTTATTTTAGTAATGCAGCTATAACCTCATGAAGCCTATTTTTTTTGTATAATTTTATAAGGGGTGGGGGGATAAGAAATGAAACAGGTGTCCTGGGCCTAGACAGATTCATTTCCAGTAGTAACTAGGCAACTCTAGGGTGTAGAAGGAAAAATACTAGATTGCCTTCTGTAGTTTTCATTCCTACTCTCCTCCTCTTCTTCCAGGTGATTGTAGAGAAGGCTCCAAAAGCCAGGGTGCCTGATCTGGACAAGAGGAAGTACCTAGTGCCCTCTGACCTTACTGGTAATGCTCTTTGCCTTCCCTGACCCTTCCTCCGGTGAAAAAACTCTCTAGATCCTCATTACATGCATGAGATTGTGAGATTGAGAGGCAGTACATACTTGAAGGAAGTGAGTGGGATGCTCTGGAGTTATCTGATTAAAAAATGACTCAGGCTGGGCGCCCTGGCTCACGCCTGTAATCCCAGCACTTTGGGAGACTGAGGCGGGTGGATCATGAGGTCAGATCGAGACCATCCTGGCTAACACAGTGAAACCCCGTTTCTACTAAAAAAAATACAAAAAATTAGCTGGGCTTGGTGGCGGGTGCCTGTAGTCCCAGCTACTTGGGAGGCTGAGGCAGAAGAATGGTGTGAACCCGGGAGGCAGAGCTTGCAGTGAGCCGAGATCATGCCACTGCACTCCACCCTGGGCAACAGAGCGAGACTCGGTCTCAAAAACAAGAAGACTCAATAGTTCTTTCCCATCACCATGTCTTGTTGGATTTTGACACAGCAAAGCATAAGACATTGAAAGAAAGGATCAGATGCCCATTATTTAAACCACTTTTATTTTAATTAATTAATTAATTAATTAATATTATTATTTGAGATGGAGTTTCACTCTTGTAGCCCAGGCTGGAGTGCAGTGGCATCATCTTGGCTCACTGCAACCTCCGTCTCCTGGATTCAAGCGATTCTCCTGCCTCAGCCTGCCGAGTAGCTGGGATTGCAGGCACCTGCCACCATACCCGGCTACTTTTTTTGGTATTTTTAGTAGAGACAGGGTTTCACCATGTTGGCCAGGCTGGTCTTGAACTGCTGAACTCAGGTGATCCACCCGCCTTGGCCTCCCAAATTGCTGGGATTACAGGCGTGAGCCACCATGCCCCACCTAAACCAATTTTAAAATTCAGCTTTGGCTGGGGGTGGTGGCTCACGCCTGTAATCCCAGCACTTTGGGACGGGGATGTGGGCAGATCACCTGAGGTCAGGAGTTTGAGACCAGGCTGGCCAACATGGTGAAACCATGTCTTCATTAAAAATACAAAAATTAGCTGGGTGTGTTGTTGGGCACCTGTAATCCCAGCTACTCAGGAGGCCAAGGCTGGAGAATGGCTTGAACCTGGGAGGCAGAGGTTGCAGTGAGCCGAGATCGCACCACTGCACTCCAGGCTGAGTGACACAGTGAGACTCCGCCTCAAAAAAACAAAAAACAAAAAAAAAAAACCCCAAAATTCGGCTTTGTTAATTGTGATATCAATTTGTTCCAAAAAGAAAACCAGTCTGGCTTCTTGAGAGGATTATATTTTAGAGTTTCCTGATTAAATACATCTTCTTAAGCTACATTTTTTTAAACTAAGTTTTGTAGATTTTGTTTGAGATTATAAGACATATATTCATTGTTGGGTGTGGTGGCTCATGCCTGTAATCCCAGCACTTTGGGAGGCTGAGGCGGGTGGATCACAAGGTCAGGAGTTTGAGACCAGCCTGGCCAACGTGGTGAAACCCCGTCTCTACTAAAAATACAAAAGTTAGCTGGGCATGGTGGCGCGTGCCTGTAATCCCAGCTACTCGGGAGGCTGAGGCAGGAGAATTGCTTGAACCTGGGGAGGTGGAGATTGCAGTGAGCCGAGATTTCGCCATTGCGCTTTCAGCCTGGGTGACAGAGTAGAACTCTGTCTCGGAAAAAAAAAAAATACATATATTCAGTCTTCATCGTGATCCTTAATGGAATACACACTGCATCCAGGACACACTGGAAAGATTTTGTTGATTTGCTCCAGAGTTAATAGGTTTGAATATCAGCCATCTAGAAAATTTTCAGTATTCTCAAGTAAAGGCAAAGCATTGAACCTTGTTTAATGCCCCAACACTGAGGTGACTGACTGTGCTAAGATGACCAGAGTCCAGTGGACCCCTTTCCATTGCTAAGTTTTTCTTAGGGAGGGTCTGGGGATGGAAAGAGTTTCAAGTCAGGTTTAGACAGTGATGGGAATGTTTTGGTCTGGATGCACATGGTATTCCTTCAACGTAGTCCTCAGGCTTTGAGTGGATATGCTAACATGAGGTCTGAGATTGAATAAGAGGGGAAAGGAGGAATAAATTCCACTATGGCAAGTCAGGGACTGTGTGGGCTTCCGAGTTTCCCTTTTTATTTTGAAAGCTCCAGGCCGGTATTTGGCTCTTCTCAGATGGTATATAAAGCTGGTACTGACTCTAAGGTGAAAAAATGCAATTGAATTTTTTTCCAGGACTTACCCTTCTACTAATTCCTTGTTTTCTTACTTTCTTTTCTGCCCTTTTCTTCTTCCATCATCCAGTTGGCCAGTTCTACTTCTTAATCCGGAAGAGAATCCACCTGAGACCTGAGGACGCCTTATTCTTCTTTGTCAACAACACCATCCCTCCCACCAGTGCTACCATGGGCCAACTGTATGAGGTAATGGTTCTGGTTGCACAATACTGGATGCCGTCCAGTGCAGTCTGGCATCCTCTAGCCCTTGTTCTAGATGCGTTGATAACACATCTGAGAAGTGGGGCAGAAGGTGTTATTTATCCGGATCCTCTTACATATGGCAGTGTAAGGCTCTGAGAGATTAGATACCTCTTGTTTTTTAGGGATTAGCCACTCTACTAGATTTAATCCTTCTGAAATCTTGTCTGACTATAGTCTTGTCTGACTATAGTGTTTTAATGCTGGACTGTTTATTGAAACAGCAGGAAGTGATTCCTGATAGCAAAAGTTCCAAAGCGTCAGCCCATCGCAGTTCCTGCTATTCTGGTTGGTAGCATGTAATTTGTAATGCATTCAGAATCCAGTTCATTATTTTACTCCCATTTAGCAACAGATTGAGAAAGCACGTAATAGTAAAGCCAGCTCCTTCTAACTCTGAGGCCAGCCTCTGCCAACTGAAGGATTCTCCCCACAGTCAGCTTCTTCTATGAACTCTGAAGTTTTGGCTTAAGACAACCACATTGATACTAAACAAGGGGAAACTTTTCTTAGAACAAAACTAAAACTGTGAAACAGATTCCACATTATCTGGGCACAATGAATCAGATAAAATGAAATATAAAATTAAGGCAAAGTCTGTAAATGGATTCATGTCTTAACAGATAAACTCAGGAGGAATAATTTTTATGTGATGTGGTTTAATTGGAAGTGTCAGAATCTGAGGAAACTATAGTGAAGGACTTTATTATTACTGAAAATATAACCTGGGATTATAACTATTGTTTTTTGCAGTATTTTGCATAAGATGCTTCCTTCTCATTGTGCTCCGTTAATGAATTACGTAAACTTCTAATAATCCTGAATCTTTTTTTGCATAGCATATATTCCCTGTTAGTATATGTCCCATTATATATCCATCTGTGGTATCTATGTTCCCCTTGCTAGGAGTGAGCTCTTTAAGAGTGAGGACTGTGCCCTAGTCATCTTCATATCCCTGATACCTATGTGTAATATGTTTTCAATGAAGGATTTTTGTTTGTGAACTCAGAGCTCAAAGTGTAATTCCAACCACTTCTCCCTATCCTTTGCTCCTCTTTTAAATGGGGACTAATGATACCTTCCATACCTGCTTTACAAGGTTGTGTGAGGCTCAGCATCTTAGAGCTAATGAATGAATATGTTTTCTAAACTGTTGTCTTATCTCTTCCCCTAGGACAATCATGAGGAAGACTATTTTCTGTATGTGGCCTACAGTGATGAGAGTGTCTATGGGAAATGAGTGGTTGGAAGCCCAGCAGATGGGAGCACCTGGACTTGGGGGTAGGGGAGGGGTGTGTGTGCGCGACATGGGGAAAGAGGGTGGCTCCCACCGCAAGGAGACAGAAGGTGAAGACATCTAGAAACATTACACCACACACACCGTCATCACATTTTCACATGCTCAATTGATATTTTTTGCTGCTTCCTCGGCCCAGGGAGAAAGCATGTCAGGACAGAGCTGTTGGATTGGCTTTGATAGAGGAATGGGGATGATGTAAGTTTACAGTATTCCTGGGGTTTAATTGTTGTGCAGTTTCATAGATGGGTCAGGAGGTGGACAAGTTGGGGCCAGAGATGATGGCAGTCCAGCAGCAACTCCCTGTGCTCCCTTCTCTTTGGGCAGAGATTCTATTTTTGACATTTGCACAAGACAGGTAGGGAAAGGGGACTTGTGGTAGTGGACCATACCTGGGGACCAAAAGAGACCCACTGTAATTGATGCATTGTGGCCCCTGATCTTCCCTGTCTCACACTTCTTTTCTCCCATCCCGGTTGCAATCTCACTCAGACATCACAGTACCACCCCAGGGGTGGCAGTAGACAACAACCCAGAAATTTAGACAGGGATCTCTTACCTTTGGAAAATAGGGGTTAGGCATGAAGGTGGTTGTGATTAAGAAGATGGTTTTGTTATTAAATAGCATTAAACTGGAATTGACAAGAGTGTTGAGCATCCCTGTCTAACCTGCTCTTTCTCTTTGGTGCCCCTTATCTCACCCCTTCCTTGGAATTTAATAAGTCTCAGGCATTTCCAATTGTAGACTAAAACCACTCTTAGCATCTCCTCTAGTATTTTCCATGTATCAGGACAGAGGTGTCTTATGTAGGGAGGGGGCAAGTATGAAGTAAGGTAATTATATACTACTCTCATTCAGGATTCTTGCTCCCATGCTGCTGTCCCTTCAGGCTCACATGCACAGGAATGCTACATGATGGCCAGCTGCTTCCCTCCTTGGTTATCATCCACTGCAGCTGCTAGTTAGAAAGGTTTGGAGGGATGACTTTTAGTAAATCATGGGGATTTTATTGATTTATTTTCACTTTTGGGATTTTGTGGGGTGGGAGTGGGGAGCAGGAATTGCACTCAGACATGACATTTCAATTCATCTCTGCTAATGAAAAGGGTTCTTTCTCTTGGGGGAAATGTGTGTGTCAGTTCTGTCAGCTGCAAGTTCTTGTATAATGAAGTCAATGCCATCAGGCCAAGGAAATAAAATAATTGCTTACCTTAAAAATCCACTGAGTTCAGCAATGTTGCCTTTATTTTGTATGTATTAGAATAGATGATATGTGGACTCTCTGAACAAAAGAACTAAGTGGGGAAAGCTGTTAGTGATGAATGTTCACATATGGTCAGACCCATATATGTTTACTCAGTTCTTTAGTGAGCAGGAGTTGCTGTTCAAGGGTGAATGTTATGCTGGGGCAGTGTGCCTGCTGCGTTGGTGGTGTGTGTGTGTGTGTGTGTGTGTGTGTGAGAGAGAGAGAGAGCTTTTTCTCCTCCAAAGATAAGTGCATCGTCACTGTTCTATGTGTTTCTGAAAGCTGAAGGTGGAAGACTGCCTACGTAGAGGTAAGGGGTGGGCTGTGCTAATTACAAATGCAGATGTCTAGGCCATCTCCCAGATTTAGCTGACTCAGAATCTCAGCGTTAGGTGTCTAATTTTTAACAAGCTCCTGATATGACTGCTGCACACTGAAGTTTGAGCGTCATTGCTTTTTGCACCAGGTTTTGCTGTAGGTCCCAACCACACCTTACTCTCTCCATCACAACTTGGTCAGTCTGAAGCCACCATCTCCCAAAGCAGCAAATAGCACCTAGGCAAGGCTCCCGGCATCAGAACAAGCTTGGTGTCTTCTGACCATATGAAAGTCTTGTTCAGTTATTCAGGAACGAATATGTGGGTGGGCTTTGAGCATGCAAGTTAAATGAGAGAATGGAAAACAGATTAGTGAAAACTTCTTTCATGAAAAACCTTAAGACCCATCTCTAACCCTCTCTAATCTCTTGCAGTCATATCCCCAAGTGATGTCTACCTCTGTAGAGAGTTAGGGAATATATCAAGGTCACCAAAAAGGAAGTAGGAAGTTATAAAAGATCCATGCCAAGCAGCACCACATGCAGAAAATTATGTAAGATTACGGAATTTTGATGAAGGCATTGAAAATGGACACTTGTCCCTAATGACAAAAATATCAAGGTGCTGTTCCCTGATAAAGCCAAAAGGAAGCTAATATTTGAGTTTAAGATGTGAACTGTATTTTGAAACTAACAGATTTATCCATGACCTAGGAATGAGACTGGATGAATATTTGAAAGAAAGCAAAAAACACATGGCGGCAGATCCTAACCCTCTGTACACATCTGAAACAGTCCCTGTAGGGCAAGAGACTGTAGGCCATTGCTAAACCAAAGAGATCGTTTGAATTTAGGGGCTGTGTCTCTCCCAGGTAGGCTTTGCTTATTGTAGGCCTACTTCCTGGATTTTCCTAAGGAACAAATTTTGTCCTTGGATAGGACATTACATATCATTTTCGACAAGCTGTCTGATTTTACGAAACAGTGGAGTTTTTAAATAACAGCCAAGTTCAGAGGCAAAGTCACACCAGCTGTTGTGGAAGTGTGTCCGGAATTGGTGGGTTTTTGGTCTCACTGACTTCAAGAATGAAGCCGCGGACCCTCGCGGTGAGTGTTACAGCTCTTAAGGTGGCGTGTCTGGAGTCTGTCCCTTCTGATGTTCAGATGTGTTCGGAGTTTCTTCCTTCTGGTGGGTTCGTGGTCTCGCTGGCTCAGGAGTGAAGCTGTAGACCTTCGCGGTGAGTGTTAACAGCTTTTAAGGTAGCGCGTCTGGAGTTGTTCGTTTCTCCCGGTGGGCTCGTGGTCTCGCTGGCTTCAGGAGTGAAGCTGCAGACCTTCCCAGTGAGTGTTACAGCTCATAAAAGCAGCGTGGACCCAAAGAGTGAGCAGTAGCAAGATTTATTGCAGAGCAAAAGAACAAAGCTTCCACCTTTTGGAAGGGGACCCAAGCAGGTTGCCAATGCTGGCTGGGGCTGCCTGCTTTTATTCTCTTATCTGGCCCCAACCACATCCTGCTGATTGGTAGAGCCGAGTGGCCTGTTTTGTCAGGGCGCTGATTGGTGCATTTACAATCCCTGAGCTAGATACAAAGGTTCTCCACGTACCCATCAGATTAGTTAGATACAGAGTTTCCACACACAGGTTCTCCAAGGCCCCACCAGAGGAGCTAGATACAGAGTGTCCATTGGTGCATTCACAAACCTTGAGCTAAACACAGGGTGCTGATTGGTGTGTTTACAAACCTTGAGCTAGATACAGAGTGCCGATTGGTGTATTTACAATCCCTGAGCTAGACATAAAGGTTCTCCAAGGCCCCACCAGAGCAGCTAGATACAGAGTGTCGATTGGTGCATTCACAAACCTTGAGCTAAACACAGGGTGCTGATTGGTGTATTTACAATCCCTGAGCTAGACATAAAGACTCTCCACGTCCTCACCGGAGCAGCTGGATACAGAGTGTCGATTGGTGCACTCACAAACCTTGAGCTAAACACAGGGTGCTGATTGGTATATTTACAATCCCTGAGCTAGATATACTCTCCACATTCCCACTAGACTCGGGAGCCCAGCTGGCTTCACCCAGTGGATCCCACACCGGGGCTGCAGGTGGAGCTGCCTGCCAGTCCCGCGCCGTGCGCTCGCATTCCTCAGCCCTTGGGTTGTTTGTTCCTTCCCGGTCGATGGGACTGGGCGCCGTGGAGCAGGGGGTGGTGCTCGTCGGGGAGGCTCGGGCCGCACAGGTGCCCATGGAGTGGGTGGGAGGCTCAGGCATGGCGGGCTGCAGGTCCCGAGCCCTGCCCCGCGGGAAGGCAGCTAAGGCCCGGCGAGAAATCGAGCGCAGCGCCGGTGGGCCAGCACTGCTGGGGGACCCAGTACACCCTCCGCAGCCACTGGCCCGGGTGCTAAGTCCCCCATTGCCCCGGGCCAGCAGGGCTGGCTGGCTGGCTGCTCCGAGTGCGGGGCCCGCCAAGTCCACGCCCACCCGGAACTCCAGCTGGCGCGCAAGCGCCCCACGCAGCCCCGGTTCCGCTCGTGCCTCTCCCTCCACACCTCCCTCCAAGCTGAGGGAGTGGGCTCCAGCCTTGGCCAGCCCAGAAAGGGGCTCCCACAGTGCAGTGGGGGGGCTGAAGGGCTCCTCAAATGCCACCAAAGTGGGAGCCCAGGCAGGGGAGGTGCCGAGAGCAAGCGAGGGCTCTGAGGACTGCCAGCATGCTGTCACTTCTCAGCAGGCTGGATTGGATTTGGCACTTCTTTACTGAAGGTCAGTTCTTCTCAGCGCCGCTTCCATGTTTTCTGCTAGTCAAGCTTTTAATGCTTCTTTGTGCCGTCAGGCCATTGTGAGGCTTGTCATGAGCTAAAAGTAGTTTAAGAAGCCCTTCGTTAACCTGGCCCAGTGTTCCATGTTAAGATTAGTTAGATTGTTAGTTAGATTGGCTTACTCTGATTGACTTGCTTCTCTCTGGGGATAAAGGTTGAATGATGTGTCAAATGAGATTAGGGAGGCCAGTATGACATGAACATCAAAGATGAGTGAGTCCTTAGCTCTTCCATACACTTCGGTAGAAAGATTTCAAATATATGTAGGGTAAGCATACATCTTAAGTTTGCCAAAGATAGTCTTGAATTATGCCGGTTGTCCTGATTGATTTATTAGTGGTTCCTTATTTCACTGTCACATGACCCCCCCCCCCCCATTGGACGAAATATGTGGTCACTCTCTATGTAGTATAAACATTGAAGCCTCTTCCATCAAGAGAGACACAATGCCTGTGCCATCCAGGTTTAGTGCTCCCCAGTATGGGTCTTACCCTGTCAGGTGGAGGGAGACTAGACAAATCATTCTACTTGTGAATGGCAGTCTATTCTGCTTTTCTTGATTTTTCCCCCAACCCTGACTTGTTTTCCTCTTTCAAAGCATTGTGCTTTCAAAGCATTGTTAAATTTTTTTACTGTATTGTGCAATCAGAAGTTAAGATCGCAAAAGAACAAAGCAAATTATGATTAATGTACAGTAGTAACCAGGCAGACAAGATCACTGCCTCATGCACTGCCTCATCACTATAAAATATGAATAGAGCCCCCCCAGAGTGGTGCAGTGCAGTCCCCTGGTCACTGCAGTGGCCCTTTGGACACAAGTCTTGTCAGTTACAGTTGTCTTGAGAGTGTTACACTTATTAAGCTTACAATTCTGCATTCTATTGGTACTGGTACCATCAGATAGAACAGGTGTGTTGTAATTTTGAAGTGGTGTGTGGAGGGGGGCCATGCATATCCACCTGCCCGTGGGTACAGCATCAAGTCAGCTGTAATAATGACAAATTCAGTCATTTTGGAAAATGAACTAGTTGATAAATTCATATTAGTTCTTATACAAAATTTGTAATTAACTATTTCTAGCTGTGGTTTCTTTTGGATGTTTTTGCTTTGCCAGATTTAAACAAGCTACAAACATTTATTTAACTTTAGTTATTTTTAGCTGCATGAAACTACCAAATATTTCAGAAACAAGTCCATTTTGCCTTTGGTGGTTCTGAGTCCAGGCTGTCTGAGTAATGGAGAATTCCCTCCTCACCTATGCCCACTGCCCAGCGACCCACCCCTTTGTTTACCTTTGATAAGTAGCTGAACAACAACAACAAAAAGTCCACACACACAAATACTAGAATCCCTGTTCCAAAAGCTGTGACTGATGATCTCAGCTTGGTTACCCTGTGTAGGGCCCTGCCTCATTTTCTTTTCCTTTTTTTTTTTTTTCCTCCTGGTTGTGGGCACTTCTTAAGTATATGTACCCATGGCTAGATTATTTTCAGAGTTTGAAATAACAGGAAGTTATCACCCTTAAAAGTAGTCAAATGACATTTCACTATGCCATTGTGCAGGTGTGCATGTTTTCAACAGTGACTAACAAAAGACAAGTCATTCTCCTGGTGTGTTTTCATCACGGTGGGGCCATCTATTTCAGTAGTTCTGTTTTCAAAAGCAGTGTATTTAAGACCCTTAGGACTTCTGTTTAGAAGTACTTAGCTCCTAAAACTTGAATAAAGTGATCCTGAACTTTTGGGTGAGAAGTTGAAACATGTTTTCTATTTTTACACTTTTAGTAGGCTCAAAGTTGCTTCATACCATTCAGTAAAAGAATGATGATGGCTTTATTGCTTCTTTAAGCAATATGCACATGGTATTCAAAGGATAAAAGTAACAATAAGCCATATTTTACGTGCTAAAATTGGCTAGTTCCTAACCTCCTTCAAGTCTTAGATACTATGTCAAGGAGACCAACTCTGAACATCTCTAATATTCAACACCTTCCCCCTACTTCCCTTTCTCCTAGTCATTCTCAACCTTGGTCTTTGTCTTTTTTGCTTCGTAGTGATCATGTAACATAATTTTCTAGTTTATTATGTCTTCTCTCTCTAGATCCTGAGGTGCAGGAAGGCAGAAACTTTTTGTGTAGTGATATACAACAATTGGTCAGAACAGTGAATGGCATATGGTTGGCATTCAAAAATATTGAAATAGTAGTTTTTGATAGGACTGAACCACTAGGCAACTTAAATTATCCAGAAAGACATGTTACAAACAGGCCAGTCAAGGAACTTTGGGAAACACTTGGAGCTTACTAGAAAGATGTCCTGGAGGCAGGAAACAACTTGAATCCCAGCTCTGCTGCTTGACTAGAGCTAGGACTTGGGCTAGTCTGTCATCTGTACAAATGAAATTTGCATTTCCAGGCTGGGCGCAGTGGCTCATACTTGTAATCCCAGCACTTTGGGAGGTTGAGGCAGTCGGATCACCTGAGGTTAGGAGTTCAAGACCAGACTGGCCAACATGGTGAAACTCTGTCTCTACTAAAAATACAAAATACACCTGTAGTCCCAGCTATTTGGGAGTCTGAGGAAGGAGAACCGCTTGAATCTCAGAGGCGGAGGTTGCAGCGAGCCAAGATTGTGCCACTGCACTCCAGCCGAGGCAACAAAGCGAGATTCCATCTCAAAAAAAAAAATTCTGCATTTCCTTTTCAAGTAGATAAGATAATTACATCATACATTGTTGCGAACACAAGTAAATCCTTTGCAAACCATTAAATAGCATTCTCACATATTAAGATTTATTTTACTTGAAACTGAAATTGCAATAACTGGCCAGGCAAGGTGGCTCACGCCTGTAATCCCAGCACTTTGGGAGGCCGAGGTGGAAGGATCACCTGAAGTCAGGAGTTCGATATCAGCCTGGCCAACATGGTGAAAACCCGTCTGTACTAAAAATACAAAAATTAGCTGGGCACGGGGCATAGTGATGGGTGCCTGTAATCCCAGCTACTTGGTAGGCTGAGGCAGGAGAATCTGTAATCCCAGCTACTTGGTAGGCTGAGGCAGGAGAATCGCTTGAACTGGGGAGGCAGAGATTGTGCCATTGCACTCCAGCCTGGGCGACAAGAGCAAAACTCCATTTCAAAAAAAAAAAAAAAAAAGGAAAAAAAGGCAATAACTTAGGCTAGATGGCAGAAATCTTTCTGATTGTTTCTCTTTTTTGTTTATTGGTCACAGCAAATGCAGGATGTGGCATGGATCAAGGAAAACAAAGCAGAATATGCCCAACTGGATAGCTCAAAAGACGGCTCTGACACTGAGGGGGTCTCTTCCTTTCTGTTAGAGTCTCCTTTAGCACTGATTTTCTTTCTTTTTTTTTTTTTTTTTTTTTTTTTTTGAGACAGAGTCTTTATTGCCCAGGCTGGAGTTCAGTGGTGTGATCTCAGCTCACTGCAAACTCCAACTCCCAGATTCAAGTGATTCTCCTGTCTCAGCCTCCCAAGTAGCTGGGACTACAGGCGCCCGCCACCACGCCCGGCTAATTTTTTGTATTTTTAGTAGAGACGGGGTTTCACCGTGTTAGCCAGGATGGTCTACGATCTCCTGATCTCATGATCCGCCCGCCTCGGCCTCCCAAAGTGCTGGGATTACAGGCGTGAGCCACTGTGCCCGGCCAAATATTTACTCCTTGATTTAACCCACTGCCACTACTAGGACCAGTGGCACTCACTAATTCACCATAAATTGGGTAAACAGTTACCTTGTTTTTATTAATCTTTCTTAAATGTATGTATAACTCACATTTATTTAAATGTTAAATATTAGAAATGTTTGGGTCTTGGCTGGGTGTCGTGGCTCACGCCTGTAATCCCAGTACTTTGGGAGGCTGAGGCGGGTGGGTCACCTGAGGTCAGGAGTTCGAGACCAGCCTGGCCAACATGGTGAACTCCCATCTCTACTAAAAATACAAAAATTAGCGAGGCATGGTGGCGGGTGCCTGTAATCCCAGCTACTTGGGAGGCCGAGGCAGGAGAATCGCTTGGACTTGGGAGGCAGAAGTTGCAGTGAGCTGAGATCATGCCACTGCACTCTAGCCTGAGCAACAGAGTAAGACTCTGTCTCAAAAAAAAAAAAAAAAAAAAAAAGAAAAAAGAAATGGTTGTGTCTTTTCTGACCAGAAACATGCTGTGGGAAAGTAACTCTTGTTTATATCAATTAGCCTATGATCAAATTAGTCTCATTACATGTTATTTTGCCTAAAGTCATAGTTACCAAGAATCTATTGATGTTAAGTGAGGACTTACTGTACAGAAAACAGCATTTTAAACACAGTTTTATCTATGCAAATGGAATCTTGAGACTACTAGATAAAGTGTTATGAATGAGAGAAATTAACAATCAGTATAAAAATAAGTCTACAATCCAGCATATCTCAGCCTAACAAGGAATGAAGACCTGGGGACCATGATTCGGGTATTTTGTTTGTAACAGATTTATTGGGGCCTATCCAAGGAAAAGTTAAAAATGATCCTTTGAGTTTTTAAAATTTTATTTATCTATGTATGTATGTATTTTCTGAGACACAGTTTCACTCTGTCGCCCAAGCTGGAGTGCAGTGGCACAATATTGGCTCACTGCAACCTCCGCCTCTGGGGTTCAAGTGATTCTTGTGCCTCAGCCTTCCTAGTAGCTGGAATTACAGGCACGTATGTCACCATACCTGGCTAATTTTTGTATTATTAGAAGAGATGGTTTTGCCATATTGGCCAGGCTGGTTTTTTCGTTTTTTTTTTTTTTTTTTTTTTAGATGAAGTCTCACTCTGTCACCCAGGCTGGAGTGCAGTGGCACAATGTCAGCTCACTGCAACCTCCGCCTCCTGGGGTCAAGCGATTTTCCTGCCTCAGCCTCCCCAGTAGCCAGGATTACAGGCGCCTGCCACCATACCTGGCTAATTTTTGTATTTTTAGTAGAGATGGGATTTCACCATGTTGGCCAGGCTGGTCTCGAACTACCAGCCTCAAACTCCACCCACCTCGGCCTCCTAAAGTGCTGGGATTACAGGCGTGAGCCACCGCGTCTGACCTCTTTTAATTGTTATTTTTTGAAGTTGGATAATATTGGTTTTTTACAATCGGCTTATGACTGCTCTAATGTTGGGAGTTTTGTTTGTTTGTTCTTCAAAAACAAAAACAAAAACCCTGGGTCTTTATTGCTACATTCAATTAAAATCCCTATCCATCCTACTGAACAAAATCAATCTCTGCAGTGCTTTCCAACCCTGACTGCACATGACCATCAGTGGTGAGCTCCCAAAAACGTCTGATGGCAGAGCCCCACTTCTGCATCACTCTTGGGGAGGACACCGGAGGGTTTGGCATCCATACTTTTAGTTTTTTTAATTTTTCCCCCCACCGCCCCCTCCCTATGCTATAGGCTCCTTTTTATTGAGGTAAAATTCACATAATGTAAAATTCATGGCATCTTTACTTTTTACAAGCCTCTTAAGTGATATGTATAGCCAGGGTTGTGGTCGACTCAACTGGGTGCTCTTTGTTTAACAACACATTGGGAACAGTTCTGGAAATAGCCGCTTGTGATGGTTAAGTTTATGTGTCAACTTGACTGAGCTATAGGGATGCCCAGATAGGTAGCGAAACATTATCCGTGGCTGTTTCTGTAAGGGTGTTTCCGGAAGCGGTTAGCGTTTGAATCAGTAGACCTAGTAAAGAAGATCCTCTCCCACCAATGTAGGCAGGTGTCACTCAATCCATTGAGGGCCTCCATCGAACAAAAGTTAGAGGGTAGAGAGTCCCTCTTTCTGTCCATGAGCTGGGACATCCACAGCTCCTGGTCTCAGACCTTTAAACTTGGATTGAATTATACCACTGACTTTCCTGGTTCTCCTGCTTGCAGACAGATGGTGAGGTTTCTCAGACTCCATAAGCCTCCATGAGCCAATTTCTATAAGAATAATAAATCTCTCTCTTTATTTATATGTAGATATTTATATACATATAGTCTTTATATGCATTTATATCTAGTCATGTGCTACATATAGATATTTCAGTCAATGACAGCCTGTATACATGATGGTTATCCCATAAGATTATAACACCATGTTTTTACTGTACCTCTTCTATGTTTAGATATGTTTATATACACAAATACTTACCATTGTGTTCCAATAGCCTGTGCTGTTCACTCCAGTAATGTGCTGAATGGGTGTGTAGCCTAGGAGCAATAGGCTATACCGTATAGCCTAGGTGTGTAGTAGTTATATCGTCTAGGTTTGTGTAAATACACTCTATGATGTTCACACAATGATGAAGCCCCCAATAACACATTTCTCCGAACATTTCCCCATCCTTAAGTGACACATGGCTATATATAACATTGGTTCTATTTCTCTGGAGAATCTTCACTAATACAGAACTCCTCTTCTGAATTTGCCTTATTTTACTTTTAAATAAAATAAGTAGTCTGGGCGCGGTGGCTCACGCCTGTAATCCCAGCACTTTGGGAGGCCGAAGTGGGTGGATCATGAGGTCAGGAGTTCAAGACCAGCCTGGCCAAGATGGTGAAACCCCATCTCTACTAAAAATACAAAAATTAGCCAGGCGTGGTGGTGGGTGCCTGTAATCCCAGCTACTCGGGAGGCTGAGGCAGAGAATTGCTTGAACCTAGGAGGCGGAGGTTGCAGTGAGCTGAGATTACACCACTGCACTCCTGCCTGGGTGACAGAGTGAGACTCCGTCTCAAAAAAAAAAAAAAAAAAAAAGAAGAATATAATTCTTGCCAGATCCATATTTCCTTCTCCATCAATGTTTGTTTTGCAGTGCTGCAGAAATTAAGATAATCTTAATTGATAGATTAGATTTCTTTTTTTTGTTGTTGTTTTAAGATGGAGTCTCACTCTGTCACCCAGGCTGGAGTGCAGTGGCACAATGTCGGTTCGCTGCAACCTCCACCTCCCAGGTTCAAGAGATTTTCCTGCCTCAGTCTCCCGAGTAGCTGGGATTACAGGTGCCTGCCACCATGACTGACTAATTTTTGTATTTTTAATACAGGCAAGGTTTCTCCATGTTGACCAGGCTGGTCTTGAAATCCTGACCTCAGGTGATCTGCCCACTTTGGCCTCCCAAAGTGCTGGGATTACAGGCATAAGCCACTGCACCCAGCCAGATTTCATTATATATTAGTCTATTCTCATGCTGCTATGAAGAAATACCCAAGACTGGGTAATTTATAAAGAAAAGGGGTTTGATTGGCTCATAGTTCTGCATGGCTGGGGAGGCCGCAGGAAACTTACAATCATAACAGAAGGTGTATTCTTCACAGAGCAGCAGGAAACAGAATGAGTGCCAGCAGGGAAAATGCCAGACACTTATAAAACCATCGGATCTCATGAGAACTCACTCACTATCACAAGAACAGCATGGGAGAAACCACCCCCATGATTCAATTACCTCCCACTGGGTCCCTCCCATGACATATGGGGATTACTGGATTACAATTCAAGATGAGATTTGGATGGGGACAGAAAGCCAAACCATATCATTCCCCTCCTGTCCACTCCCAAATCTCATGTTCTCACATTTCAAAATACAATCATGCCCTCCCAACAGTCCCCCAAAATCTTAACTCATTCCAGCATTAACCCAAAAGTCCAAGTCCAAAGTCTCATCTGAGACAAGGCAAGTCTCTTCTGCCTATGAGCCTGTAAAATCAAAAGCAACTTAGTTACTTCGTAGATACAATGAGGGTACAGGCATTGGGTAAATACGCCCATTCCAAATGGGATAAATTGGCCAAAATGAATGTGCTACAGGCCCCATGCAAGTCCAAAATCCAGTAGGGCAGTCATTAAATCTTAAAGTTACAAAATGTTTTCCTTTGACTCCATGTCTCACATCCAGTTCAGCCTGATGCATGAGGTGGGCTCCCATGGCCTTGGGAATCTCTGCCCCTGTGGCTTTGCAGGGTACAGCCCCACTCCTGGCTGTGCTTAGTGGCTGCAGCTTTCCCAAGCACATGTTGCAAACTGTCAATGGATCACCATTCTGGGGTTTGGAGAATGGTGGCCCTCTTCTCAGAGCTCGACTAGGCAGTGCTCCAGTGGAGACTCTGTGTGGGGGCTTCAACCCACATTTCCCTTCCACACTGCCCTAGCAGAGGTTATTCATGAGGGCTCCACCCCTGCAGCAAACTTCTGCCTGGACATTCAGGCATTTCCATACATCCTCTGAAATTTAGGTGGAGGTTCCCAAACCTCAATTCTTGACTTCTGTGCACCCACAGGCTCAAGACCACATAGAAGCCAACAAGGCTTGGGGCTTGCAGCCTCAGAAGCAATGGCCTGAACTTTACCTTGGCCCCTTTTAGCCACAGCTGGAGTTTAAGCAACTGGGATTCAGGGCACAATTCCCAAGGGTGCACAGAGCAGGGGGGGCCCTAGACCCAGCTCATGAAACCATTTTTCCCTCCTAGGCCTCCAGGCCTGTGATGGGAGTGGCTGCTGTGAAGGTATCTGACATGCCCTGAAGACATTTTCCCCATTGTCTTGGTGATTAACATTTGTCTCCTTGTTACTTATGCAAATTTCTGCAGCTGGCTTGAATTTCTCTCCAGAAAATGAGTTTTTCTTTTTTATTGCATGTTCAGGCTGCAAATTTTCCAAACTTTTATAGTCTACTTCCTTTTGAACAGTTTGCTGCTTAGAAATTTCTTCTGCTAGATACCCTAAATCATGTCTCTCAAGTTCAAAGTTCCACAGATCTCTACAGAAGGGACAAAACACCACCAATCTCTTTACTAAAGCATAGCAAGAGTCACCTTTGCTCCAGTTCCCAACAAGTTCCTCGTCTCCATCTGAGGCCACCTCAGCCTGGACTTCATTGTCCATATCACCATCAGCATTTTGGTCAAAACCATTCAACAAGTCTCTCAGAAGTTCCAAACTTTGCCATATCTTCTTGTCTTCTTCTGAACCCTCCAAACTGTTCCAACCTCTGCCTGCTACCCAGTTGCAAAATCGCTTCCCTTCTACATTTCCAGGTATCCTTATAGCAGTGCCTCACTTCCTCAATACCAATTTACTGTATTAGTCTATTTTCACACTGCTATGAAGAAATATTCGAGACTGGTTAATTTAAAAAGAAAAGAGGTTTAATTGAATCATAGTTCCACATGGCTGGGGAGGCCTAAGGAAGCTTATAGTCATGGCAGAAGGTGCATTCTTCACAGGCCGGCAGGAGAGAAAATGAGTGCCAGGAGAGGAAATGCCGGATTGCTATAAACCTATCAGATCTCATGAGAACTCACTTACTGTCAGGAGAACAGCATGGGGGAAACCGCCCCCATGGGTCCCTCGCATTACATGTGGGGATTATGGGATTATAATTCAAGATGAGATTTAGGTGGGGACACAAAGCCAAACTATATCATGCTACTTACGAGTGGAGGTTATAGCATAAGGCTTCTTTGTACATCTTTAAGAAAATAAGCCACCTGTCTTCTGTCATCTGTCTTCTATTTTGATCTGACTGAAAGACATTGCTAAGCTAGTTTGCAAGGCAGCTCCCACCTCTAATTCTTCCCTCCTACTCCTTTACAGTTCAGGGAGGCTTCATTTCCAAAACGAGTGTGGTCATTGTACTTCTGGCCACCAGGTGGCAGGCCAGATCCACTTAATAACACTGCAGCCTTAATCCTCACTGGCTGCAATTATTTTCCTTTTTAATCAATCTGTTATTAATAATAGTGTCACCTTTTTGTAAACAAAACCACAGAATTTTAACAATAGAGAAAAAATAAGAAGTAAGCTTGTTCATTGTCAATTTTTCTTTTTAAATCTTCCCCCAAAGGAGGAAGATGCATTGCACATTTTTGTTGACTCTGGTGTCTCTTTCAGCATCTAGATGAAATAATAACATTTCTGTTTTAGACAAATAGATATATTTCTTCTGTTCCAAAAGGTAACAGTGGGCTGGGTGTGGTGGCTCACACCTGCAATCCCAGAACTTTGGGATCCAAAGTGGGCAGATTACTTGAGGCCAGGAGTTTGAAACCAGACAGGGCAACATGGTGAAACCCTGTCTGTACTAAAAATACAAAAATCAGCTGGCTGTGGTGGAGCATGCTTGCAGTCTCAGCTTCTCTGGAGGTTGATGCAGGGGAATCGCTTGAACCCGGCGGGTGGAGGTTGTAGTGAGCTGAGATTGCACCACTGCACTCCAGCTTGGGTGACAGAGCAAGGCACTGTCTAAAGAAAAAGTGGATAGAGGAGGGTGAGGCAGGAAAAGGAAAAGGAAGTCAGCATTTCTGGAGCATCTTTTCTCAAACATTCCTTGTTTATTTGGGAGATTAAGTTTCTTCTGAGGATAAAAAAAGATTAGAAGTTAGATTGGTATTGTCTTAGGGGGAAAACAGGCAAGTAGAATGATAATAGAACTTTGTTGCCATAGAATATACAACTAAGTAATACTGTTTATAATGTTCCAATTTACTACAGGTTGTGCATGCAAGCAGTCCTCTGTTTATCTCCTCATCCTCCAGTGTCACATGTCAATTGCCCTGTCACTAACTAATCACAAACCACACTGGCCTTTTATTAGTTTCTTGAATGGCATTAAATTCTTTCTGTCTCAGTCAGGGCTGTGCACATACCTGGTATCTTCCACTGAACTGCTCCTCTCTTAGCTCTGTATAGCCAGCTCCTTCTCATACTTTGTCGTAACTTAAATATTAATAGAGGCAGGAGGCAGAGAAATCCTAGACAGACAGGGATGGGTCCCTGGGGAAACCTTACCTTCAGGTCAAAAACAGCCTGAAACCCACAGACCAGAGTGAGGACTTCCATTCCTGTTTGTTGGCTCTCTTCTTATTGGTTCTTTCTGAATAATGCCTTTTAACCAATTGAATGTTGCTTTTTCCAATACTACCTATGGCCCACCCTGCCCCCATCCTGTTCCTATAAAGGCCCCTGTCAGTGGAGGGGAGACAGCCTGACTTTGGGGAGGAGACAGCTTGACTTCAGGGAAACATGATCTGCTTTTCTGATACCCTCTCCAGCTCCCCTCTCCACTAGAGAACTGTTTTCATCGCTCAATAAAATTCTCCACTCTTACCATTCTTCAGTTGTCAAGTGTGACCTCATTCTTCTTGGACGCTGGACAAAAGCTTGGGACCCACTAAGTGCAGGTGGAGGCTGTCACACTGGCCCTTTGCCCTTGCAAGTGGAGGGCAACCACCCCACTGGCAGCTACAGGGTCAGTGGCCAACTGAGCTGCTAACACACAGCCGTTTATCGACTGTGGATGGTGGAACTAAAAGAGCTAAGTAGCACACTCACACCCCCTCTGGGGCTTTGGGATCATGGGCACCAGGCTGCCATGTTCCCCTCAAGGCAACATGACTGGTCTGGACATGGGCTTTGCATGGAGCTTGCTCCTGTATTGGTGCTTGGAGTGGCTGGCCAGATCCCATACTCACTTGCTTATGTGTTACCTCTCTCAAGGGGCGGAGCATGGTGGGCCGAGGAGATGGGGCACTCGTGCTAGGAGTCCGGCAAAAGGGCCAAGAAAAATCCTGCATGAATATTACAATCTCTGATCATCCAGTTAAAGTTTCTAGGGCCCCTCTGCTGTTGCTGTCAATCTCAAACACTTTTTTGTTTCATTTACAACACATATTGGAACTTGTATTATTTTGAATTTGCTTTTTAACTTAAATTTTATAATTTCTTTCATTAGAATATGGTTTCCATGAGGCCAGAGAACATGTCTGTTTTTCTTTTTTCTATTTTTTTTTTTTTTTTTTTTGAGATGGAGTTTTGCTCTTTGTTGCCTAGGCTGGAGTGCAATGGTGTGATCTCAGCTCACCGCAACCTCTGCCTCCTGGGTTCAAGTGATTCTCCTGCCTCAGCTTCCTGAGTAGCTAAGATTACAGGCATGAGCCACCACACCCAGCTAATTTCGTATTTTTAGTAGAGATGGGGTTTCTCTATGTTGGTCAGGCTGGTCTTGAACTCCTGACCTCAGGTGATCTGCCTGCCTCGGCCTCCCAAAGTGCTGAGACTATAAGTGTGAGCCATTGCATCTGGCCCTTTTTCATTCACTGAATAATTTCACTACTTTACAAATATGTGTCAGGCACTAGGCTAGCAGACACACACATAATATTTGTTAAATAACCATACCTTTCTAGAAGGAACTTCCCCTTTAAAGTTTTTCTATATACAAATTGAGAAACAGGTAGAAAGAATCCACATTCTTAGAACTTATTCTTAGCAGATAATTTAATTTGAATCTCAATGAAAATGAAATTTAATAAATATGACTATTAAGAGACAATCAGAGTCATATTTTTAAAAAGTACATTCACTGACCTAATGAGTTATGATGTGTGGAGAACATATCACAGAACCAGAAACATCCTGTCCAAAACAGCCTAGCATATTTTAGTTCAACAAACAAAATGATGTGTTGAAATTTAGTTGGTGAGATAAGACAAAGCCAGCCCATTTGGGTCTAAATTTATGAGATTTTTTATCCAGAACATGATTATAATGATTATTTCACTTAGAGTTGTGTGAATCTGACCTAACCAAGGATAACAATGGGTAGGTCGAAGATCATATTTATGACATCTTGGCCCTGGATTTTTCCAGTTCGTTCAGACTTCAAAACCTTTGAAGGGAGTCTTAGGTTCTTACCTTATTGTTATTAAGATGTTCGAAAAGCTCAAGAATTCTAAAAAGCCAGAATGAGGGGATAACTTTCACCAAAGACTTTTCCTTTATCTTTTGTTGTACGTGGTCACTTAACTGTTTTAGCTTAATTTAACAAAAAAGATGAGAAAATATTTTTACAGTATCATGAGATGAGGCTTCTAATGGGCTGGTGGCCAAGGATGGGGAAAAGAATCAAGGACAGATTAAATCTCCAAAGTAAGAGAATCTATTATATAGCAAACAAACTTGTATAATTAATCTCTAGGAGCACGGGTTCTAATAAGCCCAGGTACCACAAAGATAGAGAATTGCTTCTTCTGTCCAGGCAAAAGGCATGACTAAAGGTGTGACTTGCTCTCTGGGGATGATACCAATTTGGCAGCAGCATTTCCTTCCTTCCTTCTTTCCATCCTTCCTTCCTTTCCTTCCTTCCTTCCTTCCTTCCTTCCTTCCTTCCTTCCTTCCTTCCTTCTTCCTTCCTTCCTTCCTTCCCTCCTTCCCTCCCCTTTCTTTCTTTCTTTCTTTCTTTCTTTCTTTCTTTCTTTCTTTCTTTCTTTCTTTCTTTCTTTCTTTTTCTTTCTTTCTTTCTCTCTCTTTCTTTCTTCTTTTCTCTTTCTCTCTGTCTTTTGTTTGTTCGTTCATTTTTGAGACAGAGTCTCACTCTGTTGCCCAGGCTGGAGTGCAGTGGCATGATCTCAGTTCACTGTAACCTCCACTTCCCGGGTTCAGGCGATTCTCCTGCCTCAGCCTCCTAAGTAGCTGGGATTACAGGTGCCCGCCATCATGCCCAGCTAATTTTTGTATTTTTACTAGAGATGGGGTTTCACCATGTTGGCCAGGCTGGACTTGAACTCCTGACCTGAAGTGATCCGCCCGCCTCAGCCTTCCAAAGTGTTGGGATTACAGACGTGAGCCACTTTTTCTCTTTCTTAAAACATTTTGCCCAATGCTAAATTTTACTGCTTGGTTTCACCATAGTAATCTGCTCTAGAAGAAAATTACCACAGGTGGGATTGTCAAGGTGTTCCGGGATAATCATTTCTACTTTCTTTCTTTTTTTTTTTGGAGACAGGTTCTTACTTTGTCACCCAGGCTGGAGTGCAGTGGCGTGATCTCAGCTCAATGCAGCCTCAACCTCCCAGGCTCAAGCTACCTTCTTACCTCAGCCCCCCAAGTCGCTGGGACCACAGGTGCGCACCATCATGCTGGGCTAATTTTTGTATTTTTTGTAGACACAGGGTTTTGCCATGTTGCCCAGGCTGGTCTTGAGCTCCTGAGCTCAAGCGATCTGCCCGCTTCTGCCTCCCAAAGTGCTGGGATTACAGGCTGAGTCACCATGCCCAGCCCTCATTTCTATTTTCTACATGCCTTTTTTTTTTCTTTGCTTTCATTGTTCAGCTTCATGCCATGATCTTATTCTGACCATGATGAAATTAGTAGAATAGATCTTCACTTACGTTCTCTGCTCCCAGTGACTAATGTAGAGACAAGAGTTTTTATATTATTTGAATTTTTGTTATGAAAAAATGTAAACATTAAGTAATATAGACATAATAACTTAATGAACTACCATGTGCCCATCACCCAGCTTCAACTCACTCCCCAATCAAGGTGAGTGTGTATCTCCCATGAGTGAGTAAACTACCACGTGCCCATCACCCAGCTTCAACAAGCATCGACTCACTCTCCAATCAAGGTGAAATATCAGACATCATGTGATTTTATCGGTCAGTACATTTCCCTGATTTTTAAGTACATTTAAGTCAGTACATTTTCTGTTTTTAAGTAAATTATACAGGGATTCACTATGGTGACTAGTTATATCTTTTACCTTTGTTTTTGCTATTGTTTTTGTTGCTTGCATGAATTGAGTCATTTGTCTTTTAGGGTTTTCCACAGTCTTGATTTGCTGATTGCACCTCCGTATGTAGTTCAACATCTTCTTCTTTTTTCTATATATATCCTGTGTATTGGTAGCAAGGTAGATACTTGGTAAGATTCAAGTTGGAATAATTTTATGAGGGGCAAAAAGCCCTACTATTTCATAATAAGAGTTGTGTAGTTACATTCAGAGGCATTTACTATCTAGTGTCTCTTTTATGTAATGTCAGCAGCAACTGATGGTCATTAACTAGGTCCCTTAATTCATGACACAAAACGTTGAAAGTTTAATTCAATCATTCCCTATTCATTTATTGGCTGAAGTACTTTCATAAATAGCGACTTCACCTCATCAATTATTAGGTTACTCTTTGTTACGGTTTGTATAAGAGTTTGCAGGAGAAGTACTTGATTCTTTTCTTTATCAGCTTTCTAATTAATGAATAAACTCAGGAGGGGAGCGATTTTTTACTTTCATAAAATAAAAATAATTTCAGACTTACAGAAAAAGTTGTGAGAAAGAGACAAAGAATGTGTAAATAGCTAGTCTTGACTCAGACTTCTTAAATGTTAATGTGCTACATTTGCTTTACGTAATCTTTCTTGGTTACATTTCAAAGAGAAGGCTTCTAGGTCCTTGAAAATGACATTACTGAGTTGTAAAACTGGCAATAGGTTGGAAAAGATTTACACCTCAAAGCGGCTGAGAAATAATTTATAATTGCAAGTTTTCTAAAGTAAATACTATAAGAAAAGGGAGGCCAGAGAACTATAGTTAGGAAGAAATTTGTCTAAAATTTCAGTTAAGATCAGGAGAAGGTTAAGGCTGATATTGGATAGTATGTGTGTATATGTGCATATTTGTTTATATATGTGTATGTATATATATATGCATACATGTATATGCACACATTCACATATAGAATGGATATTTTTGTACTGTTTACTAAAGTACTTTGCAAACATGATGTTCTCTTAACCCGTCAGTATGTAAGTATTTCCTCAGAAATCTGCTTGCATCTGAAAGTTCTTCCTGTGGTGTTGGAAAGCAGGCTTTCATGACATCACAATCTGAGTTGCTGTATTCTTATAGGTCATTCGATTCCTCTTGTTGAACTGGAGAAACTTCTCCCATAATTGACTGGATGACTGGATTTCTTTGTTACTGTTCTTGCTGTTTTTTTTTTTTTTTTTTTCAGAGAAGAGTGACTGTCTTGCAGCTTCTAGTCAAATGAGAGCAATATGAGAAAAATGGGATATATGTGCTGATTTTAATTTCTCATTCAACACTCCATTTTGATTTGTCTTCTGAAGTGTTGACCATGATATTTACAGTGGCATTTGAATTGTCAATGTCAAGCTGATTTCATTTTACTAATGTGGGATACATTTATAATTTTTCTTTTCATAGTGATATGAACAAAATCATTAACAAATATTAACAAAACACATTACACAAAGCGATCTTCACTTGTATCAACCTCCAGGTTGGACATAAACAGGAAAACATTTTCAATCCCTTCTCTCCTCAAAAATCCAAAGCAGCTACCCACTGTACCATCTGGTGGATAGTGGATAGTTGACTCAAAAATAAATGAAAGATATGGGAGTGCAGATATATCTTCAACATATTGATTTCAATTCGTTTGGATGTATACCCAGAAGTGAGATTGCTGGGATCATATAGTAATTCTATTTCTAGTTTTTTGAGGAGCTTTCATACTGTCTTCTGCAAATGGTTATACTACTTCACAACTGCAACCACAATGTGTAAAGTGTTCCCTTTTCTCCACAGCCTCACTAATACTTATCTTTGTTTCTGTTGTTTTGATAATAGCCAGTCTGTAGGAGTGAAGTAATATCTTATTGTGGTTTTAATTTGCATCTCCCTGATGATTAGTGATGTTGAGCATGTTTTCATATCCTGTTGTCCATTTGCATGTCTTCTTTTGCAGCATTATTTACAACAGCCAATATATGGAAGCAATCTAAGTGTTCATTGGGATGAATTTTAAAAATGTGGTATATATACACGGTGAAATACTATTCACCCTTAAAAGAGAAGTAAATTCTGTTACTTGTGACAATATGGATGAATCTGGGGGGCATTATGGTAAGTGAAATAAGCCAAGCACAGAAAGACAAATACTGCAAGATCTCATTTAAATGTGGAATCTAAAAAAGTCAAACTTCTAGAAGTAGGTTGTTACTAGAGACTGGGGGAAAGAGAATGGGGAGATGATGGTCATATGGTACAAAATTCCAGTTTAGGCAATGGGAATAAGCTTTTGAGATCTATTGCACAAAAAGTATGTGAAGTGATGAATATGTTAATTAGATTGATTTAATCATTCTACAATGTGTACATATATCAAAACATCACATCAAACCCCCGAAATATATAAAATAATTTTTCGGTTAAAAGAATAAAACAGAAGGCCAGGTGCAGTGGCTCATGCCTGTAATCCCAGCACTTTGGGAGGCCAAGGCAGGTGGATCACCTGAGGTCAGGAATTCAAGACCAGCCTGGCCAACATGGCAAAACCCCATCTCTACTGAAAATACAAAAATTAGCCAGGTGTGGTGGCAGGTGCCTATAATCCCAGCTACTCAGGAGGCTGAGGCAGGAGAATCGCTTGAACCCAGGAGGTGGAGGTTGCAGTGAGCCAAGGTCACGCCACTCACTCCAGCCTGGGCAACAGAGTGAGACTCCAAAAAAAAAAAAAAAAAAAAAAAAAACCGAAATGAAAGATATGGAACAATGTGAAAAATCTGGCTATTGATATTTACCTTATCAGTGCTTAAAACTGTCTAGTAACAATTTTACAGAATGAGCCATCGAACTAGGATAAGAAGTGTGCAAATAAAGGTGTTATAATGTGAAATAGTGATCTTACTAGGGATTCTCATTGGTAGCGGTTTTAGAAACCAGAGTAGAGAAGATCAAATATAGTTTGATTTAAAAATACAATGATTCCGTGTTTATTTTTAATAAATATAACTAATAAATAAATTGCTGCAGGTATGCGGGACTAAAATAAGGTGTCAGTACCTCACACGAGAGCTTCAGATGGCTTCACTGCTACAGCTTGCCTGTCTATGTGGTTAGAAACTGTTGTTTAGTGGTTTCAGTGGTGAGCAGTTCGTGGGCTTCCGGTTTCTCTTTCTGAAATGGTCGAAGAATAGTGGCAAATAGGTCACTTGTTGTTGGTCAAGCGCTCAGGCAATTTTTTAAAGGATTGGTAAGGTGGTTCTGAAGCCCCTTGCAAGGGAATTTAGAAAAAAATATCTACGTCATAGAACTCTATCCTATGATTTTGTTGTTGAAACTGGAACATAAAAGAAAAGAGAGAGAGAGGAAGACAAGCAAACGCCTAAACAGAGCTCAGGGAACACCTTCAGGACAGGGAACTGGAGAACAGTCATCAAATCAGTCGCTACCCACCAGGCTCAAGGACTCACAAACTACCATTTGTGACCAATATACTCATTCACTCAATTTCAGTCAGTGTCTGGGGTATCAAGCTCTAGAAACCAGAAATAAAGCCAGAAACAAAGGAAAAAGTTTTCATTTCCAATAAACTCAGTTATTGTTAAAACTTCAGGGACTGGCACGGTGGCTCATGCCTGTAATCCCAGCACTTTGAGAGGCTGAGGTGGGTGGATCCCCTGAGGTCAGGAGTCCAAGACCAGCCTGGCCAAAATGGTGAAACCTCATCTCTACTAAAAATACAAAAAATTAGCCTGGCATGGTGGTGGACGCCTGTAATCCCAGCTACTCAGGAGCCTGAGGCAGGAGAATCACTTGAACCTGGGAGGCAGGGGTTGCAGTGAGCCAAGATCACGCCACTGCACTCCAGCCTGGGCAACATGAGCGAAACTCCGTCTCAAAAACAAAACAAACAAACAAAAAAAAAACCAAAACAAACAAAAAAACTTCATTGAAGAAATCATGCTCTTACTCTTCCTGTAGAGTGGTAATGCAGTACTGATTTAATTTAAATATAACCTATATTGATGGTTAATATTTATTGGTGTTTACTATATGTCAGGCTTTGTGTAAAGCATTTGCGTGCATTAGCTCAAATAATTATTGTCATAATGCAGCAAGATATATAATGTTACTATGTACATTTTACATATAAGGACACTGAGGATTATCAATTAATGTGCTCAATTTCTGCTGGGTGCGGTGGCTCACACCTGTAATCCCAGCACTTTGGGAGGCCAAGGTGAGTGGATTACATGAGGTCACGAGTTCAAGACCAGCCTGGCCAATATGGTGAAACTCTGCCTCTACAAAAAATACAAAAATTAGCAGGGCATGGTGACACCTGCTTGTAATCCCAGCTACTCAGGAGGCTGCAGCAGGAGAATCGCTTGAACCTGGTAAGTGGAGGTTGCAATGAGCCAAGATTGCGCCACTGCACTCCAGCCTGGGCGACAGAGCAAGACTCCATCTCAAAAACAAAAAATAAGTAAATAAATGAAATAAAACAAGAAAAGCTCAATTCCGCCTAGCTAGCAATTGGAACAACTAATAGTCTAAGAAAGGTTTATTCCATTTCAGAAAGATAAGCTTGCAGAAAGACAGTATGTGAATACATGAAAATCTGTTTTATTTTTAGCTCAATTTTCCAGTAATTTTTAACTCTCTGTTTGAATTTAACTATATAAATAAACCTGTACATACTATTGTATATTGATTATTTAATCATTAATTTCTGTACATGTACTTGTCTTTCTGTGTACTGTCTACTTGTCCTCATTGAGCCAACATATAGATAATGACGTATGATTAAATTAAACCTGCCAACTTCCATGACAGTCAAAGTACTTTTGGAAGTTTTGCCATGCTTTCAATGTGTACTTTATTTCCTATTATAGTTTCTCTCTTTTCATGTTTTATTTCCCTTAAGAAACATTTATTTTACTTTATTTTGGAGGAAAAGTCTTACCCTGTCACCCAGGTTGAAGTGCAGTGGCATGATCACAGCTTACTGTAACCTCGGGCTCCAGACTTAAGTGATCCTACTGCCTCAGCCTCCCAATGTGCTGGGATTACAGATGTGAGCTACCATGCCTGGCCAATTTACTTTAAAAAGAAGCATTTGTTTGTTTGTTTGTTTGAAATGTTATGATATTTTAACATACAATGCATTTCATCTCATGATAGCATTTTCATTGAGAGGGCAAATTTTATAATATCCCTAGGATTTATGTAAAGTTGAATTTATATTAAGTTGCCCTACTTAATTGTATATTGCTCCCTCCTTTCTTGGTTCTGTGTGTTTAGAAACCTCTGACTGGAAAGATATAAGTGCAAACTTGTCACTATAGTCTGAATGCAGAAATTGTGGGGATTTTTTTTTCATCCCATATACACACATTTTGTGTGTATTATATACTAGTGAACATAAAATTACATGGTATTAAAATTATGAATATATACTACATTTTTAAGGAACTCAGTCCAGTGGAAATACTAATAAACATCAGTGATAATGCAATGTAATAAATGATATAGATGAAGTGTGTATAACAGGTTCTTATACAGTTCAGAATTATCCTCTTGCTTCAACACAGTGACTGCTTCACAAGATAGGGTAGGAAACATGATTTGTGACCTGTCTGAGAAAACTCTTCCACATATCTACAAAATTTGAATTTACACTATGGTGTATAGTAATATATGTTGGCATACAATATTATTCTATGGATAAAATTAAAATGCATATTCTATTTTATTCTGTAATTATATACCATAAAACTATTGACCAAATGGAATATTGAAGAACATGTCATTTGTCAAATCATTCCTATAATGTGCAAATAATTTTTGTTTTTTAGGATGGTTGATGTGAGGTTTTTTAATTTGTTTTGGCTATGTTTAGATATTTCACATCTGTTAGTCTGAATTCAAATAATGAACCACATTGAAGTCTTCCTTCATAGTCCCATTAAATGGAGAGTCAGCAGATGTTTCTTAGTCTAAATGAGTAGGGAATTTCTTTTTTCTTTTTCTTTTCTTTTCTTTTCTTTTTTTTTTTTTTTTTGAGATAGAGTCTTGCTCTGTCACCCAGTCTGGAGTGCCGTGGCACGATCTCGGCTCACTGCAACCTCCGCCTCCTGGGTTCAAGTGATTCTCCTGCCTTAGCCTCTCGAGTAGCTTGGATTACAGATGTGCACTGCCACGCCTGGCTAATTTTTGTATTTTTAGTAGAGATGGGGTTTCACCATGTTGGCCAGACTGGTCTTGAACTCCTGACCTCAGGGGGGAATTTCTATTTATATCAATAATATTTTCCATGATGCTGAATTCTCCACATACTTCTACTGAGCTAAGCTCAACTGCATTTGTAATTTGTTTAACCTTTATCATACTGTCTGAATTTTTATATTTCTAATATCATCTAAGTCATGAGAACAATTTATTGGAATGTGATTTAGTTAGTTGGTTAACATTTATAATTTATTTTTTTCAAACATCTTATCCAAGTAGATGTGTTAAATTTTATATGCTTACACTTTTTGTGTAAGTAGATGTACTAATTTTTGTATAACATTTTTAGAAAATTTAATACCTTTCCATCTTAGGCTTGATGCAGTGTTTTGTGTGTTTTTTAAGACTTATTCATTTTTATAATAGAGTTTGCTTCACTTTCATATTTTATTTTCTTTAATCTAATTTAGTGAGTCTAAGATACATTGTGGTATAGTTTGGCTCTGTCCCAAACCAAATCTCATCTTGAATTGAAGTTCCCCTAATCCCCACATGTCATGGGAGGGACCAAGTGGGAAGGTAATTAAATCATGGGAGCAGTTGCACCCATGCTATTCTCATGATAGTGAGTGAGTTCTCATAACATCTGATGGTTTTATAAGGGGCTTTTCTCCCTTTACTTGGCATTTCTCTGTCCCGGCCACCCAGTGAAGAGGGACGTATTTGCTTCCCCTTCTGCCACGATTGAGACCTCTGCAGCCATGCAGAGCTGTGAGTCAATTAAACCTCTTTCCTTTACAAATTACCCAGTCTCGAGTATGTCCCTATAGCAGCATGAGTACGGACTAATACATATTGTTTTTTACATTTTAATGTCTCTGAAATTAGCATGCCTCTCAAAATATATGAAGTCTTACAGTCACTGCTGGCCAGGAGACAGTTGCAATGTGCACATGCGTGACCTTGATTTTCACTGGTGCTAGTGTCACTGCTTCAGTGAAGTTATGTACATTGTTGGTCCTGCATGTTTTACTCATCACATCATTTAGACACCGTCATAGGATGGAATGGAAATTCTCTGATCCTGTTTTTTTCCCCACAATTTTTCTAATCCTGTTTTAAAAAAAAATCTATGAGACTTTTACAGATCAAGAAATCACCATCAAAAAACTCTAAATAATGAGCATCAGAAGCTACAAAGAAAATCTTGGAGACATTAGAGGGGCACTCTTTTTAAAAAAATGGTACATGACTATTGTTCTTTATGGCACAGAAAACAATATTGTGTTGAAAACAATTATGGTAATGATAAGTATGTTTTGTCTGCTTTATTGACACTAATAAACTTCTTAATATTTTATTTTTATGTTTATTTTATTGTGTGAAATCAGTTTTATTTAAATGTATTTTCTTTTCCTTCCTTCCTTCCTTCCTTCCTTCCTTCCTTCCTTCCTTCCTTCCTTCCTTCCCTTCTTTTCTTCTTTTCTTTCTTTTTTTTTTTTCAGAGTCTCTCTCTGTTGCCCAGGCTGGAGTGCAATGGCGTGATCTCGGCTCACTGCAACCTCCGCCTCCTGGGTTCAAGTGATTCTCCTGCCTCAGCCTCCCAAGTAGCTGGGATTACAGGTGCCCGCCACCACACCCGGCTACTTTTTGTATTTTTAGTAGAGATGGGGTTTCACCATGTTGTCTAGGCTGGTCTTGAACTCCTGACCTCAGGTGATCCACCCACCTCGGCCTCCCAATGTGTTGGGATTACAGGCGTGAGCCACCATGCCTGGCCATAAGTATACTTTCCGCTTGATGATTGCACTTTTTGTTTTCTTTGAATCATATGCTTAGATAGAACATCATTACCATTCTGTTACAATGGAGATTTTAACATGTTCACACTTGAAAATATCAATTTTGAATTCCATTTGCATCTATAATTATATCAGGTTTAAACTCACATACAATAAACTATATACGACGGATAATGTGTCCTCTATTATTCTACCCATAAACAAAGTAAATGTATTTCCAAACATGGAGTCATTGGCATCAGCCAACCGGTGGGGGAGATTCTAAATTAGGCTTAACAGGGGACAGGGGAGTTGCTAACATCCCTTACAGTAAACTACTGAGGCAGTCCTTGATTCTGCCACATTATGAGGATTTTATACATAAGGTATTTCATGAAAGAAAGAGAAATAGTAAAACTGCACCAAAGGAGAAACAGTATTGAATTGCAAACAAAGAAGACAGAAGAAACAATAACAACAGTTAACAATGCTTTCTCATTCAATCCCTAGAAAAACCTTGTGATGAGGATACTTTTATCCCCTTCATTTTACAGATGTGGAAAAAGTAGATTAGGGAATTCAACTGGACCAAAGTTATAAATATAGTAAGTGACACAACTCAAACTAATATCTTGCCTTCTCTGGTATCAAACTTGTGCCCTTATCATATATCAAAATGCTTCCAAGAAAATTAAATATACGGTTTGCAACCAGTGGAGAAACTCTTGGGGAAATCGTCAATTTTTTAAAAAAGAATTTATTGAGAAGCATCCTTGAAACAACTTGAAAAAAGAGTAAGAAATTATTTCATACTTAATTTTCTACAAAGAACAAAATAATGAATCTCACATTTATCACACATATGCAGTGAGAAGGACTCCTGGAGGCTGTAGCAGTCAGTGCCTTTCACACAGGAAGGGACCCTTACTCTGAGCTCTGCTAAGCAGAAGGGTGGTAGTGTCCCATGGTGGCTCGTAATGCATTTCTTGACCCAATGACTTCCTTTGTGGTTTCATCAGAGTTCGCAGGAGCTGCCATCACTCTAGCTTTATGGTTTTCAACTCTAACAAAGTGAGGAGTATAGTAGTCCTTTTGTTTTCTCGAAGACCATTAGGATCACTTGTTGTACATACGTTGTCCGTCATGCTCAGATTTCCTAGGAATTCAACTTCTGTCCTGAGTCTCTGCCTTTATTTCTATCCTGGTGCGTTAGGCTGTCAACCTAGAAGGAAACATTTACATCCCCTCAACCACTCTCTCTCTTAAGTCCTTACCATTTCCCAAGGTGGTGATAACGTTTTGCTTTTTTTTTTTTTTTTTTTTTTTTTTAGGGGGGCTGTTATGAGTGCTGGAAACCAAGAAAGGATGAGCAAAGAAAAAAGTTCCCCTGAGTCATTTGGCCCCAAACATTTTAGCATACCCAAAGGCGCCAGAGCCCTTTCAGTAACATGTATTATTCCTGTTAAAGATCCTTCCCCTTGGTTTGGGTTCTGTAGCTAGACAAAGAGAAGGTTAAGAACATCTGCTTCTGTGTCACATTGTTCCAAACTTTTCTTTTCTTTTCTTTTCTTTTTTTGAGACGGGGTCTCACTCTGTTGCCCAGGCTGGAGTGCAGTGGCAAAATCTCCCGCTCACTGCAACCTCTGCCTCCTGGGTTCAACTGATTCTCCTACCTCAGCCTCCAGAGCAGCTGGGACTACAGGCTCCCGCCACCATGCCAGGCTAATTTTTGTATTTGTCCCAAAGTTTTCTGCTTGACCTAGATAAAACTTGGGTATTAATTTATCAGTTACCTTTTAAACACATTTTAAAATTTACATTTGCAACACCCCTTTGATTATTAACTTCCATTATATGTTGAGGCAAGTCAGTACGAAGTGGTTTCAAAGTCACATAATACTTTAAAAATGGATAGCGTATTAAGGTAATATAAAGGGTCTTGGGTCTGTGAAGCTAGAGAAGATCCAGACCAGGAGAAAGTCTCAGGTATTTAAGAGCATGTTTTCTGGTTAAGGAAAGGATAATTGAAAGCAGCCGCAAGTGCCATGTTTCGTTCATTTACCATCATTATCAACGACTTATTTAATGTAGTCATAATTTTGTAATCGGGATTTCTGAAGTTCCATAAACTGGAGCTAACATATGTTGCCTCACTAGCATTAACTACAGATGTTAACATACTAACCTTTCACTCTGGAGTTTGGGACAGTGAGTGATTATTTGTTATTATACTATTTTCTTTTTGAGATGGGGTCTCACTCTGTTGCCCAGGCTGGAGTGCAGTGGTGCGATCCTGGCTTACTGCAACCTCCGCCTCCCAGGTTCAAGCAATTCTCCTGCCTTGGCCTCCCGAGTAGCTGCGATTACAGGCAAGCACCACCAAGCCGGGCTAGTTTTTGTATTTTTAGTAGAGATAGGGCTTCACCATGTTGTCCAGGCTGGTCTCAAACTCCTGACCTCAGGTAATCCTCCGGTCTTAGCCTCCTAAAGTGCTGGGATTACAGGTATGAGCCACCATGCCCAGCCCTTTTATGCTATTTCTTTGGCAAACACAAAAAGGAATGGTCTGGTCCAGTGGTCCCCAAACTTTTTGGCCCCAGGGACCGGTTTCATGAAAGATAATTTTTCTATGGATGGGAGCAAGAGGGGGATGGTTTGGGATGGTTCAAGTGCGTTACATTTATTGTGCACTTTATTTCTATTATTATTACATTGTAATATATAATGAAATAATTCTACAACTCACCGTAATGTAGAATCAGTGGGAGCCCTGAGCTTATTTTTGTGCAACTAGATAGTCCCATCTGGGGGTGACGGGAGACAGTGACAGATCATCAGGTATTGGATTCTCATAAGAAGCACACAACCTAGATCCCTCGCATGTGCAGTTCACAACAGGGTTTGTGCTCCTATGAGAATCAAATGCCTCTGCGGACCTGACAGGAAGCAGAGCTCTGGTGGTAATGCCAGCAATGGGGAGTGGTTGTAAATATAGGTGAAGCTTTGCTCACTCATTCCCTGTTCACCTCCTGCTGTGCTCCAGGTTCCTAACAGGCCACAGTACCGGTCTGTGGCCTGGGGCTTGGGGACCTCTGGTCTGGTCAATTACACATTTCTCCTGAATTCTGGAGAGACAACATACCAGTTCCTCAGAGGAAACAAAGATTTTCTTAAAAATCACATCAAATTAAATTACTGCTTTTTGCTTATTGAAGTGGATAATCTTACTCTTGTTTTTGTCATTGAAAAGACACTAGGCCAGGTATGGTGGTTTACACCTATAATCCCAGCACTTTGGGAGGCTGATGTAGGTGAATCCCTTGAACTCAGGATTTTGAGACCAGCTTCAGCAACATATTTATGTTCTATAAATGTATGTTCTATAAATAATACAAAAATTAGCTGTGTGTGGTGATGTGCAGGTGTATTACGTATTTTCTATAAATAATACAAAACTTAGCTGGGCGTGGCGATGTGCACCTGTAGTCCCAGCTGCTTGGGAAGCTGAGGTGGAAGAATCACTCAAGCCTTGGAGGTTGAGGCTGCAGTGAGCTGTGATTGCGCTACTGTACTCCAGCCTGAGCAACAAAATGAGAACTTGTCTCCAAAAAACAAACAAACAAACAAACCCCACCACATTCTCAAGTTATAAGAAGTTAGTTCTTCTTCCCTCATGTTACTTAAGATTTGAATTCATGATTGTATAGAATCATTAGTTGTCTTAAACAAGCAAGGGCACTAAATGAATGACCATTACAGGGAAGACAGTAGATTCCATGAGAGGATGTGTCTTGAGAATGTATATGAACATGAAGACTTCATCTTTGAGAAAGAGGAATAACTTTCAGAGGAAGGTGATTCAAGTGAACCAAGACATGACACTGAAGAAGAATGGTGGGGGTGGTAGGGAGTAAAACTATCGCAGCTGTGTGTACACAAAAGGGAATGAACCAGGGTTGGGAGTGCAGTGGTGTGAGTTGTGACTTGGGCCTAGAATGCTTGATTGAACATAGCATTACTGGCTTTGCTGTCCTGAGTGAGTCAGTGGGCAGTTGTAAAAAAAAAAAAAAAAAAGATGAATAATTTAACTTTTAATAAACAAAGTTTGACAATCCTCTGCATAAAACATTTCTTATCTAATGCTTTTAATATTTTTTTATCACTAGTTTTGAAGAACTTAATTATAATGTACATGTAAGTAGATTTTCTTATGTTTCTTTTGCTTGGGGTTCGTGGACTTTCTAGATCTATATGCTTATAGTTCTAGCAATTTGGAAACATTTCAATTTCAGTATTTAAATCTCAGTTTTCAACTGTAAGTTCTTTGAATACTTTTTGCCCCCTCCTATGTATCCAGAGACTGCTTTTAGGCGTACGTTGGGCCCCTTGCAGCTGTCCCGCAGGTCACTGATACTCCGTTCATACACTTTTTAAATGCTCTTTAATGTGTTTCATTTTGTTTAGTTTTCATTGCAATGTCTTCGGATTCGGGCATCTTTTCTTTCACAGTGTCTTTTTTTTCTAACTTTTATTTTAGGTTTGGGGCTACCTGTGAAGGTTTGTTACATGGGTAAACATGTGTCATGGGGGTTTGTTGTACAGATTATTTCATCACTCAGGCATTATACCCAGTACCCAATAGATACCTTTTCTGCTCCTCTCCCTTCTCTCACCCTATCCCCTTGAGTAGACCATGGTGTCTGTGATTTCCTTTTCTGTGTTCATAAGTTCTTATCATTTAGCTCCCACTTATAAATGAGATCATGAGGTGTTTAGTTTTGTTTCTTCATTAGTTTGCTAAGGATAGTAGCCCCCAGCTCCATCCATGTTCCTGTAAAAGGCAGGATTTCATTCTTTTTTCATGGCTGCACAGTATTCCATGGTGTATATGTACCACATTTTCTTTATTCAATCTGTGATTGATGGGCACTTAGGTTGAATTCAAGTCTTTGCTATTGCGACAAGTGCTGCAGTTATCATTCACATGCATGTGTCTTCGTGGTAGAAGGATTTATATTCTTCTGGGTATATACCCAGTAATGGGATTGTTGAATTGAATGGTAGTTCTGTCTAAAACTATAAAAACGCTGGAAAACAACCTAGGCAATACCATCTTGGACACAGACAGGAATGGGCAAAGATTTCGTGACAAAGACACCAAAAGCAATCGCAACAAAAGCAAAAATTGACAAGTGGGATCTAATGAAACTTAAGAGCTTCTGGACAGCAAAAGAAACTATCCACAGAGGGCAGGGCATGGTGGCTCACGCCTGTAATCCCAGCACTTTGGGAGGCCGAGACGGGTGGATCACGAGGTCAGGAGCTCGAGACCATTCTGGGTAACGTGGTGAAACCCCGTCTCTACTAAAAATACAAAAAATTAGCAGGGCGCGGTGGAGGGCGCCTGTAGTCCCAGCTACTCTGGAGGCTGAGGCAGGTGAATGGCGTGAACCCGGGAGGCGGAGCTTGCTTGCAGTGAGCCGAGATCGCGCCACTGCACTCCAGGCTGGGCGACAGAGCCACACTCCGTCTCAAAAAAAAAAAAAAAAAAAAACCTATCAACAGAGTAAACAGACAATGTACAGACTGGGAGAAAATATTTGCAAACTATGCACCTGACAAAGGACTAATGTATATCCAGCATCTCGAAGGAACTTAAACAAATCTACCAGAGAAAAACAAACAACCCCATTAAAAAGTAGGCAAAAGGCTGGGCGTGGTGGCTCACACCTGTAATCCCAGCACTTTGAGAGACTGAGGCTGGTGGATCACCTGAGGTTAGGAGTTTGAGACCAGCCTGGTCAACATGGTGAAACCCTGTCTCATGTAAAAATACAAGGAAAAATTAGCCAAGCGTGGTGGCGCCTGCCTGTAATCCCAGCTACTCTGGAGGCTGAGGCAGGAGAATCACTTGAACCCAGGAGGCGGAGATTGCAGTGAGCTGAGATTGCGCTACCGCACTCCAGCCTAGGCAACAGAGCGAGATCAGTCTCAAAAATAAATAAATTAAAAAAAAAAAAGAAAAGTAGGCAAAGGACATGAACAGGCACTTCTCAAAAGAAGACATACTTGTGGCCTACAAGCACATGAAAAAAGCTCAACATCGCTGATCATTAGAAAAATGCAAATCAAAACCACAATGAGACACTGTCTCACATCAGTCAGAATGCCTATTATTAAAAAGTCAAAAAATAATAGATGCTGGTGAGGATGCAGAGAAAAGGGAATATTTATATACTGTTAGTGGGGGTGTAAATTAGTTCAACCCTTGTGGAAAGCAGTACGGAGATTCCTCAAAGAGCTAAACTGCAGTGTCTTATATCTACTAGTAATTTGAGGACTTTTAAAAATTATTCATTGTAGCTAAAGGTTTACTAATATTGTTAATCTTTTCTAAGGTCCAACTTTTGGCTTTGTTTATTTTCTCTATTTTCCACTCTATTTTATGTACATACCTTCTAGTATTTATTGTTCATTTGGCTGGCGTTGGGTTTAATTTATTTTCCTTTTTCTAGTTACTTAAGGGATGAAGTTAGGTTGTTGGTTTAAGATGTTCTTTCCAATGTATTTAAAGATATAAATTTGCCTCTAAGCACTACTTTTGTTGCATCCCGTATGTTTTGGTATGTTGTGTTTTTATTTTCATTAGCTTTAAGATATTTTCTAATTTCCCTTGTATTTTTTCTTTGACTCATTGGTTATTTAAAAGTGTTGTTTACATTCTAACTAATTTTCAAATTTTTAGTTTTACTTCTGTTACTGAATTCTAGTTTCATTCCATTGTGATAGGAAATAATGCTTTCTATGAGTTTACTCTTTTAAAATTAATTAAGACCAGTTTTGTGGTCTAACATATAGTCTGTCCTGAAGAATTCTCCATGTGCACTTCAAAAAAATGTATATTCTGCTGCTGTTGGTTGGAATATTCCATATGTCTTTTAGGTCCAGTTGGTCCATAGTGTTGCTCAAGTCCTCTACTTTCTTATTGTTCTGGTTGTTTTTTGCATTATTGGACATAGGCATTACATTCTCCAAGTATTATTGGAGAGCTATCTATTTGTCTCTTCAGTTATGTCAAAGTTTGTTTCATATATTTAAAGGTTCTGATATTTAGTGCCTATATGTTTATAATTGTGATTTATTCTTGAGGAATTGACACTTTTATTAATATATGATATTCTTTGTCTTTTATATATATACATTTACTTTATCTGACATTAGTATGGCCATCCCAATTTCTTTTGGTTACTCTTTGCTTGGAATATCTTTTCCATTCTTTCATTTTCAACTTATATGTGTTTTCAGGTCTGAAGTGAGTCTTTTATAGACACCTTCTTATTAGATCCTGTTTTTGCTATCAATTCTGCCCATCCATGCCTTTTAATTGGGAATTTTAATTCATTTATATTTAATGCAATTACTGATGGGGAAGGACTTATATTTTCCATTTTCCTATTTATTTCAGGGTGTCTTATAGTTATTTTCCCACTCATTTTTTCCATTATTGACTTTCTTTGTGATTAGCTGTTTTTTTTTTTTTTTTTGTAGAGACACATTTTCATTATCTTCTCCTTTCCTTTTGTGTATATTCTATAATTTGTGTTAACTTAAAGATTATTTATAATATTTAAAATTTTTAACAACCTATTTTTAATCAATACTAACAACTTCAGTGGCAAACTAAAACTCTACTCCTACACAGCTCCACCCCTCTGCTTTATGATATCAATATCATAAATTACATCTGTATTTATTTTGTAACTATTAACATAGATTTATTATTAATTTATTCAATTGCTTCTAAATGTTATAAAAAATAAAAAGTGAAATTACACACCAAAATCTTAATGATGTTGGGCATTATATTTCGCTGATGCATTTATCTTTACCAGAGATCTTTATATCTTCATATGATGATGATGAATTATTGTCTTGCATCCTTCCATTTTACTCTATAGAACTCTCTCTAGCTTTTCTCTTAGGGCAGGTTTAGTGCAATAAACTGCCTCAGATTTTTTTTATCTTGAAATGCTTTAATTTCACCCTCATTTTTTAAGGATGGTTTTGCCAGATATTAAAATTTTGATTGACAGTTTTTTTTAATTCATAACTTTAGATATACCACCTCTCTGCCTTGTGGCCTCCAAAGCTTCTGCTGGACACTCCACTGGTAATTTTATCAAGGAGCCCTTGTTTGTGACAAATATTTTCTTGTTTTGTTTTGTTTTTTCTTTTCTTTTCTTTTTTTTTTTTTTTTTTTAAGATTTGCTGCTTGGCTTTGGCTTTTGCCAGTTTGATTATATCTTATTGTGGGTCTCTTTTCATTTATGCTACTTGGACTTCATTAAGCTTTTTGGATTTGTAAGATTCATGATTTTTTTTTAAAATCAAATTTGGCAAATTTCTTTATTTTTTAAATACTCTTTCTTTTCCTATTCTATGACACTTATAATGGGTATATTGGTCTGTTAAATAACGTCCATTAAATCTCTTAGTCTCTGTTCACTTTTCTCTGTTCTTTTAAAAAATTTCTTGTCTTCTGACTCAGTAATTTCAAATGGTTTACTTTCCAGGTAGCTGATTCTTTTTTTTTTTTTTTTTTTTTGTAGTAACAGTATATTTTTCAGTTCTGTTATTTAATTTTTCGTCTCTAGAATTTGTTTGATTTTTATATTAATATTTTCTATTTGTTGATATTCTCATTTTGTTCTATGTATCACCCACTTTTCTTTAGTTATTTTTCTGTTTTTTTCTTTAACTTTTTGAGCATATTTAGTACAGTTATTTTGAAGTCTTAGTCTACTGATCTGATATTTGTGCTCCCTCATGAACAGTCTCTAAAGATTCATTTTGTTTCTTCCAATGGGTTGTGTTTTCCTGTTTCTTCGTATGCTTTGAGATTTTTTTGAAAATTGAGCACTTGAAAAAAACAGCTACCTCTCCCAGTCTTTGAAGACTGGCTCTTTGCCAAGGCAATTCTCTATTAACTGTGTACTGTAGGTCTTGGGATTAGCTTTAGGTAAAGGCTTAAGGTCTTCTCAGGTCTTTTGGAGCATGAATTTTCCTGGGTCTTTGTGTGGCTTTTTCTGTTTTCCCATACATGTGGCTACTTTTGAGTGTCTTAATGTCCTGGAGAGTCACATTCCAAATTTTCTTGACTTTACTTAACATTCTGAGTATTTGTATAATTGTAGGGAGACAAACTTGCTAGCCTGCTGATGACCTGGTGAATCTAGCTTAGGTCAGTTTTTCCTTACTTACCCCAATACCTCTATAAACATATGAGTCCAAAGGAAACAGAATTTCTTTTCTGTAGTACAATTTATACTGTGTTCAGTTGTGCTTAGCTCAAGCTCTCCTTCTGCTCTGTCAAGTTTCAGTGGCACCATGCACTATCCCTATTTTTTTATCTTGTATCATGAGTCATTTGTGGTGTTTTTATTATTTAATTACTAGGCAGTGTCCAACACAATATAAACTACTCTTTCTGAATAATAGGCTTTGGAAGTAGAACATATTCACATATTCTCTCCAGCCACATTGGGATGGGAGGCATTCTCTTTGGGGGAACAATAATTGGGAATTCAACCAAAGTAGAATAGCCAGTGATAAGTTGTTCATAGGAATTATATCTGTGGACTACAAAGTCCTGGAACAAAAGATCTATTGAAAAATAGAAATTTAGATAATGAGTATGTTTGAAATTTCAGCTATTGAAAAAATCGGAAGAATCAACCACCACTAAGTCTACCTGCAGACAAAGTAGTCCTTCCAAAGACATATATGTCTCAGGGGGAGGAAATAGAACTAAATGGACCTTGAATGTTTAATTCATGTCTTCACTTGTCACTGAAAGAAATAGAGAGTGAAGAACAATATGAAAATGAGACTCTTAATATGACTTCTTCACACAAATGCATATGGCTATCTTTCATTAGAAAAAGAGGTTGAAAAAATATATATTTATGCTTTCCCAAACTCTAGATATATACACCAAACCTTGGGAAAAGGGAATCTGTAAGACCTACGAAGAAGCCAAAGAAACTTAGATCATTTGTAGCAAAAGGAGCAATGAGCAGAGATAAATAGAATTAGTCTGCAAGCAAGACTTAGTTGATGGGAAAGAGAAACACTAGGAAACTGTGATTCCGAGGTACCTGGGGATGCTTCTACTTTTGAGATCAAAAGCATTTATTCTGTTCTGTAATATCCACCCTGAGTAACCCATGGCCTCCTGAATATCCACTAAAGACACAGTAGATAGTTCTGGCTAGAATGCCCACAGCCTTCAGTGTAAAATTCTAAGAATTATTCTAATATGCAATTCTTCTTATTGGCTTAATTAAATATTGTTCTAGTGATTGACAATTACTCCATCACATTATTGTTGTTCCATTTTTAAGATGCATTCCTCCATCATCATCATAGTTATGTAGAATATTTTGTTATTATTTTGGTCATTTTCTGAAAGTCATAATATTCATCCTTGACTTATTAATGTCCAATATATGTAGTTACTTTACATTTTCCTAGCCATTATAAGAAATTTAGAGCTTTTTAGTTCTATTTATTATTCTTTTGAGTTAAAATGCAACTCTTTAATGTAAGTGTATGTACTGTAGTAAACTTTAGTTTTATGCAATTAAAGTAGTGGACATTATTTATGGTTTCATATAATTGCTATTCATTTAGACTTACATCTGTATTTACCTATTTCATTGTCTTTTATCCTGAGTCTTTGAGGTCTCATCTGAGATCATTTTCTTAAACCCAAAGAATATTGTGGGCTGGGCATGGTGGCTCAAGCCTGTAATCCCAGCACTTTGGGAGGTTGAGGCAGACGGATCACGTGAAGTTGGGAGTTTGAGATCAGCCTGGCCAACATGGTGAAACCCTGTCTTTACTAGAAATACAAAAATTAGCCAGGCGTTTTGGCACATGCCTGTAATCCCAGATACTTGGGAGGCTGAGGCAGGAGACTTGCTTGAACCCAGGAGGTGGAGGTTGCAGTGAGCCAAATTCATGCTACTGCACTCTAGCCTGGGCGACAGAGTGAGACTCCATCAAAACAAAACAAACAAAACAAAAAAAAGATATTCTTCTAGTGTACTTTCTTAATACAGATATAAAGATATAATAAATTGTTTTTGCTCTACTTAAATGGTCTTTCTTTTACCTATGGAGTATAACTAGATGCTCATATCATTCCCATCTGTATAACTAAATGCTCATATCATTCCCATCTGTATAACTAAATGCTCATATCATTCCCATCTGATGAGATGATTGCCTCTGAGGATAGAATTTTAGTATGGCAGTTGTTGTCAATCAATAATCATATAGCCTTCATTTTCTTTTTCTTTTTGTAGGTTAGCTTCCATTATAATTGTTGCTCCTTTGAAAGTAAACTTTGCTTCTCTTCCTACCTGTAAGTTTCTGTTTGTCTTTTTTTTTCAACAGTTATATATGATACACCTAACTTGTCATTTTATTCACCCTGCTGGAGTTCATAAGCCTTTGATAGTATGTAGTTTGATATTTTCTATCAGTTGTGGAAAATTCAGATATTATCTCTTCTACTCTAGGTTATGGGGAAATTGTGATTTATAAAAACAAATTTTAGGCCAGGCACAGTGGCTCACGCTTGTAATCCCAGCACTTTGGGAGGCCGAGGTGGGTGGGTCACGAGGTCAGGAATTCAAGACCAGCCTGACCAACATGATGAAACCCCGTCTCTACTAAAAATACAAAAAAAAATTGGGCTGGGCGTGGTGGCTCACGCCTGTAATCCGAGCACTTTGGGAGGCCGAGGTGGGCAGATCACAAGGTCAGGAGATCGAGACCTTCCTGGCTAATATGGTGAAACCCCGTCTCTACTAAAAAATACAAAAAAATTAGCCGGGTGTGGTGGTGGGCACCTGTAGTCCCAGCTACTCGGGAGGCTGAGGCAGGAGAATGGCATGAACCCGGGAGGTGGAGCTTGCAGTGAGCTGAGATCATGCTACTGCACTCCAGCCTGGGACACAGAGTGAGACTCCATCACAAAAAACAACAACAACAAAAAACCAAAAAAAAAAAATTTTTTTGAGGTAATAGACCATTAGGAGCAATTGCCTTAGCAAATTCATTGCTCTTTATGTGCATTTTTTGTTTGCTCTTGCTGAAAGAGCTCATTGCTGATGTGTATATACAAGTTCACTTTGAAGCACCGTATGTAGATGAGATGAGAGTAATGCAATTGGAAGAGACTTTCTGGTGTGCTCTGTTGAAAGTTATTCAAAGTGAAGTCTGGCTCAGTAGGGAAGGATGTTGCAATTATGAAGAGCACCTTCTAAGAATACTGTATGGAAATTTTCAGCATATATGCCATAAATTTACCATCATTGATCTGAATTGAAGTCTTTATTAAAGGCAATAACAGAACTTCAATACAATGAAAAAGAAGAAATAATATAGAAGTAATAGTCACATAGTAGAGGAGAACTAAAATATAAAAGACATCTATATTCTTTAGGCTTGCTAGGATCTACTGCGGGAAACATTACTGCTGTTAATGTCTTTTATTCACATTCCAAACAATAATTAGTATCAAAATAGTCCTTATGAAGAGCTATTATTCTTTTTCTCACTGTTCCTCTTTAGAAGATACATGCAGGGTAGAAAAACGTAAATCTGCTTGTATAAGCAGCTCTGACTATTTACAAAGAAGCAATATTCTTACAATTTGATTCATTATGATTTTTTGTTCTGGGATCAGCAAAGCATAATGACTATGTTCCTGATCTTTAGAGTTAGACTCTTTTAGCTTAAATCATAGTTTAAGCTTCTAATTCTTACTATTTCTGATACCCAGAAAAAAAGTATCATTCTCTCTGGGTCTTGGTTTTCTTATTAATACAACAATGGCAGTGGTAATACTTGTATCATAAGATTAATGGGAAAACACGTGAGTTAATGCCCACAATCATTGATGTAGTACCAGGAATATTTGAAGCAATCAACAAATATTAGCTCTTTTTTAGTTGCCACTTGTGACCAGATTCCCTTTAGTTTCTGTGTCTATGTGATGTTTTCCCCCATTGTTAGCCAACATTTGAAATTTCTTATATTTGCATTTACTTCTGTATGCAAATATATTTAAAATCTAAAATCATTTTAAGGTCATATTTTAATCTTTTGAGTTTGATTGAGATGTCTCCAATTTATAAAATGTTGAGTTTAGCATGCTTAAGTGAACACAATATGTTAAAAATTCTCTATTGATAATTATCTGATGTGTAAGAAAATGTAAGAATGAATACCACATTATACACTTCCAATTCTTCATTATTGGTCTTGATGGGACTGGAGCTCAATGCTTCAGAACAAATTTCCTTGATGCCAAGATTTTATTTTCAGTAGATATAAAATGTCAGTTTTCTTCAAAGGAAGACCAATTACCTTGACAAACAAAAAGAACATGCTAGAAGATAACTTTGTCCCCTACAGTCATTCAGTGAATTATAATTTTTGCATTATTGTTTTCAATTGTCCTCCCTAACTTCAAGAGAAGTCCTGATATACGAGAGTTTTTCTGACAAGTACACCATTGTTAACTAACTTTGGTCTTATATTTACAAAGTGAATATTTACCTAATACATATTTACATATATTTACAAAATACATCTAGATTTAAACAGCTTATGTGTGATAGATACCAACATTCCCATTGTAAACCAATACTTACCTTTGTTTTGTGATATTATGTTGCAATGTGCAGTCTCAATGGTTGCCTTATTCAGGATCTCTTTAAGACAATGAACTGAAATTCACAATATTTGCAAAAGAGAATACTATTATCATTTTCAAACATTTGGGATGGCAAATAAAACAGATATCCAAAATTTCTTACACACAATTTATGCATTCATTGTTTTAATTGAATGAAGAACAAATTGTAAATTATCATTTGCAATTTATATTAAGGTATGAACTTTTACTTATGAAATATATTTATGAGTCAATGACTGGTGATTTAATAAGCACATGTTTGTATATATGATTGATGTTATTCTAAGCAGTTAGTTAACCCAGGCAGTCAGGAAAAAACAACCTATGCTATTTTTGCAGCAAACACCTTAGACGTAGTGTACGTCTAATCAGTCACAAAGTACTGTTTATCACGACAATGCTTCATATATCTGTTTCCTTCTTCACAGTAACATAGCTTTTTCCTACTCAGATTGTCATTATTTTTATGCTGAGCTATTTTAATATTATACAAACTCTCTCTAATTTTCACTTTCCAGTATTTTCCACAAATTGCCTCCAGAGTAAACACCCCCAAAGCATACCTTGAATAATGGTACACTTTCAATCATCTTCAGAGGCTATGAACTATTTATATGCTAAAATTCTAATTCATTAACATTAAAATTATACAAAATTGTACCATTTACACAATTGTACTTTTTCTAACCAGTTATATTTTTAACTACCTTCATATATGAAATCTTTAAACTACATGATTTTGCATTGATGTGTTCTATAATATTTTTATGAATCTGGCACTAGAGATGGCACAATTTGAATTTTTAAAATAAGAATGAATATCCCTAATTTGAATTAATTTTAGTCTTAATGGTCCGTGGTCACGTATAAAAGATTTGGGAGACTTGACATGAATTGTAGAAGAAATCTGTCTGCATTTCTGCTTTACTGAGATCAGATCTGATCCCTGTCCAATAACAAAATCTTATAATATTTTACCCACAAAGTTTCAGTTTAGTCCTGTACAAACTCATGTCCCCATGATTTTAAGTTATCTGAACCATGTTATTCCAGCTTGAGTACCAGATGCATTGCTAGACTCATGGAAATAAATGTCATAAGTATTGCTGAGTCGTTCCCTCGCCAGACCCAGAGTATTGAAGTTGAGTATTTTTCTTATGATGATTTAATGGAAAAAGAAGAAAATATTGTCACTAGTTTTCCATTTGCTCAAATTTGCAATTTTCCATTTTGTTCCCAAATTGGGTTATTCCGTATTTTAAATATATTCTCATAGGATGGATGTGGCTAGTCATGGACATGATCTTAGTTGAACGTGAAACAACCACTTCCCTATCTTTTTCAAAATGAACTAATGAGAAACCAAATAATCAAGCTAAGTCTTAAGTCATCACTGCATAAGCAAGCCATGCATGAATTATTTTTCTACCCAAGAATATTCTTGTTTATTTAGCATTTCCTCCTCTATTTCTGTCATATATTTGATGATTTCTGGTTCATTTATGCTAAACCATTATTATCCACTGAAGGTTTCCCTTCTAATTGGTAATTCACAGATAGGATTAGCTTATTTGATGCAGGGAACTACTTCTAATGGTTCAACTGCTTCTCTCCTCCCTTTTGGTTACTAGGACAAAGTTTGATAATAGTAAAACAGAGGGAAAAGCTTCTGTTTATCAGGATATTTTACCAATTTATATTTTATTTCATTTAAAAGTAAGTATTCACTACACTTAAACTATGCTAGTGTTCTCAAACATTACCAAGGTGTAATTATCAAAGTAGTATGTCCAGTTGCTACAAAACACAGCTTCGCTCTAGCAATAAAATAGTCTTCTATATGGAGTGGTAATTCATTTTATCGAATTGTATTATTTTCCAGCTTTATTTAAGTATGACTGACAACAATTGTGTATATTTAGGGTGTACAATGTGGTATTTTGGTGTAAGTAGACCTGCATAATAATTCCCACAAGCAACTTAATATGTCCATCGTCTCACATAGTTACCTTCTGTGTGTGTGTGTGTGTGTGTAGTGAGAACACTTAAGATCTACTCTCTTAGCTAATTTCAAGAGTCCAATACATTATTGTTAACCATAATTACCATGGTGAACATTAAATCTCTAGATTTTATTCGTCTTTTAACTGAAAGTTTGTATCCTTTGACCGATATCTCTCCATTTCTTCTACTGCCTAGACTCTGGAAACCACCATTCTACTCTCTGTTTCTCTAAGTTCAACTTAAAAAAAAAGATTCCACATATAAGTGATATCATGCAATACTTTCTGTGTCTGGCTTATTTCACTAAGCATAACGTCTTCCAAGTTCATCCATGTTTTCAAAATGGCAAGATTTCCTTTTTTTAAGGCTGAATAATACCCTCTCTCTATATATGTACACATACATGCAAACACACACACACACATATTTACTTATATTTTACCTGTTATTTTTAGCACCATAATCTACCTAGAAATTATTTTTTACTTTTAAAAAAATTTTTTCAAAATCTATTGTTAAATATCTGTCATTTTGAGGAACTTATTTTATCATATTATATATAGACATACACATATATGCACACATTATTTGTACACAGAGACATATGACTTTATTATTAGACTCCTTCCTTTTGTTTTGATATATTTACTTCATAAACTTATCATGTGAAATTACTCACAGCTTTATTTCTAGAAAGGCTATATCCCTACCTCTTTTGTTAATATATTTCAACATATATATCTGGGCTGAAACAGCACAACATCATTACAGAGGAGTATCCATTAGAATCTTAGGCCATACGGTGGGGCGCGATGGCTCACGCCTGTAATCCCAGCACTTTGGGAGGCCGATGCGGGTGGATCACCTGAAGTCAGGAGTTCGAGACCAGTCTGGCCAAAATGGTGAAACCCTGTATCTATTAAAAATACAAAAATTAGCCAGGCATGGTGGCACACACCTGTAAGCCCAGCTACTCGGGAGGCTGAGGCAGGAGAATCACTTGAACTCAGAAGGCAGAGGTTGCAATGAGCCAAGATCATGCCACTGCACTGTAGCCTGGGTGACAGAGTGAGAATCCCTCTCAAAAAAAAGAAAAAGATTCTTAGGCCTAGGCCATACCGCTACATCTGATATTTACGACCTTGTGTCTAACATGTCCCTGTACAGCTTCTTCATTTATGGAGCATAATTTCCTTTTTCAATTATTTTCTCCTTTAAACAAGTAACACATGAATTTACTTTACAAAAGAAACTGAATATATACTGTAAAAAGTGAAGAACACCTCCCTTCATGGTCCCTCTGACACTATTTATATCAGCAAAAAAGATCACTGTAAAATGCTGTGTATATATATTTTTTGACCGTTTTCAATTTTTTTTGCATGCTTATGAATAAATTTACTTCTTTCTTGTTTCCATAGCAACAGATTATTGATTGCTTCCATACTAACCCTTGCTTCCACATTAATAGATTATTGCATGTCTTTCTGACTTAATTAGGTAAATTTATACATGTGTATGTGTTTGTATGTGTACATACATACTTGTTTCTTATTTTTAAAGTATAAGTAAATGTAAAATATAAGTAAAATATAACTTGACAGTTTCACACATCAAATTTGTATGAGAGGGTCCATTCTCCACACATTGACCTATGAGGAAAAGTATTATTTTTGTCAATTCAATGGGCAAAGGATGTATTTTAAAATACATTCTCATTTCCATGATTACCTTTGAAGTTGGACATTTTTCCTACTTATGTATCCTTGGCTCATCTTTTAAAAAAATTCTTTGTATTTATTTAACTGTTATACTTTTGATAATATTATATGGATTTGAATACGTATTCAAACTGTTTCAACTATTTTTTTCCTGGTCTGTTATTTTTAACACTGTAATCTACCTAGAAATTATTTTTTAGTTTTTATATTCTTAAAAAAATTATTTTTTCATACCTATTATTAGATATCTGTCATTTTGAAGAGCCTACTGTATCTTATTTTATATATATGCACACACATATATATGTACACACATATATATGCACACATTATTTGTACACAGGTGCATATGACTTTATTATATATTATTTGTACATATTTGCATATGACTTTATTATTAGGTTCCTTTCTTTTATTTTGATACATTTACTTTATAAAAGTGTCATGTGAAATCACTTACAGCCTTATTTCTTTTTTTTGTTTTTGAGTTACATAATAATTCCAGCATTTATTACTTTCTTGATTTTACACTTTGGTTTCTTTTTTTTCTTATTATACTTTAAGTTTTAGGGTACATGTGCACAACGTGCAGGTTTGTTACATATGTATACATGTGCCATGTTGGTGTGCTGCACCCATTAACTCGTCATTTAACATTAGGTATATCTCCTAATGCTATCCCTCCCCCCTCCCAGTAGCCTTATTTCTAGAAAGGCTAGATCCTTACCTCTTGTGTTAATATATTTCAATATGTATTTTATTAATCTCATAAAATTTTACTTTTATGTATAGTTTACAATGAACTGATTTATCATGAAAATACACTTGCATTAAAATTGCATAAGTGCAGAATGAATTTAGAACAGTATTATCATCTCAGTGTTCATCTTCCCACCAAGGTACATTTAATATATATTCAATTTATAATGTCTTCACTAATGACCTTCTTTATGCCTTTTAATAAAGTATCATAGTCTTTTCTATATATGCCATATACATTATTAGGTATATCAGTTTATTTAATAAAAAAATTTCACTAAATATTTACAATGTGTCAACATACTATTCAAAAGCAGAAGATAAAATGTTGAGCAAATAAAGACAAAGGCTCTGTTCTCATGAAGATAATCCAGCAGAAGTCAGCCATTGAGTACATAATCACAGAAATAATTATACACATGAGACTGGAAAATGCTACAAATAACTGGTACATAAGATATCATAACAGAGAAATTTGGCGTAATTATAAGAGAATAATTAGACTTCTCCTTTTACCTGTCACAGAATGAAAGAAGAGGAGTCTGTGCACATGCTCTATGGCTAGAAGGATCGTGGCTAAAGTTACAATTCACACAAATTTTCCCAGAGAAATCCTGATTTATGCCTGTTGTCCCAGAGTAATTGTTAATATGAACTACTGTCATTCTTACAGTTATCCTTGTTTGCACAATAGTTATGCAGTCACACTAACCACGTTACATTCAATGAACTAAAAGACAACAACTGTGGCTGGAGGCTGGTTCGGGAGAAAGGGTGTGCTTTTAGCTGGGGAAGGGAGCTGTGGACCAAGTATGGAAGGGCCTTGTAAACCATGTTCAGGCTTTTAAAATTTACACTGAATCCACAGTGTTAAGAAACTAATCAGTAAAGGTAAGTGAGTTTATAAAATTTGCATTTTGAGGAGACAATTCTGGAAATCGATTAGAAAGAATCAAGGGTAGGCATAGTAATATCACTTGGGGGTTTATGGAGTAGACAGAGAGGGAGATTATTGCCTCAGATTAGATGGGTAGGAGTGCAGATGTGGAGAATTACACTGGCTCAGTGAGCCGAGATATTCAGTGGCTGTGAGATAACACAGGTGGCCCCTAGCGTCACCTCACTAGACATTCGGTCAACAGATGCAGGGTAAGTTAACAGTATTAAAGTATGTGATTTATGTGATTTTTTTCTTGATCCTAGTAAGGACCAGGGCTGGGAATATAAAGTGTTTGAAAGTAATGTACCAGGCGTTTTTAAAGATATCTAAGAAGAAATGTCAAATAAGAGGCTTGAAAAGTGGACCTGGAAATTGGATATTAGATCTTGCTGGTATATAAGAAAGCTATTTTAATTTTGGATTGAGTTTACTTATTGAACTGTTCTTTTTATTTTGATTGTTTCTTTCCAGTAGTTTCTTTTTTAACCATCTGGATAAGAAAGCGCGTCATCTGCATATAATTTCAGTCGTTAATTTCAATTCCAGTTTATATTATGTCTAACTAGGTTTTCTTACATTGTGGCTTTTCCTTGCCGAAGACATGCAAAAAAATGTTGAATACTAATAGTTATAGCAGTCATCCTTGTCTTCCTGATTGAAAATGATTATAATGTTTCACTGTGAAAGATAATATTTGCTGAAGGCTCTTATAAATACTCTTAATCAAGTTAAATACGTTTGTATTTATTTCCTTTTCTCCTATTGAAACATCTCTTGATAAGTGAACAAATTTTTATCCCCAAGTTAAACCAGAATTTTATCATTATAACAGTGATGTATTATGTTGGCTCTTTTATGTAGGACTTTTGTTTTCTTTTTGTTTTTCTGTTTGTGAGGAATATTGTCCTAAAATATTTTCCTGTATGTAGAAATAATCCTAAACTAATTTTACTGATTTTAGGTGGGGTGGAGTGAGAATCTTTCATCCTTTGGTAGATACTGAACAGCTTATCTAGTAGTCATTTTCTGTTATTAAGATATATTTGAGTTCTTTCTTTCCTTTTTTTTTGTTTTTGAGATGGAGTCTCACTTTGCCGCCCCGGCTGGAGTGCAGTGGTGTGATTTCGGCTCACTGCAACCTTCACCTCCCAGGTTCAAGCAATTCTCCTGCCTCAGCCTCCCGAGTAGCTGGGATTACAGGCGGTTGCCACCATGCCCAGCTAATTTTTCTATTTTTAGTAGAGACAAGGTTTCACCATGTTGGCCAGACTGGTCTCAAACTCCTGACCTCAGATGATCTTCCTGCCTCAGCCTCCCAAAGTGCTGGGATTGCAGGCGTGAGCCACCACGCTCAGCCTCAAATTCATTCTTTAAAAATTATCAGCCAGGTATCTATTTGGAGGCACGTCTTTGATTAGCTTACTTATTTTGTCTGCAGTATGTAGTAATATTTATTCAAATTGTCTCTTTTTTCCCAAGTCATTTTATCATAGTACGTATCTTCATAGGAAATCATACATTTCAAAAAAGTTTATGTTTATTACTAAAAGTTACATATTCTTTTCTATACTAAAATAGTTCACTTTGAGATTAGAATTGGTTTATATCTATCTATGCCTCCATATGTTTTGGGTTGTTTTTCTTTTTTTAATGAATCAAATTCATCTTAACTTTCTATTTTTAAAGAACTTCTTCATGTTTCTAGTTTTCTTATAGTACGGAGTATTTGATAAATTTATTATTTTGAAAGATTATATGTTTCATAATATTAAGTCAAATTTAGTGCAAGCAATATGCAGATTCAGTTTGATATCTTGATCATTCTTTCATTTTTTGATGATTCTGTACCTACCATCTTCTATTGCCTCTATTAAATTGCTCTTTCAAATGATCTGAACTTAATGCCATAATAAGTTAACTTTTAACTGCCAAACCAATAACATCTATAAACATTTTCACATTTTATTACATCTCACAGCTTGTGAATCTAATGTCAATAACAATATAATAAAATATAGAATACTGGTACTATTTTCCGTTTCTATCAAACCACTCAGCTATCCACTAACATCTTTTTATGAGGACACCGGGGCCTATGCCATTGCTGATAACTCAAAAAACTGAATTGATAAAATTACTTGTATATAATTAAAATAACAAATGAGAAAAATATCTTGATGAAAACCTTAGAACCAAATTTAAAGGCTATTTAAAATTATATTTTAGTAATTAAAAAATTAATGAAGTTGCTCTAAAAAATACTTACTCTTAGCTACCATAGCTGCAACTATTACCAGAGCGATTAAATAAAGGAAGGCAAATATCACAGCAACAATGCACCATGGAGACACGGTTCAAAAAGAGAGAAGTTGGCTAATGTCATCAATGGAAACCAGATTCAGGAGTTGATACTGAAAAGAACTTTCACCAAGAATATTTAACCCACTTGAATTGGTCTAAAATGTAAGTTCATGGGAGCACCGTGCTGTGGGAAAATATACCTCAGCTTGTGGGGAGTAATTCTAAAAATTATTTTGCAGATTTAGGTGCATCCTGAGAAGATATTAATATTTTGATGTAGATATGCGCTGTTTATGAACTAACAAGTTGCCCTAGTAAAGAACTCTTCCAAAGGCTACAAAAGAGCACTTCAGAAATCCTACTGTGGGTTTAGTTCATTTCCCTCCCGTAATTTTTTTTTTTTTTTTGAGACAGAGTCTCGCTCTGTCGCCCAGGCTGGAGTGCAGTGGCGTGATCTTGGCTCATTGCAACCTCTGCCTCCCAGTTTCAAGTGATTCTCCTGCCTCAGCCTCCTGAGTAGCTGAGATTACAGGTGCATACCACCATGCCCGGCTAATTTTTGTATTTTTAGTAGAGACGAGGTTTCACCATGTTGGCCAGGCTGGTCTCGAATTCCTGACCTCAGGTGATCCGCCTGCCTTGGTCTCCCAAAGAACTGGGATTAGAGGCGTGAGCCACCGCAGCCGCCTCCACTCCCTAATTGTTTTTTTTTTTTTTAAACTATATCTTTCATCTTTGTAACAGAACTAGGTTAAGAACAAAACTCCAACTTTTGCTGTTGGCCAGACAGGTATTCTGTGACCGTTTTGATAAAAGTTACTTCATCGTGTTCATCATGAGGTATCTCACATCCTCCATTTGTAGAAATACTGAAGCACTAAAAAGACACTTAACTTTTTCGAAATTAAAATATCAAAACCAGGAAATTGTGTATGAAACATTCTTTTTCCATGATCTTGGTACACCATTCTAAGTCATCGTGGCCATCGCCGCCTGGTTGACCATTCTCATTTGCTCTTAACAGAGCACTGTAGGTTACTATGACCCACTAAAAAGTGTAGGGACAAGAAATCAATCCTGATTCAAACATTAGCTCAAGAATATTTGTTTTCGTGATTAGTTCATTAAAATATTTAAGCCAAAAAGTGAATCTAGAGTTTTAAATGGTTTTTACCTTTTGTTTTCAAAGTTTTAGTTATTTTTCCGTTCTGGATATTTGAAGAACAATGAACTTTGAGGTCTGAGTATATTATACTTTCCTCAGAAAACTCTAAAAAAGATTAAAAAAATGCATCCAACAACTATAATCCAGCTATATGTATATACACATACTTATATGATACATAAACATATAATTAAATGGCATATTATATGTGATACAAATTGTCACATTTTATAATCATAAGAAAGTTTTAAAATTGGCTCCATTTTTTTTTGCTTTGTGAAATGTGGTAAATTCTTACTCTTTTAAAAAAATTCTTAGTTCCTTATCTATAATATACAGGTAACAATACAATAATCGTTTATAGATCTATTGTAGAGATTAAGTTAATGTATATAAAGTCGATAGCATAGTGTTTGAAACATATTAACCACTCAATATGTGTTTTTCTTTAGTAGTAGTAATAATACCGGTGGTGTAGAATAGTAATTGTAAGAATATAATGGGCATTAGCATCTGCAGTAAAATTGGAAATAGAAGCAAGAGTAGAAATATTCAAATTAATTTAAATGCCTATTTCTGCCTCCTCTTATAGTTGAATTTAATCCTAATGAAAGGAGCATGAAAAGCCGTTATCTAATTCTCACTAAATAAATTCCTTCCACAACATATTGCATGTATTCCTTCAGTACAAGTGAAGCAGAACTCATAGACACCAAAAGTCAATGACATTCACCAAAAGTCAATAACATTACCCTAAATAATATTAAACCTAGTGCAACTGTAAATATTTACTTACCAAACTATAATTTTCTGAGATTTAAGTCCCCTCTAATTAGAAAATCCTGAACTCATTTATAAAGACAAAAGATTTTCAAATCCTCCTCTAAAAGTACCTGGTTATGAACTCATTATTTTTAATATTATTTTCTCATCAAAAGAAGAGATGATTTAGCAATAACAGCAGAATCTGGTTTTACCTGTATTTATTTCATGAAATGCCACTGGCGAAGGTTGAAGATCATGAGAGAGCCTGGACAGTGCTGATGTCTCTGGTTCCATTGTTCAGATTAAATTGTAAGGGCCAATGAGCACAGGGTCAGAATGAGATGGGACCAAGGCAACAGAAGTCTTAATATTGCGACATCAGAGAGGATGTTTACAGTAAGGCTAATATGTAAACTATGTTTTTGACTTAAGAAAATTAAAGATAATGTACTCTTACAAATTAAATTTGTTTTTTCTTTTATGTATGATGAACCACTTTTTTATTTCTAAAGATAAAATTTTAAATATTAACCATAAAGATTTCCTCTTTGCCTTAATTGCTATTTTTTTAAAATTAGAAAACAATAGACTAAATAACGTAATATAAATAAATGACATTGCATTTGAATGATTGTAACAGATACGGATTTTCAGAAATACCTTTTTTGTGATTGTAAATATTTATGCTCATTGTAGATGATTCAGTTGAACACAACATACAACCCTATTCCCTCGATATAATCTCTAACATAATTATTCACAGCTTTATCTAATTTTTCAAATGACCAATGGATGTTTCACTTTAAAAAGTAAAATAACTGTCAAATTAAATAATGAAAACAATTAGTACTTATTTCTATAATAAAATTTTTACAGTCATTAAACATAGATGAGATAGCTTTTCAGGTATTTATGTGGATAATTTTCCATGATACATTAAGTGGAAAAAAGTAAAAGTATTACATAGTATAACTTTATATTTTGGTAGAAAGAATTCTATAATTATATGTGTGTTTGTAATAGAATAAGATTATATGTCTGACCTGAAAAGATTGTAATGTAATAATATTTTGGTCATTAACTTGTTAAATTTGTATTTTTCATATGTGGTTTTCTATTTTTGTGTTACTGTTTCTGATGAGCATAATTTGTTTTTATCATTGAAAGGACTAAAGTGTGCATATGTGAAATTTCTTTTATAGTCTAATGTATGCTCTGAGACATACACACCACAGTAACCACAGGTCAACTGCCCTCTCCTTTGATGGATAGAAATAAACTTCATAACAAAAGCATATAATTTCATTGGCAGACTATGGAGCATTGTTGGGTCTTAAGTTGTTTTGGAAGAGTGCAAAGATGATGATCAACTTCAGATATTAATAATTCATATATACATGGATTAAATTCTAGAGTGAGTAGTAAAATGATGAAAGTATAATTTCAAAAATTACAGAAGAAAAAATAGATTGAGAAAAATACGTACATTCAAAAGAAGTTATAAGGGTGGGTGGAGTGGGGGAGAGATGTAAGATCAGGCAAGGACAAGTAGAAAGCATAAATTTATGTAAATTATAAAAAATCAGACATATCAACAGTAAAGGTAAACTCTGTAAATGTTCCAGGAAAAACAATTAAAAATTATCACAATGGGTTCTTAAAAATTTTTAAATGTTGGCCAGGCATGGTGGCTCATGCTTGTAATCCCAGCACTTTGGGAGGCCAAGGTGAGTGGATCATCTGAGGTCAGGAGTTCGAGACCAGCCTGACCAATGTGGTGAAATCTCGTCTCTACAAAACACAAAATTAGCTGGGGGTGGTGGTGCATGCCTTTAATCCCAGCTACTCAGGAGGCTGAGGCAGGAGAATCGCTTGAACCCGGGAGGCAGAGGTTGTAGTGAGCTGAGATCGCGCCATTGCACTCCAGCCTGGGTGACAGATTGAAACTCCATTTCAAAAAAAAATTTTTTTTTAAATGTTACAGGTTATTTACAAAAATTACATCTAGTAGATAAGGATGTGAAATGGTTGAAAATAGAAGATCAACATTTATGTAGTGCAAACATTAATCAAACCAAAGTATCATAGCTCCTGATATCTGACAAAACACACTTTAAGGAAAAATGTAGTAAGAAGATGGGTCTTTTAATAATAATCAAAGTTTCAATTCAACAGTAGTATATCACAATTTTAATATAACCCTTTAACACAATTAGATTAAATTGTGCTACCTGGAGGCGTTTGTCTAAACTGCCATATGTTTAATTTCTTTTTCATGCTGTCTCTTTGTCTCTATGGGCTGTGTTTTGAAAAATGACTTCAGAAATGTCATTCAATTCATTAATTCTCTCTTCATCCGTGTCTAAGTAGACATTAAATATATCCAATATATTATTTTGTCTTTCAAAAAATTATATTTAGTTCTTTTACAACTCCATAAATTTATGTATTTTAAAGAGTTTTTTGTTTTCTAAACACATTTCCAAATTTGTCTTATGTTCCCTTAACCATGGTAAATATAATTAATTTATACCATGTGTCTGATTATTGAGGTAATGGTTGTTTTGTATCTTTTTCTTTTTTGGAGAAGGAGTGTTGCTCTGTCACCCAGGCTGGAGTGCAATGGTGTGATCTCGACTCACTGCAACCTCCACCTCCCAGGTTCAAGCGATTCTCTGCCTCAGCCTCCTGAGTAGCTGGGATTACAGGCGTTTGCCACCACACCCAGCTAATTTTTGTATTTTTAGTAGAGATGGGGTTTCACCATGTTGGTCAGGCTGGTCTCCAACTCCTGAACTCAGGTGATCTGCCTGCCTCAGCCTCCCAAAATGCTGAGATTATAGGCGTGAGCCACCGTGCCTAGCCGTTATTTTGTATCTTCTGTCTTTTTTGTTCCTACTGGTTCTTTTTCGGGTACTTTGCTTGTGTGCTTAGTTTTTTATTTGTTTCTAGCTCTGAGTGTCTCATCTTTCTCACTAATTTATTCATGGTAAATCATTAAGCTTGGGATGAAATGGGTTGTTCTAGAGAACATTACAAATTAAGTTTGTATTTTCTCCTGCTAGGTGACAAGAAATATTACTAATTTAGACTATTTTAAAATGAAATCTTGACCTGCTGATCTTTTTAACCGGTGGTGGTGTTAATGCAACCTGCAAATCCACATGATGTCTGGCTCCAGAGATACTATTTCAGGAAGAAAATGTTCTTTCAACCATCGGGGGAAGCTGATTTAGTTTAAGTTTACCTTATCCGAAGCATGTAGTTAGGGTTAGGTGTTGCGGGAATTGTTGAGTTACTTGAGAAACCAGGTATTCAAAGTTCACAGTTACAATGGAATGTTATTTTAGTCATACCTCTAATATCAAGTGAGATAATATGCAAAACTGCGTTTGTATATCCTCCACTCTTTTTAAGATAAACTTTTATGATAATAAAAATTACCAATTAGATAAATCAATTAATATTTTTCCCTCTGAAATATGACAAACATACAGGAAAGGACAGAAAACATATATGTAGAGATTAATGAATAATGATAAAAGTTAAGTAAAGATAGATATTACCACACCCCAGAGTGTTTCCTGCATTGATCCTCCTTATTACAATGCTTCCTCCTAGAATTAATCATTCTTCTGATTTTCTTGCTTCTTATGCACATATTCTTAGTAGCTTTTTTGCTTATTTTAATTATATTTGTGTGAATAGAATGAAACTATACTTTTTTTGCATTGTTTTATTCTGTATTTATTAGAGTTATCTGTGTTGCTGTGGACAGCTGTAGTTTACTTGTGTATGTAATTTCTTTGTATGATATACTCTCAATCAGTTTACTTACTCTACCTTTGATGGACATTTAATTGCTTTCTTTTCAGGACTATTATAAATAATAGTCCTTGGATGTTCTCTGTATTTCTTAAATTATCACCTCACTACACTTGTAATCTATATTTAAAATTATAATATGTTTTCTGTTCTTGTGCTTTGTTTGTTTGGATATTTAGTGACTAGGTCGGTATATGGGTATAAATGTTTATAAATTTCTCTAGGGTAGCCTTTGACATTTTCTGTTTATCACAGCCTTTTAGTATCTTTATCCTTTTGGCCTTTGCTCACTTCCTGTAAGAGAGATGGTTTAAGGGCAGTGATCAAAATTTGAAAATAACAACAAAATATCTTGGTATTGAGAATAAGAAATTTTTCTTTTTCTTTTTTTCTTTTGAATCGGAGTTTCGCTCTTGTTGCCCAGGCTGGAGTGCAATGGCATGATCTCTGCTCACCACAACCTCCCCGTCCCAGGTTCAAGCGATTCTCCTGCCTCAGCCTCCCGAGTAGCTGGGATTACAGGCATGTGCCACCATAAAATTTGACAAAAAAAAAAAAAAAGTAAAATAATGGTCAATTTCCAGTGATAATCAAGGTGAAATTTGAGAGCCTGATATGAATTAGCACCAGGAAGTTTGACCTCTATCCTCAGAATATGCAATCTGGACACAGAAAAAGAGAAGATGAAGTTTCTTTTTAAAAATTTTAATTATTCTTTTCTGCATACTTAGTGACAAGAGATGATGAAATTTAATTTAGCTGCATGCCACAGTTAATTAGGCGTATGTAATGGAAAATAAGAAATAAGTGGAAACAAAATCATTCAGATGACTCACCATTAAGTCTAGTTTTGTGTGGTTAGGGCATGGCAGTAGCAACAAATGAGAAAATAAAAGTCAAGCCTGAAGAAGAAATTAAGCAGAATGAATGAAATAAATACAAAGGCAAATGTTGGCCTCACAGAGTTTTTTTTTTTTTTTTTTTTTTTAGATATTTGATATTCCAAAGGTAGAGGTGGGTTTCTGATCTATCTCAAACATGCAGGGTACATGGAACTGTAGACTCACTGAGACTCACCCATTTAACTGTATCCCCACTACTGATTCTAATTGCATGAAATATTTAGACCTTTAATACATTCACTGAGCTAAGAAAAGCAAGGAGGAAGCGGAAAAGGGAAAAATATAAACAAATGTTATTAACTCCCTATTTGATAGTCATTTTAATTTTTATTATAGGGGAGAACTTAGTCCCTAAATAAATCAATTGCTATTTTGGTTTTGGATAGGTGGTGGTGTTTTTTTACTGAGTTTATTATTATTTTCCCACTTCATGGTGGAAAAGAATGAAGGAGAGTAGAATTTGGAAGCTGAATTTGTGAATTTGGGACTCAGTTCTGCCATTGATTGATTATGTTATGATATGCAAACAGCCTATATAAAAATGATTTTTTTACTTCACTTATTTCTTTTCTAAAATTGTATAAAAATATTTCACAGGTGATTCTGAGAATCACAATTAAAATGTATTTGAATACAATCTTAACTGTGATATACTATTTAGAAATTATAATTTTTATTTATTTTATGATATTACTTCAATTAGTCCCTCTGATTTTTAAAAATTAGTAGACTTTATGTTTTAGAAAAGTTTTAGATTACAGAAAATATTGATCAGTTAGTGCAGACTCAATCAACAGCTTAATTCCAACTGGTCTCATCAGAGAATGTGGACATCTGTATTTTACATGTACATCTGTGATTCCTTTCAGGTTAAATTTTGTGAAAGGTTTAAAGTCTGTGCACTATTTGATCTCTACCAGTGCTGCCTGGATTTATCGTTATTCTGGACATGACAACACAGCGACCATCATAGACTGGCAGAGAGTGAAGGACTGTTTCTTATGCAGAGGCTTCCACTGCATGCCAGACTTGTGGCCCCTGCCTAAGATGATCCTATTGTTTTCTGGAGGAGGAGACCACATTGCACAGGGTATTGCCCCTACTCACTTTTGGCAGATTAACTACAATGGATATTTGACCCTCTCTTGTAGCTGTCCGTTGAGCCTCACTCTGTGTGCGCTTTCCTAGGTGATAGTATTACTATTCCAGTCTTATCAGCCAACTCAAGCCATTCCATTTGACCTGTGAAAATAATCCATGTCAGGTTTTCAGGTTTCCAAGCCATTTACAGTCTGAAAATGGTGCCTGTCTTATCAAAAAAGCCACTTATAAGGCTAATATTTAAAGTATTTGGTGGACTTCCATGCTCCCTACCATCTGTAGGCATCTGGTATTGTTAAGCTTTGGTATGGCCTCCTCAAAATTACACAAAAGCAATTTCTGACTCTACCTTCCTCATCTCTTCTTGGTCCACATATTATGAATTCAAGAACAGTCCCTGAACTAGTGCTGTCTTGATTCCTATTTATTTTCTGACCTATTGCTTAACTTGTGTATGCTATATAAGCTGTGTTTAATGGTAACCATTGATTTAAAAACACTTACTGCTATTTGCAAAGTAAGTCCTTAGTTTTAAATTATATCCTTCCGAAAACTGCCACTTAAGTAAAGTTATTTGCTACTGATTGCTAAGAAAATGTTACTTCTTTTAACATGTAATGCAAATCATGGCTGTTTTTGTTTTGTTTTGTTTTGTTTTTTCCTGTATGAACAACTTTCTTCCCTGGGAGAATTAGATATAGCAAATTTGCACAGAGGCATACTCTTTCTTAAAGGGAATGTTAAATATGATAAATGGCTTCTCAGATATGTATGCTATTTTCATTGTGTTTTACAATTCTTTTTTTTTTTTTTTGTAAAAACATGTTAGCATCAGTTTTTTTTTTTTTTTAATTTTAGGTTTAGGGGGTACCTGTGGAGATTTGCTACATGGGTAAATTGAGTATTCTGGGGATTTGGTTTACAGGTTATTTCATTACCCAGGCAATAAGCATACTACCCAACAGGTAGTTTTTTGATCCTCACCCTCCTTCTACTCTCCACCCTCAAGCAGGTCCTGGTTTCTATTGTTCTCTTCTTTGTGTCCACATGTATTCAATGTTTAGCTCCCACTTATAAGTGAGAACATGCAGTATTTGGTTTTCTGTTTCTGTGTTAGTTTGCTTAGGATAATGTCCTCCAGCTTCATCCATGTTGCTGCAAAAGACATGATCTCATTCTTTTATGTGGCTGTGTCATATGCATGGCTGTTTTAGTCACTTACAGTTTCAGAAAAATGATTTTTAAAATGGTCTAGCTTCCTGTTTCTCTAGTATAAATGCCTGAATGTGTTTTCTGGAAATCTTATTATCAAATCACATTTTATTTTTCTAAGCAGAATGAGTTCAAGATTGTAAAGGATTCTGATTTATATAAATAGGCAGTATGACAGGTATTCAGGGGTTTTCTTTATATGCATGCACTTGCCCATTATTTCTGTTTACAAATTACGTTACCTAAATACATCCAATTGAGACAAAATCTCAAAGAATGCATGTTCAGAACATGATTATAATACTTACATAATCATATGTATAACTTGTATCAAGAATTTTTCCATCCTTATATTATTTCTTATTCTCATTACATCAAAATTTTTCCTGCCTCATGTTATTTCACATTATTATCTGTCTCTACATTCCTCCCTCTTTCCTCTTCCAACAAAAAATCCTTTTATGATTCTGAAGCTAATGTTGTTACCTGTGGTCCTACTTGTCCAAATGATAATGACACTAATGTGATAGTTAATAGTGGTCACCACATCCAGGCTTGCAAATCTCAGTTTTGATTTCCTTCTCCTCTGTTAAGTAAAACCTACTGCTTCTGGGCCAGATACACAGATTTGACTTTCAATATCTCTTGCAGTAGAATTTTATTATTTTTCATCAGAAATGTCTTTCTCCTTTCCCATGACACAAGTTAGAATTACCAACAATCGTTACAATAACATCGGTGGTCTAGGTGCTAAATGTTCTTTCCAGGGCTAGCAACACTGTGGTTGGAAGTGTTCTGTACAGAGGAACGTACAGTGAAATGATGTGTCAGCCACACTTTTTGCACACCTTGAGTGTATTAACCAGATGCCTGATGTTTAAATGAAAAATAATCACTGGATTAAATGCAGGAGAAAAATCTCTTTTCCTTTCTGAAGAAAAAATTCAACATGGGCTAGATCAGAATAGAGATGGACCGCTTCAGAATAAATATTTATTTAATAATTATATGGAAAACATTTAAGTAGCCAATATTCTAGGAAAATATACAGCAGAATACTTAATCAGAACTTTGTTTTTATTTCTTTATTATTAATTGCAAATAGATTTTTTAGCTACCCATAGTCTAGACAATATTGTGTAGGGCAGCAGGATGATGTTCACGCCGTGCTCCATCGTTGAGTATCAGAAGATGCCAAGAGTTCAGGACAGATTCTAGCCATTTCCAGGACCTGAAAATGAGGAAGGAGCTAGAGAATTATATAATTTTTCCACTTTCTCATCCCAGCTTCTCTTCTCCTACCAATGCTTTCCAATGGTTGAAAACAGACAGAAGCCAGAGGGTGAGGAAGACTGTGTGATACAGTTGTCAGAGCTCAGCTGCACAGAATGCAGCAAAAAAGCATGGAGAATGGAGGTGAGGTGTGGTTTGAAAACCAGGTGTTGAGAATCCTGCCCCCAGAAGCCTGTGGTGGTAGAGTTGTGAAAGATCCACTGGGAACCCGTTGCACATCCATATAATAAACTATGTGTGAATGTTTCTTGTAGGTAAAAGGGGTCCAGATGAGAGCAGGGAATAACCTGGACTCATCCTAGATTCTATAGTAGGCTGAATAATGGCTCCAAGTATATCCAGGTCATAATCATTGGAAGCTGTGAATGCTACCTTATAGGGCGAGAGATACTTAGGAGAAGTGAGAAGAGATTGAGGATCTTGAGATTGAAGGATTATTTTGGATTATCAAAGTCAGCTTAAAATGTAACCCCAAGTATCCTTATAAAAGGGATGCAGAGGGAGATTTGAGTACAGAAAAGGAGGAGGCAGTGCAATCATGGGAACAGAAGCTGGAAAGACAAAACCACAAGTGAGGGAACGCTGGCAGACATGAGAAGCTGGATGAGGAGAGGAACAGATTCAGCCCTGCTGTAACCTTGATATTAGCTCCATAAGACTTTTCAGACTCCAACCCTCTAAAACTGTAAGAGAATAATTTTTGTTGTTTTTCTTACTAAATTTGTGCTTGTTTGTTACAGCAGCAATAGTATACTAAGACAGCTGCCATGCATGAAGAGTGATAGGTGGGATATAGCGCTCTAACAGAAAATATGAGACACCTGGTTTGAGGGTGAGGAAGAATCAAAACCACACAACACACAAGTGCAGGTTCATTGCCCATGTCAGGAGTTGTAGTTGCAGGGCTCCGCAGGGATGTATCCAAGAACCCCCTGAGATTCTCTCCCGAGACAAAGAGAGGAATCATCTACACTACCTTTTTCTGTGCTGATTTTCTCATCTGAGTTCAGTTGGAGCCAAAGGAAAAAGAAAAATTTTAGCTTTGCATAAAATTCAAAAATTTTGTTATTATATAGATTTAGGAATTTGAATTCCTGAAATGACACATTCCCGTGACTGAACATGACTAAGAGACGATTATCTGAGAATTACTTACATAATTGGAGACTCCGGGGAAGCAGGTGAAGAGCAAGACTATATATCCAATTTAGAGGGAAATTGAGGGAAACCTTGGTCATAAACTTACACGGCAGTATTTGAATTATTCTAATTGTTTTGGTTACATAAATAGAATTCTGTAGTCTTGAGAAACAATAATTCTCATACAAATGTAGCCTTCTAATCTGAATTCTGTTAAAACTACCAATAACCACTAATCTCTTCTAGTTTTAATCTTCTGGTTTATCATTTTTGTGAATTTGAGAATAAAGTACTCTGATCGTTATATGTCACTCTTCTATTCATTATTTTTATAAAAATATAAATATTTGATTTCTCTAACATTGCCTATAATTTTTTAATGTCAGCATTATATAATAAAATACATTCTCCATAAAGTTACAAATATCAAATAAAAACATATACACATATGTATACATACATTTTTTTTTTTTTTTGAGACTGAGTTTCACTCTTATTGCCCAGGCTGGGGTGTAATGGCATGATCTCGGCTCACCACAACCTCCGCCTCCCGGCTTCAAGTGATTCTCTTGCTTCAGCCTTCCTGAGTAGCTGGGATTACAGGCATGCACTACCATGCCCGGCTAATTTTGTATTTTTAGTAGAGATGGGGTTTCTCCATGTTGGTCAGGCTGATCTCGAACTCCTGACCTCAGATGATCCGCCTGCCTCAGCCTCCCAAAGTGCTGGGATTACAGGTGTGAGCCACCACATCTGGCAAATAAAAATATAATTACTATAAAGTTCATATATAGTATTATGTTTAAAATGGTATGCCACTTTATATTTTGGCTTTAAGTTATTGGTCCTGTGACTGAACTTTGGCTTCTTTCTCTTTTGTAAGAAATATTGTAGAGCATACATAATGATGTGGGTACAAAGTTAGAAGATGTGTTCAAGGAAGGCATTCCAAAGGAGGTGTCATTTGAGTAATGTCAAATGAGCGACGTTTGACGTAGAGAGTCTCTAAAATATTTGAGCAAGGAACTGTTCAAATAGTGGACAGTCTCTACAACCTAAGACTGAATGGTTTGTTTGAGAAGTAGCATTGGGGCTAGATCAGAGGGAGGGACTGAGCAGAAATAGGTAGAAATAAAGACAGAGAAATTGTCAGGGAAACAAGAGTGTAGTAGATATTATTCAAGGTAGGTTGATGTATTCGTGAATGTCCAGGCAGGAAAACAAATTCTGTGCCAAGTCATTACATAGAGGGAAGTTAACAGAGGAGGGTATTTATCAAACAGTTGGAGAAATCTAAGAGTCCGTCAGGAGAAAGAAGACAATTCAGATATGGGCAAAACAGAAAGCTGGTACTATTCCCAGAGCTAGAGGAAACAAGGGAGCAGGTGGGTTTACCAGAACCACTTGATGGGGACTGGCACCACAGTGGCTGGTGCCTGCCACGAGGCAGTTGCTATTTGGCAGCAGTTCAAACAACATAGCATGAGGGAAGGACAAAAACACGATTCCATTTGTATGAGGCATCTAAAATAGTCTAATTCATAGAAGCAAGGAGCAGAATAGTGGTTACCAGGGACAGTGAGGAGCGGAGAGTGGGGATAAGGTTTTAGTAATGCAAAATGAGTAAGCTCTAGAGATCTGCTGTACAACATTGTGCCTAGACTTAACAATATTGTATTGTACATTTCAAAATTTGTTAATAGAGTAGATCTCATGGTGTATTCCTATCACAATAAAATAAATATTAAAATTAAATAAAACAGACCAGTACATAGCATGTGTGGTCACTGCAGGAGATAAAGCCTGAAGCAGAGAGGGGAAAGACAAAATAACAGGCTTCTCCCCTCTTCCTACCTTCCAAATCTCAACCCAGTGGCTCCATTGACTCCACCTACCTGGAAGCTGGTTAGCCATGGAGGTGGTGAAACATGTGTTGCAGGAATCAGCACCCCAAGAAACAAGCAGAACAGGGGAAAACCAGGGAGGACAAAGAGAAAAGTGACTGACAGAGTGGAAGAAACCAAATCTATCAATGCATAGAACCATTATATTTTGGGAGAGATACTTCTCATACTCAATCAAAAGTAAGACTTGTTGGCTGGGCATGGTGGCTCATGCCTGTAATCCCAACACTTTGGGAGGCCGAGGTGGGCGGATCACCTGAGGTCAGGAGTTCAAGACCAGCCTGGCCAACATGGTGAAATCTCATCTCTATTAAAAATACAAAAAAAAAAAAAAAAATAGCTGGGCATGGTGGTGGGCGCTTGTAATCCCAGCTACTCAGGAGGCTGAGGCAGGAGAATCACCTGAACTGGGAGGTGGAGGTTGCAGTGAGCCCAGATCGCACCAGTGCACTCCAGCCTGGGTGACAAGAGTAAAACTCTCTCTCAAAAAACAACAGTAACAACAACAACAACAACAACAAAAGACTTGTTAACACAATATTCTGTGAAGAGATTCAACTTACCTTGTCCAATCTATACATAGGTTTACTATAACATGTGTGTAAAATCACTCAGATAAATTATCAGTATGAAACCACATGTGGAGGGGCTCAGTAAGTGGGGAATAGGTGTTTTGAACAAAGAATTGAGTATAATTTAATCCACATACTGACACAGGAGATAAGTCCCCAGTTCTTTATCCATAAGGCTAAAAACCAAATCTCTGTAAACAAAATGTTTTCATTAGTTTGGTTCCAAAACCTGAACTTAGCTAATCATAGTTTTTGTTTTATACATTTTGCTGTGGAAATATTAATGTGCTGGGTTATAGCGTGAATCATCAAATGCCAATGAGGCTGTTAATTCATGTATGTATAAACACATATATTTTAAAATAAAAACTAATAAATTTTAAAGTACATTTCTCTCCACAAATTTCAGATAAGAAATTAGGGTCTCTGGGCCAGGCACAGTGGCTCACACCTGTAATCCCAGCACTTTGGGAGGCCAAGGCGGGCAGATCACCTGAGGTCAGAAGTTCGAGACCAGCCTCAACGTGGAGAAATCCCGTCTCTACTAAAAATACAAAATTAGCCGGGCATGGTGGTGCATGCCTGTAATCCCAGCTACTCAGGAGGCTGAGGCAGGAGAATTGCTTGAACCTGGGAGGCGGAGGTTGCGGTGAGCCCAGATCGTGCCATTGCACTCCAGCCTGGGCAACAAGAGCGAAACTCCATCTCAAAAAAAAAAGAAATTAGGGTCTCTGTATCCTACACATCATTTAGTTTCCACTTAAAAGTTTTTAGATGTATGGTGAGAGAACTATATATAAAAGAACAATCTATGCCCTATTCCTGTGAGATTTCTCTTCATTATCTGGCTCTACTGATGTTGCCAGTGTACCATGCTAGCAATGTTGCATATTAACCTGGAGTAAAATATCATTTCTGTATTTTCAAAATTCTTTACTACTATTTATAAAATAAATTCTTACCTTTAGATTGTGTTGTTGCTAAAATTGAAATTTAAGTAGAGAGTCGTGTGACTGATAAAAATGGGTTCCTTCTTTTAAAAACAGTCTGTAAAACCACAGCCAGTCAAGTCACGTTTATTCTAGAAATTATTTTTGCCATATGCTAGTTTTCTTTTCCTCTCATGTGAACCATCTTTATGTCTAGTCTGAAAAATTCCTGTTACAGTCACCATTCTGTCATGATAAGGGTTCTGAAATAACTCAGGGACAAACCATTCCTTTCTTTAAGCTTCCAATATGAAATAAGTCCTTTGTGTATCAATAGTCACCAGGATAATTTTTCACATGGTTTTATTTAACATCTTTCTTCATGGTACCTTAAAGTTGTTTTTTTTGTGTGTCTTTACCTGCCCATTATTTCCACCTACAAAACACGCTATCTCTAAGCACATTATCCGAAGAAAATTCCAGTTAAAAATCATCTCATAGAAAATATGACTAGTATTTACAGTCCAGTCAATGCTTTATGATTCTTATGTTATTTTTTCTTTGTGATTGACTCTTTCCTATTCCCTCCTCTTCTCTTAACAGGTAAATATTGTCACAGCTCTAAGTTTAGTAATGTTTCCTATGTTTACACTTGCTGGAATAACAAAAATAGCGCAGCTACAGTGCTAGTGATCAGCCACATCCATGCTTGTAAACCTCAGTTCTGGTCTCTTCTCTCCTCCTTAAGCTGTGTCTTCTGCTTTTTGCCCAGGTAAATTGCTTCAACTCCCAATATTGTTTGCAACAGCATCTTACTGTTTTCGCCAGACACGCCATTTCCTCTACCCATTACCCATCCACTTTATCCCCAACATCCTGCGGCCACACCAAGACCAGTGTAGGTGTTAACTGTTATTTTAGGCAGCAGCAACTCTGTGGTTGGAAACATTCTGTACCATACGGTGTGATGTGTCAGCCACACCTGTTACACATAAAGTGTACTGATGACTGAGGTCTCACAGGGGTCCAGGGTCATATCAGAGTCCGGAGATTTCCGTGAAAGCTTAAAGTTCAGTCTGCAAACTCACTGTAACTAATAATGAATAGCTTATGTCCTATCTACCTCAATATGTTTCTTAATGGTTTTGAGCACTAATTAGGTGTTAAATACCCTATATGTTTATACATTAAACCATTCTCAGAACATATTTCCAATAAACTATTTAGTTGCATTTTACGTTTTACACATGATGGAAAAGAATCTTAAAGGGGTTATGTAACCTACTCAAGTTTACGATCTACCAAAAGCAGAATCAAACATTTGAAACTACTCACTTTTGACATCTTGTATTTAGCAGATTGAAGAAGCAGAAAGAATAATTACCTGATAAGGATTGATTAGAAATTAGTTTTGAATGCAAAATAGTCTTTGAATCATCATTTTATTTCGCTTATGGTGCTTTTTTTTTTTTTTTTTTTTTTTTTTTATAGAGACGGGATCTCACTTTGTTGCCCAGGCTGGTCCCAAACTCCTGAGATCAAGTCATGCTCCCATCTTGGCCTCCCAAAGTGTTGGAATTACAGGCATGAGCCACCGCATCTGGTCCCGTAACTGTTTACATTCAGTTTTGTTCTTATAAAGAACCTCACTGGGCACCAGGTGCAGTGGCTCACACCTGTAATCCCAGCACTCTGGGAGGCGAGGCAGGGGGATCACCTGAGGTCATGAGTTCGAGACCAGCCTGGCCAATGTGGCAAAACCCCATTTCTACTAAGAATACAACAATTAGACGGGCGTGGTGGTGCGCCTGTAGTCCCAGCTACTCAGGAGGCTGAGGCAGGAGAATCGCTTGAACCCGGGAGGCAGAGGTTGCAGTGAGCTGAGATTGTACCACTGCACTCCAGCCTGGGTGACAGAGTGAGACTCTGTCTCAAAACAAAAACAAAACCCTCTTTTTTTTTATTGTTTATCTGTTTGTGTTTTTTTGATGATTAAAAACCGTGGTGAAACTGTACCTAAAAGCAAAGATGGATATGCATTGTAAGGCACAGGTTTGAAGTTAGACAGCCATGGGAGAATGCAAGGGTATGTATGAGATTGGTATAGTCAATAAGTATTTGCTGGTATTTGTTTCATACACAAATACATGCATATATACAAATAACTCCGAATTTTTTTTTATTTAACACTCAGACCTCTCACAGATAGGTTGCAAAAAAATGTTATACAAATAATGAGAGCATTTCCTCCCATGAAACCTAACTTCAAACAAATCCAAATAAATTCTAAGTTTTAAAAAAGACCATCCATTTTGGTGCCAACATCCTTTTCAAGTGAATTATTTATATACTGAAGTATTATAAAACCTATAAATAGATATTGTTATATATAAACAGATACTTTTACGAATTAAATTATGCTTCTTAGAAGACAGAAGCATGAAATGGAGAAACGAGGAAATAAAATATGTAACTAAAAATTTGCTAGGACTTTAAAAACCACCCCTAGGTTATACAAAACTACGGGGATAACTTAGTTTAATTATCTGTCTAAATACGGATTTTTACCTCTGTAAGAAAGATCAGGCCAGGCGCAGTGGCTCATGCCTGTAATCCCAGCACTTTGGGAGGCCGAGGCAGGCGGATCATGAGGTCAGGAGATCGAGACCATTCTGGCTAACATGGTGAAACCCTGTCTCTACTAAAATACAAAAAATTAGCCGGGCGTGGTGGCGGGCGCCTGTAGTCCCAGCTACTCAGGAGGCTGAGGCAGGAGAATGGCGTGAACCTGGGAGGCAGAGCTTGCAGTGAGCCGAGATCGCACCACTGCACTCCAGTCTGGGCGACAGAGCGAGACTCTGTCTCAAAAAAAAAAAAAAAAAGTACAAAAATTAGCCAGGCATGGTGGTGCGTGCCTGTAATCCCAGCTACTCAGGAGGCTGATGGAGGAGAATCGCTGGAACCCAGGAGGTGGAGGTTACAGTGAGCCGATATTGCGCCACTGCACTCCAGTCTGGACAACAGAGCGAGACTCCGTCTCAAAAAAAAAAAAAAAGAAAGATCAGTCAGTACATAGTCAAGTACGTGTGCATGCATATATATGCATATGTATACATTATGTAAATATGTTGTAATTATTATATAATAAACCTACATTCAATATATCTGTGGCAATTTATCTATCTAAATTTGAACAAAAACTAAAAATTCCCAGCACAATCGAGGCAAAATAAAATATAATTTTCTTACAGTTATGCAAAATGACTCTCTAGATTTTAATCCGTTAGAGGTAGAGGTAGACAAAGGTTAGTGAGACTCAGCTTGACCACTGCTTGGTTGACTTTGAGCGTGTTTCCTTGATAATCTCCTGTGTCTTCAACTATGAAATTTAAGAACTATTACTATCAATATCATAGGGTTTATGAAGATTAGATGAAGTAAAAGTTATAAAATAATCAAACACAGAGCCTGGCATAAAGTAAACTCAAAAATTTTTAATGGTTTTATACATAATCATTAAATATCAATTATAGACTACATACATCACTATGAAAGAATTAGAGGTAAATTATAAAATATTAGCAATAATCCTTTATAAGACTCTTTTTTTAAGATTTACTTCAGGCTACTGGAACTTGAGAATGTATAAAGTGTTTAATGCGTACCAAATGAGTGTCTAGTCACAAAATGTTAGAAGGTGAGTTGGTTAGTCTGATAGAGTTTTACTGATCTGATTCTTCATCTCCTGTTTGAGTATTTATGTGTCTTATTATTCTGAGTTAGGGCATCCTTTTACCTCCTGTGTCTCTTTTTCTTTATGCCCAAGTTCCATCGGCAGATACTGACCATAGAGCTTTGCAATGTAGACAGTTTTGCCTAAAGGCTAAGACAGGGGCTCAGTTCCACTTCACTGACACTTAGTGACATTACGCGGGCTTTGGAATTTAGGAAGTGACCAATATGTTGACTTTGGTTTGTTATTTCAGAATGAGAACCCTAAAGGCCACCCAACAGTTCACCACAGAGAAACTTGTTTCCAGCCACATAGGAGTTGACAAGCTGCAGCTGCAGCTGAGCTCTTTGCAGCTCTTTCATGAGGTTCTTACACCTTGCTAGGTCCTATATAAAGGACTAACCTATTATTTAGAAAAGATACACATTAAGGACTCTAATTAAGAAATTTTGAAACGAGTTATGTTTTCTCCATTCTGGCTTCATAAACTTCTTTCTATGCTAAACAATCAGGGAAACTGTCAATGTTTTATTCAAAATGTATGTTGCTAATTCTGTGACCACTATTTGCACACTTCTTTTACTACATAAACATGTCACTTTGTAAATAGCTACTGGGCAGTGTAGATTTACTTATATGCATAACTTGAACATTATTTTGTTTCTTTCGGAGTCTGCCTATTCCCGAACCACATGTGGAATTGGTAGTTGCTTTGGTTTGGTTTGTTTATTTGCTTATTTCTTTTAGTGGGAAGCAGTTTTCTGGATTCTTTTAACTTGATACAGATGCAAAAAGGGGAAATGTTTGTGTAATGTATCTGGTCCATATCCATAATTGAATTTGTAATTTTTTTTGTGTGTGTGACAGAGTTTCATTCTTGTTGCCCAGGCTGGAGTGCAGTGGTGCAGTCTTGGCTCACTGCAACCTCCGCCTCCCAGGTTCAAGCGATTCTCCTGCCTCAGCCTCCCGAGTAGCTGGGATTACAGGCATGCACCACCACACCCAGCTAGTTTTGTATTTTTAGTAGAGATGGGGTTTCTCCATGCTTGTCAGGCTGGTCTTGAACTCCCGACTCAGGTGATCCGCCCACCTCGGCCTCCCAAAGTGCTGGGATTACAGGCGTGAGCCACCCCATCCAGCTGAATTTGTAATTTTTAGTTAAAATTGAAACTGTAAAATGATACCATATTTGTAAGAACAACAACAAGGCAGTTTCCAACGCCCAAAATATAACTGCAAAGGCATTGGACAACGTAAATTAAAATGGTATGTTGAATAAGAACTGAAAGTCAACATAGCAAACATCTACCATGGCAAATATTTCCTTACTTGGATTGTAGCTACGAAATGGTCATCTCTACTCCTTGGGAAAGGCCAGAGCAAGACCTATAAAGTCCACTCTTAGAAAAGTTCCATGGATAGAATGACCAATAGGAAGCTGGCTATTTAATTTAAAATGATGTTAGGATCTTTAACTCTAGGAATAATCAGAGGTAGAAGGAATTTAGAATAATCAGAGGTAGAAAGAATTTAAAATGATTTCATATTGCTAGGTAAATCTGTGTGATCTTATTTATATTAAAGAAAGCATTGGACATAATAGAATGCCTGATACATGCACGCACAAACACACACACATTGAAATGAGACATACATGTCAAGCACTAGAATTGGCGTGTAATGTGTGCTCAATAAATGTTCACAACTCTCCCCTAATAAACAAACTTATTAAAATGAAAATTGGTAAATAAAGGAAAAGTTTCAGTATTTATCTTTAATAACCATGCTGCAGAGTAACAAAATAATTGGTGGCAAGTATTTTCTGGAATATAAAATCAGAGGTTATGTGATGATGGTTACATGAATTTACACATGATAAAACTGCATAAAATGACATATATATATATACACAAATACACACAAGCAAATGAATGGATATATAAAACTACTAAAATCTGAATAAGGTCTATGGATTGTACCAATGTCAATTTCCTGGTTTTGACATTGTACTCTAGTTATGTAAAATATAGGCATACCTCAGAGATACTGTGCACTCTGATCCAGACAACCACAAAAAAGCAATTATTGCAATAAAGCAAGTCACATGAATTTTTTTTGTTTCCCAATGCATGTAAATGTTTACACTGTACTGCAGTCTATTAAGTGTTCAAAATTATTATATCTAAAAAACAATGTACATACCTTGATTAAAAATATTGCCAGAAAATGTTAACAATCAGCTGAGCTTTCAGAGAGTCCTAGTCTGTTTCTGTTTCTGGTGGATCTTGCCTCATTGATGGCTGCTGACTGATCAGGGTGGTGGTTGTTGAAGGCTGGGGTGACAGTGGCAATTTCTAAAAATAAGACAACAATGAAGTTTGCTGCATTGACTGACTCTTCTTTTCACAAAAGATTTCTCTGTAGTCTATGATGCTGTTTCATTGCATTTTACCCACAGTAGAACTTTCAAAATTGGAATCAATCCTTTCAGACCCTGCCACTGCTTTATCAACTACATTTTTTGTAATATTCTAAATTCTTTGTTGTCATTTCAACAATGTTCACAACATCTTCACCAGGAGTAGATTCCATCCCAAGAAATGTCTCTTTCCTCATCTATAAAAAGCAGTTCCTCACCCATGAAAGCTCTGTCACAAGATTGCATCAATTCAGCCACATCTTTTTTTTTTTTTTTTAATCCTATACTATTTTAAGTTCCAGGATACACAAGCAGAACGTGCAGGTTTGTTACATAGGTATACATGTGCCATGGTGGTTTGCTACACCTATCAACCCATCGTCTAGGTTTTAAGCCCTACATGCATTAGGTATTTGTCCTAATGCTCTCCTTCCCCTTGCCCCCCACCTTCTGATAGGCTGCGGTATGTGTTGTTCCCCTCCCTGTGTCCATGTGTTCTCACTCTTCCACTCCCACTTGTGAGTGAGAACATGTGGTGTTTGGTTTTCTGTTCCTGTATTAGTTTGCTAAGGATGATGGCTTCCAGCTTCATCCATGTCCCTGCAAAGGACATAATCTCATTCTTTTTTATGGCTGCGTAGAATTCCATGGTGTATATGTACCACATTTTCTTTATTCAGTCTATCATTGATGGGCATTTGGGTTGGTTCCATGTCTTTGCGATTGTAAATAGTGAATGCGGCCACATCTTCAGGCTTCACTTCTCATTCTAGTTCCCTTGCTATTTCTACTACCTCTGCAGTTACTTTCTCCACTGAAGTCTCGAACACCTCAAAGTCATCCATGAGGATTGGAATCAACTTCTTCTAAACTCTTGTTAATGCTATATTTGACCTCCTCCCATGAACCACAAGTGTTCTTAAATGGAATCTAGAATAGTGAAGCCTTTCAGAAAGTTTTGAATTTACATTGCCCAGTTTCATCTGAGGAATCACTATTTATTTAATAAATACAAAATGTATATCTTAAATAATATGACTTAAAAGTTGAAATGACTCCTTGATTCACGGACTGCCGAATGGATATTGTGTTAGCAGGCTTGAAAATGACATGAATTTCTTTGTACGTCTTCATCAGAGCTCTTGGGTGACCAGGCTCATTCTCAATGAGCCATAACATTTTTAAAGAAATCTTTTTTTCTGAGCACTATGTCTCAACAATGGGCTTAAAATATGTAGCAAACCATGTTGTAAACAGACATGCTGCCATCTGGACTTTGTTGCTCTATATAGAGAGCACAGGTAGAGTAGACTGAGCATAATTCTTAAGGGTCCTAAATTGTTTGGAATGGTAAATGAGCATTGGCTTCAACTTAAGTCACCAGTTAGCCCCTAACAAGAGAGCCAGCCTGTCCTTTGAAGCTTTGAAGCAAGACACTGACTTTTCCTCTCTAGTTATAAAAGTCCTAGATGGCTTTTCCAGAAGCCTGTTTCATGTACACTCAAAATCTGTTGTTTAGTGTAGCCACCTTTATCAATTATCTTAGTTAGATCTTCTGGATAACTTGCTGTAGCTTCTTCATCAGCACTTACTGCTTCACCTTGTACATTTCTATTATTTAGATGGCTTCTTTCTTTAAATCTCAAGAAGCAACCTCTGCTAGTTTCCAATTTTTTTTTTTTCTGCAGCTTTCTCACCTCTCACAGCCTTCATAGAATTGAAGAGTTAGCGCCTTAGGCTTTGGCTTAAAGGAACATTGTGTGGCTGGTTTGATCTTTGATACAGACCAGTAAAACTTTCTCCATATATATATACACATATACACATAATTCGCATGCTCACTGGCATAGCAATTTTGATTTTCTTCAAGTACTCTTTCTTTGCATTCACCATTTGGCTAAATGTTTGACTCAACAGGCCTTTCGGCCTATGTGGGCTTTCAAAATGCCTTCCTCACTAAGCTTATTCATTTCTGGCTTTTGATTTAAAGTAAGAGATGTGTGACTCTTCCTTTCACTTTTACTCTTAGAGGTCATTGTAATGTTATTAACTGGCCTAATTTCAGTGTTGTTGTGTTTCAGGGAATTGGGAGGCCTAAGGAAAGGTAGAGAGATGGACAATCGCTGGCCAGTGAAGCCGTCATAACACTTACATTCATCAATTAATTTCATTATGTTATATGGGCATTGTTTGTTGCACCACAAACCCATTTCAACAGTAACATCAAACATCACTGATCACAGATCACCATAAAAGATATTGCAATAATAGTAAAAAAGTTTTAAATATTGCAAGAATTACCAAGATGTGAGGCAGAGACAGGAAGTGAGCACATGCTTTAAAAAAAAAATGGCACTGATAGACTTGCTAGAGGTAGGGTTGCCACAAAACCTCAATTTGTAAAAAATGCCACACCTGTGAAGCACAATAAAGTGAAGTGCAGTAAAATGAGGTGTGTGTGTATTATCACTGGGGAAACCCAACAGCAGGGACAAGGGAGGTCCCTAAGCTATTTTTGTAACTTTTTTTGTTAATCTATATTCATTTGAAAATAAAAACTGAAAAAAAATCTCAGGGGTTAACAGGCAGTATTTTTATTCCCTTGGTATGAACGCTAGCTATCCTCACTTTCCTTTTCTTCTTATGTCTCAGCCACATTGTTGATTCTGCCTCTCCTACTTAATAAATGGTCGCTGTACATCAAAGATGGTAAATTCAGAGATGGTGGATGTGCTGTTTCCAAATCAAAGCTTGTGAAAGTCATTGCTACTCTTTCTTTCTTGATGAATATGGACTTGAAGATTTCTCTATACAACGCACCCAAATATGTGTTCTTTACTCTTGTCTTTTCCCAAATACTGTATTTTAACATGAATTTGCACATGTAAATCCATGGTGGACTCATTCAGGAAGATCCATCTTAAGAAAAACAAAAAGCAAAATAAAAACAAGCAAGTATGAAGAGGAGTTACCAGTTTGTCAAAGTGCATCCTCCTAGAAGTTTAGTACCTCAAAATTTCCTCTAGATAATCATTCCTACCCATTTTTTTGTTCGTTTTTTTGAGAAGGAGTCTCACTCTATAGCCCAGTCTGGAGTGCAATGGCATGATCTCGGCTCACTGCAACCTCTGCCTCCCAGGTTCAAGCAATTCTCCTGCCTCAGCCTCCTGAGTAGCTGGGACTACAGGCCCATGCCACCATGCCTGGCTAATTTTTTGTATTTTTAGTAGAGACAGGGTTTCACCACATTGGCCAGGCTAGTCTCAAAACTCCTGACCTCACATGATCCACCTGCTTTGGCCTCCCAAAGTGCTGGGATTATAGGTGTGAGCCACTGCACCCGGCCCCCATTTTGTTTTGACTGAAGTTGGACCCACTCTGATATCCAAATTGGGTCCCAACTGAGCCAATCAGTGTATCTTATCCACTGCCCAGGGTAATTTGTGTCCTGCCTATTTAGTGTCAAGGTCATGAAAGTGAGTTCTTGGATGAAGCTTGACACAAAACAATTTATATTATGTGACTATATACGTTATAGTAAGATAAATTATCAAACCAGGCAAAACTGAACTGTACAGGGTTAGAGGTCAAGACAGCGCTAACATCTATAAAGAGAAAGAGGGTAGTAATTGGAAGGTTAAATGAGGAGAGCTTTTGAAGATTCTGGAAATGTTCTATTTCTCGACTTGGATGGTAGTTACAAGAGTGCTGCCTCTCATAAATTATTAAATTTTGTGCTTTTAGTATTTGTCAATATGTATACCATATTTTATTTTAAAACAGCAAGAAGAGAGAATATGTTGAATTTTTTCTGTCCTTTTAGATTCTGATGTGAACCATGGCTGTTGCCTATTTCTCATTTTATTGTAACCACGTATCTGTATTTTTCAAGTCCTATTTATCCTACGAGATCATGCTCAAATTTCAGTTTTATTTTGAGTTATTTCTTCATTTTTCTTTAAAGTTGTCTCTGTCTCCCTTGTGACACTGTTCTATTCCAGAGTGGATTGGGAACAGATTCAAGTATCTGATTTCTAATGAAGAAAAAATTTTCTAGAAAGCCATTTTTCCTGTGAATCTCAGAATTCCAGTCATTTTCAGTTAGAGAGTAGAGAGAAGTCAATACTTTCTTAAGCCAGGTATCCCATTTTTTTTTGGAAAAAAATAAAAAAACAAAATTATGCTAAATAATTTGAATTTAATTTTTACACATTGAATAGAATTTTGAACAAATTATCTGGTCAATACTTGTACTTTAAAATACAGGTGATAAAATGGACATAAGATACCTTAACAAATTACATGAAGAGCATAACATTCAAGAGTTCAGAAAAAGTAAATAAAACAGAAACATTTACAATAAATCAAAATATATCATTATTAATACATTAAAATATAGACACCCATTTTTCTGTGAAATAAAATGGTCTTAATCATGAATATTGAATACTTATTCAACATTCTTACAGTGAGATATGTCATTTAAAGAAACATATTAGGTTCATGTTTTGCCCTTTAGGTGATTAGAGATAAGCAATCATAATTCTAATACCGTGTTTCAATGCAGAGTGAGATTTTAGTCTTATCAATTGTTTTAGTCAATGACCAATTAAACTGCTTTGAATCATAAGAATTTTAACTCCTCTCTATAATTTATTTTTAAATTATGTAGCTTTTTTTCCTATTTCTCATATAACATGTAGAGTAATATTAGAGATAATCTATAAATGGGTCCATTATTTTAAGAAAGAGCACCTTGCCACAGCTGCACTTAGAACATTTGCTGACTGACTACAGACTGTAGGACATACTGATGTTTTATCCACAGTGTCCATGAAATGAGATATCATGAGGTAGAATCTCTAATAACATACAAAGGAGGCCGGGCACAGTGGCTCATGCCTGTAATCCCAGCACTTTGGGAGGCCGAGGCGGGTGGATCACGAGGTCTGGAGATCGAGACCATCCTGGCTAACACAGTGAAACCCCGTCTCTACTAAAAATACAAAAAATTAGCCGGGCGTGGTGGCGGACACCTGTAATCCCAGCTACTCGGGAGGCTGAGGCAGGAGAATCGAGTGAACCCGGGAGGTGGAGCTTGCAGTGAGCCGAAATTGCACCACCACACTGCAGCCTGGGCGACACAGCGAGACTCCGTCTCAAAAATAAAAATAAAAAAAACCACACACACACACACAAAAACATACAAAGGAAGTGCAAGGCAGATCTACTCATCTAAGTTCCTAGAACATTTATGTTTTGATACCTCCTAAAATGAGTGAAGTTTGGTAATAATTTATACTCCATGAGTAAATGGATTAAAAGAGAGAGAGAGAAAGAGGAGTCATGTGACTATTCTCTTATAAAAGAAAATAATTTTGGAGATGTGGAGTTGAACCTTCAGAAGGCCAAGGGAAACTTACCCCCCGGCCCCTGCAGTACTGGGATTGCCAGAATTGGGATTCATACATATGTTTCGCTGTGTTTCCAACCAGGGGTTTATAAATTCTCTACTCTCTTTTTACTGGGTCAGACACTGTTTCAGAGAGCAATTGGCACTTGGTTGTGGGAAGATGGCTCTGCTTTCTCCCATAACTTGTTAAGTGTGCGGTAGTTATGGTGTTTTTCTGCTGTTTTTTCAAGTTTAATCTATGATCTGCCCAATGCAATTCACATTTTAGAGAACTGCACTAAAGGTAATATCTAAAGGTGTGAAATTTTGAGACAAGAGAAGGAAGGAAACAGCACAATTCATCTTCACCCAGGTTATCCTGATAGCTCAAAGGATGAAAGTGTACCTGTGCTCACGCAAGTTGTAAACTTGTGCTCATTTGTATCCTGGTGTGTGGACACCATCTCTTTTTGATCATTCTATGGAATACAGGGAAAGAGAAACGTTGAAATTAAAATTATTATATTTGTATGCAAACACTTTTATAACTGTTTTCTTAGGAAAGCGCCAAGTCTGTTCTGATTAAAAACAAAACCTCTTAAATTTTAACAAATCACACTCATTTCTGTACCTCTAGAAGATAGTTAAATGTGTCAATGTATATTTCATTAAAATAAAAATTATAATTTAAATATTTTTAAAACATTTAGACTATTATTGGTTAAATTTCTGTCTTTACCTAAGAATATTAAAAACTCAATAAAATAATTTTATATGCTTTCTTATTTTAATATATTTTATAAACTAAGTATTGCATTTTCCCCCGAGCCCGGTTTCAGCAACCCTAACACTCTTTCAGGGTTGTCACTATGTTTTACTAAATTGGGGTTTTCTTCTTCTCCCTTGACAAATTGCAAATTATTTCTGGGTCTTTGTCTTGCTCTCTTCTAACCAAACACTGGAGATTGTTTCTATGTATTATTCATTCACAAATGGGAGTAATGTAGGGTGATCTACTCTTAATGGTTCGGAGTTCTGCAGACCAAGTGAAAGTCCTTTGCCTCTTGCTTTGACACAGTGATCAACCCAATGATTGCTTCTAGACTTTCCCAGATGAAATATATAATCTATGCTCTGGTCACTTAGCACTTTTTACTTTTTCTCTGGGTGTTTTTCTTTTGTTTTTTCATCACCAAAGGAGTCACTTACTTGAACTTCTTTTCTCCCTGATCAATCCAGAAAACACTTTCTCCAAATATCATGTGTCTAATATTGTGCAGCACACTTTTATGATAATGGTACATATATATCTTAAGAAACTTAAATTGATAGTCTTATTTTGCATCTAATAGTACATTTCAGGTGCTAATGATATAATTGAGGAACACTTAACTAGGCTTCATGATTTCAGCACACAACATGCCAAGAGTCAAGAAAGCCTGGAGTTACAAAGACAATGTGACTATCAAACCAGAACCATTTCCACAGTTGAATAAAGAAATAATTAGGAAAATGAACTTAAGTTTGTGGTGATTGATACAAATTACAGAATACCATCTTTCAAAACATTCGAACTCTAAGTAAAATGAGTTAGTAATTATGCTTCTTGGAGATTTAAAGTTTTTTCTTAATTATTTTTTAACCAAAGTAAAACACACATGTGCTTTAAAAATCCATAGTACAGAAGGACTCATTATGAAATTTAACAGTTTTATTTCCCACTTGTGCTCACTGTTGGGAACAGGCCCCCAAATCTGGCCATAAACTGGCCCCAAAACTGGCCATAAACAAAATATCTGCAGCACTGTGACATGCTCGTGATGGCCTTGACGCCTATGCTGGAAGGTTGTTGGTTTACCTGAATGAGAGCAAGGAATACCTGGCCCACCCAGGGCGGGAAACCTTTTAAGGTGTTCTTAAACCATGAACAATAGCATGAGCGATCTGTGCCTTAAGAACATGTTCCTGCTGCAGTTAACTAGCCAGACCCATCGCTTTATTTCAGCCCATCCCTTTGTTTCCCATAAGGAATACTTTCAGTTAATCTATAATCTATAGAAACAATGCTTATCACTGGCTTGCTGTTAATAAATATGTGGGTAAATCTCTGTTCGAGGCTCTCAGCTCTGAAGGCTGTGAGACCCCAGATTTCCCACTCCACAGGCCATATTTCTGTGTGTGTGTCTTTAATTCCTCTAGCACCGCTGGGTTAGGGTCTCCACGACTGAGCTGGTCTCAGCAGCTTACCCTGGTCCTGCCCCAAGGGGAAATGACTTTCATTCTGGTTCTCCTATTTTTATCAGATTTCTCTCTAATGGTATAGAAAGGTGCTTTATTACTTTTCCAGCAAAGAATCAATCTAGGATTTACTCTGTGTAAACAAACCAAGGTTCAGAGACAGTCTCTTCCATGTTACCATTAGGGTTCCATTCTGCGTTTTTTTTTTTTAATTATGTTTTGTTTTGTTTTGTTTTGTTTTTGCTAAAAGCATTCAAGGATTCTTGACCTTGACAAGGAACAGAGGTATCTAGATGAAGTTAAATAGTAAGGATGCTATCTCTTTTAAAGGAAATTATTTCCAGATAATGATAAGAAAACTAGCTACAATATCCTTTGGGTGCAGGAAATGCATAATATAAGCAAACCTTGGAGATATTATGGGTTTGATTAGAGAACACCACAATAAAATAAGTCACACAAATGTTTTGGTTTCCTAATGTATATAAAAGTTATGTTTATACTATACTGTAGTCTGTTAAATGTGCAATAGCATTATGTCTTAAAAAACAGTATATCTACCTTAATTTCAAAATCTGTTATTGCTAAAAAAATGCTATTGATCATCTAAGCTTTCAGCCAGTCCTAATTTTTTGTTGGTGGAGGGTCTTGTCTTAATGTTGATGGCTGTTGACTGACTGGGGTGGTGGTTGCTGAAGGCTAGGAGGCTTTGGCAATTTCTTAAAATAAAAAAATGAATTTTGTGCACTGGTTGACTCTTTTTTTAATGAAAGATTCTCTGTAGCATGTGATGATGTTTGAAGCATTTTACCGACAGTGGAACTTCTTTCAAAATTGAAGTCAGTCCTCTAAAGCCTTGCCGTTGCTTTATCAACTAAGTTTATGTATATTCATAGGAGTAGATTCCATCCCAAGAAACACTTTCTTTGCTTAGCCATGAGAAGCAACTACTCATATATTCACGTTTTCTCACAAGATTGCTGCAATTCCGCCACGACTTCAGTCTCCATTTCTAATTCTAGTTCTCTTGTTATTTCTACCACATCTGCAGTTACTTCCTCCACTGAATTCTTCAACCCCTCAAAGGCATCCATGAGAAATGGAATCAACTCTTTCCAAACTTCTGTTAGTGTTGTATTTTTGACTTCCTTCCATGAATCATGAAAGTTGTTCATGGCATTCAGAATAGTGACTCCATCCCAGAAAGTTCTTAATTTACTTTATCCAGAACCATCAGAGGAATCCCTATCTTTGGTAGTTAGAGCCTTACAAAATGTATTTCTTAAATAATATTAATAAGACTTAAAAGTTGAAATGACTCCTCAATTCAAGGGCTGAAGAATGGATGTTGTGCTAGAAGGCAAGAAAACAACATGTATCTCCTTGTACATCTCCATTAGAGCTTTTATGTGACCAGGTGCATTGTCAATGAGCAGTAATATTTTAAAATGTATAAGTTGTTTTCAGAGCAGTAGGTCTCAATAGCAGGTTAAAAATATTTACTAAACCATGTTATAAACAGATGTGCCACCATCCAGACTTTGTTTATTCACTTGTAGAACTCAGACAGAATAGATATAGCATAATTCTTAAGGCCCTAAAGTTTCAGAAAAATAAGTGAGCAATGGTTTCAACTTAAAGTTACCAACTGCATTAGCACCTCTGAAGAGAGACAGCCTCTCCTTGGAAGCTTTGAAACTAGGCATCACCTACTCTGTTCTAGCTATGAAAATTCTAGATGGCATCTTCTTTCAATATAAGAAAGAAGTCTGCACTAAAAATATGTTGTTTAGTGTAGCCACTTTCATCAATTAGTTTTGCTAGATCTTCTGGATAACCTGCTACAGCTTCTATATCAGCACTTGCTGCCTCACCTTGCACTTGTATGTTATGGAAACAACCTCTTTCCTTAAACTTCATGACCCAAACTCTGCTAGCTTCCAAGTTTTCTTCTGCAGCTTCCTCACCATTCTCAGCTTTCATAGAATTAAAAAGAGTTAGGGTTCTAGATTAGGCTTTGGTTTAAGGGAATGTTGTGACTGGTTTGATCTCTTATGCAGACAACTACAACTTTCTCCATATCCACAATAATGAAAATGGCCCCACCCCCAAATTTCATAAAATGAATGAAGGGGGAAAAATCCAACTAGGCTTGCAGCACAATGGCAGCAATGATTAAGCCAGCTTGTCCTTTGACTCATTTCTGTGTAGCCATTTGTAGCTTAGTACCCTAGGATAATGTAGGCCTTGTCAGAAGACTTTTTTCTTTTTCTGTTCCATAGATAAAATCTAAGACATTGTGAGATGATAAACTTTTGTTTGAGGTTGTTCTTTAGGTTCTGCATACCAACAAAACCACCAATGCCACCCAGTGTGGAGGGCCCGGTGAGAAACTGACACATGATAGAATGCAGTTACCACATTCTGATGATTTCATCCCCCTTACCCTGATCAGTAGATGATCTCAAATGTTCCAACCCCTGCCCTCCACAATCCTTTAAAAATTCTTGCCCAGAACAGCTTCACAAAAAATATTTGGGGCTTGAGAATTCTTCTCATTTTCTTGTTGTGTGCCTTGCGATTGTTAAACTCTTTCTCTGCTGCAAACCTGCAGTCAGTGTATTGGTCTGCTGCTGCACGGTGGGCATAGCAACCTGGTAGTACTATTACAATAAGGCTTCTTGGCTTTCTTAGCATTTGTGTGTTCATTTGGGGTAGCACTTTTAAAATTGCCTTCTAAGACATTTCCTTTGCATTTACAACTTGGCTAACTCTTTTGTGTAAGAAGCCTAGGTTTCAGCCTCATCTCAGTTTTGGACATGTCCTCCTAGCTTTTGATTTAAAGTGAGAGACATGAGAGTCTTCCTTTCACTTGAACACATGAGGCCATTGTAGGGTTATTAACTAGCCAAATTTTGGCATTGTTGTATCTCAGGTAATAGTTAGGCTTGAGAAGAGGGAGAACGAGATGGGGAACAGCTGGTCAGTGGAGCAGAACACACACGACATTTACTAATCGGTTCACCATCTTATATGGGCATGGTTCCTGGTGCCCCAAAACAATTACAAAATTGACATCAACAGGCACTGATCACAGATTGCCATAAGATATATAATATTAATGAAAATATTTTAAATTAATTTGACAGTTGCAAAATGTGACGGAGAGACATGAATTGAACACATGCTTTTGGAAAAAATGGTGTTGATAGACTTACTTGACATAAAGTTGCCATAAACATTCAATTTGTAAAAAATGCAATTTCTGCAAAATGCAATAAAGTAGGTTGCAATAAAACAAGGTATGACTGTTCTCATCTATACAGAACGTGGGTTGTTTTCAAGACATTTACTCAACTCCCATAAAAATTCAGGATATTGATGCAGGGAAGTGCTGATGTCAGTGGCAGGTAAGTGTCACCCAGTGCAGCCTCCCTTCTCATGCAATCACCCAACAGGTTCTTCCTGGCCGTTGCACAGACAAAATCCATCAACTGAGACACCAGTATTGTAGCAGAGAAAGAAATTAATTGACACAAGGCTGTCCTACTTGGTAGAACTGGAGTTATCACTCAAAGTCTCCATGAAGGCTTGAAGGCTAGTATTTTTATGGACAATTTGGTGGGCAGGGGGTTAGGGAATGGGTGTTGCTGATTGGTTGAGGGGCAGTGAAACCATAAGGGTATAGAAAATGGTCCTCACGAGCTCAGTCTGCCTCTGGGTGGGGCCACAGGATTAGTTGAGTCATAAGCCAGGAGTCCAGGTGGGGTTAGTCTGAAAAACACCTCAAAAAAAAAAAACCAACCTTAACTTCTACAATATTGATGCTATCTATAGGAGCAATTGGGAAGGTCACTAGACACATGACTCCTGAGCAGTAAGTGATTATAGAAACTACACCTACACTTTAGCAGAGCTCAGGCCCCTCTCATAATCCTAACCTCGTGACCTTTTTATTAGTTTGTCAAAAGCTATTAGTTTGTCAAAAGCTGAGTTTTGAGAAGAGCTATTATCATGCTTGCCTTAAGGTTAAACTATAAACTAAATTCCTCCCAAAGTTAGCTTGGCCTACACCCAGTAATGATCAAGTCAGCTTGGAAGTCAGAAGCAAGATTAAATCAACTATGCCAGATTTCTCTCACTGTCATAATTTTGCAGAGGTGGCTTCACTCATAGCATGAGAACCTTTGTGTCAGAAGCACTCCGTCCTGCTTCTCTGACCTCTTTTATCTGCCTACTCTCATTCACCATTTCACCTTTATGCTTATCCTCTTTTCCTTCATATTAGGGGAGTTTTTCTTAGTGTTGGGTTCCACAAAAATATGAAACTCATTGAAGGGCTGGATGATTGACACTTGAATGGCATCCTGAATTCCATAAAGGAGTAGGGACTGGGGTTTATTGGAGGGGGCTTCTGAAAGAGGGACATGTTGTGGGAGGGTGAAGGTGAGGAAATACATGTTGAATAAAGATTTTCTTGCTATGTAAATGAGAGTCCTTCAGGGGAGAAATTGTTCAGGAGCAGCTCTTTTCCTGATATAGATAATTTTACTAATATAGATTTCCTTTACAGATGTAATTTTCCTTTACAAAAGGGCAGCTTTTCACATGACCTACTCTTGTGTCTGCAGTTTCTCAAAATAACCAGCTTGAAATATGCCAACAAAGATAAATATTTTTAGGGGACATATTTTAGTCTCCTGCTATCATATTTTGGGGTGATATGTCCTGAGCCCCAACAACACATTTCTTTTTCTGGCATGCATCCCCAAATAGCCCCTGCATATAAGATAAGCAAAATAATTTGGGATATTTATATATCAAGTCCTGAGATCCATTGGTATGAGGGTGGCAAAGTTTTGAGCAGATCTAGGGGGAAAAGAAGTCCCAAGGCCTACAGATGCAAAAGTCTGTTTAAGTAAAACAAAGGTTCCTAGATATAAGAGAGGGGCAATGATAACTTGGGCTATAAGATGAAAGGCAAGGAGTGTTTGCTTCTATACATGTAATTGTATGTATATTTCTCATTATCTATGTGGACAAAACTTAACCAGTTCTTCAAGAAGGTAACATAAAGGATTGGATTGTCAAATCAGTATCACAAGCATCCTCAGAGATTTCACCCAGTATCATGCTTTACTCATAATTTCAGTTATACAATAATTGTGAGATGCAGACAAAACAGTGGAAAACCCAGGCCTGCAAAAGCACCCACTCATTCTTACTTTCCCCTTAGGACACACTCTGGCCCAGACAAACAGATAAACATATGAGGTCTCTTAATGGTGTTTGTGGCTGCACCGTTTACACAAAAGGAGATGTTTTGGTTATGACACATCTCCATTTTATACTCAGATGGTTACATGGTTATGGTTACACATAGCTTATGTGACATTTTTCCAGGAAGCCAGCCTCCATAAACCCACAGATTCTAGTTTTATGCTTTTTTTTTATATAGTGTGTTTTGCTCTTGTCACCCAGGCTGGAGTGCAATGGTGCGATCTCAGCTCATCAAGTTCAAGAGACTCTAATGCCTCAGCCTCCCAAGTAGCAGGGGTTACAGGTGAGTGCCACCATGCCCGACTAATTTTGTATTTTTAGTAGAGACAGGGTTTCTCCATGTTGGCCAGGCTGGCCTTGAACTCCTGACCTCAGGTGATCCACCTGCCTTGGCCTCCAAAAGAGCTGAGATTACAGGCGTGAGCCACTATGCCCAGCCTTAGTTTTATTTTTTTATTTGATTTTACCACTAACAATTTTAGACAATCTAATACATCCTGCTAAAATCATTCCATTGATAAGGATTTTGCAAGCAAAACACACTATATATAAGAAACCACTATAGCTAGTAGGTTTGTTATTAGCATGTTTACAATGAGATTTTACCAGGTCAGTAACGTCTTTTGTTTTTTCTCAGGGAGCCCTCTCTCTCTGTTAAAAGAATAATTTGCAGCCTGATGTGAGCAATTTTCTTTCCGCTCAAAGAATGCATTTTCTAAAAGCAGTGAGATCAAAATAAATTTTTCCCTTGGGGATACTAGAACGTATACTGTTATTTTGTTCTGCAACATTTTAGTTATACATTTTTAGGTAGGGAAAAGACTTCACTGTTTATATGTTAAGTGAACATTAGTTTCTTTTCCCTGGCTTTTGACTAAGGTTTAAAAGTTGACTTAGCTATTGAAGTCATCACTTGCTCTTACCAAGGGCACTAGTAAATTGCAGGGGAGGAAGAGGGCATCTTCCTGCAATGGATACTAGGGGATGGAAAGTCCTGCAAAGAGAGACGTTCTTTTGGCAGGATACCTAACTTTTCAAAAGCAAATTTATGTAAGTGAAGCTGGATATTTCAGCGGAATTTAGTCTGGTTTCTCTCGGCAGCACACTCAGAGAATACTTTGAGTAGAAACTTTATTTGGAATTGTGTATGCAATAAATGTAGGAAAGGAAATGTAATAGGAAAGGGAAAGTGGAACGCAATAAAGGTTATTTTCTTAATCTAGCTTCTAGAGGAGGTGACTGGAACATAACACTATTGAGTAATTCTGGGAACTGGGCAAAACACAATGTTCAGAATTACCTGACTTTAGGGCTGAGACTGCTGGACTGTATAGCAAATCACAAGATTCGTTTGTTGACGCCCATTCTGGTGATGATTATTCAGCACTTCCGGATTAGCATGTCTGAGAACAGCAAGGCTTTCAGCAGTTATTGGAGAAAAAAAGAACCCATAGATACAGCTATACAGATAACTAGTTGGCCATAGTTCCCCAAATATTCCAAGGGACATAGGCGAGGCAATGATAACTTCAGGAACAAGTGGAGATGAGTGGGAGAGATACAGTACATGGAAATCATTCACCTGTCTACGTACAAAAATAAATAGAAAGAACAGAGGCCGGGCACGGTGGCTCACGCCTGTAATCCCAGCACTTTGGGAGGCCGAGGCGGGCGGATCACGAGGTCAGGAGATCGAGACAATCCTGGCTAACACGGTGAAACCCCGTCTCTACTAAAAAAAAAAAATACAAAAAATTAGCTGGGCGTGGTGGCGGGAGCCTGTAGCCCCAGCTACTCGGTAGGCCGAGGCAGGAGAATGGCGTGAACACGGGAGGCGGAGCTTGCAGTGAGCCGAGTGAGCCACTGCACTCCAGCCTGGGTGACAGAGACTCCATCTCAAAAAACAAACAAACAAAAACAAACAAAAAAAGAACAATCAGAGTTGGCAGCTCAGAAAGAGTTAAAGAGGTATATACATATATGTTTACTGTGTGTGTGTATGTGTGTGTGTGTGTGTGTGTTTAGGTATCTTAAATATTTAAGCCTGGAGTTCTTGAAGTAAACTTGTATTTGTTGGATTTTTATTTCTAAGTCAGTGAACTAAGATGAAAAAAAGGACAATGACTGATGGACGTATTCTCACCAAACAGGGTTCTAAAAACTTAGAACCTCTAACTTCCAAATAAAGGTGGTTGTGTTAGTAATGAAAGTGTAGTAATAATCCCTATTGCACATTCTGTCATAAATTTGTACTCTCTCAAGAGAAAAACTAAAAGCAAACCCCTAATCTCCTATATTTTGAGGCAATTTTACATGGGGGAAAAATAGTATCAGACAGGTTTCTTCCAGACCAGCTTTTTCTAACACTAAAAATGAATAGATTTCAAGTAAGCAAAGGATTTTTAAATAAATCACTTCAACTAAGATTTGCATACAGTCTGGATGAAGTAGATTTTACGCTTATATTCTTCAGTGAGGATTTATAGCTCAACAAATTTGTTGGTGCAATGAAAGCAGCTCTAGGCACACAATGCAAACTGAAAAGATGGAAAGTTTTGACTTCATAAAAACTGAGAAGTCAAAGTAGTCTTTTCTTTCATTTTTTTCTGTTGTTGGTTGAAAGCCCATCTTTTACAAAAGGGTTTATCTATAGTAATATTATAATGCTTGAACATAAACAATATACAAAATATAATACACAAAACGTTTATTTGAGTGTCTGCTTTTGTATGGGGGTGCATGGTAGATTGTATTTCCAGATACTAAATCATGGATCGAAATCTCTCCTTTCAAGATTCTTATTATAGCCAATCTCTTCCACATTGGAAATTTGACCTGTTCCACATTTGATATTCCTATTAACAAGGTTACTCTTCTGTAGATGAAAAAGTGTATATCGAAGTATCAGTATAGTATCTGAATTAGATAACACACTAAACAATATAATAATGTATTAGTAAAAATAAGGAAAATAAAGAAGCTGAAGTCGTGCTTAAAGAACTTTAAGAAAATGAAAATTGAGGTGTTGAAAAAAGCTTTTAAGGCTAACGTGAATGAGGCGTCCAAGTGGGAAACCCATCCAGTTCTACTTTTTTGAACTTTGCCTGTCGTGGCCAGGATAATTAGGTAGAGATCAGAAGAACAGAGTGAGACATGGAAATCCCAATTTATGTGACCTTGGGCAAATTACTTAGCTCTGTATGCCTCAGTTTTCTCTTTGATAGATTGAAGATATTTATATATCTTTACTATCAAGCCATTTACAGAAATAAATGAGCTAAGATATGCCAAGTGCTTTAAATTGTGTTAAGTACAAGGTAAATAATAAATGTTTATTATTAAAAGAGGAAAATTCTGTAAGTAATTTTGTTATGCTAAGTAAATTTACCTTTGGTTTGCCCATCATTTCCTTCATTTTCCAGATAACCCTTTAAAATGAATTTGATTTTCAAACAATAAAAAACAAAACAGCAACAAAACTCCCTCTGACCTCCTCTCACCTTCTTTAGTCCTTGCCAAAGTGTTAATATTGCAAAAGTACTGTGAGAATTTCCTGTATTGTGGTTCCTGGAACACTTCAGAGGCTTGTGATTCTACTGCTTCTTATTCACACTATAATACATGTCTCACCAATAGATGATTCAAGAACATCATTTAAATACACAATTTTTCATTCTCTATTTTTGCTAAATTTCTTCATACTCAACTTTCAGATTCTTTAATCTCCAGCTCAGCTTCAACAATTCAACGCTGTTCTTTCTGAAAAAGTACACATCGTGCCTTCTCTACTTCGCTCTTGGAACATAATTTCTCATGGCAGGTATGTGTGATTTCAGTCACTAAATTAAAAATAACCAGAAAAGCTATTTCTTGGATTGGCTGATTTTGGGGTAATGCTTTAAGAGAAAAGGACATGATTAACAGTGGATGTTTTTAGGATTTTCATGCATTAGCACTTTCCACATTCATTATATTTTCCTGATTCTTCATTGTATAACTTAGACATGATTTCATGAAGTTTTTTCCACAGGTTTGAAGAGTGGTTTCTGACAGGGCTACCTTTAAATTCTGAGTGAGAACTGAACTTTAGCCTGGTTAAATTGTGAGCAACAGTGTTCTAGTATAGCAATAGAAAATGCCAAATATTAATGACACAATGCTGAAAAGGTTTTAATTGACTATTTATGTTGTGACATCCAAAAATTACACAAATGAACAGTTTGACACATTGTACTGTTGTTAATGACATCACTCTTTGAGAGTGTGTTCACGTTAGCACAGAATCTCCTAATGTTGAAATGTTTTAGGTGAAAGGCCTAAAAGCAAGTAATTTTGAGTATGAACAAATGGAATGTTCTAGGGGAAAAAGGATTGTTTATGTATGTTCAATATACTGTGAAATGAAGCCAGGCCTCAAAGTTGTTACCCATCAATTTGTTATCAGTTATCACACCAAGTCCAGAATGTTCCTATGTCTTCTTTTCCCTATAATATCTCTACGAACCAATGAGCAGCTAGACATTTATCAGAGCAAAACCTGCACTGAGATGAGGAGAGGGCATACTCTCAACTAGTATTATTGTGACAATGGTAGACTACGTTGAATGAAAGATTCTTGAGCTAGACACACTTTCATGTGATTTCTGACTTGGATACTTACTTGCTTTGATACCTTGAGAAAATAACATTATTATTGGACCTTATGTTTTCTCATCTATGTAATGAGAACCATACTATCTATCTTGTGATTTTGTTGAGAGAATAAAAATAAATGCCTGTTATGTAAGTCCATAAAACACAACGTGGTGCTTGTTAATATCTTCTACCTCCAGATCTTTAAGCACCTCTGCCAATTTAAAATAAATGGTAAATTCACTTTACTGCAACAGAGCTGGTAGAGAAGAAAATGTTTGAATAATCTTCCTGAAGAATAAGATACATCACATAAAAATGTTGGTATTGGGTGAAGTCCCGATTGGAAAGTCTTCAGTGTTTTATTGGCAAGATGACTCCGTTATCAAATGAAAGAATGTTGTGGATTCTCCGTCACTAGTTTCTGCTTTTAAGAACTCAGCTCCTGAGTTTGCTCTTTAAGTCATTACTCTGTCTGTCTTTCTCTACAGTGTTTAAGACCACTCTGTGGAGGTTAATTTCTGGGACCTTAGGGATAATATGCCTTTCGTTGATGTCTACGTTGGGAATTTTGTTGAAAAATTGTAAGTTTTTCTAAGCAAGTCTCCATAAAAATCAAAACTGTGAAGACATCATTTAATAATAAAGGCTTCATCTTGCTAATGTGTAATATTTTAGTATTTCATAAACCCATACCTAATTAAACAAATTTCTAATCATTTCTTATAGCTTTTACTAAACTGAGTATTGAGCCAGCATTTACTCCAGGACCCAACATAGAACTCCAGAAAGGTAGGTCACATTTTTTGGAAAACTTAGCATTGGTAAAAGATTAAATAGGCAGTTTCTTGTTTTTCACACAGAGAGGCATGATGGAATATTATACTTAGTAATAGAAATTTGCCTACCAGTGTAGGATAGTCTCATTTTACATTGCTCAATCTAATGTAAAAATGATTAAATTACACTGAATGTGTATCATTTGTACATTTAACTAATCAGGAAAATAGTAGCCTGAAACGAAAGATATGTTTCCTATATGAGTGCTCATAATTAAGTAACAAAAAATAAACCACAGGAAATGTTACAGTTAATCCTCATTACCTGCCTGAATTTGCTTATAACCTATACTTTTGCATCTCACTACTTTTCCTTTTCCAGAATATACTGCACAGATTTCTAAACCTTACTTATCCAGTGAAAGCCAGCTCAAAGTCCAATTTTCGTTTTTGGAGATGGAGTTTTGCTCTTGTCGTCCAGGCTGGAGTGCAGTGGCACGATCTTGGCTCACTGCCACATCAGCCTCCCTGGTTCAAGTGATTCTCCCACCTTCCTGCCTCAGCCTCCCAAGTAGCTGGGACTACAGGCGCCCGCCACCATGCCCAGCTAATTTTTGTGTTATTAGTAGAGTCAGGGTTTCGCCATGTTGGCCAGGCTGGTCTCGAACTCCTGACCTCAGGTCATCCACCTGCCTCGGCTTCCAAAGTGTTGGGATTATGCCGTACCCAGCAGAGCCACTGCGCCCGGCCTCAATTTTCTAAATATGTATTTTTCGGAATGCGCCCCAAGTTGTCTCACCATCATCTTGATTATATAGTGTTTATTTACAGTGCAACATCTTGGCCAGGCACAGTGGCTCACGTCTGTAATCCCAGCTCTTTGGGAGGCTGAGGTAGGCATATTACTTGAGGTCAGAAGTTCAAGACAGGCCAACCCCGTCTGTACTAAAAATACAAAAATTAGCCAGGCATGGCGGCACGCACCTGTAGTATCAGTTACTCAGGAGGCTGAGGCATGAGAATCACTTGAACCTGGGAGGCGGAGGTTGAAGGGAGCTGAGATGGTGCCACTGCACTCCAGCCTGGGCAACACAGCAAGACTCTGTCTCAAAAACAATTAAAAAATATAAAAATAATAGTGCAACATCTTCAGCACTACTTATATGGCAAAGATTTGAGTGCCTATGACGTGTCATGTTTTTATTACCGTGGGTAACAAACGTTGAAGACACTATTATTGATAAACTGTATAATTAAGCCTCAAGATAATTGGTTTATTTATATTCCCTTTTCAAAAATAAGATATCCAAACATATATCAAAATTCTCCAAATGTACCATATTCTTTTCTGACTCAGAAAGTATGCTAAAATGTTTTCCTCCTTTAAATCTTTTTCATCTAGTTAACTCCTATTTATGCTACAGTACTTAGTTTTGAGTCACTTCCTCAAAAAAAGGTTCTTGTAACTGCCCCTCATCTTACACTCTGCTACATGCTGTTTTAACATACTTAATTTTTTTGTACTTATCTAAATCATCACTAAATATCGTTAATAAATTATTGAAAATTATATAATTGTAATTCTATCTCTAGAATATAATCTCCATGAGGAAAAAGCATCATGTTCATGTCTAATTAGTTCACATTAGTAGCCCCTGAAGTGTGGTGTATACAGTAGATTCTGAATGTTAAAAGAATACACAGCAAATAATTTTTGAATAATTAAATAGCATTGAAAAAAATGTCTAGTCTCCAGTGTCATTAGTCATGCTTTATGTTTTCTGTCAGACTCTGACTGCTGTTCTTGCCAAGAAAAATGGGTTGGGTACCGGTGCAACTGTTACTTCATTTCCAGTGAACAGAAAACTTGGAACGAAAGTCGGCATCTCTGTGCTTCTCAGAAATCCAGCCTGCTTCAGCTTCAAAACACAGATGAACTGGCATGTGCTGAGTCTGATTTTCTACATTTTCTTTGATCTAGAAAAATATACTATCTAAACAAGTTAAATACTTTGGTTTAAGTCATTAATCACATAGTAAGTGGATGGTTATATTGGAATTGAGTTATCTGTTCTGTGTACCTTAAAGTAGTCATTGTAAAATCTTTATTAAATTCCTTAATGATTATATCATGGGAATACAAATCAAGATAGGTGCCAAATAAAGTGAAAGAAACTTTTCAGGAAGAATTCAAAGAAGATAATAGGTCATTATATTTACCCATTTTATTTGAAGAACCAACTAAATGACTGTGATTCTTAACTCTTTTAATTGAATTTATAATATCTTTTATAATTTTATAGTTTTTGTCATCTTTCTGGGATATAAGCTAGTATGGAAATATGGTAAGAAAACGTACCCAATTCTTTTCTTTTCTTTTTTTTTTTTTTTTTTTGAGACAGAGTTTTACTCTGTTGCCCAGGCTGGAGTGCACTGGTGCAATTTCAGCTCACTGCAGCCTCCACCTCCTGGGTTCAAGTGATTCTCCTGCCTCAGCCTCCTGAGTAGCTGGGATTACAGACACCTGCCACCAGGCCTGGCACTTTTTGTATTTTTAGTAGAGACAGGGTTTCACCGTATTGGCGAGGCTGGTCTTGAACTCCTGACCTCGGGTGATCTACCCTCCTTGGCCTCCCAAAGTGCTAGGATTACAGGCATGAGCCACCGTGCCTGGCCCTAATTACCCAATTCTTTTTTGTTTGTTTGTTTGTTTGTTTGTTTGAGATGGAGTCTCGCTCTGTCGCCCAGGCTGGAGTGCAGTGGCGTGATCTTGGCTCACTGCAAGCTCCTCCTCCCGGGTTCACGCCATTCTCCTGCCTCAGCCTCCCGAGTAGCTGGGACTACAGGCGCCCACAACCACGCCCAGTTAATTTTGTGTATTTTTAGTAGAGACGCGGTTTCACCGTGTTAGCCAGGATGGTCTCGATCTTCTGACCTCATGATCTGCCCACCTCTGCCTCCCAAAGTGCTGGGATTACAGGCGTGAGCCACCGTGCCCGGCCCCTAATTACCCAGTTCTTAAGAAAAAGTGCGGCCGGGCGCAGTGGCTGAAACCTGTAATCCCAGCACTTTGGGAGGCCGAGGAGGGCGGATCACAGTCAGGAGATCGAGACCATCCTGGCTAACACGGTGAAACCACGTCTCTACTAAAAATACAAAAAATTAGCCGGGCGTGGTGGCGGGCGCCTGTAGTCCCAGCTACTCGGGAGGCGGAGGCAGGAGAATGGCGTGAACCTGGGAGGCAGAGCTTGCAGTGAGCTGAGATCGTCCCACTGCACTCCAGCCTGGGCGACAGAGCAAGACTCCCTCTCAACAAAAAGAAAAAAGAAAAAGCGAAAAACTTCTCCTGCTGCACGTGGCACCTTTGCGGATTATAGGTTGAGTAGATTATACCCATGGGATTCCTCCTTCACAATACCATGATTTTGGAATCAAATTTAATCTTTGATCCCCCGTGAAGAAAGTGTTCCATGAAAACTCTATCTCCTTTTAGAAGGTTTTTAATTCTTCAGGAAGTGAGATTTTGTGGTATTTTTTCTCCATATATGAATGGGCCTGATAAATGAGAACTTTCAGTCTTGTGATTATACCTTTTAAATAGGAAGTTAAAAATAATTTCCGTTTGTGTGATGGACAGGCTGAATCTTATTCTAAACACTGACTTTCCCTCAAAATATGTTATTCCCAGAATAGATTAAAATTAGATTAATGTGATTGTCTTTTACTTGAAGCAGGATTTTATGAGCTCCAGTCAACAATTTTACTGGATTGGACTCTCTTACAGTGAGGAGCACACCGCCTGGTTGTGGGAGAATGGCTCTGCACTCTCCCAGTATCTGTAAGTTTCTGGCAATCATGGCGTTTTTTGCTCTTTATGAATTTGTCCTTAAATGTGACTAGTAAAGGTAACATCCAGGAGCACTGTGGCTGAAATAACCTTGTCTAGGGCATGAGAATACAGTAAAAGGAAAAAGTACAACAAAATAACAATTTTAGATCTAGGCAGATCTAAACCACTCTAAGTGTTAAAATCAAAACAGAAGATAATGCCTAATGAAAGGAGGTCGGGGTATAGGATAGTTGGTGCAAAAAAATACTGATAACCATTACATGCTTGCCTGTATTATTTTAAATTTTTTAATTAAAAATATATTATTTTGTAGTCACATGGACAACAAAACCAAAACATTACAAATCTCCAGAAAGTGCAATGCATAAGCTCTCTTAGTTCAAATTAAACATTTGAAAGGTATTATATTTCATCCTATATCTTTTGTCAGTTAACTGAAGTGCATTTTTCCTAAATCAATCTTCATACAAGAATGTGAAGAGGGCCAGGGATGGTGGCTTGAGCATCCAAGTTAATGCTCAAGTGACATGAAATTTAGTGTATTCGTGGCCATAAAAGAACTTTTAACATATGCTTTATTTTTGCCTTAGTACCAGCACTTGGAAGTATATGTGCATGTACAGATACTCATATACACAGAGGCAGTCCAAAAAAATAGTATATTTATTATTTTATTTATTCTGGTAGACCCCAATATTCTCAGCATGCTCTTATGTTTTATATACTATAGACTCATTGTCTGTATGTGTGTACTTTTTGAATCTCATTTTCATTTATAAACATGAGATTTGCAGCATCACACAGGGACAAAGTTTATGCTCTGGTTTGTTTTCCTAGACTAGATCAGATAATACATCTTAAATAAAATAGAAGAAAAGCATATCACATATTTAAACCATTAATGACAACAGAAAAACAGCAAGGAAAAAATCCCTGGCCTCAATGCTATTGATTAGTGAGAAAATAACTGGGTATTTTGTAGCATTACACTAGAAAATCATGAAAATTGTGGTTACTGAAAAAAAAAGGACTCAATATGTTAGTATCTCACTCAAATGCTTTTAAAATTTATATCATTTAATTGAAAAATGCCCTGAACATTCTTACTTCCTTTTTGTGTATGTGAACATTTTCTTCTTCATTACAGATTTCCATCATTTGAAACTTTTAATACAAAGAACTGCATAGCGTATAATCCAAATGGAAATGCTTTAGATGAATCCTGTGAAGATAAAAATCGTTATATCTGTAAGCAACAGCTCATTTAAATGTTTCTTGGGGCAGAGAAGGTGGAGAGTAAAGACCCAACATTACTAACAATGATACAGTTGCATGTTATATTATTACTAATTGTCTACTTCTGGAGTCTATAAAATGTTTTTAAACAGTGTCATATACAATTGTCATGTATGTGAAACAATGTGTTTTAAAATTGATGAAATTCGTTCACCTACATTTGAGAATTATAAAATTAACATAAAGAATTTTGTATTTTCATTTAATGTATATATTTAATGTTAAATTCAATGTAGTTTTATTACACATTTATGTAATTTTATTTACATTCTTGCTAATTCTCAGCAGAAATTTAAATAAGATTTAATTCACATCAAATAAAATTTAGAAAATAAAATTTAACTCACACTGCCCAGGCTGGAGCATAGTGGCAAGATCATAGCTCATTGCAAGCTCAAGTGATCCTCCTGACTCAGCCTCCCAAGTAGCTAGGACTGCAGGCACCATGTCACTATGCCCGACTAATTTTTAATTTTTAATTTTTTGTCAAGACAAGGTCTTGCTATGTTGCCCAGGCTGGTCTTGAACTCCTGGCCTCAAGGGATTCTCCCACCTTGGATTCCCAAAGTGCTGGGATTATAGGTGTGAACCACCATCCCTGGCCCTCTTCACATTCTTGTATGAAGATTGATTTGGGAAAAATGCATTTCAGGTAACTGACAAAAGATATAGGATGAAAAATAATATCTTTCAAATGTTTAATTTGAACTAAGAGAGCTTATGCATTGCACTTTCTGGAGATTTGTAATGTTTTGGTTTTGTTGTCCATGTGACTACAAAATAATATATTTTTTAATTAAAAAATTTAAAATAATACAGGCAAGCATGTAATGATTATCAATATTTTTTTCCACCAACTATCCTATACCCCTGACCTCCTTTCATTAGGCATTATCTTCTGTTTTGATTTTAACACTTAGAGTGGTTTTCTCTGTTATGAATCAAAGCTGATCTATTTTCATCATTTTTGTGATGAAAAAATTAATTTTGATTGACTTAGGATGGAAGGATTTGGACTGGGTGTGGTGGTTTATGCCTGTAATCGCAGCACTTTGGGAGGCCAAGGCGGGTGGATCACTTGAGGTCAGGAGTTTGAGACCAGCCTGGCCAACATGGTGAAACCCTGTCTCTACTAAAAATACAAAAATTGGCTGGGTGTGGTAGTGCACACCTGTAATCCCAGCTATTTGGGAGGCTGAGTCGAGAGGATCGCTTGAACCTAGGAGGTGGAGGTTGCAGTGAGTCGAGATTGCACCACTGCACTCCAGCCTGGGTGACAGAGCCAGACTCCTCTCCAAAAAAAAAAAAAAAAAAAAAAGATGAAAGGATTTGGAACCTTAATTGCATCTGAAAAACTGCCTCACCTTTGTTATTTAGTGTACTCCAACCACGGAGTAACATCCCATCATAATCCCAAATCCTACTCAAACAAAAGGGGAAGGGATTATGCAGGTGTACACTAGGCCACTGGTGTACCAATTAGAAACCACTTTAGAGTTATGCCTACTGTACCCACATAATCCTAAAAATATGTTACAACTGCTACTTCATAGTTTATGCCACTTATTTTATTTTTTACTTTTATTATTTTTTTTTCTGAGACACGGTTTCATTCCCATTGCCCAGGCTGTAGTGCAATGATGCAATCATGGTTCACTGCAGCTTCAACTTCCCAGGCTCAAGGGATCCTCCCACCTCAGCCTTCTGAGTACTTGGGACTCAGGTGCGAGCCATCATGCTCAGCTAATTTTTTGTATCATTTGTAGAAATGGGGTTTTGTATTGTTGCCCAGGCTGATCTTGAACTCCTGGGGTCAAGGATTCTGCCCGCCTTGGCCTCCTAAAGGGCTGGAATTACAGGCATAAGCCACTGTGCCCGGCCAGTTTATATAATTTAAACACTGCCTTTTGGTTCCTTGATTCCCATATGCTAGGACAAGTAATTATTATTTTATTTTATTTTACTTTAAGTTCTGGGTTACATGTGCAGAACCTGCAGGTTTGTTACATAGGTATACATGTTCCAAGGTGGTTTGCTGCACCTATTGACCCATCATCTAGGTTTTAAGTCCCACATGCATTAGGTATTTGTCCTAATGCTCTTCCTCCCCTTGCCCCCCACCCCCCGACAGGCCTTGGTCTGTGATGTTCACCTCCCTGTGTCCATGTGTTCTCATTGTTCAACTCCCACTTATTAGTAAGAACATGTGGTGTTTGGTTTTCTGTTCCTGTGTTAGTTTGCTGAGAATGATGGTTTCCAGCTTCATCCATGTCGCTGCAAAGGACATGAACTCATTCTTTTTATGGCTGCATAGTATTCCATGGTGTATATGTGCCATATTTTCTTTATCCAGTCTATCACTGATGGGCATTTGGGTTGGTTCCAAGTCTTTGCTATGGTAAATAGTGCTGCAATAAACATACGTGTGCATGTGAGGACAAGTAATTATTTTCTGTTTTTCTCAATACATTAATTATTAGTTCCTCCGTTAGTTGTGAAGTCCTAATTAGGGAAAAGGAGTTAGGCTGGCGGGAGCAGGGAAAAGCAGAAAGAGAAAGCAGATAAGCTATGAGTCTGCCTTTCTTCATGGTCCAGGATATGGGCCATGTGCTAAACTATTACCAGACACCTGCAAGTTACCTCACCGCAACCTTGGCATTATCAGTACTGGACAAAGCCCTCTGCAGCATACAGCATAAACACTATTCCATAAAATCCTAAGCAAGCCTTTGTTTCTTTGCAGTCAGCTTTTCTTCTGCTGATGCTGCCTGTTGCCTCCCTGGAAACATATTTTCCTACTTTTCTTTAATAAATCTGCCTTCCTTTACCTACAGCTGTCTTGGTAAATTCTTTTACCTCAATGCCACCGGCCCAGGTAGCCGTTGCTCACCCACAACATTAGTGTATTAGTCCGTTCTTATGCTGCTACTAAAGATATACCCAAGACTGGGAAATTTATAAAATAAAGACATTTAATTGACTCACAGTTCTGCAGGGTTGGAGAAGCCTCAGGAAACTTACAGTAATGACAGAAGGGAAAGCAAACACATCCCTCTACGCATGGCAGCAGAAAGGAGACGTGCTGAGCAAAAGGAAAAATACCCTCTTATTAAATCATCAGATCTAGTGAGAACTCACTCACTATCATGAGAACAGCAAAGAGGTAACTACCCCCATGATTAAATTACCTCCTACCAGTTCCCTCACATGATACGTGAGGATTAGGGGCACTACAATTCAAGATGAGATTTGGGTGGGGACACAGCCAAGCCATATCAGTTAGTGACATCTGTATTCTCATATTGCATGCATAAGAAAGTGAGTTATTTTACAGCTGAACTGGGACAGCTCTTTGCTTATTTCCAGAGATGCCTAGGTGTCTGTTTTTGACTCTTGGCCATGATATGGGTAGTAGGCTAACTAACTAGCTAACAAATGGTTTATGGTGAGTTCTTTAAAGTTCAAAATCCCTCAGTGGAATCCAGGGTCAATTTGTTTATTGATAGCTTCCATATGAGATAATTACAGATCTTGTCTCTGCTGTGTGACCAGACACAGATAAAAGACTGCAAGAAATTTCAGTTTCAGCTCTCATGAAACCAAGTTTCATCTCACAAATATCAGGTTTCATCCAGAGATGAATGGTGTCTTTGCGCAAATATCTCTTGGTCCCACACTGCTTGTTTGAATTCTCTTTCTCATACGGTATCATATTCCTTTCACTTATTAAAAAGTTTTTCATGGCTGGGCGCGGTGGCTCAAGCCTGTAATCCCAGCACTTTGGGAGGCTGAGGCGGGTGGATCACGAGGTCAGGAGATTGAGACCATCCTGGCTAACACGGTGAAACCCCGTGTGTACTACAAGTACAAAAAAATTAGCCAGGCGTGGTGACAGGCACCTGTAGTCCCAGCTACTCGGGAGGCTGAGGCAGGAGAATGGCGAGAACCCGGGAGACGGAGTTTACAGTGAGCTGAGATCGCGCCACTGCACTCCAGCCTGGGTGACAGAGGAGACTCCGTCTCCAAAAAAAAAAAAAAAAAAAAAGCTTTTCATAAGTATGCTCATTAGAACCTTATAATTCATTTCAGTTATCTACACCTGGAAATGTTAGTTCTATAATTTTGGACTTTCTGAAACTTTTCTCTTTATATCCTAACGCAGGGGTTGAAAAACTTTTCTCAAAAAGCTCTATAGCATATATTTTCAACTTTGTGGACCAGTCTCTGTTGAAACTTCTCAACCTTGCCATGGTGGTGCTAAAGAAGACATAAATAATACAAAAATGAATGGTTTGACTGTGTTACAAAAGAATTTTATTGACAAAACATATGGTGAGACAGATTTGGTCCACAGGCCATAGTTTGCCAACATGTGCCCAAGTATGTAAGATGAGAATATAAGGCCATAAATTCTACTCTCTGCTTTATTCTTTTCCAGGTCACTTCTTACCAGTTGTAAATGTACTTACAAATTTTGCTATATGAAAACAGTTATGTCTGTTACTATCAATCTGTGTTCATTTTAAAGGGTGACAATCTACAAATTATGTGTTATAGACAAGTTGCAAGATGTTCACCAATGATTCCCACCTTGTGCTATACATGCCTTGGTGGAATTTCTTTCCACATTGTATCAAGGTTGCTCTGTGTGACCAATGAAATAAAGTGGAAATGATGATATTTCATTTCTGAGAATAGGTCATCAAAGATAGTATGACTTCCTTTTTCCTCTCTCCCAGATTACTTGATCTGGGGAAAACCAGTTATAATGTCATGAGCAGCCCTGTTGAAAGGACCATGCGGCAAGGAACTGAAGACTCTTACACACAGCCAGCAAGGAACTGAAGTCTATTTCCAATAGCCATGCTATGAGCCTTCTTTGCTTGTATAGGCTCCAGTCTTAGTCAAGCCTTCAGATGATTACAGCCCCCAGCCAACACCTTGACGGCAACCTCATGAGAGACCCTGAGCTAGGTCCATCGTGCTATGCTGTTCGAGGATTCCTCACTCTCAGAAGCTGTGTGAAATAGTAAAGTGTTTATTCTTTTTTTTTTTTTTTTTTTTGACAGAGTCTCACTCTGTCACCTGGGCTGGAGTGCAGTGGGGCCATGTCGGCTCACTGCAACTTCTGCCTCCTGGATTCAAGCAATTCTCCTGCCTCAGCCTCCTGAGCAGCTGGGATTACAGGTGTGCACCACCACTCCTGGCTAATTTTTTTGTATTTTTAGTACAGACGGGGTTTCACCATGTTGGTCAGGCTGGTCTTGAACTCCTGACCTCAGGTGATCTGCCTACCTCACCCTCCCAAAGTGCTGGGATTACAGGCGTGAGCCACTGCGCCCAGACATAACTTTTATTCTTTTAAGTCACTAAATATTAACGTGTCACATAGCAATAATCAATACATATTTTGGTACCAAGAATGAAGTTACTATTATAAAGAAAAAAAAAAACCACTAAAATTTTGGAGTGCTTGAAAACAGGCAGTGGATGGAGGCCAAAAGGACAGGAAAGACTGAAACCTTCTAGTATGGGCTTATAGTAGGGAAGTGAAAACATATTAGAAACTGGAGAAAGTAAAAATCTTTCTATTTAGTACCAGAAAGTTTAGCAACACTTTTGTCTGTAGCATTGTGGAAAGTAGAAAATGTACTTAATGATTTAAGAGAATGCTCTAAACTTATTTCCAACTAGAGTGTTGAATATCTTGTCTGATTTCTTCCTACTACTTATATTACAATGCTATAGAACACACATAAGCTAATGGAAGGGCTGTTGAGCAAAAGAAGACAGAACTTGATAGTTTTGAGATTCCTGGACTCTCAAATGTTAGCATGTCAAAAATGCTAAAATTGAGAAATAGATTCTGAGCAAAGATCCAATCTAGAGTGCTCTCAGGAAAGCATGATTCTAAACAAGAAGGTGTGGGTGTGACTGAAATTTCCTGTAAATATCATAGAAAGAACACAAGTAGTGCCTCAATTCAGTCAGATGAAGATCTATAAAGGTCAAATAATAGGGCTTCTAGGAAGCCCCAGGGTATTGTCCCTCAGGTATCTCAGCAGAAGCTCCAGGTAGAGAGAAGATTGAAGAGATTTATGTGTGCGGTTTTTACAAATAGAGTTCATAGAAAACCTCAAAACACTTTTGAGATGACTATGTCAGTAGAAAATTGACAATGAATTGCTACCTTTTATTCAAAAGTAAGAATAATTCAAAGGACAGAACTAAGAGCCTGTAAGGTGGATCCAAGAGTTATGAAGAGTGATTTTATAAGCAGAAATAGGACTGAGTCCTAATCAAATGAGTCCCGACATTTGCTATGCTAGATTTTAAATTATTATGCATCAGTGACTCCTTTGTAATTCTCATGCCCCTCCCTCTTTTGAACAAGGATGTCTATAGTTTGTTCTTTCGAATGTTGAGTGTATAAGGGAAGGAAATCTCTAGTATTGTTAATTTCACAAGCCTTCACATGGAGAAAAATGATACTCAAGAAGCTAAACTTAAGGAACTTCACCTGATGAGTCTCACTCATACCTGGATGTGACAAATTTCGGACTTTGAACTGACATTGTAACGGAATGAGATTTGGCAGTTGGTGTGGATTTTGTATGTGGGAGGGACATAAATCATTTGGGGCCAAAGATTAGACTCTTGTAAACAGCTTCCTATATGCTCCCAATGATCCCTGTTTCTTGGAATTTAACCCTTTTGATATAATCAATTACATTGTATAAGGGTTGATCACTGTGACCAAGAGAATAAGGCAGAAGTTATCGCATATCACTTTTGAGGCTAGATTATAAAAGACAGTATGTCTTTGGCGTTGCCCTTTCTCATATCATCTGATTTGGTGGAAGCCAGCTACCTTGTCGTGAGCAACTCTTTTAAGCGTTCCATGTGGCAAAGAACTGAGGCCTCCTATAAACAGCTAGCAAGGAACTGCAGCCATCTTGTAGACAGCCTTGTGCACGAGCCTCCTTGGTTCAACTCTTCAGCCAGTGTCAAGCCTTAGAAAATACAACCCAACCTACATTTTTACTGCAACCTCATGAGGGATCCTGAGCTAGAACCACCTAGCACAGTTGCTCTTGATTTCTGACCTCAGAAACTGTGAAGTGAAATATTTTGTTGTTTTAAGCTTACGAGTTTGAGGATAATTTGTTCTTTATAGTAGTTAGCTGATACAATATGCTTCATCATCATGACCTCATGAATAGAGAACATTTATTTATTTATTGAGATGGAGTCTCACTCTGTCACCCAGGCTGGAGTGCAGTGGCACAGTCTTGGCTCACTGCAACCTCTGCCTCGCTGGTTCAAGCGATTCTCATGCCTCAGCCTCCCCAGTAGCTGGGATTACAGGCACCCACCACCATGCCTGGCTAATTTTTGTATTTTCAGTAGACATGAGGTTTTGCCATGTTGGCCAGGCTGGTCTCCAACTCCTGGCCTCAAGTGATCCACCTGCCTCGGCCTCCTGAAGTGCTGGGATTACAGGCATGAGCCATTGTGTCTGGCCAAATAGAGGACATTTTAGAGCCCAATAGTAAGCTAGGATTATATTTCCTTCTTTGAGGTTCTATTGTTATAACCCTTATACAATAAAAAACAACTCTTCTGCCAGATTAAAATTTTTTGTTTTTTGGTTTTTTTAGTTCTCAATTATGTTGTATAACCCATGAGTGTCACTTTATTCTCATTGGAAATATCCTCCCAAGAGCTCTTACCCACCTGCTGTTGTTTGGACTGGCACCTTACTAGACCTGCTCCACAAACTGCCGTCATGAAATTTTTCTTCACTAATTTTCTCATTTACACTAAATACTTCATTGATTACAGTTTACCTCTTCATATATTTTAATTGAGCAAAAACACAATAAAGAATACCTATCTTAAATTTACTCGTAAACATTTAAGCTATGTCTACACTTACACGATTACTACCAGATTGCAATAGAGACTACCTACCACCACCAAGACTCTCTTGCTGTTTGCTAATTGATACTGTCTCCCCTGTTCCAAGAAAACTGCTACTCTGATTTCTGAAAATATAGGTTTATTTAGCCTGTTCTTTAATTTCATATAAATGGAAGCTTAGCATGTATGATCTTTGTGGCTTCTGTTGCTAAGCATTACGTCTGTGAGATACATCCATATATTCGTGCAGCAGTAGCTCCTCACTTTTATTGTCATGTAGAATTCATAAGAATGTATCACAATTTGCTTATTTATTCTAATATTGTTCAACATTTGAGTCATTTCCACTTTTCACTATTATGAGTAAAATTGCTATAAACATTTTAATATAGCTCTTGTGGGACATGTGGCTTCATATCTTTTGAGTGTACGCCTAGGAGTTGAATTTCTAAGTCATAAGCTGTCATATATTTAGGCCCTTTAGTTCACGCTTTAAAAACTAGTGATAATTTATTCATAAAGCTTATTTATAATTTCACTGGCAGTTTATGTGAGTGTTACTCTGTATTCTTGACAATACATAGTATTATGAATTATTTTAGTCTAAGGACCTTCTGGATACTATGCATTTGCATACAATTGTACATTTAATTTCCATCTTCCAAATGAATAATGATGCTTATCCCTCATCTTTTTTTTTCATTTTTATATCCCCTTCTATGTAGTGCTTGTTTAAGCTTTTAGCCATTATTTATTTTTAACAGCGCTGTTGCAGTATAATTGAGATACTTTAAGCATACTTTATATGCTTAAAGTATGACATTTGATGTATTTCCATATCTATGCATCTGTGAAACCATCACCTCAGCAATATATAAAACACCTACTAACCTCAAAAGTATCCTTTCCCCTATGTATAAAATACTTCCTCTTGCTCCTCCCCTCACAGATGAATATTCTGTTACTATAGATTTGCCTTTCTATGTTTTATATAGATAGAATCATATAATATGTACATCTGTGTTCTAGATTTTTCATTCAGCATCATAATAGTTTTTATACTCATCTATGTTGATACATGTATCAATAGTTAATTCCCTTTTATTTCTTATTTCTTTCCTTTTTTTTTTTTTTTGAGACTGAGTATTGCTCTGTCACCCAGATTAGAGTGCAGTGGTGTGATCTCAGCTCACTGCAACCTTCACCACCTGGGTTCAAGTTATTCTCATGCCTCAGCCTCCCCAGTAGCCGAGATTACAGATGCCCACCACCACGCCCAGCTAATTTTTGTATTTTTAGTAGAGACGGGGTTTCACCATGTTGACCAGTCTTGTCTTGAACTCCTGACCTCAACTGCTCCACCTGCCTTGACCTCCCAAAGTGCTGGAATTACAGGCGTGAGCCACCACATCCAGCCGATTCCTTTTTACTTCTGAGAGTCTTCTGATCCTTGAGTAAAGTATGTTTCTTGTACCTCAATATGCTTAATTTTTTCCTTCTGGCTTTCGTTTTAGGTTCAGGGTATATATGTAGGCTTCTTATATGAGTACATTGCATGTTGCAGTGGTTTGGTGTACAGATAATTTTGTCATCCTGGTAATCAGCATAGTACCTGACAGGCAGTTTTTCTATCCTCATCCTTCTCCCTCTCCCCCCCAAGTAGGCCCCAGTGTCTATTGTTTCCTTTTTTTGTGTGCCTGTGTACTCCATGGTTAGCTCCCACTTATAAGGGAGAATATGTGGTTTTTGGTTTTCTGTTCTTCCATTGATTTGCTTAGGATAATGGCCTCTAGTTCTATCCATGTTCCTGCAAAGGACATGATTTTTTTCTTTTTTATGTCTGCATAGTATTCCATGGTGTATATGTACCACATTTTCTTTACCTAGTCCATTGTCTCAATATACTTAAGTTATACTCAGTAATGTTTTGTAGTTTTTAATATTCAGGCCTTTTATGTTTTTATGAGATTTCCCCAAAGTAGTCTATTGTTTTTAAAGCTATTATACATTTTATTTTCTAATTTCAAATGTTTTATTTTAAAATTGTAAGTATATATGTATATGTGTGTGTGTGTATATATATATATATATATATATATTCATTTACACAGTTGATTCTAAGTGTATCTTTTATTGTTTAACCTGCCTAAATTCACTTATCCTAGCAGCATTTCTGTAGATTTCATTGGGTTATCTGCATAGATGAATAAAGACAGTTTTTACCTCTTTCTTTTGAAAACTGTGTGCCTTTAATTCTTTTTATCACCTTGTCACAGTGGCCAGAATATTCAACACAAAGTTGAATACAAGTGGTGAGTAAACACCCTTGTTTTGCTATTGATCTTAGAGCATGAATATTCACTTTTTTTACCTTTATACTTAATTTTAGCTGTAGGATTTTCATAAATGACCTTTACTAGGTTGAGAAAGTTCCCTCCTATTCCTAGTCTGATGAGAATTTTTATAAGGAGTACATATGACATATGCTTTTATTAAATGTTTTATTCTGCCTCGATTGAAATCAGATAGTTTTTATTTCCCAGTTATAAACCTCAGTTGTTCATGTTATCTTTTTTACGTATCTTTGCAGATGCTTTGCTAATTTTTTAAAATTTTATTTTATTGAGGTAAATACAACATAAGATCTATCCTCTTAACAAATTTTCAAGTCTACAGTACAGTATTATTAACAATAGGTACAATGTTGTATAGTAGATCTCTATAATTTATTCATCTTGCATAATTGAGGCTTTATGCCCTTTGATTAACGACGTCCCATTTTTTCCTCTCTCCATTCCTGGCAACCACCATTCTATTCTCTGATTTTATAAGCTTGACCACTTTAGATATTTCACGTAAGTGGAATCATATAGTATTTATCCTGTGACTTGTTTATTTCATTTAGCATAATGTCCTCAAGTTTCATCCACATTGTTACATATTGCAGGATTTCATTTTTAAGGCTGGATAATATTCTATTGTATGTGTATGTACACATTGGCTACTGTGACTAGTATAGCAATGGACAGTAGTATACTAATATTTCTTTGAGATTCTTATTTCAATTCTTTTGCATAATTACCCAGAAAGGGGATTGGTGGATCATATGGTAGTTCTATTTTTAATTTTTTGAGAAATCACCATCCTGTTTTCCACAGAAGCAGCACAATTTTTCATTCCCACCAAAGTGTTCAAGGGGTCTAATTACCCCACGTACTTCTCAACACTTGTCTTTCATTTGTTTGATAATAGCCATCCTTATAAGTGAGAGATGATATTTGGTGGTTATAATTTGCATTTCCCTGATGATTAGTGATATTGAGCATCATTTCATATGCCCATTGACCCTTTGTATGTTTTTTATGAAGAAATGACCATTCAAGTCTTTGATACATTTTTTAATTGGGTTACTTGTGTTTTTTTTAATATTGAGTTGTAGGAGTTCTTTATATGTTTTGGATATTGACTCCTTTTCTGATATATGATTTGCAATTATTTTCTCCCATTCTGTAGATCATCCTTTCATTCCATTGGTTATTTCCTTTGTGAACCCTGAAAATTTGAGACAGGTCTCAGTTAATTTAGAAAGTTTATTTTGCAAAGGTTGAGAACATATGCCCATAACACAGCCTCACCTCAGGAGGTCCTGCTGACATGTGCCCAAGGTGGTCAGGGCACAGTTTGGTTTTATACATTTTAGGGAGACATGAGACATCAATCAACATATGTAAAATGAACAGTGGTTTGGTCTAGAAAGGTGGGACAATTCAAAGCAGAAGTGAAACAACTGGAAGCAAGGAGGGGGCTTCCAGGTCACAGGTAAGAGACAAATGGTTGCACCTTTTTGTTTCTGATTAGCCTTTCCAAAGGAGGCAATCAGATATGCATTTATCTCAGTGAGCAAAGAGATGACTTTGAATAGAATGGGGGGCTCCCAGGTCACAGGTAAGGGACAAATGGTTGCATCTTTTTGTTTCTGATTAGCCTTTCCAAAGGAGGCAATCAGATACGTATTTATCTCAGTGAGCAAAGAGATGACTTTGAATAGAATGGGAGGCAGTTTTGCCCTAAGCAGTTCCCAGCTTGAATTTTCCCTTTTGTTGAGTGATTTTGGGGGCCCAAGATATTTTCCTTTCACACCTTTGATGCGAACAAGCTGTTTGTTTGCTATAGTCCTACTTGTCTATTCTTGCTTTTGTTGCCTGTGCTTTTGGTGTCAGATTGATGATATCATTGCCAAAACCAATGTCAAAAGGTTTTCCTCTATGTTTTCTTTGAAGGGCTTTACATTTTCAGTACTTACATTTAGGCTTTTAATCCATTTGAAATTTATTTTTGCATATGGTGTAAGATAAGCAATTTCTTTGCAATATGGATGTTCATTTTTCCCGTCACTGTTTGTTGAAGAAACTGTCATTTCCCCTTAAATAGTCCTGCCACCCAAAGACCGTTTAACCATATTTGCAAAGTTTATTCCCAAGTTCTCCAATCTGTTTAATTGGTCTATATGTTCATCTTTATGCCAGTGCCATATTGTTTCAATTATTGTAGCTTTGTAATATATTTTGATATCAGGAAGTTTGAGGCCTCTGGCCTTCTGTTTCTTGCTCAAGATTTGTTTGGCTATTCAGGGCTTTTTGTGGTTCCATGTATATTTTAGTATCATTGTTTTCCTAATTCTAAAATGCCATTGAGGTCTTGATAGGTATTGCACTAAATCTGCAGATCACATTGTGAAATACAAATATTTTAACTATATGAAGTCTTTTAATAAATGAATATAGGAGGATTTTTGCATGTTGATTTTGTACCCTGCAACTTTACTTGGTTTTAGGAGGCTTTTTTGTGGATTCTTTAGAGCATGCCATAGGCAAACAGGGACCATTGTACTTCTTCTTTTACAATCTGTATGTTGTTAATTTCTTTTCCTTGCCTAAGAGCTTTAAGTAGGACAAGGGTTAAATAGAAATGGCAAGTGCAAACATCCTTGCCATGTTTCTGATGTCAGAGGAAAAGTTCAGCTTTTTCCATAGCATGATATTAGCTATGCACTTTACATATAGGGCCTTCAAAATGTTGAAATATTTTTCTCAAATTCTAGGTTGGCAGGAGTTATCATCATAAAATGGGTATTAAATTTTGTGAAAACTTTTTTTCTGAATCTATTGAGATGCACAGGTGACATTTATCCTTCATTCTATTAATGTGGTATATTACATTAATTGATTTTGTATGTTAGGCTATCCTTGCACCCCAGGGATAAATGCCACTTGCTTATGGCATATACTCCTTTTAGTGTACTGTTGAATTAATTTTGCTACTACTTTGTTGAGGATTTTTGCATCTACGTTTACTAGACATATTGGCTTATAGTTTTCTTGTGGTATCTTTGACAAGCTTTGGTGTAATGGTAATGCTGGCCACATAAAATTAGTTTGAAAGTATTTATTCTTTTTAAATTTTTATATAATAGCTTGGGAAAGATGGCCATTAATTTCTCCTTAAATATTTGGTGGCTTCACCAGAAGAGCCATCTTGTCCTGGGAATTTTTTTGTTGTAAGTTTCTTGATTACTGATTCAATCTTCATTCTAGTTATAGATACGCTCATATTTTCTATTTCTTCATAATTCAGTCTTGGTAGGTCCTTGTCTTTGTGAATTTTTTCATTTCTTCTAGGTTATCCAATTTGTTGGCCTATAATTGTTCTTAGTTGTCTCTTACCATCTTTTATATTTCTGTGGCATCAGTTGCAATGTCTTATTTCTGATTTCATTTATTTAAGGCCTCTCTTCTTTTTCTTAGTCTAGCTAAAGGTTTGTCAAGTTATTTATATTTTCCAAAAACTAACTCTTAGTTTTGTTTACTTTTTATATATCCTTTCCATTCACTATTTTATTTCTGAACTAATCTTTATTATTTTCTTTATTCTTCTAAATTTGAACTTTGTTTGTTCTTTTCTACATTTCTAGTTGCTTGGGATATGTATTAGTCCATTTTCACACTGTTGATAAAGACTTAACTGAGAGACTGGGTAATTTGTAAAGAAAAAGAGGTTTAATGGACTCACAGTTCCACGTGGCTGGGGAGGCCTCACTATCATGGCAGAAGGTAAAACACATGTCTCACATGGCGGCAGACAAGAGAGAATGAAAGCCAAGCCAAAGGGGGTTTCCCCTTATAAAACCATCTGATTTCATAAGACTGATTCACTACCATGAGAACAGTATGGGGGAAACCACCCCCATGATTCAATTATCTCCCACTGGGTCCCTCCACCAACATGGGGGAATTATGGGAGCTACAATTCAAGATGAGATTTGGGTGGGGACACAGCCAAACCATATCAAGGTATAAAGTGCATTGTTTGAGACCTTTCTTTTTTCTTAATGCAGATATTCATCACTATAAACTTTTCTTTTAGCCCTACTTTTACTACATCCCATAAGTTTTGTTAGACTTTATTTTTGTTTTCATTTATTCTAATGTGTTTTTAAATTTCCCTTTTGATTTATTCTTTGCAGATTGGTTGTTCAAAAATGTATTGTTAAATTATCACATATTTATTAGTTTTCCTTTTGCAACTGATTTCTAGTTTCATTCCCTTGATGCTGTAAAAGATACTTGATATGACTTCAATTTTCTTAATTTTCTTAAGACTTCTTTTATGACCTAACATATGATCTATCCTGCAGAATGATCCATGTGCACTTGAGAAGAATGTATACTCTGCTGCTGTTGGATGGAATGTTCTGCACATGTCTGTAGGTGACTTGACTTGCAGTGTTGATCAGGTCATCTGGGTCTTTGTTGCCTTTATGTTTGGTTGTTCTATCCATTATTAAAAGTGAGCACTGAAATCTCCTACTGTTATTGTATTGCTATCTATTTCTCCCTTAAGTTCAGTCAATGTTTGCTTTATACCTTTAGATACTCTGATGTTGGGTGCATATATATTTAAAATTATTGTATCCTCCAATGTGAATTGACGCCTTTATCATTATGTAATATCCTTCTTTTTTTCTTGTGACAATTTTTGACTTAAAGTCTATTTTTTATAATATCAGTAAAGGCATTTTTTGTTGTCTTTTAGTTATTATTTGGCGAAGGATTTTTGCAGTCTTCTTCAACCTTCATGCTAGTCCAACTGGCTTTCTTTTTTTCTTGGTAGATTCCAGGCATCTAGAATATCCCAGGTCCTGTCAGTGCTCTGAGATAAACAGGAATAAAGCTAGCTCCTCAGGCAATCTCCAGAAAATATGGATTATCAGTTGTTTAGTTCAACTTTTTCCCCCAAGGAGAAGCTGAGAGTTAAAGGTTTTGGTCCACTCACTCCATCTTGATCCAAGGAGTGGTTGAAACTGCCAGCTCACCCCACCATCTATGTTCTTGCTGGTCCCACGCAGCCAGGCTATGCTTGGTTCTATCAGTACACTGAGACAGGCTAGAGAGAAGCCAGTCTTAGGAGTAGCCCCTGGAAAAATTGGGGAATTGGACATGCCATCCATCATTTATTAACCAAGAGCAAAGCTGGGAGCAGGGGAGTTTCTCCCTGGTTTTTTGGCACTGTGCTGGGGGCAGGAATTAGGGAAGGAGTGTACCTTAGATTTCCCTAAGGCTTCAACATGAGTAGTTTCACCAACAGCATTGGAGCATCTCAACTAGTTTCTTAATTTCCCACAAAGAAAATTTGTCTATGAATTTTTAGTTGAATTGGTGCATTTGTAGAGAGAAAAGAGACCAGGGCTTCCCACTCTGTCATCTTGCTAATTTTACTCCACCATTTATTTTATAATTTAAATATATAAAAATAAGATACATATTTATAATTTATGTGTATGTATATGTATATATTTTAAATTTAATGTATATATAAAAACATTTGCTGTATTTCTAAACTGGAATACAATACAATGAAATTTAATTGCATCTTAAATGGACAAAACATTACCATGCGTAAATGGAAAAAATTGTGGCTGGAGTTACCTCATGATGGAGAGAACAAATACCACTGTACACAACGCCACCAAACATCCTGTATGAGCTATGATAACACAATCCCATATAGTACTAAGTAGGCTTTCTGATATTTTCTACTCGCCAACTGAGGTTTTCTTAAATATATTCTTAGAAGTGTTTCTAGCTATGATGCACATATGTTGTAAAATCCAATGTAATATTTTTTTCATACATGGTTTTAATTGCTCCAACATTAAAATGGTTAGACTTGCATTTTTTCAGCCAACATAGGTGACAGCTGTTTGTTAAAATACTAAATAAATTACACAGACAGGCTACAAGAAAGTAAGCCTGTACATTAAGAACACAGTCACCTGAGGTTAACATTTTAGAATTTTTATTTATTGAGAGCTTATAATAAGTCTTCCATACAACCTTTGACAGGTTTGAAGTATGAAATAGATTTCAGAGTAAGGATTTAAGAGAAAGGGCACTTTAACAAATAACAGTAGCTAAATCCTCAGTTTCTCACGTTGCAGAGATGGTTGTCTAATCCCAGATATCTCCTATCTCTCCCCCAAACTCATAAAATTAATAAGAAAAGCAAATAAAACCACATAATACCTTATCCTTTCAACATCTCTAGGACACATAGAGTACCACAACCTTCAAATTACCTATAAATAGAGAAAAAATATTGCAAAAGAACACTCGCTCCTGCCTACCACTGAATACCTGCGGTGCAGGATAGGGAGATTAGTCTTTAACATACTCAGAAGAGAAGACTAGAGGACATAAATGAATCACAGATACAATAAACCCTGAAAGATAAAACTTCAACAATCAATGCCAGAATACTTAACACAATTTTGGACTTGGTAGTTCATAGTACTGGGAAAAGGCTTGAAACTGAAGACCAGAAGTGGAAAACTTGGAAAGGAAAACAATGGTTTCTTGGAGAGAAGCAGAAAATAAAGGAGTGACACTCCTTAGAAATGTGACTATCAAAGCAAATAAGTAATGTGAGGGACTTAAGAATCCTGCAGAAAGGAAAGAGAAAAAAGACATGACTATCATTTGCCCTTCCCAATCCCATCATCACCACCACCCATAGAGGACACTATGCTGAATAGGACAGAACTGACAGAAGAGGGAGCTCTCTAACTAGGTTCCTTGTCCACGAAACAGGAATAGGAAAAAACAGACCATATTTATGTGAAACCTCTTTAAAACTTCAGATAATGTAAATAAAAATATTTTTCTTTTGAAAAATCACTCACTCAAAAAAGGAAACAACCACTAAGCAGATGAAAAGTGTAATAAACACTGCAAATTGAATTAGACATTCTAACGCAATCATAAAAACAAGACCACAAATGCCAAAAAAATAATAAGGTTGGTATGAAACAGGAGTTGAACTGTGAGAGGTAATAGTATACCACAGTAAAATAATGAACAAAGATTTACAAGATGAATGTTAGCAATAAGAAAGGGGTTGCAATTCTGATGCCAAAGAAGTAGACATAAAAACAGAACTAAATGAGGCAAAGAAAGATGTTGTATAATATTAAAATCTACATACTGCAATGAAGAGTACATAGTTAAGAATTTATGTAGTAATTAATACACTGATTATTTATATAAAATACAAATTACAAGAGATGCAAGAAAAAAAAAGACCATAACATATTAATACAGGGTGATTTTAATATACCACTCTCAATATAAGGCAGAAAGTGTGGGCAAAAATAAGTTATTTTCCGGAAGATCTAAATAAGATAGTATAGCAGATATTTTGAATACATATTGATCACTATGCACTGATAATATAAAATATATTTTTTTCCAAATGCACCTGAAACATTCACAAAAATTGAACAAATAAAGCTCATGAGAAAAGTAAAACTGTATGGCTATCTCCTTAACTAGAAAAAAATATACGTCTACACACATACAGTCAACCTTGAACAATGTGGGCATTAGGACCACTGACCTCCTCTGCAGTTGACAATCCATATATAACTTTTGACTCCCTAAAAACTTAACAACTAATAAACTATTTTTGACACCATCATTTTGTTTCTAGTTCTACATTTCAATCAAAATGATTAAAACAAATAAAACCAAACTTGTTTACAAATATACGAAGAGTCACTGTGGAGGGAAAAGCTCTTTAATTTATTTCTCAAGATATAGATCCAACAGGACTGCAAAGTGGAACAGTTCTCAGAAGCCTGATTCAGGAAGATGTACCCGGGTTTTGGCACCAAATTTCACACGCGTCCGTGTGAAGAGACCACCAAACAGGCTTTGTGTGAGCAACATGGCCGTTTATTTCACCTGGGTGCAGGCGGGCTGAGTCTGAAAAGAGAGTCAGCAAAGGGAGATAAGGGTGGGGCCGTTTTATAGGATTTGGGTAGGTAAAGGAAAATTACAGTCAAAGGGGGTTTGTTCTCTGGCGGGCAGGAGTGGGGGGGTTGCAAGGTGTTCAGTGGGGGTGCTTTTTGAGCCAGGATGAGCCAGGAAAAGGACTTTCACAAGGTAATGTCATCAGTTAAGGCAAGGACCAGCCATTTACACTTCTTTTGTGGTGGAATGTCATCAGTTAAGGTGGGGCAGGGCATATTCACTTCTTTTGTGATTCTTCAGTTACTTCAGGCCATCTAGGCGTACATGTGCAAGTCACAGGGGATGCGATGGCTTGGCTTGGGCTCAGAGGCCTGACATTCCTGCCTTCTTATATTAATAGAAAAATAAAACAAAATAGTGTTGAAGTGTTGGGGCAGTGAAAATTTTTGGGGGTTGGTATGGAGAGAGAATGGGCGATGTTTCTCAGGGCTGCTTCAAGTGGGATTAGGGGTGGCGTGGGAACCTAGAGTGGGAGAGATTAAGCTGAAGGGAGGTCTTGTGGTAAGGGGTGATATTGTGGGGATGTTAGAAGAAACATTTGTCGTATAGAATGATTGGTGATGGCCTAAATACGGTTTTGGATGAATTGAGAAACTAAATGGAATAACAGAAGGAGAAAAACAGGTATAAAAGATCTAAGAATTGGGACGACTCAGGATATCCGATTAGAGAGTGCCTAAGGAGATTCAGAATAGTCCTGCCAGCAAAGATTATTTATTTACTTCAAGAGTTAAGAGTGGCAGTTTGGGGATAGCACCAGGAGATATCAGCTGTGATGGCTTGGAGAAACAGTGCAAACCAGCAGTGTAAACAAGAGCAGGGCATGTATGAGTAGTTGAGAACGGTGAATAGGAGTATGACTAGACAGAAGATAGTAGGGATGACAAGTTTTTTGGGGCACAGTCTAAGTTGGTCTAGTGTCTGGAATGAGACTGGGGCCTAATAAAAAGGAGCGTCTATACAGGAGCTTAAATGGGTTGTACCTTGTAGCATTCTGAGGACAGGCCTGAATTCTGAGAAGGGAAAGTGGTTAAAGTATTGTCCAGTCCTTTTTAAGTTGGTAATATAAGTGATATAAAGGTTTCACTGAATACTAACAGCCTGAAAAACTGCTTGGCTGATTTGACTAATAAAGGCTCGTCTGTTATCAGACTGTATTGAGGTGGGAAGGCTAAACTGAGGAATTATGTCTGACAGAAGGGAAGAAATGACTGCGGTGGCCTTCTCAGACCCTGTAGGAAAGGCCTCTACCTATCCAGTGAAAGTATCTACCTAGACTAAGAGGCATTTTAGTTATCTTACTCAGGGCATGTTGAGTAAAGTTAATTTGCGAGTCCTGGGTGGGGGTAAATCCTCAAGCTTGATGTATAGGGAAGGGGGGGGGGGCCTGAATAATCCCTGAGGAGTAGTAGAATAGCAGATGGAACACTGAGAAGTTATTTCCTTGAGGATAGATTTCCACGATGGAAAGGAAATGAGAGGTTCTAAGAGGCGGGCTAGTGGCTTGTACTATAGTATAACCTGCCTTCGCTGGTGTGTGGCGATTAGGCCTGGTGGAACTGCCATCAATAAATCAAGCGTGATCAGGGTGAGGAACGGGAAAGAAGGAAATTTGGGGAAATGGGGTGAATGTCAGGTGGATCAGAGAGATACAGTCATGGGGGTCAGGTGTGGTCTCAGGAATAATGTGGGAGGCTGGATTGAAGTCTGGGCCAGGAACAACGGTAATTGTGGGAGACTCAACAAAGAGTGAGTACAGCTGAAGGAGCCGGGGAGCAGAAAGTATATGCGTCAGGTATGAGGAAGAAAATAGATTTTGGAAGTTATGAGAACTGTAGAGAGTGAGTTGAGCATAGTTTGTGATTTTGAGGGCCTCTAAAAGTATTAAAGCAGCGGCAGCCGCTGCATGCAGACATGAGGGCTAGGCTAAAACAGTAAGGTCAAGTTGTTTGCACAGAAAGGCTACAGGGTGTGGTCCTGGCTCTTGTGTAAGAATTCTGACCTCACTAACTATGCCTAGGAAGGAAAGGAGTTGTTTTGTAAGGGATTGAAGTTTGGGAGATTAATGGGACACAATCAGCTGGGAGAGCACGTGTGTTTTTATGAGAATTATGCCGAGATAGGTAACAGATGAGGATGAAATTTGGGCTTGACTGAAGTAATGGGGGCTGTCTACTAAGCCTTGCAGCAGTACAGCCTAGGTAATTTGCTGAGCCTAATGGGTGTCAGGGTCAGTCTAAGTGAAAGCGAAGAGAGGCTGGGACGAGAGGTGCAGGGGAATAGTGAAAAAAGCATCTTTAAGATCAAGCACGGAACAGTGAGTTGTGGAGGAAGGTATTGAGGACAAAAGAGTGTACGGGTTGGGCACTGCAGGGTGGATAGGCAAAACAATTTGGTTGCTAAGGCGCAGATCCTGAACTAACTTGTAAGGCTTGTCTGGTTTTAGGACAGGTAAAATGGGGGAATTGTAAGGAGAGTTTATAGGCTTTAAAAGGCTATGCTGTAGCAGGCGAGTGATAACAGGCTTTAATCTTTTTAAAGCGTGCTGCGGGATGGGATATTGGCGTTGAGTGGGGTAAGGGTGATTAGGTTTTAATGAGATGGTAAGGGGTGCATGATCGGTCACCAAGGAGGGAGTAGAGGTATCTTATACTTGTGGGTTAAGGTGGGGGGATACAAGAGGAGGACGCAAAGGAGGCTTTGGATTGGGAAGAAGGGCGGCAATGAGATATAGCTGTAATCCAGGAGTAGTCAGGGAAGCAGATAATTTAGTTAAAGTGTCTCAGCCTAATAAGGGAACTGGGCAGGTGGGGATAACTAAAAAGGAGTGCTTGAAAGAGTATTGTCTAAGTTGGCACCAGAGTTGGGGAGTTTTAAGAGGTTTAGAAGCCTGGCCATCAGTACTTACAACAGTTATGGAGGCAAGGGAAACAGGCCCTTGAAAAGAAGGTAATGTGGAGTGGGTAACCTCTGTATTGATTAAGAAGGGGACGGGCTTACCTTCCACTGTGAGAGTTACCGGAAGCTCGGCGTCCGTGATGGTCTAGGGGGCTTCCGAGGCGATCCGGCAGCGTCAGTCTTCAGCTGCTAAGCTGAGAAAATCTGGGAAGGAGTCAGTCAGAGAGCCTTGGGCCAGAGTTCCAGGGGCTCTGGGAGTGGCTGCCAGGTGAGTTGAACAGTCCGATTTTCAGTGGTGTCCTACACAGATGGGACGTGGCTTAGGAGGAATCCCAGGCTGCAGGCATTCCTTGGCCCAGTGGCCAGATTTCCAGCATGTGTAGCAAGCTCCTGGGGGAGGAGGTTCTGGAGGAATGCCTGGCTGCTGCGTTTCAGACGTTTGGAAGTTCTTGTGTGCTGGAGATGTGGCTGGGGTTTGTCTCACAGTGGAGGCAAAGAATTGCAACTTTTTTCTGTTATTGTACACCTTGAAGGTGAGGTTAATGAAGTCCTGTTGTGGGGTTTGAGGGCCAGATTCCAATTTTTGGAGTTTTATTTAATGTCAGGAGCAGATTGGGTAATAAAATGTATATTGAGAATAAGACGGCCTTTTGACCTTTTAGGGTCTAGGGCTGTAAAGTGTCCCAGGGTTGCTGCCGAACGAGCCATGAACTGGGCTGGATTTTTATATTTGATGAAAAAGAGCCTAAACACTTCTGATTTGGGAGAAAGAAAAAGGAGCGTTAACCTTGATTATGTCTTTAGCTCCAGGAACCTTTTTAAGAGTAAATTGCTGGGCAGGTGGGGGAGGGCTAGTCAAGGAAAGAAACTGTAAGCCGGACCAGGTGTGAGGAGGGGAGGTGATAAAAGGATTATAGGGTGGAGGAGCAGAGGCTGAGGAAGAATTGGGACCTAGCTCAGCCTGGCGAGGAGCAGCCTGGGGAGGAGGGGAGAGGTCAGATGGGTCTGTAGAAAAGGAAGATTAGAAAGACTCAGCGACGCTTGGGGTTGGTACTGACGGGACAGGCGGGAGGGAAAGAAGGAAGATTTGGGACGAGTTGCACTGGGCACAGAGACTAGGGAGGGACTGATGTGTAAAAGAATGCCTGGATGTCAGGCATCTCAGACCGTTTGCCTATTTTACGACAAGAATTATTTAGATTTTGCAGGATGGAAAAATTCAAAGTGCCATTTTCTGGCTATTTGGAACTACTGTCGAGTTTGTATTGGGGTCAAGCGGCATTGCAGAAGAAAATAAGGCATTTAGGTTTTAGGTCAGGTGTGAGTTGAAGAGGTTTTAAGTTTTTGAGAACACAGGCCAAGGGAGTAGAAGGAGGAATGGAGGGTGGAAGGTTGCCCATAGTGAAGGAAGCAAGCCTAGAGAAAAGAGAGAGTAGAGAAATGGAGGGAAGGGGTTCGGGGGTTCTTACCTTCCAGAAAAGTGGGAAAAGGGGTTGGGGCACAGAGATAAGAGGTTGGGGTGCGGAAATAAGGGATTGGGGTGCAGAGATATAAGAGGTTGGGGCACGGAAATAAGGGATTGGGGGTTCTTACCCCATAGAAAAGCGGGACTTGCCGCTAAGGGTGAAGGAGAAGGGGTTGAGGGGTACTTGCCCCTGTCCCAGAAAAGCAGAGAAGGGGTAGAGACAAGGAGAGAAGGGGTTGGGGTACTTGCCCCTTCCCCAGAAAAGCGGGACTTGCTGCTAAGGGTGAAGGACCAAGGCAGGTGTCCCTGTGTGGTCTGACACCCTTGAAACGTGAGTGTATAATCAGAGAGGTGTCCCTGCAATGATTAAACACCAAGGGAAGGCTGCCTTCCCAGTCCGTGACCGGCGCAGGAGTTTTGGGTCCATGGATAAAATGTGTCTCCTTTGTCTTTCCCAGAAAATGAAAGGAATAGAAATTAAGAAAAGGGAGAGATTGAAGAGTGGAAAGGAGAAAGTGGTTGAGGGACAGTGAGAGAGGTTGGAGAAGAGAGTAAGAAGAGGACACTTACCTGATTTAAAATTGGTGAGATGTTCCTTGGGCTGGTCGGTCTGAGGACCTGAGGTCATAGGTGGATCTTTCTCACGGAGCAAAGAACAGGAGTACAGGGGATTGATCTCCCAAGGGAGGTCCCCCGATCCGAGTCACGGCACCAAATTTCATGCGCGTCTGTATGAAGAGACCACCAAACAGGCTTTGTGTGAGCAACATGGCTGTTTATTTCACCTGGGTGCAGGCGGGCTGAGTCCGAAAAGAGTCAGGAAAGGGAGATAAGGGTGGGGCCGTTTTATAGGATTTGGGTAGGTAAAGGAAAATTGCAGTCAAAGGGGGTTTGTTCTCTGGCGGGCAGGAGTGGGGGGGTCGCAAGGTGCTCAGTGGGGGTGATTTTTGAGCCAAGATGAGCCAGGAAAAGGACTTTCACAAGGTAATGTCATCAGTTAAGGCAAGGACCGGCCATTTACACTTCTTTTGTGGTGGAATGTCATCAGTTAAGGTGGGGCAGGGCATATTCACTTCTTTTGTGATTCTTCAGTTGCTTCAGGCCATCTGGGCGTATATGTGCAAGTCACAGGGGATGCGATGGCTTGGCTTAGGCTCAGAGGCCTGACACAAGTTATATGATGAAAGATGCAAATTAGAAAATATCAGCCAAAATGTTTGAACACTGACTTAGCATGTTTATGCACTATATTTCTCGCATATATGCAAAGTTTTGGCTTAACTGTTTCCAGAGCAATATACTTTAAATTTTAAAATACACTCCTTATAAAAATGAGGTACTTATAATGCTTAACATTAAAATATATCCCTAAATACTAAAGAACTTATCATCAAAATCTGTCCCACCTGTCCCATCTCCCCATCCTTCTCTCTTGAGATTTCATTTGCTCCAGAGGTTTTCTGTGATAGAACCAGAGTTCTCATTCTATATTTGACCACACCAAAGTATAGGTAAAGGTGAGGGTGATCCATTTCACATCACCACCCTATCAGATGTCCAGAGATCCATTTGCCTTTTTGCGGTCTTATGAACAGTTGTATGGGGAGTGGTGATCCAGATGGTCTCAAATAGGATGGTGGTGTCTGCTGTCAAAAGGAAGTCCACATCAGAAGCTGCCTTCCCCTAAGAAGGAGCACGTTTTTCTCACTCAACTAGAGCCTGAGCTGTGCTTCTTTGGAGGTTCCTGTTGCCCCTTCAGCTCTCACATCACTTCAGGGCACTGATAGCAGAAGATGCTGGCTTGAGTAGAGGTTAGTGGTGGCCCAAGGCAGAGCAGCTTTTTTTTTTCATGGTTTGGCCCCTTCCTTCTTTTTTTTTTTTTTTTGACACCCAGGCTGCTTGCTTGCTTGCTCTGCTACCCAGGCTGGAGTGCAGTGGCACGATCTCAGCTCACTGCAACCTCCGACCTCGGGTTCAAGAGATTCTCAAGCCTCAGCCTCCTGAGTAGGTGGGATTACAGGCAAGTGCCATCATGGCCACCTAATTTTTGTATTTTTATTAGAGATGGGGTTTTATCATGTTGGCCAGGCTCTTGATCTCAAGTGATCCACCCGCCTTGGCTTCCCAAAGTGCTGGAATTACAAGCATGAGCCACCACGCCCGGCCAGCTTGGCCCCTTCCTATTAGTCATACTTAACAGAGGCCTTTCTGATTTCTCTCTTTTTCTCGATACTTCCTCCCTGACCCTTGCCTGCATTCCTGGGAATTTATTTCTAGTCTTTGGGAAGGGGAAGACCACTTTTATATACAAGATTTTCTTTAAAAAAATCCTTTTTGTTTGTGGCATGATATTTCTCTGAGTAGAGACCTTTTTCTTTTTTCTTTTTCTTTTATGCTTTTACTATGAAATTAGAAAATTAACATGGAATAATCTAGCTGAGTGAACAGCAATGTATTGGAAGCATAGAGGCATAAGGAAAACACACACAAATAAGTGTAAGTTTATTCTTCCAAAATAAAATCCTGCTACATCTACATGCTCCTAAATAGTATACCATTTCTGCCATTTTTAAATTTATGGAACTGCTTTTTATTCTAATTAGAGCTTAGAAGTCAATTCATACACATCAGGACTATCAACTCTTCCCCTCTTACGAATTTCCTCATTTTTTAAACTTGAGAGATAACACAAATAAAGTGCACAAATTATAAGTACTTGATGAATTTTTTATTCATGCATACACCCATACAGTTATTAACCAGTTTGAGATACAGACTGTTCCTAGAACCAACAAAGCCTCCTTCATGCCTCGTGTCTATTAATAATTATTCTTTTAGCCTTAAGAAAACCACTATTCTGATGTCTAACTTTGTAAATCATTTTTGCCTCTTTGTGGACATCATGTAAGTGAAATAATGAAGTACATATTCTTTGCATCTGCATCCTTTCTCTCAGCTTAAAGTCTGTGATACTTTTTTAAATTTTATTTTAAAGTCAGGGGTACATGTGCAGAATGTGCATGTTTGCTACAGAGGCAAACATGTGCCATGGTGGTTTGCTGCACAGATCATCCCATCACCTAGGTATCAAGGCCAGAATCCCTTAGACATTTTCCCTGATACTCTCCCTCCTCCCCACCCACCCTCTGACAGGCCCCAAGGTATGTTGTTCCCCACAATGTGTCCATGTGTTCTCATCATTCAGCTCCGTCTTATAAGTGAGACCATGCGGTGTTTTGTTTTCTGTTCCTGCATTAGTTTGCCGAGGATAATGGCCTCCAGCTCCATCATGTCCCTGCGAAGGACACGATCTTGTTTCTTTTTATGGCTGCATTGTATTCCATGGTATATATGTACCACATTTTCTTTATCCAGTCTCTCACTGATGGGCATTTAGGTTGATTCCATATGTCTGTTATTGTGAATAGTATTTCAGTGAACTTACATGTGCATGTATCTTCATAATGGAATGATTTACATTCCTTTGGATATATACCCAGTAATGGGATTTCTGGGTCAAATGGTATTTCTGCCTCTAGGTCTTTGAGGAGTCACTACACTGTTTTCCACAATGGTTGAACTAATTTACATTCCCATCAACAGTGTAAAAGCGTTTCTTTTTCTCCACAACTTTGCCAGCATCTGTTGTTTTTTTGACTTTTTAACAATAGCCATTCTGACTGGTGTGAGATAATATCTTGTGGTTTTGCTTTGCATTCTTCTAATGATCAGTGATGTTGAGCTTTTTTTCATATGTTTGTTGGCCGCATGTAAGTCTTCTTTTGAGAAATGTCTGTTCATATCATTTTCCCACTTTTTAATGGGGTTGTTTCTTTCCTGTAAATTTGTTTAAGTTCTGTGTAGATGCTGGACATTAGACGATGGTCAGATAGTTGGATTGCAAAACTATTCTCCCATTCCATAGGTTATCTGTTCACTCTGATAATAGTTTCCTTTGCTGTGCAGAAGCTCTTTAGTTTAATCAGGTTTGTCAATTTTTTGTGTCAATTTTTGGTTTTGTCACAATTGCTTTTGACATCTTCATCATGAAGTCTTTGCTCATGCCTATGTGTGATACTTTTTATTACCAGTAGAATTCCATTATATGAATATACAACAATTTGCTTCTATTGTTCTACTCGTGATGGCCACTTTAGTTATTACCTATTTTTTAATATTATGAATAAAACTTCTCTAAACATTTTTATTTTTCTTGTACATGTACGCTTTTAGTGGATATGTATCCTCATTTCCCTTACATGCATATTGAAAAAATAAATTTCTAAGTCATAGTGGAGGCATGTATTTAGATCTAGAAGGTAATCCCAAACAGTTTTCCAAAGTGCTGGGAAAAATGTATAATTTTACCAGTGGTTTTATATGACTCTCTGTTGCAGAAACCAGCCAAATTGTCCCACAGAACTGATGTTTATTGTTTCTTTTAAACAAACATAGAAATTGACCCTCTCAGTCTTAAAACTTGAGAAACCTACATTTGTCTAATCTGAGTTTCCTTCCTAGGAAACCAACCATCAGACCTCCCAGAAAGTATCAAGGAACTGAAACTTACCAGATCACCACATCTGGACTATGAGAGCCAGACACCTAACCCATCATAGTTGCCTAACCAACCACCTGCTTCCTGTTGACCAACTCCTCTTCCTTACCCCTCCCTAATTCCTATTTTCCCACATACAGTTACATTTTTTTTTTCCTGCTACATAAACCTCTAATTTTAGTCAATTGAGGAGATGAATTTGAGACTGACTTCCCATCTCCTCAGCTGCGGCACCCAAATAAACCCTTCTTCTCTGGCAACACTTGTCTCAGTGGTTTGCTTTCTGTGCAGTAAGCAATGGCTGTTTCAGTAACATTGCCTGCTTCCTTGCCAACACTTCTATTGTTGATCTTTTTTTTTTTTAAGCTTCACATATTTTGGGCCATATTATACATTGGCATATAATTGTAGCTTAAATCTGAATTCTCTTATGATTAATGGCACCTATAACTTTTTGGTCATTTGGATGTCCTCTTCTGTATAATGTCTGTTAAGCCTTTGGCTACCATTTATTAATTATATATATTTGCATACATATAATATACATATATTTTCTAAGTTTTTTGCGTGTGTAAATTACCTTGTATTTTGCATACATACACACAGACTGGATTTTATATTGAAATTGTATGGAAGCTATATTTCTAGATTCTACATGTATTAGAAGAGAACAAACACCTTAACCGTGCTGAATCTTCCAATCCATGAACAAAAATTATCTGTCTATTTATTTAGGTTGCCTTTACTTTTTTTTTTTTTTTTTTTTTGAGACGGGGTCTCGCTCTGTTGCCTGGGCTGGAGTGCAGTGGCATGATCTCCGCTCACTGCAAGCTCTGCCTTCCAGGTTCACGCCATTCTCCTGCCTCAGCCTCCCGAGTAGCTGGGACTACAGGCGCCCGCCACCACGCCTGGCTAATTTTTTGTATTTTTTTAGTAGAGACGGGGTTTCACCGTGTTAGCCAGGATGGTCTTGATCTCCTGACCTCGTGATCCGCCTGGCTTGGCCTCTCAAAGTGCTGGGATTACAAGCGTGAGCCACCGCGCCTGGCCTGCCTTTACTTTTTCACAGAAAAACTTCACCAATTTTAGCAATAATGTCTGACAAAATTCTTGTTAGATTTTTTTCTTAGGTATTTAATAGTTTATGGTGTTATAGAATATGGTCTTATTTATCTACTTTCATTTTCTAATATTTTGTGGCTGGTGAATTGAAAGCGTTTGCTCTTTTTTTTTTTTCAGCTTTATTGAGGTATAATTGATACATACCCTAAAGGGCACATGTTTAAAGGTACATGTGTTTCGACATATGTGTTGTATTTATGAAATGACCGTTAAGATAATAAACTTGTCCATCATGCCCCAAATTTCTTTGTGTCTTTTGCTTTCTTTGGATTATTGTCCCATATAGGTTCAGTTTCAAAACCTTCGTTATGCCGCTCAGGGTCCACTCTGCTCATGAGTCACTCAGTCATGAATGTGGGACTTAGATAGTGGTACAAATCATAGTTCAGTTCCCAAATCCTTTGCCACGCTATCTTGGCTTTGTACTATACTTGTGTAATTAATAGGTGAACCCTGTACTTGTGTCAACTCATATACAAAATTAAGCTATCCTCTTCTCCAACTTTGTCCTCTCTGAAATTTCCCATATTTTCTCAGCTCCAGAAATCCTTTTTCCTGATTTGTCTGAGAAGGAAAATATGTTTCTCTCAGAGTTTTAGCTGCTCATGCACTGATATCTTTTTTTCTTTCCTTCTGGATGTTCAGTGAACAAAAGTTTGGCTTATTGATAGCCTTCTGAGTCTATTCACATTTTATTATTTTTTATTTTGTTATTTTAAAAGTTTTACTGACAAATAATTTTATGCATTTATGGCGTAAAATGTGATATATTGATATATGCATACATTGTAGAAGGATTAAATCAAAGTCATTAACATAGCCATCAACTCACCTACTTATTTTTTGTGATAAAATATTTAAAATTTACTTTTTTAGCAATTTCAAAATATACAATATATTATTATTAGTTATCATCACTATGCTATGGAATAGATTACTAAAACTTATTCCTTCTGTCTAACTAACACTTTGTACCCTCTGACCAATGTCTCCCTTTTCTTCATTACCCCCCTGTACCTTCAGCCTCTGATAACCACCATTATTCTTGCTGCTTCCATGAGCTCAACTTTTTTAGATTCCAAATATAAATGAGATCATGCAGTATTTTTCCTTATGTGCCTGGGTTCTTTTAGTTAGCATAATGTCCTCCACATGTTTCTATGTTGTCACGAATGACAGAAGTTCCTTCTTTTTAAAGGCTGTATAGTATTTCTTTTTTTTGTACATTTTTTATTTTTTATTTTTTATTTTTTTTTCTTAGTTTTTATTACTATTACTATTATTATTATTATTATTATTATTATACTTTAAATTTTAGGGTACATGTGCACAATGTGCAGGTTAGTTACATATGTGTACACGTGACATGCTGGTGCGCTGCACCCACTAACTCATCACCTAGCATTAGGTATATCTCCCAATGCTATCCCTCCCCACTCCCCGCACCACACAACAGTCCCCAGAGTGTGATGTTCCCCTTCCTGTGTCCATGTGTTCTCATTGTTCAATTCCCACCTATGAGTGAGAATATGCAGTGTTTGGTTTTTTGTTCTTGCGATAGTTTACTGAGAATGATGATTTCCAATTTCATCCATGTCCCTACAAAGGACATGAACTCATCATTTTTTATGGCTGCATAGTATTCCATGGTGTATATGTGCCACATTTTCTTAATCCAGTCTATCATTGTTGGACATTTGGGTTGGTTCCAAGTCTTTGCTATTGTGAATAGTGCTGCAATAAACATACGTGTGCATGTGTCTTTATAGCAGCATGATTTATAGTCCTTTGGATATATACCCAGTAATGGGATGGCTGGGTCAAATGGTATTTCCAGTTCTAGATCCCTGAGGCATTGCCACACTGACTTCCACAATGGTTGAACTAGTTTACAGTCCCACCAACAGTGTAAAAGTGTTCCTATTTCTCCACATCCTCTCCAGCACCTGTTGTTTCCTGACTTTTTAATGATTGCCATTCTAACTGGTGTGAGATGGTATCTCATTGTGGTTTTGACTTGCATTTCTCTGATGGCCAGTGATGGTGAGCATTTTTTCATATGTTTTTTGGCTGCATAAATGTCTTCTTTTGAGAAGTGTCTGTTCATGTCCTTTGCCCACTTTTTGATGGGGTTGTTTTTTTCTTGTAAATTTGTTTGAGTTCATTGTAGATTCTGGATATTAGCCCTTTGTCAGATGAGCAGGTTGTGAAAATTTTCTCCCATTTTGTAGGTTGCCTGTTCACTCTGATGGTAGTTTCTTTTGCTGTGCAGAAGCTCTTGAGTTTAATTAGATCCCATTTGTCAATTTTGGCTTTTGTTGCCATTGCTTTTGGTGTTTTAGACATGAAGTCCTTGCCCATGCCTATGTCCTGAATGGTAATGCCTAGGTTTTCTACTAGGGTTTTTATGGCTTTAGGTCTAACGTTTAAGTCTTTAATCCGTCTTGAATTGATTTCTGTATAAGGTGTAAGGAAGGGATCCAGTTTCAGCTTTCTACATATGGCTAGCCACTTTTCCCAGCACCATTTATTAAATAGGGAATCCTTTCCCCATTGCTTGTTTTTCTCAGGTTTGTCAAAGATCAGATAGTTGTAGATATGTGGTGTTATTTCTGAGGGCTCTGTTCTGTTCCATTGATCTATATCTCTGTTTTGGTACCAGTACCATGCTGTTTTGGTTACTGTAGCCTTGTAGTATAGTTTGAAGTCAGGTAGCGTGATGCCTCCAGCTTTGTTCTTTTGGCTTAGGATTGACTTGGCGATGCGGGCTCTTTTTTGGTTCCATATGAACTTTAAAGTAGTTTTTTCCAATTCTGTGAAGAAAGTCATTGGTAGCTTGATGGGGATGGCATTGAATCTGTAAATTACCTTGGGCAGTATGGCCATTTTCACGATATTGATTCTTCCTACCCATGAGCATGGAATGTTCTTCCATTTGTTTGTATCCTCTTTTATTTCCTTGAGCAGTGGTTTGTAGTTCTCCTTGAAGAGGTCCTTCACATCCCTTGTAAGTTGGATTCCTAGGTATTTCATTCTCTTTGAAGCAATTGTGAATGGGAGTTCACTCATGATTTGGCTCTCTGTTTGTCTGTTGCTGGTGTATAAGAATGCTTGTGATTTTTGTACATTGATTTTGTATCCTGAGACTTTGCTGAAGTTGCTTATCAGCTTAAGGAGATTTTGGGCTGAGACAATGGGGTTTTCTAGATATACAATCATGTCATCTGCAAAGAGGGACAATTTGACTTCCTCTTTTCCTAATTGAATACCCTTTATTTCCTTCTCCTGCCTAATTGCCCTGGCCAGAACTTCCAACACTATGTTGAATAGGAGTGGTGAGAGAGGGCATCCCTGTCTTGTGCCAGTTTTCAAAGGGAATGCTTCCAGTTTTTGTCCATTCAGCATGATATTGGCTGTGGGTTTGTCATAAATAGCTCTTATTATTTTGAAATACGTCCCATCAATACCTAATTTATTGAGAGTTTTTAGCATTAAGGGTTGTTGAATTTTGTCAAAGGCCTTTTCTGCATTTATTGAGATAATCATGTGGTTTTTGTCTTTGGTTCTGTTTATATGCTGGATTACATTTATTGATTTGCGTATATTGAACCAGCCTTGCATCCCAAGGATGAAGCCCACTTGATCATGGTGGATAAGCTTTTTGATGTGCTGCTGGATTCAGTTTGCCAGTATTTTATTGAGGATTTTTGCATCAGTGTTCATCAAGGATATTGGTCTAAAATTCTCTTTTTTGGTTGTGTCTCTGCCCGGGTTTGGTATCAGGATGTTGCTGGCCTCATAAAATGAGTTAGGGAGGATTCCCTCTTTTTCTGTTGATTGGAATAGTTTCAGAAGGAATGGTACCAGTTCCTCCTTGTACCTCTGGTAGAATTTGGCTGTGAATCCATCTGGTCCTGGACTCTTTTTGGTTGGTAAGCTATTGATTATTGCCACAATTTCAGATCCTGTTATTGGTCTATTCAGAGACTCAACTTCTTCCTGGTTTAGTTTTGGGAAAGTGTATGTGTCAAGGAATTTATCCATTTCTTCTAGATTTTCTAGTTTATTTGCATAGAGGTGTTTGTAGTATTCTCTGATGGTAGTTTGTATTTCTGTGGGATCAGTGGTGATATCCCCTTTATCATTTTTTATTACATCTATTTGATTCTTCTCTCTTTTCTTCTTTATTAGTCTTGCTAGTGGTCTGTCAATTTTGTTGATTTTTTCGAAAAACCAGCTCCTGGATTCATTGATTTTTTTGAATGGTTTTGTCTGTCTCTATGTCCTTCAGTTCTGCTCTGATCTTAGTTACTTCTTGACTTCCGCTAGCTTTTGAATGTGTTTGCTCTTGCTTCTCTAGTTCTTTTAATTGTGATGTCAGGGTGTTGATTTTAGATCTTTCCTGCTTTCTCTTGTGGACATTTAGTGCTATAAATTTCCCTCTACACACTGCTTTGAATGCGTCCCAGAGATTCTGGTATGTTGTGTCTTTGTTCTCGTTGGTTTCAAAGAACATCTTTATTTCTGCCTTCATTTCGTTATGTACCCAGTGGTCATTCAGGAGCAGGTTGTTCAGTTTCCATGTAGTTGAGCAGTTTTGAGTGAGATTCTTAATCCTGAGTTCTAGTTTGATTGCACTGTGGTCTGACAGATAGTTTGTTATAATTTCTGTTCTTTTACATTTGCTGAGGAGAGCTTTACTTCCAAGTATGTGGTCAATTTTGGAATAGGTGTGGTGTGGTGCTGAAAAAAATGTATATTCTGTTGATTTGGGGTGGAGAGTTCTGTAGATGTCTATTAGGTCTGCTTGGTGCAGAGCTGAGTTCAATTCCTGGGTATCCTTGTTGACTTTCTGTCTCGTTGATCTGTCTAATGTTGAGAGTGGGGTGTTAAAGTCTCCCATTATTAATGTGTGGGAGTCTAAGTCTCTTTGTAGGTCACTCAGGACTTGCTTTATGAATCTGGGTGCTCCTGTATTGGGTGCATATATATTTAGGATAGTTAGCTCTTCTTCTTGAATTGATCCCTTTACCATTATTTAATGGCCTTCTTTGTCTCTTTTGATCTTTGTTGGTTTAAAGTCTGTTTTATCAGAGACTAGGATTGCAACCCCTGCCTTTTTTTGTTTTCCATTTGCTTGGTAGATCTTCCTCCATCATTTTATTTTGAGCCTATGTGTGTCTCTGCATGTGAGATGGGTTTCCTGAATACAGCACACTGATGGGTCTTGACTCTTTATCCAATTTGCCAGTCTGTGTCTTTTAATTGGAGCATTTAGTCCATTTATATTTAAATTAATATTGTTATGTGTGAATTTGATCCTGTCATTATGATGTTAGCTGGTTATTTTGCTCATTAGTTGATGCAGTTTCTTCCTAGTCTCGAAGGTCTTTACATTTTGGCATGATTTTGCAGCGGCTAGTACCGGTTGTTCCTTTCCATGTTTAGCACTTCCTTCAGGAGCTCTTTTAGGGCAGGCCTGGTGGTGACAAAATCTCTCAGCATTTGCTTCTCTGTAAAGTATTTTATTTCTCCTTCACTTATGAGGCTTAGTTTGGCTGGATATGAATTTCTGGGTTGAAAATTCTTTTCTTTAAGAATGTCGAATATTGGCCCCCACTCTCTTCTGGCTTGTAGAGTTTCTGCCGAGAGATCCACTGTTAGTCTGATGGGCTTCCCTTTGAGGGTAACCCGACCTTTCTCTCTGGCTGCCCTTAACATTTTTTCCTTCATTTCAACTTTGGTGAATCTGACAATTATGTGTCTTGGAGTTGCTCTTCTCGAGGAGTATCTTTGTGGCGTTCTCTGTATTTCCTGAATCTGAACGTTGGCCTGCCTTGCTAGATTGGGGAAGTTCTCCTGGATAATATCCTGCAGAGTGTTTTCCAACTTGGTTCCATTCTCCCCATCACTTTCAGGTACACCAATCAGACGTAGATTTGGTCTTTTCACATAGTCCCATATTTCTTGGAGGCTTTGCTCATTTCTTTTTATTCGTTTTTCTCTAAACTTCCCTTCTCGCTTCATTTCATTCATCTCATCTTCCATCACTGATACCCTTTCTTCCAGTTGATCACATTGGCTCCTGAGACTTCTGCATTCTTCACGTAGTTATCGAGCCTTGGTTTTCAGCTCCATCAGCTCCTTTAAGCACTTCCCTGTATTGGTTATTCTAGTTATACATTCTTCTAAATTTTTTTTCAAAGTTTTCAACTTCTTTGCCTTTGGTTTGAATGTCCTCCCGTAGCTCGGGGTAATTTGATCGTCTGAAGCCTTCTTCTCTCAGCTTGTCAAAGTCATTCTCCGTCCAGCTTTGTTCCGTTGCTGGTGAGGAACTGCGTTCCTTTGGAGGAGGAGAGGCACTCTGCTTTTTAGAGTTTCCAGTTTTTCTGCTCTGTTTTTTCCCCATCTTTGTGGTTTTATCTACTTTTGGTCTTTCATGATGGTGATGTACAGATGGGTTTTTGGTGTGGATGTCCTTTCTGTTTGTTAGTTTTCCTTCTAACAGACAGGACCCTCAGCTGCCAGTCTGTTGGAGTACCCGGCTGTGTGAGGTGTCAGTCTGCCCCTGCTGGGGGGTGCCTCCCAGTTAGGCTGCTCGGGGGTCAGGGGTCAGGGACCCACTTGAGGAGGCAGTCTGCCCATTCTCAGATCTCCAGCTGCGTGCTGGCAGAACCACTGCTCTCTTCAAAGCTCAGATGGAAATGGAGAAATCACCCGTCTTCTGCATCGCTCACGCTGGGAGCTGTAGACCAGAGCTGTTCCTATTCGGCCATCTTGGCTCCTCCTGCTGTATAGTATTTCTTTCTGTATATATACACCATATTTTCTTTATCCATTCATCTGTTGATGGACACTTAAGCTGATTCCATATCTTGGCTATTGTGATTAATGTTGCAATGAACGTGGAGTTCAGATATCTCTTCAGCATACCAATTTCAACTCTTTTTGATTTATACATTTCAACTCCTTTGGATATATATCCAGATGCCGAACTGCAGGATCATAGGGTAATTGTATTTTTAGCTTTTTGAGGAATCTCTATACTGTTTCTCATAATGGCTGTACTAATGTACATTTCCACTAACAATGTAGTTGAGTTTCCTTTTCTCCACTTCTTTCCCAACACTTCTTATCTACTGAGTTTTTGATAGTAACCATTGTACCAAGTGTGAGGTAACCTCTCATTTTGTTTTGAATTTGCATTTCTCGGATGATTAGAGATTGAGCATTTTTTTCTCACGTACCTGTGGTCCTTCATATGTCATCTTTTCAGAAATGTTCATTTAGGTTCTTTGCCTATTTTTGAATTTAGTTATTTGTTTTCTTGCTAATTAATCGTGCAACTCCTTTATATATTTTGGACATTAGCCCCTTATTAGAGTACATTATGCAAATATTTTCTCCCAATCTGTGGGTTATCTCTTCACTTTGTTAACTGTTTTCTTTGTTGTACAAAACCTTTTTAGTTTGTTGCAATCCCATTTATTTATTTTTCCTTTAGTTACCTGTGGGTTTGGAGTCATATGCAAAAAATTATTGCCCAGATCAATGACATGGAATTTTCCCCTACGTTTTCTCCTAGTAGTTTTATAATTTCAGGTCTTGCATTTTATTCTTTAATCTAATTTGAGTTGATTTTTCAGTATGATGTAAAATAAAGGTCCAACTTTATTTTTTCTGCATGTACAAATTCAGTTTTGCCAACACCATTTATTGAAGAGATTGTTGTTCTTTTGTCATTGTGTATTCTTAGCACCTTTGTCAAAAATCGACTGCCTTAAATGTGTGGGTTTATTTCTAGGCTTTCTATTCAGTCCTGTTGGTCAATGTGTCGTTTATACACTAGTACTATGCTGTTTTGATTACAAAGCTTTATAATAGAGCATGAAATTAAGGAGTGTGACGTTTCCAGCTTTGTTCTGTTTGCTCGAGATTGCTTTGGCTGTTCAGGGTTTTTGTGATTCCATATGAATTTCAGGAATGCTTTTTCTATTCTCATATAAAACAAAATTGGAATTTTAACAGGGATTGCATTAAATCTGTAGATCACTTTAGGTTGCACGGAAATTTTATATTTCTCTCACTCCAAGAACATATGATATCTTTCCATTTACTTGTGTTAGATTAAATTTCTTTCACTGGTGTTTTATAGTTTTCAGTATATAGCTCTTTCACCTCCTTGGATAAACTTACTAAAGTTTTTTTTTCTTTCTTTTTACTTTAAATTCTGGGATATGTGCTGAACGTGCAGGGTTGTTACATAGGCATACATGTGCCATGTTGGTTTGCTGCACCTATTGACCCGTCCTCTAAGGTCCCTCCCCTTGCCTCCCACTGGCCAACAGGCCCTGGTGTGTGTTGATCCCCTCCCTGTGTCCATATGTTCTCATTGTTCAACTCCCACTTATGAGGAGAACATGTGGTGTTTGGTTTTCTCTTCCTGTGTTAGTTTGCTGAGGATGATGGCTTCCAGCTTCATCCATGTCCCTGCAAAGGACATGATTTCATCCCTTTTTATGGCTGCATAGTATTCCACAGTGGTATATGTACCACATTTTCTTTATCCAGTCTATTATTGATGGGCATTGGGTTGGTTCCACGACTTTACTGTTGTAAATAGTGCTGCAATAAACATACGTGTGCCTGTGTGTTTATAGTAGAATGATTTATATTTCTTTGGGTATATACCCAGTAATGGCATTGCCGGGTCAAATGGTATTCCTGGTTCTGGATCCTTGAGGAATCACCATACTGTCTTCCACAATTGTTGAACTAATTTACATTCCCACCAACAGTGTAAAAGTGTTCCTATCTACAGTCTCACCAGCATCTATAGTTTCTTGACTTTTTAATAATCGCCATTCTGACTGGCATGAGATGGTATCTCATTGTGGTTTTGATTTGCATTTTTCTAATGATCAGTGATATTGAGATTTTATTCATATGTTTGTTGGCTGCATAAATGTCTTCTGTTGAGAAGCGTCTGTTAATTTGTTTTGCCCACTTTTTGATGGGGTTGTTTGTTTTTTTCTTGTAAATTTGTTTAAGTTCCTTGTAGATTCTGGATATTAGACCTTTGTCAGATGGGTAGATTGTAAAATTTTTCTCCCATTCTGTAGATTGTCTTTTCACTCTGATGACAGTTTGCTTTGCTGTGTAGAAGCTCTTTAGTTTAATTAGATCCCATTTGTCAATTTTGGCTTTTGTTGCCACTGCTTTTGGCATTTTTGTCATGAAGTCTTTGCCCATGCCTTTGTCGTGAATGATACTGCCTAGGTTTTCTTCTAGGGTTTTTATGGTTTTGGGTTTTACATTTAAGTCTTTAATCCATCTTGAGTTAATTTTTGTATAAGGTGTAAGGAAGGAGTCCAGTTTCAGTTTTCTGCATATGGCTAACAAGTTTTCTGAGCACCATTTACTGAATAGGAGATCCTTTCCCCATTGCTTGTTTTTGTCAGGTTTGTCACAGATCAGATGGTTGTAGATGAGTGGTGTTATTTCAGAGGTCTCTGTTCTGTTCTATCGGTCTGTATGTCTGTTTTGGTACCAGTACCATGCTGTTTTGGTTACTGTAGCCTTGTAGTATAGTTTGAAGTTAGGTAGCATGATACTCCAGCTTTGTTCTTTTTTTTTTGGGATTGTCTTGGTTATACGGGGTCTTCTTTGATTCCATATGAAATTTAAGGTAGTTTTTTTCTAATTCTGTAAAGAAAGACAATGGTAGTTTGATGGGAATAGCATTAAATCTATAAATTACTTTGGGCAGTATGGCCATTTTCATGATATTGATTCTTCCTATCCAGGAGGATGAAATGTTTTTTCATTTGTTTGTGTCCTCTCTTATTTTCTTGGGCAATGGTTTGTAGTTCTCCTTGAAGAGGTCCTTCACATCTCTTCTTAGCTGTATTCTTAGGTATTTTATTTCTTTGTAGCAATTGTGAATGGGAGTTCATTCATGATTTGGCTCTCTGCTTGTCTATTGTTAGTGTAAAGGAGTGTTTGTGATTTTTGCACATTGACTTTGTATCCTGAGACTGTTGAAATTGCTTATCAGCTTAAGGAGTTTTTGGGCTGAGATGATGGGGTTTTCTAAATATACAATCATGTCGTCTGCAAACAGAGACAAGTTGACTTCCTCTCTTCCTATTTGAATACCTTTATTTCTTCCTCTTGCCTGATTGCCCTGGCCAGAATTTCCAATATGTTAAATAGGAGTGGTGAAAGAGGGCACCCTTGTCTTGTGCTGGTTTTCAAAGGGAATGTTTCCAGCTTTTGTTCATTCAATATTATATTGGCTATGGGTTTGTCATAAATAGCTCTTATCATTTTGAGATATGTTCCATCAATGCATAGTTTGAGAGTGTTTTTTTTCTTTTTTTTTTTTAAGGCAAATGACAAATACCTAGTTTACCATCTTTACTTTTTTAAACCTAATGTTAACATTAATATTTAAACAGTTGTCAAAAATTGCTAAGTTGCCAGCATTCATGCACAACTAGAAAACATCCTTAACTTATCTTAAACCAGAAATGTATTGCCATTAATGCATTAATATCTTTTACTACTAAATACTGAAAAAAATTGAAATTATTTCTGTAGATTTGTCCTGGCAATCATTTGGAGAAGAGATACTCCGGCCTTTTGGGTTTTCAGCATTTTTTCATTGACTCTTTTCCATCTTCATGTGTTGTCTAGTTTTGATCTTTGAGGCTGTTGATCCTTGGATGGGGTTTTTGTGGGGATTTTTTTGTTGTTAATGCTGTTATTTTTGCTTTCTGTTTGTTTGCTTTTCTTTTTTTCTTTTTTTTTTATTATACTTTAAGTTCTAGGGTACATGTTCACAACGTGCAGGTTTGTTACATATGTATACATGTGCCATGTTTGTGTGCTGCACCCATTAACTCGTCATTTACATTAGGTATATCTCCTAATGCTATCCTTCCCCCCTCCCCCCACCCCACAATAGGCCCCGGTGTGTGAAACCAAACACCGCATGTTCTCACTCATAGGTGGGAATTGAACAATGTTTGCTTTTCTTTCAATTGTCAGGTCCCTCTTCTGTAGCGCTGCTGGGGTTTGCTGAGGGTTCACTTCAGGCCTTTTTCACCTGGTTCACTCTCCTGCCTGAAGATGTCACTCAAGGAGGCTGGAGAACAGCAAAGATGGATGTCTGCTTTTCCTCCTGGGGTCTCTGATTTTGAGGGACACCAAACTGATGCCAGTAGATTTGGTCCTGCAAAGGGTGTCTGACAATTCCTGTTGGAGGGTCTCCGTTGGGTGGCATGGGGAACAGGAACTATTTAACAAAGCACTTTGACTGTCCCTTGGTGGAGGGAGTGTGCTTCACTGGGGGGTAACCCACTCATCTGGGCTGCCCAGATTCGTCAGAACTAACAGGAGTAAAGGCTAAGTCTGCTGGTCTGCAGAGACTGCAGCCACCCCTCCCCATAGGGACTCAGGCCCAGGGAGATTAGCATTCTGTCCCCTGAACCTCTCACTGGAGTTGTTGAAGTTCCTGCAGGGAGGCCCCGGCCATTGAAGAGGGATGAGTCAGGGTCAGGCCTGAAGGGGCATTCTGGCCACAGTCTGCCACAGCCAGTGTGTTGGGCTGTAGGGAACACTTCTTGGCACCAGGCCATCCAGCCTCCCTGGCTCCAGCAGGGAAAAAGCAGAAAAAAAATGAAAACTCTTCAATAAGCCATTACAAATTCTTTTGAAAAAAAAAATTAGCAAATAAATACAGGTTATAAAAAATAATCAAATGGGTACCAGCAATCACCTCAATTTCTATTTGATGTGCACTTTTCCCATCATGGTATTTTCATTAGTTTGTTGTACATTTTTATTTTATTTTATTTTATTTATTTAGATATTTATTTGAGATGGAGTCTCACTCTGTCACCCAGGCTGGAGTGCAGTGGCACCATCTCAGCTCACTGCAACCTCCACCTCCTTGGTTGCAGTGGCACCATCTCAGCTCACTGCAACCTCCACCTCCTTGGTTCAAGGGATTCTTCTGCCTCAGCCTCCCAAGTAGCTGGAATCACATGCGTGTGCCACCACACCTGGCTAATTTTTCTCTATTTTTAGTAGAGACAGGGTTTTTCCATGTTGGCCAGGCTGGTCTCGAACTCCTGACCTCAGGCGATCTGCCCACCTTGGCCTCCCAAAGTGCTGGGATTACAAGCATGAGCCACTGCTCCTGGCCTGTTGTACATTTTTAATGTTGTTACTTTTTCATTTACTTTCAAATTCAGGAAGCACATTCGTATGTCTTGCCAAAGTTTTATATTCATCAAAATACTTTCAAAGTTTTTTCTCTTACTTTTTGTAAGCAAAGGAATAGGTTTCTATTAACTGTGCAGCTTATGTTTAGGCACTTTTAAAAAAAATTTTGGAACTTTATTTCGTTTTTTCCCCTTGTTTGACAATATCAACCCACACACCTAAATTGCATTAAAATATATGCCAAGAAGCTTTCAATTTTAATATAATGTATTTTTAGTTGATATTGTATCTTGTAATATTTAAGAAACACTTTCACACATTTCGCACATTTGTGTGTGTGAAAAAAGAAATTATAAATTATAAAACTGAAAGACACAAAAACAACAGCAGCAAAACTCACTAGACAGGTTCAATAGGGTAATGAAGATGACAGAGGAAAGAATCAGAGGATATACAGATGGCAAAATAAACTAAAACTGTACTGAGATATCACTACATACTTATCAGAATGGCAAATATAAAAATAGTGACAATATTAAAAGTCAACAAGGACGAGTAGAAACTAGATCACTCATGCATTTCTGGTAGGAATGTAAAATGATACAGCCTCTTTGAAAAATCCTGTGGAAGTTTCCTTAAAAACAAATCATACAACTCCCACATAACTCTGCAGTTGCACTCTTGGATAGTTATTCCAGAGAAATAAAAACTTACAAATACACAAAATGTGGACACAAATTTTCATAGTGGTTTTACTTGTAATAGCCCCAAACTAAAAACAATTCAGAAGTCCTTCAATGAGTTAAACTGTGGTACATAAATACAGTGGAATACTACTCAATTATAAAAGGAACATGCAACAACTTGTATAAATCTCCAGGTATGTTGAAACTAAAAAAGTTTACATTCTATGCAATTCCATTTATATAACATTCTTGAAATGGTAAAATGATAAAAATGGAGAGCAAATTAATGGTTTTCAGGAATCAAGAATGGGGGAGAGGTAGAAGGTGGGTGTGGCTTCCTCTATCATAGGGATCCCTGTGATAATGGAGCTCTTCTGTATTTTGATTGTATCATTATCAATATCTTGGTTGTAATATTGTGTTACAGTTTTACAAGACATCGCCATTGGGGTAAACTGGGACAGGAAACATGGGATCTCTTGGTGTTATTCCTTATGGTAACATGTGAACTTACAATTATACCAAATTAAAAACTTAATTTTAAAAAATGAAGCAAAATAAAAATATTTCCAGGTTAGTAAAAGCTGAATGAATGTGTTGCCAGCAGGTCCACACTGTAAGAAATGCTGAAGGATGTTCTTTTTACTGAGGGAAACAGTATCAGATGGGAAACTGCTTCTACAGGAAAGAATGCAGAAAGGTAGACTGGTAACTGTAAGAGAAATATAATTAGTTTTTCTCAAGTATCCTGTAAGTTAACTGACCTCATAAAACAAAATTAATGGCAATATGTTCGAGCACTTATATGTATTAGTAAATTATTTAACAACAATGACAACAACAAAATAGGTGGCAGTAAATGAAATTAAACTTTTTTTTTTTTTTTTTAATTTCCATAGGTTATTGGGGAACAGGTGGTGTTTGGTTACATGGGTAGTTCTTTAGTGGTGATTTGGTGAGATTTTGGTGCACTCATCACCGAGCAGTATAGACTGCATCCTATTTGTAGTCTTTTATCCCTTACCCACTTCCCACCCTTTTCCCCTGAGTCCCCAAAGTCCATTGTGCCATTCCTATGCCTTTGCATCCTCATAGCTTAGCTCCTACTAATGCGTGAGAACATATGATGCTTGGTTTTCCATTCCTGAGCTACTTCATTTAGAATAATTGTCTCCAATCTCATCCAGGTCACTGCAAATGCCGTTAATTCATTCCCTTCTGTGAGTGAGTGGTATTCCATCATATACATATAATACCACAGGTTCTTTATCCACTCGTTGATTGATGGGCACTTGGGTTGGTTCCACATTTTTGCAATTGTGAATTGTGCTGCTATAAACATGCATATGGAAGTATCTTTTTAAATTTAATTTAATCTTATTTATTATATTTTTACTTTTAAGTTCTGGGATAAATGTGTAGAATGTGCAGGTTTGTTACATAGGTATACATATGCCATGGTGGTTTGCTGCACCTATCAATCCGTCATCTAGGTTTGCTAGAGACCAGTTGTGATCATTTGGAGACGAGGCATTCTGGTTTTTGGAATTTTCAGCATTTTTGCATTGTTTTTTTTCTCATCTTCATGGATTTATCTACCTTTGATCTTTGAGGCTGATGACCTTTGGATGGGGTTTTCATGTGGGGGTCCTTCTTGTTGATGTTGATGTTATTGCTTTCTGTTTGTTAGTTTTTCTTCTAACAGTCAGGCTCCTCTTCTGCAGGCCTGCTGTAGTTGAGGTCCACTCCAGACCCTGTTTGCTTGGATATCACCCATGTAGGCTGCAGAAGAGCAAAGACTGCCACCTGCTCCTTTTTCAGGAAGCTTTGTCCCAGAGGGGCACTGGCCTGATGCCAGCCAGAGCTCTCCTCTATGAGGTGTCTGTCAACCCCTGCTAAGAGCTGTCTCCCAGTCAGGAGGCATATGGGGGTCAGGGACCCACTTGAGGAGGCAGTTTGTCCCTTAGCAGAGCTCGAACACTGTGCTGGGAGATCTGCTCCTCTCTTCAGAACCGGCAGGCAGGAATGTTTAAGTCTGCTCAAGTTGCACCCACAGCTGCCCCTTCCCCCAGGTTCTCTGACCCAGGGAGATGGGAGTTTTATCTATAAGCCCCTGACTGGGGCTGCTGCCTTTTTTTCAGAGATGCCTTGCCCAGTGAGAAGAATCTAGAGAGGCAGACTGGCCACAGATACTTTGCTGCACTGTGGTGAATTCTGCCAAGTTTGAACTTCCTGGCCTCCTTAGCACTGTCAGGGGAAAAATCGCCTACTCAAGCCTCAGTAATGGCAGATGCCCCTCCCACCCACCAAGCTTGATTGTCTCACGTCCACTTCAGACTGCTGCGCTGGCAGTGAGAATTTCAAGCCAGTTGTTGTTTGCTCGCTGGGCTCCAGGAAAGTGGGACCTGCTGAGCGAGACCACTTGGCTCCCTGGCTTTAGCCCCCTTTCCAGGGGAGTGAATGATTCTGCCTCGCTGAGGTTCCAGGCACAACTGGGGAAAACAAACAAACAAACAAACAAACAAAAAAACTCCTGCAGCTAATTTGATGTCTGCCCAAACAGCTGCCCAGTTTTGTGCTTGAAACCCAGGGCCCTGGTTGTGTAGGTGCATGAGGGAATCTCCTAGTCTGTGGATTGCAAAAACTGTAGGAAAAGTGTAGTATCTGGGCCAGGTAGCACAGTCCCTCATGGCTTCCCTTGGCTGGGGGAGAAAGGTACCCCAGGTCCTTGCACTTCCGGGGTGAGGCAACGCCCCACCCTGCTTCTGTTTGCCCTCCATGGGCTGCATTCCCCTGCCTAACCAGTCCCAATTAGATGAACTGGTCACCTCATTTGGAAATGTAGAAATCACCTGCCTTCTGTGTTGCTCTTGATGTGAGCTGCAGACTGGGGCTGTTCCTATTCAGCCATCTTGCCAGATCTCCCCAAAAATGCATTTTTAAGGAATCAGAGATCTATGGAATGACAACCAAATGACTTTAATTCCAGAGCAGGGAGAAAAAATCAACAATCTGCTACTTTTGTTATTTTTCTTTTTCATGGATCAGAGTCTGGCCAAGACAGAGAACCTATGTTTGCAGAAAGTGAAACCAGCAATTTTTGTAGTGGTTATGTGGACTAGGGTGACAATACTGAATATTTGAAGGTTTTTCCTATAGTCTGAATGTTTGTCTCCTCCAAAACTCAGGTTAAAATTTAATTGCAAATATAATGGTATTGGGAGGTGGGGCCTTTAAGGCCCATAAGAATTCCGCCTTTATATGTGAGTGAGTTTAGTGCCTTTAAAAAAATGACTTTGAGGAGTGGGTTCTCTCTCTCCTGGTCTCACCTCCTTCCATTTGATAGTACAGCAAGAAGAACCTCACTAGATGCTGGCCCCTTCTCAGCCTCTAGAATTGTAAGCCAATACATTTATGTTCATTATGAATTATCTGGTCTTTGTATTCTATTAGAGCAGCACAAAACAGACAGTGTTCAAATCTTCACTTTTCCTACAAGCCATTTGCTAATTCTGTGATAAAATTGAGGAATATAAAGCAAGGCAAAAAAAAAAAAATTCTAAAAAAGAAAAAATTAGCAAACTTCCCAAAGCTCCCAAAGTTCTCTGTATTTAAGGGAACAAAGATTAGCCAGAGGGGCTATAAACAAACAAACAAAAAGTAGTCAATAAAATCATCTATCAAAGGATATACACACACACACACACATATATATATACAATTATAGGTATATAACTCAATTTACTGACATATTAGAAATACATTGGTTTGGTCCAGAAAGGTGGGACAATTCAAAGCCAGGGATTAGGAAGGTGGGGGGTGGGGGGGGGTAGTTTCAGGCTATAGGTAAATTTAAACATTTTCTGGTTGACAATTAGTTGAGTTTGTCTAAAGACCTGGGGTCGATAGAAAATAAATATTCAGGTTAAGATAAAAGGATGTGGAGACCAAGGTTCTTTTGAAGTCTTATAGTGGCTGCTCTTAGAGACAATAGAATGATATCCTATTCAGATATTTAAAAGGTGCTAGACTCTTAGTTAATCTCTTTAGGATTGGGAGGGCCTGGAGAAAAAGATCCAGTTATTTTAATAGAGATTCTTTACATATGCAAATTTCTCCCCACAAAGGACAGCTTTGCAGGGCCATTTCAAAATATGGCAAGTAAACATGTTTTGGGGTAAAACATTTGACTTTCTTCTTTGTCACATAATGTTATGCCAGAGTCAGATTGGAAAGTAAGTCATGATATACAGGGTTAAATGAAACCCATGTGATGTTAGTTTATGGTTTGTAGGGCATGACTCCCCAGACTCCTTAGGTATGAATTTGGGCAAGATAAAAAAATCAGAGCCTAATTCTCATGTCATTGAACTTTGAGAGTTCATTTGTAACTAAATTTATTTAGGTGATTTAGTCAGCTGCTAAATGCACAAACTCCAGTGAAACTCAAGCACTGAATATGTAAAAGCAAAATAAATGCAAGCACAGGAGAAAAATAAAGTATATGCTTACCAAGAAAAACAATGGCCTTCTCCAAATGAAGAAAAAAATTTCCTCATTCAAACCTCTAGGTTCAAACTTCATAGACAAGGTCAACAGAGGAAAAGAGTCCTCTTCAACAAGAGATTCAAACAAGGAGGAAAAGATCTTTCCTCACCAAATCCCAAATAAAACAGAAAACAAATCAAAATTGGGAGTTCTAAGACAGACTCTCCAAGCCGGAGAAGAAGTGACCCGTGGAAGTCAGGGTCGGCGGCCCTAAAGAGCCCCAGTGTGGGTACCTCATGCTGTAGTTCCAAGGCCTGGTGAGTCTCCTTAAGGTGAATCACCTTTGGTCCTTCCTTCTGACACCAAGTATTGATATGGCTATGATGACTGGAAGAACACTAGTGTCCTTAATCTTGCACCGAATTAGATAAAACGACTTGGACATACGTGGAGTGGTTTTAAGGAGAGGAGAGTTTAATAAGCAAGAAAGAAGGAAGAAGAAAACAGCTCCCTTGTAGAGACAGAGGGAGGAGGGATTTAAACAAAGAGAAAACCCCATGTGCTGCAGAAAAGTGGCCACTTATATGAGGAGGCTGTAGGAGGTGGTGTTTGATTTGCATAGGGCTAAGGGGATTGGTTTGATCAGGCATGTCACTCATGTAGCCCATGAAAAACTTGGCCCTCTTACCCTAGCCTTTTAATATGCAAATGCAGGGCATCATGATGTTCTATACTCATGGGGATATGTGGGGGCGGCCATGTTACCAGGCACATGTCGGGGCAAGAACAGGAAGAAGAGGGCAGGAATTGCCATGATTGGGTAGACCCAGTTTCTAATTGCTGGCATTCGCACATCAAAGCTTGCCAGGCAGCTCTAAGAGCCAGCGCTTTCCTGCTAGACAAGAAATGTTTCTGGAGCTGCCTTAAAAGAAACAAAAATTGCCCAAGGACCCCTTTTTTTCCCTATCTGCCTAAAAGAATTTCTTAGTAACTCCTATAATAGTATGTCAAAGTAAAAATAAAAATGCAGACACAAATCTCTAAATGTAGTGTTTTATTTGGGAAGAAAGAATTGCAGTTCAGGGCATACACGTGGTCTTCGGTATCTCCAAAGAGCAAAGAGAAGGTTAGAGGTTTTACATATTGCTTTTTGAGAAAGTTCATTGATATTTGTAAGGATTTGGTGAGCTGGCAAGCTCCGATTTTTGCGTGACAACAGTGTGAGCAAACATTAGTTCTAGAGTTGCAGTAAGCTACTTCAGAAGCTACAGATAAAACTGGTTTCTGGTTACAACAGGCAGTTTCAGCAGCCAGGCTTGCAGATAATTACATTCTTGGAGCAATGCTTTGTACCCAGAATGTTTTCCCACTGGATTCTCCACTCTGTTTTATTTAGTTATGAAAAGAATTACTCAATTTTTATAATCAACTTTCACACCTAAATTACCTCCCAAAGGCACCTCCTAATACTATACCATTGGGAGTTAGGATTTCAAATATGAATTTCAGGGAAACAGAAACATTCTGTCCATAACATTCTGCCCATGGCAAAGTTTATGTTCTTTTTGCCTGCATTTATTCTGTAAAAAGTAAAGTAGAGGTTGCTCTTCAAAGACTTTCCTCCCTAACTAATTAGGAATAAATAGTAACTTCTCTTAGAAGCAAAATTTATTCAAAGACCTGTGCTCCTAAATATTTGCCCTGGCATGCTTATACTGGTCCAAGCAAGCATTAGGTCATAGCCTGTTCCTCTTCCTTATTTAAAAGTGTTTTTACCTTTCTCAGCATTCCACAAGTTACTTCCTCCTTCCTTTGTTCTCCTCTACCTTTGCCTCTTTTAAAAAGTTCTAAATTGCTAGCCAGTCGGGACAAATACAGAATGTGAGGTCCTGTTCCAGTCAATGGAAACTGGATACAGCAGTAGGGTGGATGCGGCAGGTTATAAATGATGCTGTCTCCTTTGTTTGGTGTACACTCGTGGCAAAACTGCTGATGAGTATACCCTTTCTGCAGGAAGTAAAAAAAAAAAATGGCCACACTAAATAAATCTATGTTCAAGTGCTATTTTTTTATGGCACTGGGGAACAAGCATTTCAAACAATTTGGTGGCAGTCTGTATGGGGATACATTCTCCTCCAGGGGTGGTCTCCAGTCCTCTCTCATGAGGGAGTGCACTCCCCTACCTCATTGAAGGGGCCCTCAGGAATGACAAATTGAGACAAATAAACCCAGACTCTCAGCAACACAGAGAGAAAAAAAAAAAAAAGAAACTGGCCAGCAACCTAGCTTAAAGGATCCTCACATACTGTGGCGACAACTTTGTGCACAGGCCAAGAAAGAAGAAGCTGTGGGAGCCAATAAAGTATTTCCTTGGTGATCGGGACTAAAAAAAAAAAAAAAAAAAAAGCCACAGGACGGTAAAGCATTCCTTAGTTAGGACGTACCAAGGAGAGAGAAACTGCAGGGTCAGTAGATTATTCCTTAGTCGGGATGTCTTGGAGGTTAAAAATAGGTGAGAAATCCCCATAGAAGGGGTGTTGAACCTCAGAAAGAGGTGAGAAATCCCCATGAGGCGGGTTGAACCTCAGAAAGAGGTGAGGAATCCCCATGGGAGGGGGGCGTTGAACCTCACACAAACTCCCAGTAGTAAGAAAAATATTCAGAACCCCCCTTTCCTTTCTTCTTGGGGGAAGAAAGAATAGCCCCACTGCCACCAGTCCCTTCCCTAGGGAAAGGGGAAGGAGGGGGAAAACAGCAGCATAGGTGGCTGGCATGGAACAGGAATTAAAATAAATTACAGAATGTGTAAGCAAAAACTCAGTTGTATATAAGAAAACCCAATTCCCCCCTGAGGAAGAGAAAGAGCCGGAGTCCTTTAAAAATTAACTGCCTGTTTTCTGTGGCTAGTGAGCCTTATCTCTCCCTTTCCCAGGCATTATGAAGACCCTATTTCTCTAGCTGTGCAGCTGCAAGGTCACTAGACAGATAAACTCAAGTCATAAAACATGTTTTTCCTTGAAAAGAAATGATGTCATGTATGTCTCAATTGAATAACTGTCTTTGTTTCTTGCTTCTGTTATACGCTTCCCCCTGCACAAATCTTCCCCCACCCACGAAATGCTTAAAAGGTAACTTGACTCTTTGTTTGGGGCTCAGTCCTTTGGATGTTAATCCAAGTGGACCAGTGCACCTAAATAATAAATATCCTCCTCAATCCCTTGGTCTCTCTGATTCCTTATATATCCCGATACATTTCTGGGGGCTCATCAGGATTGGAGATGACAGATTTACTGTCCCCTTTGCCTGCGATACTAGGTCCCCGGGGCCAGGAGAGACCCGGCATCCAAGGTGTGCCACAGCTGAGCTTCACCCGGATATATAGACCAGCTCTCCCCACGTCCCAGCACCCTGCCTGGCAGCGCAATGGAACCGAGGATGGGGCTGCAGGACGATACCAGCACTTCAGGAACTGTGGTAAGGAGTATAGGCCCAAGGCAGGAAAGCCCGTCCCATAGGGACAAAGGGGAGCTTGATCACCTCCCAGGGACTGACCACTAATCCAACCCAGAGTGGCTGGGGGCAGCAGGAGTGGCCTGCCAATTTGGATGAAGCTTATGTCCCCACTAACAAAGTGAAAGTGGTTCACTGGATCTGGAGACAGGAACTGGGAGTGGTGTGTGTATGTGTGTGAATATGGGAGCCTAACTAGGCTCACCCAGGTCATGAGAGAGGCTCATTCCATCCGATGAGGACTCCTGCAGTAGGAGTGGTGTATGTGTGTGAAAGTGGGAGCCTAACTAGACTCACCCGGGACATGAGAGAGGCTCATTTCGTCCAATGAGGAATCCTGGGGCAAGGAAGGTGTGTGAAAGTGTGTGAAAGCGATGGTCTCGGGAGAGGCCAATGCAGGGAGTGACGTGGGGAGGCACAGATCCCTTAGCACGGGCTGTGTGCTCTGAGGCGAGTGTGGGGGGAAATCAGACCTAGGACATTGCATACAGCTGATAGGACGAGCTTTGCAGCTGTAGCAGGCTGTGACAGGGGAAGACACCTTCCTGGCTAAGCAGTGTCCGAAACTCCTGTAATAGGACCGGGTCTGCTGGACCTGAGAGTGAAAGTGAGAGTGAGAGTGAGAGTGTGCCGCAAGGGAGGAAATGGGAGGGAAAGCGTCAAAACCAACTCCTTTGGAGTGCATGATAAAAATTTTAAAGAAAGGATTTAGAGGTGATTGTGGGATGAAACTGGATGTTCAAAAGTTAAAGACATACTGTGAATTACAATAGCCCTCTTTTAGTGTCAGATGGCTGGCCGAAGGCACTGTAGAGAAATTGGCCGTGTGTTTTAAGGTGGTGACTAGGGTCGGAGGACAGCCAGGGCATTCAGACCTAGTCTTTATATTGACTCATGGCTAAATGTACGCAGCCCTGCCTAGCAGTTTATTGTAGAATGCTCGCAGCTCACGCCGAGATAAACCAACTGTGCTGGCAGCTACGGAGTTAAAGGGAAAGTCACAGAGGCTTCTAGCACCACCGATCCAAAAGTGAAAGTGAAAGTCAGCTGCCCTGGAAGCTATGCAGACCAAAAAAAAAAAAGAGTCTCAGGAAAGAGAAAACCAGTTTTGCAAGAATCACAGGATGGAATAGAGATCCTTCCTACCTATATTCCAATCTATCCCCCCTTACCAAGGCTAATTGCCCCTAAGGAGGTAAGTTCAAACAGATACATGCTCCCACTCTCACCTGAGAAGGAGAAATCGGAGCTCCAGGAAGTTAAAACGAAAGGCTCAAAAAGGTAGGCAGGCCGTCTCAGGTCAAGTCATGCCCAAGTTATGCTTCTGCCTCTTAAGAGGACAAGCAGACCCCCACTAGGACCCAGACGATGCAGTCCAGCTTCAGCACCTACAAAAGTGCCGAGAAGCACTTTTACAAAGGCTAAAGGATGTTAAAAGGAAAAGGCAACCAATATAAAAAAATCTCAGAAGTGCTCCATGGTGCAGATAAAAGCACCAGCCAGTTTTATAGGCATTTTGCTTGTACACTCTGTTTAACCCCGAGGCTGCTGAAAATCAGTGAATAGTAAATACGGCATTTGTAAGGCAGGCCCAAGGAGATATCAGGCATAAATTGCAGAAGTTAGAAGCTCCGTAGGTGTGAATGCTACTCAGCTTATTAAAGTGGCTACCAAGGTGTACATTAACTGAGACCAGGAGGCAAAGAAGAAAGCTGATTGGAGGCTTAATAAAGGCTTATTTACAAGCAGCAGCCCTTATGGGAAGAGAGGCTGGCTTTGCAAGGAGGCATAGATGCGGGTGTGAATGCAGTTGTGGAAAAGGCTAGTCTGGACAGCAATTTGAAAGCCAGCCAAGGCTAGAGAGAGATTAATGTACATGGTGCAAAAGAAAAGGACACTAGAAGGATAAATGTCAAAAGAATAAGGAGAATGGTCAAGGCCATGGTATGAAAAAACCACTGGCCAAGGGCTACTGCACCCAGGAGAAACCCAAGACTGCTGTGAAAGGCAGGATATAAAGGGTCAGAAAAAAGCTCAGATCTGCTCGAAAAGTGTCCAGTACTTAAGCTTTTACATAAGCCAAGAGGAAAGATGGCTTAGTAGTGAACAAAAGCAGGCTGTTTGTGCACTTCCTACTCCAACCACCTGGCGTCGAATAACAGAGTTCCTAAGGGCAGCAAAGTTCTTCCGCATTTAGATCCCAAATTTCTTGCTTGTGGCTAAGCCATTATACAAAGCCACAAAGAGGAGGAAAGAAGGACTCCTCCTCTAGGAGGCCAACCAGAAGAAGGCTTTTCAAAAAATCAAAGAAGCCTTGACTCAGATCCCAGCTTTAGGACTGCCAGATCTAACTAACTAAGCTTATCTTCTTGAATGTCCACAAGTGAAAGGGAGGCCATAAAGATTCTAACTCAAGCCATAAGGTCATGGCATTGCCCAGTGACACACTTATCCAGGCAGTTAGATTCTGTGGCACTTGGATGGCCTCCTTGTTTTAAAGCACTAGCTGCTACTGCCCTACTGGCACAAGAAGCTAATAAACTGACTTTAGAGATGGTGAATACCCTAAACCCGGCTACCTTGCTCCTCATCGAGTCAGTGCCAGGAGACCCCCTTCGTTGCTGTGTAAATGTGATAGATGAAGTGTTCTTAAGCCAGAGAGATTTGACAGATACATCCCTCAGGGACCTGGACATTGAATATTTTACTAATGGAAGCAGTTTCATACTAAACGGAGTCCGCCAAGCTGGGTATGCAGTGGTGACTTTGGATTCAGTAGTAGAGGTGCAGTCTTTGCCTACAAAAACTTCTGCTTAGAAAGCAGAACTAATAGCTCTGACAAGAGCTCTCTGGCTAGCCAAAGACCAAAAGACAAATATTTACACATATTCCAGATATGTTTCTGCCACTTTGCATGTTCATGAGACTATTTACAAAGAAAAAATAATTTTAACTGCTGAAAGTAAAGAAATAAAGTATAAGGAAGAAATTCTAGAGCTCTTAAATGCTGTATAGGCCCCAAAAGGTGGCAGTGATGTACTGCAAGGGGCACCAAAAAGGAAGAATACTAAAGGCTAAAAAAATAAAATAAAATAAGAAAACAGACAAAGAGGCAAAGCAGGCTGCAATGACAACTCCACCTTTTAAAGAGGAAGCCTTAGCTATGCCTCTCCTCCCAGAGATTCCTCTCCTGGATATCCCAAGCTACACTCCAAATGAAAGGGCTTATTTTGCCCAGAAAAATAAAAACTACATTAAAAGGAGATGGTAAATATTATCCAATGGGAGGCTAGCCATACCTGAAATGGTGGCCCCCAGATTTTTAAAAGAGTTCCACCAAGGAACTCACATGGAAAAAAATACAACAACAGAAATGAGGAATGCTATATATCAAAATAGATTGGCTTTAGATTACCTCTTAGCCTCAGGAGGAGGAGTATGTGGAAAATTTAATTTAACCAACTGTTGCCTAGAAATCGATGATAATGGTTGAGCTGTCATGGAAATCACCGCTAGAATGCACACATTGGCCCATATTCCAGTTCAGACTTGGTCTGGGTGGTCCCCGGATTCCTTGTTTGGAGGATGGTTCTCAGCCTTTAGAGGATTCAAAAGCCTCATTGGTGGGTTCTTGGTTATTCTTGGCATCTGCCTCATCCTCCCTTGCCTTTTACCCCTGTTTATTAGAAGTATTCAGTCAACTATGGAGGCAATAGTGGCCTGATACACTACCATGCAGATGATGGCATTAACCAGATATCAGTCGCTGCTGGTAGAAGCAGCAGCTCAGCTCCACGAAGACGTGGCAAATAGTGGTGCTTTCTGTTAACACATTTGTTATAAAAAGCACCAAAGGGGGGAATGGAACAGGAATTAAAAGAAATTAAAGAATGTGTAAGCAAAAACTCAGTTGTATGTAAGAAAACCCAATTCCCCCTGAGGAAGAGAAAGAACTGGAGTCCTTTAAAAATTAACTGCCTGTTTTTCCGTGGCTAGTGAGCCTTATCTCTCCCTTTCCCAGGCATTGTGAAGACCCTGTTTCTCTAGCTGTGCAGCTGCAAGGTCACTAGACAGACAAACTCAAGTCATAAAACATGCTTTTCCTTGAAAAGTAAGAAACAATGTAATGTATGTCTCAATTGAATAACTGTCTTTGTTTCTTGCTTCTGTAATATGCTTCCCCCTGCACAAATCTTCCCCCACAGACAAAATACTTAAAAGATAACTTGACTCTTTGTTCAGGGCTCAGTCATTTGGATGTTAATCCAACTGGGCCAGTGCACCTAAATAATAAAAATCCTCCTCAACCCCTTGGTGTTCCTGATTCCTTATCAATCCTGCTACAGGTGGAGAAAAAAGAAAGACCAGCAGAAAAGAAAAAAACTAGGAGAGGAAGTCAGAGGGAAAGAAAGCAAAAACAGCAAGCATAGAGCCAAACAGCCAGGCAGGCACGCCAAGGGGTAAGTCCCTCTCCCCAAAGAGCTTGGGGACTGGTGCCGGGAGGAGAGCAGAGGAGGTGAAAGGGCATAATTCTTGCAATTTGCGGCAGGCATCTGCCAATCCTCTGGGCCGGTGACTGCCTGGGGCCCAGACTACAGCCGGGCAAATCCCACCCACCCAGCCAGAGAAACTAAGTGTAAAAAGAAAGGAAAAAATATAAAAAGGGAAATCAGGAAAAATAAAAAACACAGGAGAAACAGACAGCTGCGTGTGCGTGGGGGTGGGGCCCGTGCCATGGCCCAGCAGGGCTCGCAGCAGGAGCAGGAGAACTTGGGAAAAGAAAGGGAAACAGGATGAGAGAGAGAGAGAGAGAGAGAGAGGAAAATAGAGCGCAAATGAGAGAGAGAGAGAAATAGAGGGAAAGAGTAAGTAAGAGAGAAACTGGAAGAGACAGAAATCAAAGGAAGATACAGAGAGTGAAACTAGAAAAATAGTGAAAAAGGAAGGCAGAAAGTTAAGACATGCTGAAGATTGTCTGTGAAAGTCATAAGAAAAGCTATAAAAGGGAATTTATGCAAAAAATATTGTATAACTGAAAAACAGGCCTCCTGAATGTAAAATTATTAAAAAAAGTTTATGTACAAGGTATGTAAAAAAATACTTTTAATAACAGGATTATAAAGAGGCATAAGAATACAGATTTTTACCTACATTAAAGGCTAAACTTTTTTTCTGTTTTAAAGATTTAAGCAAGTTTTAAAATGTTAATTGTAAAGGAAATTCTGTGTGTTAACATATTGGCTAAAGTTAAAGGGGTATCATCCAGTTTTTCTGTGAACTGGATATTACAATAAAATCACTATAGATTTTTCTTAAAGCACTAACCTGCTCTTTAACAAAAATTATAAAAAGTTAAAGAATCTATAAAAGTCTTACCTTATAGTTAGACATTAAAATTGGATAAATAATGTCTACAAGATTTTATTAAAATTAAGTTGAACATCAATAGCACATTAATATAATGGTAAAATTTAACTTATCTGGTATAAAATCATACAAAAACATTGTCAAATATAAAATGGTGTTTGGCTTTCTTAAGGCCTAAAGGCAACCCGGTAAGTCACAAGGACCCTCATCCCCAAGGCCACAGAGTGCAGGGTGGTGAAGGCCATAAGAAGGCCAAACATTAAGAGGGGGCAGGGCCACAGTGTCTCCTGGGCAGCGCTGAGCAGGAATAGAGCAAGGGGCATAACCATGAGGCCTCAAGCCCCAGGATATGCAGCAGAAATTATATACTTAATCTATCTTCCACTTTCCCTTCCCTTGGAGCTAAAAGTCTTTTAGCACAGGTAGCACCCCTAGAATTTCCAGTACACCAGCACCAGCCTGAAAACCACATCCTTATCAAAAGATAGAAAGAAAAAAAAACTCAAGCCAGCCTGGGAAGAACCCTATTTTATGCTATTAACCACTGAGACTGCCGTCCGCACAGCCAAGAAAAAAATGGTCCCACCATACTCGAGTCAAGAAAACATCTTCCTCTCAGAATCATGGGTTACTGTACTAGGATTAAGCCCTACTAAGTTAAAGTTAAAGAAAGCTTAATTTTCATATACCTTCTATATCGCTTCCTTTCCTTTCCGTATTTTGTTACTAGCTCCGTTGTTATTAATGTAACTAAGTCTGACTCACCTCAGACCATTGCCTTTAACTCTTGCTCTGTCATACCTTGTGGAAATGTAAAATATCAACAACAGCTAGCCTTTTCACACAAATATTTATGTCCCAGCCCTCTAACTGACACAGGTACCCCTAGCAGTCATTGTTGTAATGACCTGCAGCCAAGATGCTGATTTTCTGCTCCTACAGGCTGGCAACCTTGTAGTAAATGGGACCACATCCCTTAAACTACCCAGGAGCAAAGCTGGACTTCCACGAAAAAGGTTTGTGCAAATCTAAAACCCCTCATCTATTTCACTAAAAGGACTACCCCTTCTCACTGTCAGCCTTATCAGTGTAACCCTGTCCTTCTCTTTATCACCACCTCCACCTTAACTAACTCTAGACCTGCCCTTAGTCGCTTCTGTGGTATGGGGATTGACATAAATGGAAAAGACCCCCTAGGTATTTTTAAAATATGGATTTTTCCCCCATCTCCCCCTTCTTCAGTAGCCTCAGTTCTAGATCCCACACCAGTTGCTCCTACATCTAATAAAACTAGGGTGTCTATTGTAAAAATAAGATATCTAAGACAGACCTTAGCCATCAAGACAAAATATCAAGATGCAAATTCCTGGCTGAAATGGATTAAATAATCCATTCACACTTTAAATAAAAGCGATTATTACGCTTGTACACACGGTAGGCCAGAGGCCCAGATTATCTCCTTTCCACTTGGATGGTCTCCTTGTCATCCAGATATGGAGTGTATGGTGGTTCTTTTTCAAAATCCCACTGCTTGGGATAATCCATCATACTGAGCGCTCTCTGCTATTTCCTGAAATTCAACACCCTGCGGGTCAGCCTCCGAGGGCAATCCAGCTTCCACCTCTAAATGCCAAGTTTACTTTGTGCCTCTCATGGCAGGAGGAAAATTTGGCGTTCCTTGAAAGCATAAAAGGATACAAGAAGCCCAAGCCTTTCCAAGAACTTGCCCATCAGTCCATGCTTAGCCATCCCCAAGCAAATGTATAGTGGTACTGTGGAAGACCTTTACTGGACACTCGGCCAAATAACTGGAGCAGTACTTGTGCTCTAATCCAATTGGCTATCCGCTTCACGCTGGCATTTCGTCAATCTAAAAAGGTAAAAACAAAACACCGCAGGCCAAAGGAAACTCCTTGAGTCCTTTAATCCTCAGGTTTACGTAAATGTTATTAAGGTCCGTGAGAAGTGCCAAATAAGTTTAAAGCACAAAAATCAAATAGCTGCAAAATTTAAATCCATGTTGGTCTGGTAGGTAACCATAAATTAAAAAAAAATTTAACTTCAATTCAATTCTCACCTCGTTTGCCCTTACTATTGGTGTACTTATTCTTGTAGACTGTTATATTATGCCCTGCCTTCAAGGTTTTATGCAAAAACTTGTCTCTGCTGCTCTTACAGAGTTAACTCCTAACTATCCTCCACCCTATTGAAAAAAAATTACCTCTCTTAGAAGGACAAAGAATTAAGTCAAAACATATTAAACAAGACTGAGGAGGAATTATGAAATAAAAAAAGGGGGAATATTGTAAAAAGTAAAGTAGAGGTTCCTCTTCAAAGACTTTCCTCCCCATCTAATTAGAAATAAACAGTAACTTCTCTTAGAAGCAAAATTTATTCAAAGACCTGTGCTCCTAAATATTTGCCCTGGCATGCTTATACTGGTCCAAGCAAGCGTTAGGTCATAGCCTGTTCCTCTTCCTTATTTAAAAGTGTTTTTATCTTTCTCAGCATTCCACAAGTTACTTCCTCCTTCCTTTGTTCTCCTCTACCTTTGCCTCTTTTAAAAAGTTCTAAGTTGCTAGCCAATCGGGACAAATACAGAATGTGAGGTCCCGTTCCAGCCAGTGGAAACCGGACACAGCAGTAGTGTGGACATGTCAGGTTATAAATGACCCTGTCTCCTTTGTTCGGTGTACTCTCATGGCAGAACTGCTAGTGAGTGTACCCTTTCTGCAGGAAGTAAAAAATGGCCTTACTAAATAAATTAAATTTATGTTCAAGTCCTATTTCTTTATGACACCGGGGAACAAGCATTTCAAACAATTCCATTCTAATAACCCCAAGTCTTAGCTTTTTACGGAATCAATTGTAAAGTCTAAAGTCCAAAATCTTATCTAAATATCATCAAACAAGATATGCATGAGACTCAAGATTCTATTTATTCAGAGGCAAAATTCCTTCTTAACTGTGAACCTGTGAAACCAAACAAGTTATGTGCTTCCAAAATACAATAGTGGGACAAACATAGGATGGATATTACTATTCCAAAAGGAAGAAAGAGAGGAAGAGAAACAGTCATGGGACTCAAGCAAGTACAAATCATAGCAAAGGAAACGTCCTAAGATCTTACTTAAGGCTGGAGAATAATGCCTTTAAGATAATCATGGCCCACTGGGGCAGCACCACCTCCCTGACCCCGTTGGGTGGAGGACCCATTAAAAGTGGCAGCATGACCCCCACAGGCAGGGAAGGCACTGCCCATGCTGTGTCTCTCTGCTGTGGCCCTGCCCATGAGGCAATTTCCTGTGGAGGGTGGGGTTGCACTCTCAGTGATCTGCTGGCCTTCTCTTCCTTCACTGATCCCCTGGGTGTTGGTCCTACCTTTAGAAATTAAAACAGCACCCCTCCCCCAGCCCATCCACTCTGGGCTTGTGGTGGGAGAGGCAGCCTTGGGGATATCTGAATTGCCTTTAGGATCTCTCTTCTTTTGTCTTGGAGAATCATGCATGTTTGCAGTGAAATTGTTCTATGGTTTGGTCCTGTGGAGTCTAAGAAATCTGACAGTCTTTGGTCATTTTGTCCTGTTTTTGTTTGTTTCCTTTAGTCTCAGTTGGCAGTGTTACCGCTGGTGTAATCTCTTCTCTGTTCCTGGCTTTTATTGAGATGGTTGATCATCTTTACACAGTCCTTTGCATGCAGATGTACGTATTTGGAGTTGAACAGTTTTCTATATAGCCTTTAAAGCTCGAGGCATAGAGTGCACAGTCTCCCTTCTGCATTTCAATTATTGTTAGTCTAGAGGAGAGACAATTACAAATTACATACATGATTTTATTAACGCGGGAAAATAAAAATGAATCATACCTATTGAACTTCAAATACAGGAACTTAATACCATTTTAGGAGATTATGGACCATGCCTGGTCCTAATTCATAAACAAAATATAGCCAACTCAGATAATAAAAATAAAAATTATAAATAATGCGCCACTCTTTTTATCATACATCAGAAACTAGCCAATTCTGAAGTCTAAAATCTCTTCATATGTATACCCAAGTTAAATGAAAACTTTAGAATGTTTATTTTAAAACAAATATTTAAGTGAGAAATAAATTCAGTGTTCAATTTAGAATTTGATACTGTGTTTTGTGGAAAAATAAAACATTTTCTTCAGATATATGCAATTTTACTTGGTAAGGAAATGAAAATAAAATTTCAAATCTAATACATACATACACACATTCACAAGTGTGTATAAGTGTGTGTGTGTGTGTGTGTGCATATGTTTAGGCATTCCATGTGGAGATTTCTATATCTATATATGTGTTTTACTCTGGCATCTTTAATCTTTTGGAGTTATATGATTAATAATGATACTTTGTTTTCTTTCATAAGAGATGGGAAATAGAAAGCTCAAGAAAGAGTGAGGATGTCACTTCAATGTAAAATTGACAAAAAAATAAAAAGATTATGGTCTGATGCTATCCCTATTTAAAAAGACGATGTAATGATCTCTGTTCTGTAACTGAACAATCGGCCACTGTAGGGAGAAAACTATTCTTAAAGAGTTTTTGTTTTGTTGTTTGTTTGTTTTTAGACAGAATCTTGCTCCGCTGCCAAGGCTGGAGTGCACTGGTTCAATCTCGGCTCACTGCAAACTCTGCCTCCCAAGTTCAAGTGATTCTCCTGTGTCAGTTTCGTAAGTAGCTGGGATTACAGGCATGTGCCACCACATCCGGCTAATTTTTTTATTTTTAGTAGAGATGGTGTTTCACTACGTTGCCAGGCTGGTTATAAACTCCTGACCTAAAGCAATACACCCACCTCGGCCTCCCAAAGTGCTGGGATTACAGGTGTGAGCCACTGCACCCGGCCCCAGCTGAGATTTTTTAATAACTGCTCTTACTAGGTTCAGTCTACATTAGAGTCTCGTTCTTTTTTTCTTTCTTTCCTCTCTCTCTTTTTTTTTTTTTTGACAGTGTTTTGCTCTTGTCAGCCAGGCTGGAGTGCAGTGGCGCAATCTCGGCTCACTGCAACCTCCACCTCCTGGGTTCAAGCAATTCTGCTGCCCCTCAGCCTCAGGAGTAGCTGGGGTTACAGGCACTTGCCACCACATCTGGCTAATTTTTGTATTTTTAGTAAAGATGAGCTTTCACCATGTTGGCCAAGCTGGACTTGAACTCCTGACCTCAGGTCCTCCCAAAGTGCTGGGATCACAGGCGTGAGCCACTGCACCCGGCCTCATTCTTTTTAATATCACTTTGTCCATGTGTTCCTTCGATTTCTTTCTCTGTTTTTTCATACTACTTTCATTACACTTCTGCCAGAGTACCTAACTAACTACACTGGATTATTTGTTTGTAACTACATCTCTGACTAGAGTTTGAAGCTCTAAAATGAGTTTTATTCTACTCATCTCTGTAGTTATCTCTGCATAATTCCTGGAAATTGTGCAGTAATCAACCAATATTTACTACATGCATAAACAGAAAGTTAGTATGCTAGTTGTTTTGCTTCTGAAAAAAAATTTTGTCCTTGTAGATAGGAAAATATTGAGAAACTATGATATAAACTCTTATTTTTTAGAGAATCAATGTTTTTTCTGTTAAAAAAACTCTCAAGCCATACATAAATGAGGCCATCCTGGATCAATTCTAAGGTATACTGGGGCTTCCAAATTACAAATAGATAATAAGGAAGGAAGGTAGGGAGTTCTTGCTACAATAAACACAAGGGGAAAATTGAAAATAACACATGAGAGTAAAAGGTTGTGCATTGATCATTGCCAATTAATCATTAAAGTAGCAAAGTAAATTTAAAAATCAGCGAAAAGAGCACTTTTTTAGTCATTTAATAGTAAGTCTGGCTCCAGAGCCAGAAATATATATATTTGAGTCCTCATTGCAACAATTATTCATTTTGTAACTTAAGTGAGTTATTTAACATGTTAAGATTCTGTTGTATACCATTAGAATTAGGTTAAAATAACACCTGTATACAGGATTGTTAAGTATATTTAATGAAAGGATACATTTAAGTGCTTAAATCTGTGTCTGACAGACAGGAAGCACCTAATTAACCTAATTTTAACATTGATATTGTTGTGACTTTTTATTACATTGAAGAATTGGAAATTCAAATATCTAAAGTCCCCTTGAAATAAAGAATTATAATATTTACAATCTAGAGGACTTCTGCAATATTTGTGATATTATGAGACTGAAAAAAGGAAAAGCAGTAGTGACAAAATGCTTAGGTTTCATTCCTGATCGTTGTAGCTGAATGAAGAAATTACTGAACAGTGTAGTGACAGGTCAGATCTTTCAAATGGTAGAAATGACCTTTCTTGAATACTCTAGCATTAATCTGGAGAATTACAACTATATTCATAAGATCAGTGAACATTAAGATGTTGTCACTTAGTCTGGGTGTGCTGAATTGCTCTGTGCAATCAAGTGGGTAAAAGAGCAGGCTATAAAAACTACAGACATGGGACACTTCAGAATCCAGAAAGACCAAGCTGTAGTTCACCGGACACAGAAATGGAGATAAGAGATTTGAAGAAATAAAGAAATGTAAAGATATGCAGAAGGTCACCTTTGAATATTCAGCAGAGTACTTACTAATGCATGTATGTAAAAAACTACTCCAGGATGGAGAAAGAACTGTCTGAAAAGATTTAGGGTAAACAATACTTAGTGCTAACATAGGGTCTAGTATTTTGCCTGTTTCTACCAGCCATATTACAAAACTTTGTATTTCAAAGGTTATCACATAGAATACATAGAAAACAGCAGAATAAACATTTCTGATCAAATACACCTAAAACATTTTTAAAAACACACTATAGTCTAGTCCATAACACTGATGTCAATAAATTTAAGTTTTAAATTATACAAAATAATTCGCTAATGAAAATGAAATTAAATTAGAAATCAATAATAAAAATGTCTGAAAAATTCACAAATGTTGAAAACTAAATGACACATGTAAATAATCAATGAATCAAAGAATGCAAAAGACAATTTAGAAACTATTTTTAACTGAATGGAAACAAAAAGTAGTATCTCAAAATATGACGGGATGTTGCCAAATCATCTCACATATTAATAGTATAACTTTTATTAGAAAAAAAGGTTTCAAATCAACATATCAGCTTTCAATATAAGAAACTAAAAAAGCAAATTTAACCTACTATAAGAAGACAGTAAATAATAAAGATCAAAGCAGAAATCAGTGAGAAGAAAATTTTTACCTAAATGGCAAATAAGCACACACAAAAAAATGCTACTTAACATCATTGCATTAGTAAAATGCAAGTTAAAACTACATTCATATACCAAAACACATCATTTAGTGTGTCTGAAATTTACTTATTTATTTATTTATTTATTTATGAGACAGGGTCTTGCTCTGTCACTCAGGCTGGAGTGCAGCGGCGCAATCTCGGCTCACTGCAACCTCCGTCTCCCGGGTTCAAGCCATTCCCCTGCCTCAGCCTCCCGAGTAGCTGGGATTACAGACACCTGCCACCCCGTCCAGCTAATTTTTGTATTTTTAGTAGAGACAGGGTTTCACTGCATTGGCCAGGTTGGTCTTGAACTCATGACCTCAAGTGATCTGCCTGCCTCGGCCTCCCAAAGTGCTGGGATTATAGGCATAAACCACTGCACCCAGCCAGTATAAAATTTAAGAGGCTGATCAAAACAAGTGTTGACTAGGATGTGAAGCAACTTCTCTGTCAGATTTTCTCTTACATACTGCTAGGTAGAAAGTAAAATTTGTAAAATATCATCACCACTTTGGATAACAGTGTGGCACTTTAAAAAAAGTTAAGTATATACTTATATGATTCAGCCATTTTGTTTCTAGGTGTTTATGTTAAGGGAAAGAAAGATTTCGTTAATATGATACAAATACTTGTACACAAATATTATTAGCAAGTAGCATTATTTGTAATGATCAATAACTGGGAATTACCTAAATATACATCAATAAATGAAGAGATAAAAGGAAATTAACTCTTTACTCATGCAATGAGATGGCTGAATCTCAAGATAACTTTTCTAAGTGAAAATAAGACATTGCAAATGATATATATTGTAGGACTTCATTTATATTAAATTCTATGAATTGCAAACTAATCTAAAGTGACAGAAAACTGATTGACTGGAAAGAGAAAGAGGTAAGGACATAGGGACACAGAGGAGAAATCACAAAGGTGCATGCTTAGAGAATGTTTTCCAGGTAATTTATATGTTAACTATCTTGATGTTCTTTATGTTTTCATGGGCTCATATAGTTCTCGAGACTTATCAAATTGTATACTTTATATATGTGCAATTTATTATATGTTAATTATATCTCAACATGTCTGGTAATAAATTCAAAAAGAAATGTATGTAATATTTAACCTCTCTGTTTCTGTCTCTTTATCTGTAAAACGAACATATTAGACCTGCCTTCCACAGTACTTACCATATAGTAAACAATTTGTATTACTTACTAGTATTTGTGTTGGCTGCTCTACAACTAATACAACTTTCTCCCAAATTTAGGGCCTAAGCACTTTTTACTAAATCTATTAGAATGTGCAAATGTCCTGGGATTATGTGAGATGAGTGATTAGAATTATTACAGGGAAAACTTAGGAAAAAAATTAAAAAGAAGAGACTCATTGGGTCAGAGACTTACAGGTTGGGTGAGAGAATGGAGCCATCTTCCCACTGCCAAGATCCATTTGTTGGAATGTGTACTAGTCCCATCCAATGATATGACTTCACCAGTTTAAGTAAATCCTGTTTGAAACCACAAATAAACTATAAGTAAAATCAGTGTTGATAATTTTAGTAAACGCAAGACCATAACCATTTCATCTGTTCTCACACTTGTAAAAAAATGCATTCTGTCCACTAACTGGCATAATTCTCATCCGAGCACACATACATGATACCTACAATTTCTGTGCTTTGTTATTTTCAATGAAGAAAGATTTAGGGTTGGTATTAGAATAACCAAGTCACAGTGTCCCTTATATGTTCTAGGTTCATATTCCAGTGAGTTGTCTCAGATGTTAGGATTAAATACAGGATGGGAAATTAAAATAAATACTCAACCTGGTCCTCTTTGCTGTATACTTTCAGAAGGCTGGCATTTTGAGACATACAAGAAGCCTGGCTCTCATACCAGTTTTTACTCTCATCAAAAAATTGGTAGCAGTTATTTTTGTAACATATCCAGTTTTTAGGACATGGGCCACAGTAACTTTCTGGAAAAGGAGAATATATTATTAATTCTACACATCTGAACCATTATAGCAGATTTTGTCTAGACAAATTAAATGCCTTTTTCACTCCAACTCTAAAATTTCAGATTATTAAATTATTACAGTCATAACCAAAGGCATATCTCTACATATTCATAGAGAGAAGCCAGGCTGGGTGTGGTGTCTCATGCCTGTAATCCTAGCACTTTGGGAGGCCAAGGCAGGTGACTCACTTGAGGTTAGAAGTTTGATACCAGCCTGGCCAACATGGTGAAACCCTGCCTCTACTAAAAATACAAAAATTAGCCGGGTGTGGTGGCTCACGCCTGCAGTCCCAGCTACTTGGAAGCTGAGGCAGGAGAATTGCTTGAACCTAGGAGGTAGAGGTTGCAGTCCCAGGTACTTGGGAGGCTGAGGCATGAGAATTGCTTGAAACTGGGAGGCGAAGGTTGCATTGTGCTGAGATCACCCCACTGCACTCCAGCCTGGGTGACAGAGTGAGACCCCATCTCAAAAAAAAAAAAAAAAAAAAGAGAGAGAGAGAGAGAAAGATGATGTCAAACCTAAGTAGCCTCTACTTTTTACAAGTATTCCCTCATTGTTAAAAGGAAAACAGAAGCCATAGTGTATTACAGACTAGAATTAATTACTTTTTCCTTTTTTAATCATGGAATACATGTCTACACAATAATGTAGGTAGATACATATAATATATGATCTAAAATATTTTAAAAATTCACTTACCGGTCAAGGGAATTTGAACTTCTTGGTTGAATAATGCTATTAAAATAACCATAAGTATTAAAAGTTTGTATTGTTAGTAACTTATAGTATAAGCAAATATAGTTTACAAATTTCTGGACTAATAGCAAAAATGTGACAAAGATACATTTAATATTTCTAGTTTATGTGTCTGTGTTTATGAATACTAACAAAAATAATACATTAGCATTGTTAAATTGACAATGTTGCAATCTACTTCTCTGTTGTCACTTACAGTTTAGGAATACAGCACTCCATATTGTTACCATAATAATGAAACGGATTCCCATGGCTACAGCGATGAAGCAGCAGAAAAAAAATGGAGATGCTGTCAAAGAAAAAAGACACAGATCAGAGAAAGAAGCATAAAAGGTTTGGGTATCTTTGTATTTAATATAAATATTAGAGTTTTTTAAATGAGAAGGTGGTATTGATCCTTTTTCTGCCTTAATAATTTTTTCCAGAACAGAACATAAATACCTCGCAAATGATCAAAAACTAGAGTACAACAATGTAATATTTCCTTCTATACTTCTCTACAAGTTCCCCAGTCATCCCTAGAGTAAATTATGCTTATGATTTTTTGTTGTTATTGTTTTTTTTTTTTTTTTTTTTTTTTGAGACGGAGTCTCGCTCTGTCGCCCAGGCTGGAGTGCAGTGGCGCGATCTCGGCTCACTGCAAGCTCCACCTCCTGGGTTCACGCCATTCTCCTGCCTCACCCTCCCGAGTAGCTGGGACTACAGGTGCCCGCCACCACTCCCAGCTAATGTTCTGTATTTTTAGTAGAGATAGGGTTTCACCGTGTTAGCCAGGACGGTCTCGATCTCCTGACCTCGTGATCCGCCCGCCTCGGCCTCCCAAAGTGCTGGGATTACAGGCGTGAGCCACCGCACCCGGCCGTGATTTATTATTTTTATGCAGATACAATAATAAACATAAAGAAGGAGGAAGCATCATCAAGATGGCTAACTACAGGCACCCAGCACTCACTTCCACAAAGGACCAAAACAACAAGTAGATAACCACACATTGAATAGAGTGTTGAAGGGAGAAGGCTGGAATTCAGCAAGAAAGTGACCAAGTCTCTCTGAGGCACAGATGCTCAGGGCGATAGCATAGAAAGGGAAGAGAAGCAGGTGACATGGATCAGCTTGGAGCCAAGAGGGACTCTCCACTGAGGAGAAAAGGTAAACAGGAGCTCCCCAGCAGTCCACATTCCCATTATAAATACCTGCTATCCTAGGTATAGGAGAGCTCCACATTCCTCACGATCCCTGAGTCCAGTATAGGGAGTTCACTGACATCCACATAACTGCATTATTCCAGAGTGGGAATTCACACTGGGGTCCCTCCTCTTCTCTGGAACACAGGCTGCAGCAGCACTGCACCATTTTGAGAGTGTAGCCACCACCAAAGTACGCTCTGCCCTGGGGCCTAATAGTTCCTTTATCTTCGCATGTTTGGGGCCCAATAGCTTATGCATCTTCACATCCCTGGGGCCCTGCTGACATTCCACCAAATCCACCTAGAGGACTGTAGCATAGCCACACCAGGTGATCCCAACCAAAGGTGTAGTCATGACCCTTGCATCAAGCCTATACAGAGCCCTATGCCCAGGGAACAGGAGATGCAGCCAAGCACAGAGTCTGTCCTCAGCATAGAGAGAGTCATGCATGCGCCCCCCCAGATTCCCAGAGCCACTCACTTGGAGCCCAGTGCCACCACTGCCAGCAATCCCACTTTCTCCAGCAGCAGGCCAGAAAAGCATGGGATGATATATTCAAAATGCCAAAAAAAAAAAATACCTCCTCCCAAACAAGAATACTGTATTAAGCGAAACTATCCTTTAGAAATAAAGGAGAAATACTCTTCCAGACAAGCAAAAACTGAGGGAATTCATCACCACTAGACTAGCCCCACAAGAGATGCTTAAGGGAGTCCTATATCTGGAAGCAAAAGGACAATATCTATCATCATAAAAATACACAAAAGTATAAAACTGGTTGGTAGAGCAGATACACAAATAAGAAAGAGAAAGGAATCAAACATTATGGCTACAGAGAACCACCAAACCACAAAGATAAATAATGATAGAGGAGAAAAAAATCAATGGGTAGGCAAAACAACAGGTATATCAGAAAACAATTAAGAAAATGGCAGAAGAGCAAGCTGGCTGTGAAGAACCCTTTAGTGATTATCTTCTCACAGAAACATCAAATTAAATAATTATCCATGCAAGAAAATACCTTCAAAAGAATTCAAGAAATTAGGTGCGCTATCACAGTACCCTGATTTTAGCATGATAACGAGAAAAAACACATTAAAGAGGTAAGAAAAGATGGTCTTGCCTTGCCTAAACGCCTCTCTTCCAAACCCAGATAGTGCAGTGCTTAGAGAAAAACTGCCTGCTTGGGAAATGGAAATAAGAGTGTGGGACTTTGTGTCGGAACTTAGACCTGGCCCCACCACATTGGAACACAGCAAAAGACAGAGACCCCATGGCCCTTGATTCCAAACCAGTGCTCATATGGGGAGCATTTTGACCCACCGTGGGCCAGAGGTGAATCCACTGCTTAGGCAGGAAGAACCTTAGTCTCAGCCCACTTTATCACCAGCTGACTAAAGTGGCCTTGGTCCCAAGAAAATTTCAGTGGTTGCAGGCCATAGCAACCATGGCCCTTGGGCAAGCCCTGGCACAGCACTGGTCTGGGAGGCTGTGGACAAACAGAAAACTTTCCAAACCCAGAGAAAGATATGAATAACCAAATACCGGAAGGTCAAAGATTAGCAAGCAGATTCAACCCAAATGAGATCACCACAAGACATATAAAATTTAAATGTTCAAAGCTCCAGACAAAGTGAGAATTTTAAAGGAAGCAAAATTTAAAAAGCAAAATAAATATAAAGAAGCTTCAACACATCTGTTAGCAGACTTCTTAGCAGAAACTTTATAGGCCAAGAGGAAGTGGGGTGACATATTCAAAGACCCAAGGAAAACAAAATGCCAACTGAGATACCGTACCCAGCAAAACTATCGACATGATGGAGAGAAAAAGTATTTCTCAGGCAAACAGAAGTTGAGTGAATTTATTACCACCAGACCTGTCTTACATGATATGCTAAAGAGAGTTTTTTCAGTCAGAAAAAAAAGAACACAAATGTGCAATAAGAAAACATTTGAATGTATAAAACTCACTGATAAAAGTAAGTACACAGACAAATTCAGAATATTCTAATACTGTAATTGTGGTGCCTCAACCACTCAGATCTTATGAAGACCAAAAGACAACTCTATCAAAATAATAGTAATTACAATTTATTAAGAGATAGTCAATATAAAATGATGTAAATCCATACAAACATAAGTCAACATGTGAGAGGAGATGGAGTTAAAGTGTAGAGTTGTTTAGTTTTTTCTTTTGTTGTTTTGTTTTTCTTTGCTTTGTGATCAAAGTTAAGCTGTCATCAGTATAAAATAATTGCTATAAGCTATAAGATGTCCTTGTAAGTCTCACAGTAACCACAAAACAAAAACCTATAATAGATACACTAAAATGAAAATCAAGGAATTAAAATACACTGCCAGAGAAAGCAACTTAATCACAAAGGAAGACAGGAAGAAAGGAAGACTTACAAAACCACTAGAAAACAAGGAACAAAATGGCAATAGTAAGTTCTTACATACCAATAATAATATTAAATGCAAGGGGGCTAAATTCTCCAAGTAAAAGACATAGAGTGACTGAATGGATTAAAAACAAAAAAAACCAAACAATATATTGCCTACAAGAAACCCACTTTGCTCATAAAAACACACATAGACTGACTGTATAGGGATGAAAACAGATATTCCATGAAAATGAAAACCAGTAAAGAGCAGGCACAGCTATACTTAGATAAAATAGACTTTAAGTCAAAAAGAGTAAAAAAGAGTCAAAGAAGACCATTATATAATGACAAATGGGTCACTTCAGCAATATAATATAGTATTTATAAGTATACATATGCACCCAATATTACAGCACTCAGATATATTAAGTAAATATTAATAGATCTGAAGGGAGAAATAGATGAATACAATAAGGGCAGGGGAGTTCAACAACACATTTTAAGCAATGGACAGATCATTCAGGCAGAAAATCATAAAAGAAACATCAGAGTAAAACTATAATATAGACCTAATGAACCTAACTAAATGTACAGAACATTTCATCCAACTGCTGCAAAATACACATTCTTCTTATCAGCACATGGAACATTCATCAGGACAGACCATATGCTAGGTGATAAGTCTCAAAACATTTCCAAAAGTCAATATTATATCAAGTAAATTTTCTGACAACAATGGAATAAAACTAGAAATTGATAACGAGGAACTTTGGAAACTGCACAGATACATGAAAATTAAACAACATGCCTTTGAACAAATAAACAAATTCAGTAAAGTTTCAGGATCAAAAATCTGCATACAAAAATCAGTAGTGTTTCTATACACCAATAACAAACTGGATGAAAAAGAAATCAAGAAGTCAATTCCATTTGTAATACCTACAAATAATAAAATACCCTGGAATAAATTTAATCACACAAGTGAAAGACCTCTACAATGAAAACTGTAAAATACTGATGAATGAAACCAAAGAGGATGCAAAAAAATGGAAAGACATCTCATGTTCATAGACAGAAAGAATATTGTTAAAGTAATCATATGACTCAAAGCAATCTACAGATTCAGTGCAATTCCTAACACGATACCAGTAACATTCTCTACAGAAATAGAAAAATATCTTAAAATTTATATGGTACCACAAAAGACTGAATAGCCAAAGCAATCTTGAACAAAAATGAAGAAAACTGGTGGCATCACGTTACCTGACTTCAATATATACGACAAAACTACAACAACCAAAACAGTATGGCATTGATATAAAAATAGACACCTAGACCAATAAAACAGAATAGACAACCCAGGAATAAATCCATGTATTATAGCCAACTGATTTTTCCAGAAAGTCACCAATAACATACACTGGGAAAGGAGAGCCTCTTCAATAAATGAAGCTGAAAAAACTGGATATCCACATAGAGGAATGAAATTAGACCCTCATCTCACACCATATACAAAAATCAACTCAAAATGGATTAATGACTTAAATATAAGAACTGAATCTATAACACTACTAGAAGAGATAAGAGAAACACCACAGGACATTAGTCTAGGCAAAGATTTTATGGGTAAGAATTCAAAAGTACAGGCAACAAAAGCAAAAAGAAACAAATGAGATTGTATCAAACTAACACACTTCTCTACTGCATAGGAAACAATTGACAGAGTGAAGAGACAACTTGTAGAATAAGAGAAAATACTCGCAAACTATTCCTCTAACAAGAGACCAATATCCAGAATATACAAGGAATTCAAACAACTCAACAGCAACAACAAAAACTGATTTGAAAATGAGCAAAGGATCTGAATAGATATTTCTGAGAAGATATACAAATAGCCACAGATATATTTTTTGAAATTCAACATCATTCATCATCAAGAAGATGAAAATCAAAACCACAATGAATATCATCTCACCCTAGTTAGAATAGCTATTATTTAAAAAGACAAAAAATAACAAATGACAGTGAGGATGCAGGGAAAGGCTAATGTTTATACAATTTTGGTGGGAATGTAAATTAGTATAGCCATTATGGAAACAGTATGGAGGTCCCTTAAAAAACTAAAAATATAACTACCATATGACTCAGCAATCTGGGTCTTTCTCCAATGGAAAGGAAATCAGTATATTGAAGTAACGTCTGCACCCCCATGTTTATTGCAGCATTATTCACAATAGCCAAGATATGGAATTAACCTGTGTCCATTAACAGATAAATAGCTAAGCACACACAGACACACACACACACACACACACACACACAGAGGAATACCATTCAGTCATAAAAAAAAGAATGAAAAGAATGAAATCCTATTATTTGCACCAACATGGATGAGTCAGAAGTACATAATGTTACGTAGAGTAAATCAGGCATGGAAAGATAAATACCACATGTTCTCACTCATATGTAGGAGATACAAACTTTTAGCTCACAGAAGTAGAGAGTAGAATTGTGGTTATTTAAGGCTAGAAAGAATAGGGGGGAGGAGAAGATTGGGAGAGGTTGGTTAATGAATACAAAATTACAGCTACATGCGGGATTTTTCTAGTGTTCTATAGCACTGTAGGGAGAGTACTGTTAAGAGTAATTTATTGTATATTTTCAGATAGCTAGAAGAGAAGGTTTTGAATGTTCCCAACACAAAGAAGTGATAAATGTTGAGGTGATGGGTGTGCTAATTACCTTGATTTGGTCATTAGACATTGTATAGTTGAATGGAAATATCACTGTATCCCATAAATATGTATAATTATTACATGCCAACTAAAAATAAACAAAAATTACCGTTCCCCTTAACTACATATTAAAAATACATTTTAAAGAAACTATAATACACAAAATATCCTATGAATTTTTTTTTTTTTTTTACCTAAGACAATATCCTGGTGATTAGTCCTCATGGCGTATAAGGATACCAAATTTATAAATAGCTGCATTGTATTTCACTGACAACTCTGGACAGATCTAATTTTTGACGGACTGTCAATTTTTTTTTCCAGTGGATATTTAAATTGTTTCTTAGGTCTTGCTATGAGAAATAATGATACATTTCATACCCATCTGTGCATATTTTTGAGTCTCTCTCTGGGATAAATTCCCACAATGATAATTGTTGAGGGAAAGGGCATGTGTGTTTTAAATTTTGGTAACAATTGAATATTTTAGTCCAAAAAGGGATTTTTACATATAGCACTTTGCATTCCTTAAATTAATTCTTGTAAAGAGATGCTATTTGTTAATAATTTGTTTCTTAGTTTTTAATAAAAATTGATAAGTGAGGGTCATCTGTTGTTTTCCTTTTCATACAAACTATATAAAGGTCTATTACCAATAATATTCTGCTTTGAAAAAAGTCATTGGAGAATATATCTTCTTCACTGAACTCAGAAACAATTCTATAAATAATAATCAAGCTACCACTTCTATAATGTTTAGGAACATATCTCTGGAGGGTTTTTAAAATATCTTTTCTCTTCTCTTTTTCATTTCTATTTAGTTTTCTTTTCAGTGATCTCTTAGAAACTCCTGCCTCGATTATATTATCATGATAATAAACTCATCATTTTTTAGGGCGTGACAATATTCTAAACTCAATAGCTTTTAATACCATAATTTTATTATATATTTTAATATTATATGAGAGTTCATGTTATTCCTGCTTTCCTCATGAAGATAAAGTCAACTGAATGATTGCCATTCATTTAATCACATAGTTTCCAAGATTCATTTCAATATACTGAGAGTAGACAAATGGAACATAGGACTTACCATTTTCTCTACATTTGCTTTTGACTACTGGACATCTTTGCTTTTGCCATCGTGTTGAAAAATCACTCTTCTTCAGATCCAAGTTATAATTATGAAATTCACTCATCTCTAGAGAAAAAGAATTCAGGCTTATATGAGTCATGGCCTTTCTGCCATTTGGGGCATAAATTTTAAAAATTCAGCTTGCCATTTCCATCTATGTACTTCCCCTGACTATCCTTTTTAAAGTACAACATGAACTTACTTTTGTTTTATAGTACTACATTATTATGTTTACACTTTACTATATAAATAAAACTATATTTATGCCATGGAAAGTACCCTTAGCAAAATCCTATATACTATTAAAATTAGTTAATTCGTAATGTATAATGAAACCTAACATTACCAGAAAGGGACTTGGTTAGTGAAAAGGCAGATGTAGGGAGAAAGACATGTATTTAAATCACAGATCCACATATACAAACTTGATAACTTCACAAATAACCTAGCTTTTGCATCCCAGTTTTCCTAATTTGCAAAAGACGAAAGAAATAAAAAAGAAAAGGATACTGTCACAATCCAGTATGGGTATTTTAAAAATAAAATAAAAATATAATGAACTTAGCATCAATAACATCAATCATTTAGTAAGCTTTTAGTAAATAGCAGTGTGTCTAATTTTCTTCTTTTCTTTTTTTTTTTTTGAGATGGAGTGCAATGGCGTGATATTGGCTCACTGCAACCGCCGCCTCCTGGGTTCAAGCGGTTCTCCTGCCTCAGCCTCTTGAGTAGCTGGGATTACAGGCTTGTGCCACCATACCTGGCTAATTTTTGTATTTTTAGTACAGACGGGGTTTCACCATATTGGCCAGGCTGGTCTCGAACTCCTGACCACAGGTGATCTACCCACCTCAGCCTCCCAAATTTCTGGGATTATAGGCATGAGCCACTGTGCCCAGCCATCTAATTTTCTTTATAATGAAGGACATACATAGGCTAAAATAGTGGGGTCTAATGATTTAGAACAAAGACAGATAATCTTGCCTCTGAACAAAATACCTAAAGAATCATTTTGCTCTCTTGAAATATTAATTATTTACTGATGATTAATATTTACTTAAAAGCCTTTTTTAAACTTTTATTTTTGGTTCAGGGGTGCATGCGAAGGTTTGTTACATATGTAAATTCATGTCACGGGGGTTTGTTGTACAAAAGCCTTTTATAAATTAAATGATAATATGAATTATATTTTATAGGTAAAATTAGACATTGATTGCGCATGTAATACCTAACTCAGTTATTTTACATATGGAGTAAAGAGAGTAGGTATCACTTTATGGATGAAGAAATTGAATGCTAGAGATGGCCAAAATCATAAAGCTTATTTAATATAATGTTACCAACTGTGAATAAGTTATAAATTTATAAACACCTTTAGGATAAAAAGTGCTTTAACATACATGTCAGTTGATTTGAATATTACACAAATCTAAGATAAATATGGAATGTTTCATGCCTGTATTTGATAGAAAAAGAAACTAAACTAAACTACACAGAGGTTGCAAATTGACCCTTCAAATCTAGAGAGCGGTAAAAGTTTGAGTAAAATTCAAGTCTGACTCCACATCTATTTCACTATTTCAAGCTGTCCCAAGTTGTGAGCGACTTTACCATAATATAGTTAATAAAATAAAGGGAAAAAAGTTTTTAAGTTTTGGAAGACTTGATTTAAAATACAATATGAACATAACATGAAATCAACATAAATAGAACATGAAAAGAATCAGAGTAAATTGCTTGCCTATGCCTTATATGCTTGTATGAAATTCTTGGTATCTTAAAATTGTATAAAAACAAAACTACACACTTATGTGGTAAAAACATACCCCAGCTGTGTCGAGACCTCCGACCACGAATCCACCCCATCAAATACTTATAAGTGCACGTCTACCGCAGAGAGGAATCTAAAGTCTTCAATGCACAAAGGATTCCTGAATAAAATAAAACTGGGCATTTGTTTTTTGTTCTCTTTCCCGTGGTGAGATAAAATATTTTGAATAGAAAAGTAAAATGCAGAAACTTTTCCCCTGTGCATGCCTTTAAGAAAAGAATAGAAATGACAATTCACATAAAGCCAGGCAAAATTAATTTTATACATTTCTCTTGGTTGTAAAATAATCGCCAATTACTTCAAAATGTCATAACAATATAATGAACCTATTAATTCACCTACATTGAGATATTTAATACCAATATTTTACTTTACTGATATTAGATAACAACACACCCAGTTTTCTGTTTATAGTCGTTTATTGCTTCTTGGCCTTTTAGCTAAGATCAAGTGTTTCCAGTTGTTTATTTTATCTGGCAATAATTTAGTTTTCTTTCTGCAAGCTAAACTCAGGTAAGTTATATGCACTTTTGTTGAATGTCCTTTTCTAGTGCATTTTAATCCAACGTGCCCATATCATCATCATCAACAAATTATCATCACCATCATCATTAACAAAACTAATCTCACATGTTTATATAGTAACATCTTAGCAATGCACAGCAGAGCTTCCAGAAAAAACCATTTAATAAATAAGCATAGTGCTTAGATTTCAAAAATAAAAGCTATTTCATATTTGATTATGATAGTTGGAAAGCACAGATATAACTTGTTTCACCTTGCATGTAAAGATGTGTATCAAAGGTAAGTGCCCCCTACAGCATCAGAAAACTCAAAAATTTGACAATTTAAATTGAATCTCAATTCTTCTCATCCTAAATGTAAAGATTCATTTTTCTAGTTTTGCTTAGAGACAAGGCTTCTTCTTATAGTAATATTACAACTTCTGATTCTTCAATAAGTATATCCTAATTACCTATCATCAGATACAGTGATAGAATATACATCAGAAATGATAAGCATTCCGTATCCTCAGGAGTTCTATTCAAGCATCTAAGAAACAATTAGAATTACCTTATAGTGTAAATATTTTTATTTTTTTGAGGTTGAAATATAATTTCTCATATCTTGAATAATAAACACACACACATACACACATACACACACCTGCTCAGAGAGGGAAGATCTTGATTCTTGTGGATAAAAGCCTTCTATAAAACTAGAAAATTTAGATATGTCCTCAGTTCCTGATCTAGAATTGAAAGTGGAGATACTTAGTGAATTTCTATCTTTGAGAAAGATGTGACAAATATTATAATCTCATCTTCCTGTGGAAAAACATAAACCACAGTACTTCCGCCTTATCACTACAAAAATATTGTTAATTTGGTAAAAGAGTTAAGACCACCCATTGTTGGATAAATGTTAGGTTGGTGCAAAAGTAATTGTAGTTTTGCCATTATTTTAAATAACATTTTAGGATTTGAAAATGATGAATTTAAATGATGCCATTTAATCCTAAATATTTTAGAGATTCAATTCAATTCCAGTTAATACCTCAGGTTTTGTTGTAGAACTTACAAAGCAGAATTCTACATGTACATTAAATTACAAAAGTCAAGACTAGGAAAGTCACAATTGAAGATGAAGAAAATGTGGGAGCCTTGTTTTACTAGATAGTAAGACCTATGTTAAAACCGTATTAATAAAGGCAAAGTGGCATGTGGGGCATAGATAGACAAATTGAGAAGGGTAAAAATACAGACAAGAAAAAGTCATGTGCATAGATTAAAAAATATAAGGTAACATTGCAGATAAAGTGGGAAATTAGCTCCTATTCAATAATTTGTCCTGGGTTACTATCACACTGGCCTTTAAGTTACAAAAAATTAGTCCTGGGAATTTTTAAATTTTAATATAAAAAACATGAAATTGCATCTCTGTCATATCTACATCATATGCAGGAGAATTAGAAACTTAAATATATACCCCAGTATACATAAGAATAATATATGAATTGATACCAATGAACAAGATAAGCTAAATATATATTTTATGTTTATTAATTTAAAATACTAACATAAGACATCATATAAAGTAATATAAGATGAACACATTATAACATTTTAACAAAAACCAAAGCTATTAATCTTAAAACTCTGAAATATAAGGAAGGAAAACAGCTTTCATGTGGTGATGTGTTAAAGTTGGACAATAAATTTATTCAACATTTTTTTTCTTTAGCGAATGCTATTTGCTATGCACTTTTCTAGATCTTGAGAATGTCAAAGTAAACAATCCAAAAGAAAGTTTTTGCCCACATGGAAATTAATTACTTTTTTTTTTTTTTTTTTTAAGAGATGGAGTTTCACTCTTGTTGTCCAGGCTGGAGTGCAACGGGGCGATCTCGGCTCACTGCAACCTCCGCCACCTGGGTTCAAGCAATTCTCCTGTCTCAGCCTCCAGAATAACTGGGATTACAGGCATGTGCCACCACACCTGGCTAATTTTTGTATTTCTAGTAGAGACGAGGTTTCACCATGTTAGTCAGGCTGGTCTCGAACTCCTGACCTCAGGTGATCCTCCTGCCTCAGCCTCCCAATGTGCTGAGATTACAGACGTGAGCCACCACACCCAGCTGGAAATTACTTTTTAGTTTAGGTGATATAAAATGAATAAGTATAAAACAAATTCAAAATTAAACAAGATAGGTGAATATAAAACAAGTTGAAGAAAATATGTTATTTTCTGACATACCAAGATTCTTTTCAGCTAATCAACATTTTCTATTAGCTATTTTATATAGTAAAAATAGATCTATATAGAGGAAATATAGGCTGATATTTTCTAACAACTACATTTTAACAAATATTTGGTTTTTGAAAGGAAATGAATAAATGAGTAAATGCAGGCTTTTTATGGGAAAAACCTGAATCACAATTTCCTGAAGAGTTATTTTTATATATGTAGTTTTCGATTGAATAGAGATTGTCTCTTAAATACAGAATTGAGAAAAGGGGGATAGGAATAGGATAAAAAAGAACATTTGAATATCCTACCTATTTCGTTTAGTTCAAATGGCAACTTACAGCCAACTGGGAAGTCCCCACACATACCTAAAAGAAGATTTCTGAAATAAATACCATGATAAAGCTAAGCACCAGGGAGAGTTTTATTGTCATATATAAAGGTCCCTAAACCAACTGACAGAGTGTGGAAAGGATTCTTAAAGAAGAAAATTCTAAAATGGGTCCTGTATGTCGGGTTAAAACAATTAGTTAGATAAAGAAATAGTATGTTAAAACTCCAATTTCTTTCTCAATGTTGAACATACACTCACTTTGCTGTAGTCATGATAGTAAACTTATTGGGGATTTGCTGGGCATTTGTACTGGTTTATTCTATGTGAATTGCAAAAGGACATAGCATAGTTTTCAGATAAAATACTTTCTAATAAGTGAAATAAAACCAACGCAATTAACTTCTGCAGAAAGAATAATTTGACTATAAAAGTACCTGAACAAACTTCATATAGACGTATCTATATAACTTTCAAAAACTATTGTTAGAAGAAAAATTACAATATTTTGCAAACAGCCTGGGCTCAAGTCATTTGAGAACATCCATCACCACAATAAACTATTTAATTACTTTCATTAGTTGAGAAGAGCCAACAATCAACCGGCCTTTTTGGTCAGTAAGCTAACTCGCACTGTGGCCTCAGAAAACCCTTCTCTTCTGGTACACAGGAAAGACTTAACACGCAGCCAACTTGTGGTTAGAAACAGAGTGCTTGGCAGGTTGCTGGCTTCAAGCTGTGACACTAAAGCTGGATGTGGTCAGAGGCGTTTACTGGACGCTTGCCCAAATATGAAAGCTTAAGATGTGCAGCTATTGCCAAGCAAAAATTTTGTAATCTTGACCTTTTGGTAAATGTGTTTGAATTGACAAAAGACATGTCAAAAAGGACAAATTTTTAAAATTCACATGGACAATAAAGAAAATAAAAAGGAGTGGAAGAAATAGAGCTGAGTCTTTGGATATGCAGGGGCATCTATGGCCACACCACCATGATGCATCCAGTCTCGTCTGGACACGCATGGGCATATTGAAGCAGAAGTGAAATGATGACTAATGTAAAAGTAAAAAAGTCTGCAAACATATTTTAAGAAATATGTATATATATATTTTCAGAACCTATTTTCCATTCAGCTAGGTATTAAGTACTGGGCTACACATACTGACATATAATGTTAACTGGTGTATTGTAATTATATGAACTCAAGGCAGAGATTCCATAAATCTGGAATTTATACTTTGGGGAAAAACAGGTCATCATCTTGGCAATTAATTAATTTTCTCTGGCACAGCTTCCTAAGCCAGGAATGATTAAATGATTTTTTTGCCCCATCTCAGTTGAAATTTTGTATAATTCTAAAATTTAGCAATTCAATTGAAATATCTTTAGCAAATATTTGTGTTATATTAACTTAATCCATGCTAGGACACACCATTGTTTTGATTGTTTAATTGCAATCTATATGGTATAACGGAACAGAAAAGTGTTTTTCCCACTCTGGTATTATCTTTATAATTGTGCATAAATAGCCATACATAAATAGTAACTTTAAACAATTGCTCTCAAGTAAGTCACATGCATGATTTGCAGGTCAGATGACATCATATTTTTTATTAGCATCCTGGTTACTTTTCTCTGATTGCTTATTTGATTGCCATTAAACCTTCCATTTCCTGCTATAGTGATAATCTCCACATTCATAGATGGAACGATGCCTTTAACGACTTCTGCATCTTGGATTCAAATGGATTTTGTGTTTACTTCAGTGCTTCAAATATCAAAGAAGTCTAGAATTTTGAAGATGACTTAAATTTGTGACATTACTTACCACAAGTGCCTAAAGACACAGATATAGGGATAAGACAGCATTTTTCTTCCTAAGGAAAATGGCTCATTAATTGTAGAAATGAGTGAAGCAAGGTGTCTCAAGTCACATTTTTTTCCCTCTTACGTACCTATTAGCAGGTGCTCAAATTTTAGTTGACTTATTTCTCCTTCCTTTATCCCCAGTAGCTTCATTTGTGTGCAAAGGAATAAAAAATGCAAGTGGTTAAAAGTCTACAACGCTTGCATTATATTTTGGCGAATATAAAAATCACTACTAAAATCTTACAATGTTCCTCTTGAGGTCTTAGCCAAGAGGTCCTGGCGTTTTTCTGCACTGTAATAATGTTGTCTTCATAATTTGACATAGAAGTAATAGTACCAAAGCTTAACAAAAATAAGTAAATAGGAAATTACTGATATTTTCATAATATCATTCTATATTTATTTATTGAGCTTTTATCTATTATGGAGCAAGCATATTGTTTGGCCATGAATAAACAAAGTTCAATAAAGTATAAAGCACAGTTCCTATCATCTAGTTGTCCACACTCTATTTAAGGCATACACAGAAGCAGATGGTTTTAAATTAGTATGTAATTCACAACGGTAGACACAAACTCTGGGTGTTTTAAATGATAGTATTATAAAGGACAATTTTCTAATAGGTCTCCAGTATTAAATGTGAGAAAATGGTGTTAGAGAAGGTGTCCTAGATTGGGTGATTTCTGGAGATTAAAAAAAAAACGTTAGAAATCAAGGTAATGTTGTTAAAACATACAAAATACCAAAGACAGAAATCTCTAAAACATAGAAGAGAGACATTAAAATGAATAAAAAATGCTATATGCAGTCCAGTATTGTTGGTTTATTAAGTGGCGTTATGAAGAGCTGGAGATGAAAACAGCCTGGGGCAACCTGGAACCACAAGAAAGGGTGTGAGTGATGTAGGGAAAAGAAAGAGAGATCAGACTGTTACTGTGTCTGTGTAGAAAGGGAGGAAGGCCACTGTCTCCTGCCTGCCCCTGGGAACTGAATGTGTCGGTATAAAACCCGATTGTACATTTGTTCAATTCTGAGATGGGGGAAAAACCACCCTATGGTGGGAGGCGAGACACGTTTGCAGCAATGCTGCCTTGTTATTCTTTACTCCACTGAGATGTTTGGGTGGAGAGAAACATAAATCTGGCTTACGTGCACGTCCAGTCATAGTACCTTCCCTTGAACTTAATTATGACGTAGATTCTATTGCTCACATGTTTTTTTCCTTATTATCACCCTGCCCTCCTACTACATTCCTTTTTGCTGAAAGAATGAAGATAATAATCAATAAAAACTGAGGGAACTCAGAGACCAGTGCCCACTGCAGCTCCTTGGTATGCTGAGCGCCAGTCCCCTGGGCCCACTGTTGTTTCTCTATACTTTGTCTCTGTCTTATTTCTTTTCTCAGTCTCTCGTCCCACCCGACTAGAAATACAGGTGTGGAGGGGCAGGCCACCCCTTCAAGTGAGAAGAAAGATTTATAATCTAAGCTATGTTGTTTGATAGTACCATGTAGTCAGTAAAAAGCCTTTGAGGGGTTTTAAGGAAGAGGTTAACAAGGCAGGGTTTCCATGCTTTGAGCAGACAATGTGACCTACTCAGAAGATAATGAATTTGATATTAATGGGGCTAGAACAGGCACAAATGGTTAAGGGCCACATGCCATAGAAGCAAATGATGTTTTTACGTGGAACTGTGATATTAACAAAGAAAACTATTTCTCAGTGGAAATACCAATCTCTACCAGAAAGGAGAACTAATTACTGACAATGCTACACTAGAACAGATTTAGAATGTAATGTTGGTTTCCTTCTCTGAGGAAGTGGGGTGTATCTAAATGGCTGTTATTGTTATATAGCAACATTGTGGTTGCTGCATAGTAACCTTGTGTGTTTATTACCAATTTATTGCCTCTTAGTTTCAAATCTATCCTTCACCATCCTGCTCTACCATAATGAAAGCAGAGCCCATAAAATTTCTCCCTTGCCAGCTTATATGATAAATTTTGTCCCTAAAAGGCAGTGTGTAGTCTGGAGGAAAAAGGGTTTTTCTTCCTGGTTTTATGATACTTTCTCTCCTTTTGCTCCTATGACTGTGGCTACCAGCTGCATGTTTGCATAACATCCTGCGGTATTTACCCTCCAGCAAGTTTTTGTTAGCTGTCCGGATCCCTGTTACATGCCTTCCGGTATCTAGCTCCAGCACTCTGGAATGAAAACTCTTCCTCCTGGCCAGTCACAGCGTGAGATCCATCCTCGCCAATTTCAACTTGCTAGTTTTAGAACTGCCCTGTCCTAGGGCCACCCACAATTGTTGAATTGTCATTTTAAACACCTTCAAAGACTAGAAGAAATTAATTCATCGTGGAAATATTCATTTTATTCAGCACTTAGAAATAACAGTTCTTGATAATATTATGATTTATAATTTATACATGGTGTATTTTAATGAATTGCAGGTGTTTAAGAAATAAGTAACATAGCAGGGCGCGGTGGCTCATGCCTGTAATCCCTCACGCCTACAATCCCTCACGCCTGTAATCTCAGCAGTTTGGGAGGCCGAGGTGGACAGATTGCTTGCGGTAAGGAGTTTGAGACCAGCGTAGCCAACATGGCGAAACCCCATCTCTACGAAAAATTAGCCAGGCATGGTGGTGAGTGCCTGTAGTCCCAGCTACTTCGGAGGTGGAGGCCGAAGAATTGCTTGAGCCTGGAAGGCTGAGATCTCAGTGAGCCGAGACTGCCACTGCACGGGTGACAGAGCGAGCCTCTGTCTCAAAGAAAGAAAGAGTATGTACCTGGATATGTATTTTTAAAATAATGTAAAGATTTAAAAATAGTTCGAAGAACCTAATTGTATGGCTTTTGAAGCAACTAGAAGTATGTTCTTTACAGATGGTGGGAGTAATGTTATATTAAGTTTGTGTAAGCTATAACACTTAAGTGTTTATAAGCATGTTTATAAGCTGGTGTTTACAAGCATGTTTTTATTTCCGAACAAAATTCAAAAGAAGTTTGTCTTTGTAAAAATTCAGATGTGCACAGTTCTTGTTCCTCTCTGAAGATATTGGAAATGTATTGCTAATACTGGTAATATATAACAATTTTTTTATGAATAGATGACTTATTTAATAGTTACGTATCTAAATCTGAATATTTTCTATATAATTTGTCTATGGAAACAAATATTTATACAATTGTTCACATATTGCTCTTTTCTTTGTAATGTTATTCCTTCTAGGTATAAAATATAGACGTTCTCAAGAAGATTAGTGTTTGCAATAGAAAGCTGGGCCATTTGGCCACACCTGCAAATGATTATTGGTTTTGCGGGAGACTGCAATCCATAAAAAATTACTGGCAGAGTTTGAGAATTTGTATAAGAAAACAAATTTTATGAGATGCAAAATCAATACTATTATACTAATTTAAATTTTGTAATAGCAAAGCTAATTCTTGTTACTTTTCAGTCTTTCAATTCACTAAGATAATGAGTGTTACGCACTGAACACATACAAATGTATTGCTGTGACTGAATGAAGAGGACAAATTAACAAAGCAATTCCGAGGCCCTGGAAATTGATCAAAGGCTAATAATCATTTGTGAACTATTTATTCTTGGAAAAACTGCTAGAGATTCAAGGAAGAGTGCAGCAAATTTGTAGTAAGTTTACCTAGTGCTGCTCCCGTGCCTTCTGCCCACCCACCACACCCAGCACAGTGAGTAACAGTTGCAGTTTTTACAGCTGGGGGAAAATCAACAGTGTTTTTTGCCACAAGGACAGACTTGATTAGCGGTCAGAGGTTGGGGCATAGTGTAACAGACCACTGCTTTTCAACTGAAAGTGCTGAATTTTGCAGGAAATGAATGAGAAAACCCCATTTTTTGTTGTTTTTTATTTTTTTTAGTCTGAGGTGTAGTCTCCTCTGGGGCAAGAACAGTGCCAGCCATAAATATAACAAAATCCTAAACATGAGAGTGCAATAGACCTCATGACATTAGCCCTCTACATATTCTTTAAATTTTTTTTTAAATTGACACATTGTAATTGTACATATTTATGGGGTACAACTTGATGTTCAATACATATATATGTTACATTAAATAATCAAATCAGGGTATTTAGTGTATCTGTCTACCTCATGTATTTATCATTTCTTTGTGGTGAGAACGTTCAAAAGCCTCTGTTCTAGCTATTTTGTAATATGCAATATCTTACTGTTAACCATCATCACCCTACTATGCAATAGAACAGAACTTATTCCTCCTACCTAACTATAACTTTGTACCCATTGACCAAGCTCTCACCCTGTCCCCCTCTTTTTCTCTCCTCCAGTCTCTGTTGACCACTGTTCTGGTGTTTTTCTGGTGATCGCTCTGCTTCTATAATATCAGCTCTTTTTTGCTTTATTTCTACATGAGTGAGATTATGTGATATTTGTCTTTCTGTATCTGCCTTATTTCACTTAACATGATGCTCAGCAGGTTCATCCATGTTGTATAAATGACAGGATTTTATTCTTGATTATTGAAAAAAATATGCATATGTGTAGAGGAGACCAGGGTGATTCCAGTAAAAAGTAAAAGCCCAAGGAGACTTGAGAACTGATTGCAAATTTATGAACACTTCCTTCACCACACACACACACACACACACACACACACACCGCTAGCACAGAGTGGAGCCTCTACTAACTTAAGGTTTTCGAATAAACCTTTTAAAATAATATATTGGCTGACAACCAAGCTATGCAATTCACAAGGGCAATCCCTAGGAAATGGGGCTAAAAAATAAAAATAAAAAATTAGAATTTGAAACAAAAACATCAGCAAATGCATTTTAAAGGAGAAAGATTCTGCAGTAAAATTTTATGTAAGTTACCCCCCCAAAATCTTTATAAACCCCCCAAATTTATTTGTATGATACTATATTATAAAAAATGTCTATTATAAGAAATTAGAAAACATGCAGAAACTGGAAAATGTCTTCCATACTTGGAGGGAAAGACAATCAGTCAATAAAATCTGACTTTTTCTGGGACAAGATGGTAGATTTATCAGAAAATATATTTTAAAGTAACTATTATAAATGTACTTAAATTATACAGAAAAGTATGTTCAATTAATTAAATGAAAATATGATGGCAATGAGAAAACAAGTAGGAAATTTTGTCAGAGAAATGAAAACCAAGAAATAAACCAAATTCTGAGTTGAGAAGTACATTACTTGAAACGAAAAATTCACTAAATTGGCTAGAAAAAAAATTGAGATTCAAAAGGAAGAATTCATCAACTTTGGGATATATTAATAGAAATTATTCATCCCAGAGAAAAAGAGAATACAGAAAGATGTAGAAAAATAATATTAAGACAAAACTGACTTAAAAACTTTTCAAATTTGCTTTTTTAAAAATGTATACATCCAAGATGCTAAGCAAACTAATGACTAATAGAATCAGCATGTAGAAATCCCCATCTCAAAACATCATAATCAAATGATTGAAGAGGATTTTAAGACAAAGACCCTGAGATAATCTTGTGGAACAGGTAGGACGGATTATGAGATGACTTGAGTCTGTGTGAATGCCAGGGAATGGTTGAGGTATCCCCCACCAGCAGGAGTATTTTGACCACATTACCTTCCAGAGAACCCACATTTGCCCTGAATACTATTCTAGATTGGAAGGAGGCAACATCAACAAGATAGAGGAATAGCATACCCCAGCACTTGCTCCCCATAGAAACAACAACTTAATACATCCAGAAATAAACGTCGGTACATATGGACTAGTGATTTTCAATAAGAGTGCCAAGACCATTCAATGGGAAAAGGGCAGTATCTTCCAGAAATAGTGTTGAGAAAACTGGCTAAACATATGCAAAAGAGTGAAATCAAAGCCTTACATTACACCATCTACAAATATTAACTCATAATGTATTGAAGACTTAATGATAAGATCCAAAACTGTAAAACTTCTAGAAGAAAACATGTGAGGAAAGCTTCATGAAATTGGATTTAGCAATCATTTCTTGATAAAACACCCAAATCACAGCCAACAAAAGCAAAAAATAGGCAAATGGGATTACATCAGACTTAAAAATGTCTGCAGAGCAAATGATTGAAGCAACAAAATCATGTATCTAATAAGGGATTAATATCCAGAATATATTAAGAACTTATGTAATCCAATGACAAAAACCCTAATAACCCTATTTAAAAATGGACAAAGGATTCAAATAGATATTTCTCCAAAGAAGATATACAAATGTCCAATAAGCATATGAAAAGATGCTCAACATTACTATCATCAGAAAAACATAAATCAAAACCACTGTTAAATATCACTTCATACCCATTAGCATGGCCGCTATGAAAAAAGCAGAAAATAACAATTATTGCTTAGGTTGTGAAGAAATTTGGGCCCTTGTGCACTGTTAATGAAAATGTAAAATGGTACAGTCACTATGGAAAACATTATGGAGGTTCCTCAAAAAATTTAAAATTGAGTTGACATATGAACCAACAATCTTACTTCTGTAGAGCCAAAGGAGTTGAGATCAGGAACTTGAACAGGTATCGGCACTCCCATGTTCATTGCAACAGTTAAAACATAGAAGCAACATACAAGCCCATTGATGAATTGGTGGATAAAGAAAATGTGGCATGTGTATAAAATGGAATACAATTCTGCCATTAAAAAGAAGAAAAAGCTATTGCAACAACATGGATAAACCTGAAGGACATTATGCTGAGTAAAATAATAGTAAATTCATAGAAGCAGGGAGTAGAAGGGTGGTTGTCAGGGGCTGGGAGAGGGAAAAACAGGAGAGTATTAGTCAAAGGGTACAAACTTTCAGTTATACGAGATGAACAAGGTCTAGATATCTGTTTTACTACACAGAACCTGTAGTTAATAATGTTGTATACTAAAGATTTGGCTAAGAGCGTAGATCTTAAGTGTTTGTATCACAAAAAATAATAATAAAGAAGGTGGAAGGAAACTTCTGGAGATTACAGATATGTTTATGACACAGATTGTGGTGGTTTCATGGTTATACACTTATCTCTAATCTTATCAAGTTGTATGCATTAAATATGTACAGCTTTTTGTATGTCAATCATACTTCAATAAAGTTGTTTAAACATTTTTAAAAAGGATAATATACTTTATTTTAAAAAAGGAAGTCTTGTTGCATGCTGCAACATGGATAAATCTTAAGGACATTATGCTAAGTTAAATAAGCCAGTCACACAAAAAAAATGCTGCCTGCTTTATTTATATGAGATATCTAAAGTATTCAAACTCATAGAAACAGAAAGTAGAATGCTGATTGCTAGGGGCAAAAAGGGGAGTTGTCCAATGTGTATAGAGTTTCAGTTTTGCAAAATGAACAAATTCTAGAAATCTGTTGTAAAATGTGAATATAGTTAACACTACTGACCTGTTCACTTAAAAATGGTTGAGATATATGATATGGTTAAGATGTAATGGCTCAGATGTAACATACTGTATGAGTTCAACTATATGACATTCTGGAAAAGTAAACAACTATGGAGACAGTACAAAAATCGATGCTTGCCATGTGTTTGAAGGAGGAAAGGATGAATGGGCAGAGCACAGAAGATTTTCAGGGCAATGCAATTATTCTGTATGATCTATGATGATAAAGACATGTCATTATCATTATATATTTGGCCAGACCCATAAAGTGTAAAACACTGAGTGAAACTTAACATAAGCTATGGTCTTTCAATAATAATGATGTTTCAATTGTAACAAATATACCATGCTGATGGGGGATATTGATCATGGGAGAAGTAGTGCATGAGTGAGGACCATGGGAAGTCTCTGTAGCTTTCTCTCAATTTTCACAAGATGTGGAACCAGTATATAAATAGATACCTAGATTAATCAAATAGACTACAAAGTGCAAAAATGTATCCACAAATATATGGAATGTAGAATAGTTCAAGAAAGATGTAAAGGCATTCAGTGGAGAAAGTATAATCTTTTTAACAAATGTTTAAACACTTGGCTATCAATATGCACACACAAAATATTTTGATCTATACCTCATACCACATACAAAATAAGCTCAACTTGTGCACAGCAAAAGAAACTTTAAGCTCCTATAAACAGACAACCTACAGAATGGGAAAAATATTTGCAAACTATGCACTTGACAAAGGTCCAATATCCAGAATCTATGAGGAACAATTAAATAATCAAATAATAAATAATCCCATTAAAATAGGCAAAAGACATAACAGACAATTCTCAAAAGAAGACATACAAGCGGCCAAAAAACACATGAAAAAAATATGAAACATAATTATCAGAGAAATGCAAATCAAAGCTGAAATGAGATTCCATCTAACACCAGTCAGAAGGACTATTACTAAAATGTCAAAGACAACTGATGTTGGCAAGGCTTTGGAGAAAAGGGAACACTTACACACTGAAGGTATGAATGTAAATTAGTCCAGCCACTGAGGAAGGCAGTCCAGAGATTTCTCAGCGAACTTAGAACTACCATTTGATCCACCAATCTTACTACTGGGTATATCCCCCAAAAGACACATGCACTTGCGTGTTCATCACAGCATTCTTCATAATAGCAAAGACATGGAATCTCCCTAAATGCCCATCAAGGATAGGCTGGATGAAGACAATGTGGTACATACACACCATGAAATACTAGGCAGTCATAAAAAAAGAACAAGATTATGTCCTTTGCAGCAACATGGATGCAGTGGAAGGCCATTATTCTAAGCCAATTAACACAGAAACAGAAAACCAAATACTGCATGTTCTCACTTATAAGTGGAGCTAAATGATGAGAACACATGGGCACATAGAGGTAAATAACAGACACTGTGGCCTACCTGAGGGTAGAGGGTGGGGGAAGAAAGGGATCAGGAAAAGTAATTAATGGGTACTAGGATTCATACCTGGATGACAAAATAGTCTGTTCAACAAACCCGTGACACGAGTTTAACTATATAGCAAACCTGCATAGGTACTCCAGAGCTTAATATAAAAGTTAAGAAAAAGAGAGGTCAAGAATTGGAAGTGTTTAACTGAAATGAAATAATATAATATTACAGTCAATAAACATATTATATTTACACGTTTATACATACAATTGAAAATATAAATAATTATTTTAAAATTTAACAAATACATATGGAATGATTTTGATTTGTTACAAAGTGCTTGTATTTAAAAATAGTAGTTTGCTGTCTTTATGAGATACTCATAAAAATACTCCTTTAACATAAACATAAAAAATATGAAGATGAAAAATGGAAAAAATATACCATGCAACACAAACTGGTAGAAAACCACTTTAATATACTGTAATAATATAAAACAGAAGTTGTTATTAAAAATGAAGAAGCATATTCATAGTGATATATTTATTATCTATACCATTAGTAATTTTAAAATAATTTGTATGTACCTAATAATACACATTTAATATAAAGTTGAAAGAAATAAATGAGTAATTAATAAATTTAGGGATTTAGTCACTTCTCTTTCACATCTCATCACACAAACAGATACATCACTGACTCTATACAGAGATTTAAACTAGACAATTAGCCAACACACCTGTGTATACACACACATATAAACTGTATACTAATTCGGAATACTAATATTTTTAAGCTACACTGTATTTTCATAAACCTATGCATTTTAATATAAAATTTAGAAGTTTGCTATAAGTACAGTAGCATTAGCCAAAGTTGGCCAGTGGACAGTTAAAATGCACCAATTCAAGTTTAATATTAATTAATTAGAAGTAAATAACATTAAACATAAGTTTATTAGTCACACTAGCTATATTTACACAGAGATGAAGAACATTTCTAGCCTCACAGAAAATGTTCTAACTACAGTTTACTAACACAGAAGTCAATAATCAAAACTTTAGGAACTTTATATGGTTTTATATTCAGTAATATAATTCTAAATAACCTAAGGGCCAAATAAATTATCACAATAAATGTTCACAATTTTTACATCAATTAAAAGGAAAATAGAGCAAAATATTTTCTTGGGAAAAATGGATTGCCTTAAATTCATATATTGCAACAAAATTGCAGATACTGAATTGTCTGAATAAAAACAGAAATATGAAATTAACTGAAATTAAATAGAAGTAAAGTGGTAGGAAGAAAACAATAAATAGTAAAAAATCATGACAAAGAGCAAAATTACAGTAGAGAAGATCAATGAGGCTGAAGATATTTTCATTGAAAGGACTTAATAAAATTGATAAAAGACTTAAAGAATTTGAGAAGGCTCAAATAATTTTCTAGATTAAATAAGGGAAAACCATTATGGTTTTTACAGATATTAAACAGATAATGAAACCATATTATGAATACTTTTATATCTATATGAGATAGAAAATTCTTGAATATGCAAATTACCAAATTGCAATACAACAAACAGAAATCTGAGTAACCTCTATAAATATAAACTTTGTAAATATGGATGAAATGTCTGTATGTGCTAAAGAAATTGACTTTCCTACATAAACTTTCCTACAAAAACATTCTACACACTCAGATGGCATCACTAATGAATAATTACATTTTAAAACAGTACCCTTACACAAAGTCTTCTAGGTTATAGAAAAAGAGAAATGCTTCCCAATATACCCTTAAGAGAAAAGGCTTTCATGTACATAGCTATAAATAAAAACACAGTATAATCTCCTGTGCATTAATAAATTTAAACAGGCAATACAGAATGACCAGTATGGTTTTATTTCAGACTGGTTTAACATTTGAGAGAATTGAAATAGTTTACTTATTAAGATTATGCAGAGAAAACATGTATCATTCCAACTGATGCCAAAATAATAAAAATGTTACAATTGATAACAAAATCTATTAGAAAAACAGGAATATGATAAAGCTGCTTCAATATGAGAAAGGTATAATAAAAACGAACACACTTTGTAAATATGGATGAAATGTTGCAATCTTTTTACCTAAAATAGGAACTGATACATATGATATACATATAACCTTTCTGTGCCTTCTATTCAACATTCAAAATAAAACCTTAGCTAGTCCAGATTCAATGCAATCTGTATCAAAATGCCAGTGACATTCTTCACAGAAATAGCAAAAGCAATCCTCAAATTTATATGGAACCACAAAACATCCAGTATAGCCAAAGCAATTCTGAGCAAAATATCAAAGCTGGAGGCATCACATTACCTGAATATACTACAAAGCTACAGAAACCAAAACAGCATGGTGCTCATATTAAAACAGACATACAGACCAATGAATCCAGAAACAAATCCATTTGTTTACAGACAACTCACTTTTGACAAAGGTGCCAGGAACATACATTGGAAAAAAAAGATAGTCTCTTCAAAAATAATGCTGGGAAAACTGCATATCATAATATGAAAACTGAATGAAGTAGTCCTTTCATCTGCACAGTGGATATGTTCTAAGACCCCCAGTGGATGTCTGAAATCATAGATAGTACTGAACTGTATATATACTGTGTTTTATCTATACATACATACCTTTGATGAAGTTTAATTTATAAATTAGGCACGGTAAGAGATTAAAACAAACTAATAATAATGAAAAAGAACAATTATAACAATATGCCAGCATAAATACTCTTGCATTTTGGGGCCCTTATTAAGTAAACTAAGAGTGACTTGAACACAAGCGGTACCATACCACCTTAGTCAATCTCATAACTGCGACAGCTGAGTGACTAATGGACAGGGAACTTAGGCTGTGCAGGTATCCTGGACGAAGCAATGATTCATGTCCCAGGTGAGATGGAGCCATACACTATATAAAGGATTTGATCACACTACTCAGAAGAGTGAACAATTTAAAACTCATGGATTTTCTCTTCCTAGAGTTTTCCTTTTAATATTTTTGGCCGTGGTTGAGCCTGGGTAACTAAAACCACAGAAAATGTAATTGTGGATCATTCCTTAACATTTATATCAACATTTCACTAACTTTCAACATCTTTATTTATGGCTATAATTGCACTTAAATTTATTCATAATGTTATTCTGAACCTGTCCTTTTATATTCTTCTACTATATAGCATCATTCAAAAAACTTACTTCAATTTGAACGTTGAGCCATTTATTGACACCCATGGATGATCACTGCTACTACGAGAGATGCCAACCCATGAGAGAACTGACAGGGAGCCCAGAAATTTCTAACGAAAAATAAAAAATTTTCATTTAAATAATAACTATAAAAGATTTTACTAATTTTTAGGTGCTTTCTTTGAATTCTAAACTTTTATTAATTTTTAAAAGTGCAGGTAATACATTCTTTCAAAGGATGCTTAATTTTCAAAACAAAATAAATACCTTAAACAAAATAGTAAACTTGAAAACAACTTTTATAGTGTAAAAAGCTATTACAAATTTTTGTAATTTTGACTTAAAATGAACTCTTCAATTTTTATACTTAGTACATTCATTCTTCTTATTTTAACAAGCAAAATTGTGATTCATGTAATTTAACAGTTGCTTGTGTTGGTAAGACAGACACAGTAAGAACTGAAATAAATTTCCTGATACTGTGCATGTATTTCTCCAGATATTCTGATTAAATAAATGTATTTTTCCACTATGTGTCTCATAGTGGAACTTTTCCTCCTTGAAGTTTAGAAGGAAATTGAAAGGTTGCCATTGAGGAAATAAATGACACAGCAGCCAAAAATTGGCTTTTCTGGGCACCACACCACTCTCTAACTAGATAAGCCCTCACTTTTATCTGATTTGGTTTTGGTGGAATAACAATGGTCTTGACCAGGTACATGGACTCCTTTTTCTCTGCTACTCCCTAATAAATACAACTCTAAACTCTGCAAGTAATGAAAGACACACAGGAAAACTCTGAAAGGTGGAAAGAGGAAGGCAAAATAGTTTGGGACCCCAGAATCAGGGATCAACAGAGTGTCCGGGCATCTTCAGTCCCCCACTCAGCAGAAGAAAGTGATCTAGTCCTCTGTTTCTCAGAACCAAATCTGGTAACAGGAGGTGGGTCAGCTAAGCCCATTCCCACTCTGTATTGAAAGGGAGTCCTGCCAGCAACATTAGGCAAGCCTGGTACCACTGGCAAGGATGACCTACCAGGAGGCCTGCTACCAGTTAGGAGCTAGAGGAAGTGCTTCTCCTCCCAAACCAAAAGACATCAGGGTAGGTGCGGTGAGAGGGATCAGCAAAGGAACCGCATGACTACACGTGCCCATCCAGGTTCCTCTTTGTTCCTGAGGGCACGAGACTCACTTCCCCATCCAGAGACACAGGACTGAACAGATTGTAAATGTTCTATGCACATCATGCAGCAATGAAAAGCAACAAACAACAGCTAACTGCATTATTGCACAAATATCATATAGGAGTAAAAGAAGACACACATGAAAATACACATTGTATGATTCCCTTGACATAAATTCTGGAACAGGCAAAGCTTATTTATCACATTAAACATCAATACAAAGGTTTGGAGAGGAGGCAGGAAAAGTGAGGAAGGCATACACAGGAGCAGGACTGCTGGGGCTGGAAACTTCTATTTCATGATCTGCCCTGTATCATGAATCCATTCACTTTGTGATCAATATGCATGACCATGACATGCTTAGTTTTCTTTATATTTATTTTGTGATAAAAACATTTATAGAAGCATGGGTTTCCATGAAAAGCAAAACTGGAAATAACCAAATGTGCATTAACAGTATATGAATATAAAAATATTATGAAGTCAGTTGAATACTACACAGACTTAAAAATATATGAAGTAAATATATGTATAAACATATGGATGATTTCTACAAATATGATATTGACAGAAATAAGCTTTTAGTAAAGTGTTGAAACATTTACGTCTTACCATTTCTTCCTCATTATCTATAGAAAGCAGATCAGAGTTCTTCGAAGCACAGGCCAGCAAACTCTTTCTTCCCAAGTTCTTCTTTCCTTACCAATGTAATAACAACTGTTGGAATATGTAATCCACTCCTCAGGACAATGGCCACAATGACGTGCTAAATAAAAATATGAATTACTATGCAAAACAATATGTTTACAAATGAAAATTATTTTATATATTTGCAAAGCTATAAACATACAGGTACACAATATCTGCATCCTCATAAGTTGTTAAATATATATTTTAAAATAACGAGTCACTCATACGCACATGCACAATAAAAGGTCCACCTCTCATCCCTTAATTGTGTTCCCATACAAAACAAGCCCGCCAACAAAAATCCACCCTACACATCTTAAACATCACTGAACAAAACTGCTTTTTAAGTATAGTAAAATTATTTATCTCTTATCATCTTATAGTAGTAGGAAATTTCAGTTAATTAAATGCAACAAGAGGGTATAATGATTTTAACTGAGCATTTCTACTTATTATTGGAGAAAAGGACATGCCCTCATATAATCTTTATTTTATAAACATTTATGGCTCATTGTTATAGTTTATTTTCCCAAAACATTTTATTATCATTTTGCATCCCTTTAGAGACAAAATATAAACTGTACTAACATCAGAACATTGACAATCATAATGTACCTTTCTGCATTCTTCTATTCAGGGAAAAATTGTTCTGCTCCAGTACTCCAATACCTAGAAAAATTAAAGTGATTCTTACAAAATTAATATCTAGACAAATTATAATAAATTCAGTTGCTTACTTTGAAATACAAAATTTAAAATTATTTTAAATTGGAACAATCTGAAATAAAAATGACTTTTCTATAAAAATAATGAGATCTTTAAAACAAATATTTTTAAAGCCATTAGCATAAAACTTCACCATCTCTTATAGTATTTGATCTAACCACTTTCAAAAATTAATTTGTTTTTCTAAATATTTTTTCTCTTAAAACATGTCTTTGAGTCATGAAATCAGAATACATCTCTCTGTGTGTGTATCATATATACATATATATTTAGTACACACAAAAAAATAAATGTTTTCTACAATTATTCTGTTATTTATAAATTTGAAAAGTTCAGAAGCAGCATATTATCTTGGGGTTCAGAGATATACATTAAACAGAGAATTCTAATCCTCATTATTATGAAATGTTTCAAGGCGCTTCCAATCATTATAGTGAAAAGTTCCCTTATAATCTTTCAAGAATATGCTTACAAGGAATAAGAACTATTGTTTTTAACACAGTGGCCATCAGGACAATGCAAATGATTCCTAGGACCTCAGCAGTGAGCTTCTCTGGAGGTGGCAGTAAACCTGCAGGGAGAGAAAGAGGCACTGAGAGAGGGGAGATAGAGAGTTGATGAGAAGGTTTACGTACAAGAGAACTCACGTGCACAGGAAAACATAATGATAAACTCTGTCCTCTAAATCTACATCTACTCTAGTAATCTTTCTCTCAGAATATACCATTTCATTATCAGTAAATATAATGCTCCATGAGTTGTTAATCACAAATTACAATTGAACAATGCCTGAATAAAATCAGGCTTCAGATTTCATATTAGAATATTAGATCCTGACTTTGACCTCTGATTCTCACAAGTGCAAAATATTCCCTAATCTTTCCCCACCTTTCTGCATTCAACTGCACATCCTAGAACAATAATATTGAAGATCTATTTAATGTTTTACCTTTGCAGTGATATGTCTTGTCATTCCCTTGATGATCCGAAGAAGCATTTTGAAGGTTTAATTCTACTTGGAATATTTCCTGTTTGGTTCCTGAAATGGAGATTTTATTGCCCTTAAGTTTCCTTTGCTGCCTCTTTGGGTCCTGGGCCAGACTCACTTCTGAGTAGGTTCCTCTTTGTTTATTCATCTCTGCAGCTGTGTGATGTCAGGGACTGTGCTCTATGATAACTGCACTTAAGAAGCTATAAGTGGTGTATATTTTGACAGGATCCCTGGTATAGGCAAACTGCATGTGTTGGAGGCTGAGTAGTAATGTTCATTTTGCTGTTGACCAATATAAAAGTCTGGTACTAATTTCCTAAAGTTTTAAACTGAAATCTCTTTAAACAATAGGTCACTTTTTAAAAGGCCTTCTATATTTGACATAATATTATTAATGGGAACAATAAAAAACAATACATTTGTGAAAACTAAGAAGTAACTGAATATAAATATCTTTATTAATTTAAAATCAGATTCTACAGAAATATTTTATCACCAATAGAATACCTGTGTAAAAAACTAAAATTGAAATTTGAAAATAAAATGCACTAATTGTATGACAATTTTAAAATTCATTAATGTAAGGATTGAGCGCTAAAGATGGAGGAATAATTTGTTGGCATATAGAACAACTTTTAATACTAAAATACATTAAGTTAGTGACTTACATTCGTTTACTAAAAGGGCATGAGGTCTTGGCAAATGTTTTTTATTCTGAATGATTGAGGAAAACAGAAAAATTGTTAAAATTTTAAAGAAATATTTTATACCTTGTAAAACATTACATTAACTTATGCATAAACTAAATACTACTGAAAAAGATTTAACTCTTTATTTTACAGAATTGATTGGTAATTGATTTAATGACTAAAATAGGAAAACTGAAAATGATAAATATAAGTTTGGACCATCTATGAAAGAACACTTTAAGTTCAAACTTTCAGAAAGACCCTGTGGTTGTTTTAAAAGGCAGCGAGGGTCACTTTGGTTGTGTAAGTAATTGTAATAAATCAGAAAATATAATTTAATAATCTAGTCAATGAGCTCTGTAGCCAGTGAGACCTAAAATTAATTACAGCTTTGAAACTCATAATGCATGACCTTTACAAAGTTACTTGGTGTCTACAACACCAGTTTACTAATCTAGATTGGGGAAAATAATTTATGAAGTATAATGTATATAAAACCCTTAACATACAACCTGGCACACATTAGTCCTCAATACATATTAGATATTTTAATTATTTTTAACACAATTGCCATTTTATTATTTCTAATTCATACTGAGTGTGTAAAATAACTAATGAGGTAGGAGTCTCATGTCAGTGTAGTACATCTTTTTTGCAATGTTTGTTTGGCTCAATTTTTTTTAGGTCGTCCTATTATTTATAATTAAGTTTAGATTTGCATTTTATGGAAACTACTTCATTATTACATTCTTAAAAAAATAAAATCTGCTTCAATTAAATATAAGTATGTGTATGAGAAATTATGTTTGACATTCACAATTTGATGTATCCATTAAAAATGCATTTTTAAAGTCTGGGCTAAATATAAAGTATTATTACATCTATAATGATTATAAAATTTCAAATTAATTCTTCATTGTCGTGATATTTATCGGTTTCACTCTAAATTATATTGATTAACAAACCTATTATGATGTATGCATGTGCTTGACTAATTCTCCACAGGCAATAATGTAAATACTTTAAGAAATCCTCAAACATATATTATATTTTGGGTTGCTTTTCACCCTGAATTATTCATGTACAGACAGTTCTACTTTGATTTTATTCTGTATTAACTTTACCTTGTTGCATCACATTTAATATTTACAATTTTCTACTAAAGGAGATGAGCTAGTAGAGAAACAGGAGACTAGCAACACATACCTTCTGTCATCAGAAAGTCACACGCCCCTTAGTGGAGAGGTCAGGTTACCTCTTAACGACACAAAAGACATCTGTGATCCGGTGAAACCCCGTCTCTACTAAAAATACAAAAACTTAGCCGGGTGTGGTGGCGGGCGCCTGTAGCTGCTTGGGAGGCTGAGGCAGGAGAACGGTTGAACCCGGGAGGCGTAGCTTGCAGTGAGCTGAGATCGGGAGCCACTGCACTCCAGCCTGGGCGACAGAGCGAGACTCTGTCTCAGAAAAAAACAAAAAACAAAAAACAGATATCTCTGATCTTCACAGACTGCCCTGTGAAAGCTCAGAGTGAGGCAAGAGTGCAAAAAGCAGATTCCTCATCAATGTATCACTTCGGATTTGAACAGGAAGTTTTCACACTAGGGCCATTTTGAATCAGTTTATCTCATCATACACCTCAGAATATAAGAGACTGAGCTGCTAGGGTGTCATTTAGTTTGTCCATTTTCAAGTGACTTTTAGAAATTATTTTTATAGTAAACAAGATTTGGGGAGAACAAAGACTACTACCCATGCAGTTGTTTCCATCTCAATCACAAACACTAAAATCTTATACCTTTTTCAGAGTCTCTTACATGTTTAACTTCTACATTTACACAGGGTGGCTAAAACTTGGGATTACGTACTTCTTTATCATATACCCCTATAATATCACTGCTAATATGACGATAAATTTTTAAAATAATAATCTTACCAATAGGAATTTAATGTATTTGTCACTAATTATTCTGAGAAAATACATTTCCACTTCATTGTAATTGACATCAATTCTCAAAGTTAAATTCCCAACTTACTTTCTTGATAGTTCTTAAAATTCTCTCATTCAGTTTTTTAAAAATAAATTAATCAGATAACTCTCATTGAAATATATGTCTCTGGGAAGAATAAATAATTAAAAAATATTGTACTATATCACCACGCCAGAGATTGAAATATATAAAAACCACTCATTATATTGTTCATTGATTTATTTTCCAATCATAACGGTCTGCATTTTAATATTAATATTTGTTGTAAATGACTAATGCTTAAATCAAACTATATAGAGAGGGAAAAGTAATTTTTAAAACATCATCTAGTTAAAAATAGGGAGGGCAGAAAAAGTAGATTTTTAAAACACAAGCTAAATGGTACATGAGCACTCAGGGGCGGTGGCTTGTGTCAGTAATCCCAGCAACTTGGGAGGCCAAGATGTGTTGATTTCTTGAGCTCAGGAGTTCAAGACCAGCCTGGTCAACATGATGAAACCCCGTCTCTACAAAAAAATACGAAAATTAGCCAGCATGATGGTATTGGCCTGTAGCCAGCTACTCTGGTTGCTGAGGTGGGAGGATCGCTTGAGCCTTGGAGGTGAGGTCGAGGCTGCAGTGAGCCGAGATGAAATTTACTGAAATTGGGGAAATATACTTCATAATGATAAATTAATTTTCCAAACCATTAGTAATATATTTTTTATCATTGCATATACCTAATGATACAAGTTCAACATATAGTTGAATAAAGTGAACAAGTAAACAATCATAAATGGGATTTTTAAAGACTCTTCTCTTGATGCTTAATACAAGACAGGCCAGTGAGCCTATAGAAAGATTTAAACTAGACAAGTAACCATCACTCATATGAATGCATTCACACACATATACTCACACGGATACTCAATTTCAATGTAGTACCGCTAGCCAAGCTTGGCTAGGAGACAGTTGAAATGTAGCTATTCAAATTTAACATTAATTAATAAAAATAAATAACATTTAAAACCAGTACCTCACCACATGAGCCACATTTATAAAGGGATGAAGAACATTTCCAGTTTAATAGAAAATGTTCTAACTATATTTTACCTACAACAGAAGTCAATAAACAAAAATCTGAGAACCTTATATGGTTTTTAATTCAGTAATATATGTCAAAATAACATATGGGCCAAAGAAATTATCAAGATGAATGGTCACAAAGGACTACTAAGGGAAGATTTTGAAAAGGCACAGATATTTTATTCCCAGTTTAAACATGGCAATACCATTATGGTCTTTACAGTTATTAAACAGGCAATAAAACTATATTATCAATGCATTTTAATGTCCATATGAAATAGAAAATTCCTGGGAAATGCTCATTACCAAAATATAGTACCTCAAATAGAAATCTGAGTAAACCCTACATGTATTGAAGAAATTCAGTTTAGCCATAAACTTTTCTACAAAAATAGCCTGCAAACTCAGATGGCATAACTAGTGAATGATAACATTTAAAAATAAAGCGGTACTCTTTATTATTATTATTATATTTTAAGTTCTAGGGTATATGTGCACAACGTGCAGGTTTGTTACATAGGCATAGATGTGCCATGTTGGTGTGCTGCACCCATCAACTCATCATTTACATTAGGTATTTCTCCTAATGCTATCCCTCCCCCAACCCCCCACCCCCCGACAGGCCCCGGTGTGTGATGTTCTCCTCCCTGTGTCCATGTGTTCTCATTGTTCAATTCCCACCTATGAGTGAGAACATGCGGTGTTTGGTTTTCTGTCCTTGTGATAGTTTGCTGAGAATGATGGTTTCCAGCTTCATCCATGTCCCTGCAGAGGACATGAACTCATCCTTTTTTATGGCTAAAGCAGTACTCTTAACAAATGCTTCCAGGTTATAGAGAAACAGAAAATCTTCCCAAGATAGCCTTGAGACCAAAACTTTTTCAAGTACATAGCTACAAATAAAAACGTGGTCAAATATCCTTGTGAACATAGATGAAGAAACATATCTTACCCTAGATATAGTAGTATGTGCACTGATATTTTATAAGGGGCAATATACAATGATCAGCATGGATTTGTTTCGGAAACAAAGCCTAGTTTAACATTTGACAAAAATAAAATTATTTTATAAAATGTTGTATAAAGAAAACATATATCATTCTAAGTAATAAAAAATAAAAATGTTACAATTGATAACATCTATTGAAAAAAGGAATATTATAAAACCACTTCAATATAAGAAAGATATGATGAAAAAAACACCAAACTTTGTAAATATGAATAATATGTTGAATTATTTTTTGCCAAAACCAGAAAATGATACATATGATACATGTAAAATTTGATTGTACCTTCTATTCAACTCTGGATATAAAGTACTAGCCAGAGAAAATAAATGAAGAAAAAATAAGTTGTGGCACATGGATAGAAAAAATAAAAGTGTGATTATTTGCAGGACACAGGCAGGGGAACATCACACACAGGGGACTGTTGTGGGGTGGGGGGAGGGGGGAGGGATAGCATTAGGAGATATACCTAATGCTAAATGACGAGTTAATGGGTGCAGCACACCAACATGGCACATGTATACATATGTAACAAACCTGCACATTGTGCACATGTACCCTAAAACTTAAAGTATAATAATAATAAAAAAAGAAAAAAAAAGAAAAAGAAAAGAAAATAAAATTGCTGTTTATATAGAAAATCCAGAAAAATCTGTTTGAAATGATAGATTTAAATATGTAAAATAAGTGAAAATGCAGACATCAGTTGTATTTCTATTTACAGTAACAAAAGTTATTAAAGGGAATATTAAAATCAGAATGCTATTTACAAAAGCATGAATGTAAAATATCTGCATTTCTGTATGATTCAAACCCCCAAAATACATAATATGATAGAGAGAAATTAAAGAAAACCCCATACATTGAACCCAGTACATTGAAGGACACAATATGATATTGTATGGAAATGTCAAGAAGCTAATCTTTAAAAATTACTTTAGAGATTAAATGCAGACTCAAGCAATCCCAGGACAGTATATATTTTTGTTTTGGACAGCTTCATTGAGGTACGGTGCACATAGCATAAATTTCATCCACTTAAAATGATTAAAAATCAGTGATGTTTAGTGTATTCACAGAGTTACAACCATCACTGCTACTGAAATTTAGAAAGTTTTCATCACTGACACAAAGAAACATTCTAGCAATTAGTGGACACCTCCTATTTCAACCTCCCTTAGGCATTAGCAACGCTATTTTATTTTCTGTCTCCATGGTTTTGCTTGTTCTTGATACTTCATATAAACTGACCAACATAACATGCAACTTTTAGGAAGCCTGAATGCCACAAACATCACGTTCAGCAAAATGAGCCTGACTTAAATGCGAGGGTATCTGTACTTCCGTAATTGTGTGTATTATATTTCAATAATTGATTTGGAATTTTCTTATTATTAGAGCAAATAACACAATTCATTTTAAGGCTTATGCAATCATAATATCATTTCTGTTTGAACAAATATAAAATTTTATCTGATGCACTGCAAGCTCAAGCGCTTTAATTCTAAAGCTTATGCTCACAATGATTCTTGAAGATCCACACTGGTCTGATATAAGTCCACGTACATGTAGCATTGCACAGTTACGTTCAGCATGATCTGAGTCTTTTATCCTGTAATGGAGAAAAATCCATAATTCTGTTACATTTTATGCAAATGACCCATGAGACAAAAGCATTTTCCATGTACTGTAAGAAAATAATTTTATGAAAAAGGGTAATTAAATTTTTCATATGCTATTACTAAAAGTCATTATTCTGAACACTCAATACAGTACTCCCCCTTCATCCACGGGGGATATGTTTCAAGACCCCACTGAATGTCTGAAATAGTACAGAACCTATAGAGAGATTATGTTTTCTCTACACATTCATAACTGTGATAAAGTTTAATTTAAAAATTAGGCACAATAAGAGATTGACAACAATAACTACTAATAAAAAATTGTAAGCAATATACCAACAGCACTACTATTGTGCTTTGAGGATATTCTTAAGTAAAATAAGGGTGACTTTTTAATGAAAACAAGCACTGCAATTCCCTGATAGTCCATCTCAAGCTTGTCTAACTTACGGCCCATGGGCCGCATGTGGCCCAGGAAGCTTTCAATGCGGCCCAACACAAATACATAAGCTTTCTTAAAACATTCTGAGATATTTTTGCAATTTTTTTGTTTAGCTCATCAGCTAGCGTTAGTGTTAGTGTCTTTTATGTGTGGCCCAAGACTCTTCTTCTTCCAATGTGGCCCACAGAAGCCAAAGATTAGACACCCCTGGTCCATCTCATAACCAAGAAAGTTACTAGCTGACCAATGAGTGGTGGACATATATGGACTACTATGGTCTATTGTAAAATATTTGTATCAACATTTCACTAACTTTCCACATCTTTCTTCATATCAATGATTCCACATAGATTTATTCATATTATTCTTCTGAATTTATCCTTTATATTTTTTTATATAGCACCCTATAAAACAACTTACTCATGTTTGAAAGCCAAACCATTTATTGTCACCCATGGATGATGACTGCTGTTACGAAACACACCAATCCATGAGGAAGGTAAAATGCTGGCCAGAAATTTCTAAAAGAAAAGAAATAATTTTCACTTAAATAATAATTATGAAAACATTACAAAAACAATATATTAAAGTTGAAAACCACTATTTGCAGTGCCAAAAACTTTCATAAATGTTTGAATTTTTTATTTAAATGAACTCTTCAACGTTTATACTTAGTACTTTCATTCTTATTCTCATGTTAATAAAGACATTTTAATTCTTGCAATGTAATAGTTACTCCAATTAACAGAATAAACACAGGAAGGGTTTTAATAAGTTTCCTGATACTGTGCATTCATTTCTCCAGATACTGTGACTAAATCAATCTATTTTTGTGCTATATTTCTCAGAGTTGGAGATTTAGAAGGGAATTGAGGGGTTGTCATTCAGAAATAAATGACATGGAAGCTACAGATTGGGTTTCCTTGGTACCACACCATTCTTTAACTAGATAAGCCCTCAATTTTTATCCGATTCGGTTTTTGTGGAATAACAGGGGTCCTGGCCAGGTGGTGTAGACTCGTCTCTCTCTGCTACTCCCTACTAAAAACAACTATAAACTCTGGGATTAATGAAAGACAAAAGTAATGGAGAACTCTGAAAGGTGGAAAGAGAAAGATGAAATTGTCTGGGACCCTAGCATCAGGGATCAACCAAGTGTCCGAGTGAGCATGTTAAGTCCTCCACACGACAGAAGAAGGTGACCTAGGCCTGCTGTTTCCCTACACCCAACCTGGCAATAGGAGGAGGGTATCGAAGGAGAGTCCCCTCCACAATACCAGGCAAGGCTGGTGCCACTGGCAAGGATGATCTACCAGGAGACCTGCCACCAATACGGAGCTAGAGAAAGTGCTTCCTTCTCATACCAGGAGACACCAGGGTGGTTGTGGGTGAGGAGGATCAGGAAAGGGACCCACGACTACCAATGCACCATCCAGGGTCCTCTTTGCCCCTGAGGGCATGAGACTCACTTCCCCATCTAGAGACATAAGACAGAATGAATTCTTAGTGTTCTTTGTACATAGTACAGCAGTGAACAGTAACAAACTACAGATAACCGCAATAATATGGAGGAATTCCACAAATATCAGATAGGAGTGAAAAAGACAGACATGAAATTCACACTGTATAATTCCGTTTTTTATAAATTCAAGAACAGGCAAACCTTATTTATAACTTCAAAAGTCAAGACAGTGTTTTGGAGAGGAGTCAGGATAAGTGATGAGGGCATACACAGGGGTGGAACTGCTAGAGCTGGAAACTTATTTCATGATCTCACTTGTATCACATGAGATCATTCACTTTGTGATCAATCTGCATGACTAGATCATATCATGCTCAATAAAATTAAATAGTAAAATTTATTGTGGATTCAAAGCATTAATAGAAGCATGGTTTTCCATAAAAAGCAAAAACTGAAAATAAAAGTACATTAGCGGTATATAACTTTAAAAACATTATTAAGTCAATCAACTGAATAATGCATACACTTGAAAATATATAAGCTAAATATATGTACACACATATGGATGTTTTCTACAAATGTATTATTCACTGAAAGAAGCTTTTCATAAAATGTTTGAAACATTTACATCTTACCATTTCTTCTTCATTATCTATACAAAGCAGACTAGAAGAGTTCTTTGAAGCACAGGCCTGCAAACTCTCTTCCCAAGTTCTTCTTTCCTTACCAATGTAATAACAACTGTTGGAATATGTAATCCACTCCTCAGGACAATGGCCACAATGACGTGCTAATAAAGATATGAATTACTATCTAGACCAATATGAATTTTTAAAAATGAAAATTAGTTCACATATTTGCAACAGTATAAACATATATGTGCTTAACATATTTATGCATCCTTACAGGCTTATAAGTATATATTTTTTAATAACTGAGTCAGTCATACACACATACACAGAAAAGGGTTAGCCTCTCTCCCCTAATTGTGTTCCCATATAAAGCAAACCAACAAACAAAAATACACTCCACACATGTCTTGAACCTCACTGATACACAACTGCTTTTTTAGAATAGTAAAATTATTTATTTGGTATCATCTCACAGCAGTAGGAGACTTCTGTTAATTGGGAGAAAGAGGGTAGAATGATTTTAAGTGAGTATTTCTACTTACTGGAGAAAAGGAAATGCTGCCTCATAATCTTTCTTTATAAATATTTATGGCTGAATTTATGGCTTATTTTCTGCAAAAATGCCACTATTCTTTTACATGCCTTAAAACAGACACAAAATATAAATTGTACTAATATCAGAGCATTGAAAATAAAAATGTACCTTTCTGGGTTCTTGCATTCGGGGAAGAATTGTTCTGCTCCAGGACTGTAATAGAAAAATTAAAATGATTTTTATAAAAACTGATATCTAGATAAACCATAATGAGTTTAGTTTCTTACTTTGAAACTTTGTGTGTTATTTAAAATGGGGAGAATCTTTAATAAAATTAACTTTTTCTATAAAAATATATAAAGTAATAGACCTTTGAAATAAACATTTTTAAAGACTTTAGCACAAAACTTCACCATCTCTTGTAGTATTTGATGTAACCACTTTCAAAAATTAGTTTTTCTAAATACTTTTCTTCTATAGCATGCCTTTGAATTATGAAATCAGAAAATATCTTTGTGTGTGTATGTATATACATATATATAGATTACACACAAAAAATAAACACATGTTCTCTACAATGATTTTGTTATTTATGTTGTGAAAAATTCAGAATAACCATATTATTTTGGTTCCAAATTGTACTAATATCAGAACTTTGAAAATAAAAATGTACTTTTCTGGGTTCTTGTATTTGGGGAAGAATTGTTCTGCTCCAGGACTGTAATAGAAAAATTAAAATGATTTTTATAAAAAGTAATATTTAGATAAACCATAATGAGTTTAGTTTCTTACTTTGAAACTTTGTGTGTTATTTAAAATGGGGACAATCTTTAATAAAATTAACTTTTTCTATAAAAATAAATGAAGTAATAGATCTTTGAAAGAAACAGTAAAATAAGAGTTCTATTCTTCAACAGTATGAAATATTTTGAGGCACTTCCAAGCATTAAAGTAAAACGTTCCCTTCTAATCTTTCAAGAATATGCTTACAAGGAATAAGAACTATTGTTTTTAACACAGTGGCCATCAGGACAATGCAAATGATTCCTAGGACCTCGGCAGTGAGCTTTTCTGGAGGTGGCAGTAAACCTGCAGGGAGAGAAATAGAGGCACTGAGAGAGGGGAGATAGAGAGTTGATTAGGATTACATACTAGAGAATTACATACTAGAGAACCCACATGCACAGGGAAACATAATGATAAACTCTGGCCGCTAAATCTACATCTACTCTAGTAATCTTTCTCTCAGAATATACCATTTCATTTTCAGTAAATGTAATGTTCCATGAGTGGATTGCAGATTACAGTTGATTACAGTTGAACAATGCCTGAATAAAATTAGTCTTCTGATTTCATATTAGAATATTAGATCCCATTTATGAACTCTGATTCTCACAAGTGTAAAATATTCCCTAATCTTTCCTCACCCTTCTGCATTCAACTGCACATCCCAGAACAATAACATTGAAGATATATTTAATGTTTTACCTTGGCAGTCATATATTTTATCAATCCCTTGATGATTCAGAGAAGCATTTTGAAGGTTTAATTCTACTTGGAATATTTCCTGTTCGGTTCCTGAAATGGAGCTTTTATTGCCTTTAGGTTTCCTTTGCTGCCACTTTGGGTCCTGGGCCAGACTCACTTCTGAGAAGGTTCCTCTTTGTTTACTCATCTCTGCAGCTGTGTGATGTGAGGGACTGTGCTCTATGATAACTGCACTTAAGAAGCTATAAATGGTGTATATTTTGACAGGATCCCTGGTATAGGCAATGTGCATGTGTTGGGGCTGAGTAATAATGTTTACTTTGCTGTTAACCTAGGTAAAATTCTGCTACTAATTTCCTAAAGCTTTAAACAAAAATCACACGATATAATTGGCCATTTTTTAGATGTATTCTGTATTTGACATAATATTACTAGTGGGAACAATAAAAACATTAAACTTGTGAGAACTAGGAAGTTCATGAAAAAAATTGGTATTAAATTAAGGTTAGATTCTTCAAAAATGTTTAACACCAATAGACTGCATACTTTAACAATTAAAATACTGTATTTAGAAATACACTAATTTTACCATAGTTTTAAGAGTCATTGATGGTTAATGATTGTGTGCCATAAGATAAAATAGTTCTGTCAGCATACAGAGTAACTTCTTATACTAACATACATTGTTAGTGAGTTACATTCATTTATTAAAAGGACCTGAGGTATTGTCAACTGATTATTTTTCTAAATTAGGAAATCAGAAAAATCATTAAAATTTTAAAAATATATCTTGTAAAACATTACATTACTGTATGCATAAATACTATTGAAAACATAATATATTTTTAAATTGCTGCTTTTACACAAGAAATTGGTAATTGATTTAATGACTAAAATAGGAAAACTTAAAATGATAAATAAACGTGTGGGCCGTCTATGGAAGAATAGTGTCCAATCAAACTTTCAGAAAGCTCCTATGATTGTATAAGTCAGTGAGGGTCGCTTTGGTTGTATAAGTAATTGTAATAGTTCAGATAATGTAATTTAATAATCTAGTCAATGAGCTCTGTAGTCAGTGAGACTACAATTAATTCTAGCTTTGCAAGTTGTAATATGTGACCTGTACTAAATTACTTAGTGTCTACTAACCTAGTTTACTAATCTACATTGGGAAAAATAATTTATAAAGTATAATGTATGTAGAAAACTAAACACACAACCTGGCACATATTAGCACTGAATACATAATAGATATTTCAACTATTTTTAACACAATTGCCATTTTATTATTTCTGATTTGCATTAGAGTGTGTTAAAATAACTCATTAATTAGGCGTCTCATGTCAGTGTGGTACATCTTTTTTGCAATGTTTGGTTCAATTGTTTTAAGTCTTCCAATTGTTTATAATTAAGGTCAGATTTGCATTTTATGGAAATGATTTCATCCTTACTTTTATTAAAAATTAAAACTGCTTTCATGAAATCTAGGTGTGTGATTGAGAATTAATGTTTGACATTCACAATTTGATGTATCCATATTAAAAATTTATTTTTAAAGTTTGGTCTAAATATAATATACAATTAAACCAGTAATGATTACAAAATCCAAAATTAATTGTTCATTGTCATGATGGTTATGGGTTTCACTCTAAATTACATGGATTGGCAAACCTATTATTATGTATGCATCTACTTGAGTGATTCTCCAGCGGCAATGATGTGAATACTCTAAGAAATCCTTAAACATAGTTTATATTTTGGCTCGTTTTTCACCTTGAATTATTCACGTGAATAAAGTTCTACCTTGATTTTCGTCTATATCAACTTTACCTCAGGTGCATCACAGCCAGTACTTACAATCTTCTACTAAATGAGATGAGCTAGTAGAGAAACAGGGAGAGGAGCAACACTTACCTACTGTCATCAGAAAGCCACACGCCCTTCAGTGGAGAGGTCAGGTTACCTCTGAAAGACACAAACGTTATCTGTGATCTTCACAGACTGCCCTTTGAAGGGTCAGAGTGAGGCAAGAGTGGAAAAAGTAGATTCCTCACCAATGTGTCACTGCAGATTTGAACAGGAAATTCTCACCCTAGGGCTATTTTGAATCAGTTTGTCTCATCACACACTTTAGAATATAGGAGACTTTGGGTGGCTAGTGTGTCATTTAGTTTGTCCATTTTAAAGTGCCTCTTAGAAATTATTTTTATGGTCAACAAGATGAGGGGAGAGCAGAGATTTGATCCATGCTGGTGATTGTTTCCATCTCAGTCACAAACACCAAAGTTTTGTAACTTTTCAAAAGGATCTTAGGTGGTTGCTTTCTACATTTAGACAAGGTGGCTGAAACTTGACATTATATACTTTTTTATCATATACCCCTATAATATCACTGCTATCATAATAACAAAATTTAAATAATGATTTTATCAATAGGAATTTAATGTACTTGTCACTATTTTGAGAAAATGCTGCATTTTCAACTTAATTGTAACTGACATGCATTCTCAAACTTATCTTCTTGCTTTCTTTGCCTTAGTTCTTAAAATTCCCTCATTCAATTTTTCTTCTTTATATAAGTTAACCAGATTCCTGATTAAAATAAATGTCTCTTGAAAGAATAAAATATTAAACAATACTGAGCTATATCTCTATGCCAGAGACTGAAATAATAAAAAAACTACCTACTATATTGTTCACCGGTTCCTTCTCTAATCATGACTTACTGTCTGCATTTTAATAGAAATATTTGTTGTAAATGACTAAAGCCTAAGTTAAACTATGAAGGGAGGTTAAAGCAATTTTTAAAACATCACCTACTTAAAAATGGGGAGGCCAGAAAATGGAGATTTTTTAAAACACAAGTAAAATGATACATGAATGTCCGGGCATGGTAGCTCATGTCAGTAATCCCAGCACTCCAGGATCACTTGAGCTCAGGAGTTTGAGGTTAGCATGATACACAGGATGAAACCCCATCTCTTAAAAAAAAAAAAAAAAAAAAAAAAAATATATATATATATATATATATATATGAATTAGCCGAGGATGCTGGTGTTTGCTTGTAGTCCCATCTGCTCTGGAGGCTGAGGTGAGAGGATCGCTTGAGCCCTGGGGGTCAAGGCTGCAGTGAACTGTTAGTGTCACTGCACTGTAGCCTGGGCAACAGAGCCAGACCTTGTCTCAAAAACAAATAAACAAAAACTTTTAAAAAATAAATGGTATACGAACATCAGGGAAAAAACTATAAATTATCTAGTTGTATTAAATAAAAATCTTTTCATCATTTATTTTCTATCAAGAAAAGGGGGAATGTTTATGCATAATTCTATTGCCCAGGCTGGAGTGCAGTGGTGCCATCTCGGCTCACTGCAACCTCTGCCTCCTGGGCTCAAGCGATTCTCCTGCCTCAGCCTCCTGAGTAGCTGGGATTACAGGCGTGTGCCACCAGGCCCAGCTAATTTTTTTTGTATTTTTAGTAGAGACGAGGTTTCACCGTGTTAGCCAGGATGGTCTTGATCTCCTGACCTCGTTATCCGTCTGCCTCGGCCTTCCAATGTGCTGGGATTACAGGCGTGAGCCACTGTGCCCGGCTATTCTCTAAAATCTAAAAAGTTGGAATTTAAACCCATATTTATTTCTTTGCAATGAGAATTATTATTTGCCCTTCCATCAGAATGGCTAATGGTGGCTAGGTATATATGTTTTTCTGTAAAATATATTGTAATATATTTTCACAAAATTAATTAATAATGTCATATGCATATATGCTTGTGTTCATATTGTATCTTTTTCTATTACAAGTATATTTATATTTACATTTTATTACATTTTCATAAACTAGGTTACTTTTTCTATTAGTCACGTTATGGAACTAAAACAATAAAATCATTCACTAAAGATGCCACATAATGTATCATTCACTGATGTTTTCTATTTAAGTCTGAAGTGCTGATGTCTACTATTGCTACAAACATCCACTTGGTGTTTTCCATTAGTGTTATACCATTATTGTTTGCATAATGACAGGGATACCTCTGAGGAATATGTCTTTAGGCAATTTCATCCCTGTGTCAACATCAAAGAGTTTATTTACACAAACCTAGATGGTACAGCTACTACACTCCTGTGTTATATGGGATAGGCTATTGCTCCAAGGATACAAACCTGTACAATATGTTACTGTTGTGAATAATGCAAGCAGTGACCAGAATGGTAATTTTTGTTTATCTAATTATATATAAACCAAAAAAACAGTAAAATATGGTTTAAAAAAAGGTTAAAATGGCATCCTTTTATAGGGCACTTACTACGAATGAAGACTGCAGAAATGGAATTTTCCCTGGGTGAGTCAGTGAGTAAGTAGCAAGTGAAAGTCAAGGCCTAGGATATTACAGCACACTACTGTAGGATTTATACACTGTACACTAGGGTACACTATATTTATGCAGCACTTTTTTTCTTGAGCTAATAATAAATTAACTTTACTGCACCTTTGTTGGTTTCTAAATTTTTCATATTTTAAAAATCTTCTGCCTCTTTTTAAATACACTTTATTTAAAAACACAAATTGCACAGTCTTAACAACTATATTCTTTTTATGAGCTTTTTTCTATATTTCATTTTAATTTTTTTCTTTTTAAACTTTTTTTAAAAACGAAGACACGAAAACATACATTAGCCTAAGCCTACGCAGTGTCAGCAAGATCAATCTCACTGTCATCCCCTCCACATCTTGTCCCACTGGAAGGTTCAGGCAATAACACACGTGCAGCTGTCCTCTCCTATGGTAACAGTGCCTTCTTCTGGAATTCCTCCTGAGGGACCTGCCCAAGGTTGTTTTTCAGGTAACTGTTTTTATAGAAGTAGAAGGAGTACACTCTAAAATAATAATTAAAAGTATACTACAGTAAATACATAAACCAATAACATTGTCATTTATTATCATTATCAAATATTATGTAGTGTATGTAATTGTTTGTGCTATACTTTTATTCCACTGGCAGCAAGGTAATTTACACCAGCATCACCACAGACATGTGAATAATACACTGTACTGAAACTATTGCTATGACGTCACTAAGTCATAGGAAATTTCCAGCTCCGTTATAATCTAGTGGGACCACTATCTATGTGCAGTCAGTCATTGACCAAAACATCATTTTGTGGCACGTGACTGTATATCATGTCCTTTGTTAATCGAAACAATACAGATTTCTACTGTTTGGGCATTTACTGTGAATGAAGTTTATGCTTATACAAAGGCACAATAAATATATAAAAACAAAACAAAAATTACACAAGATAACTGGAGTACTTAGAATTTATATGATGTGTGTGTGTGTGTATATATGTTTATGTGACGTAAATACACACACACACACACACAGAACTTACGATGATTAATATTAGGTGTCAGCCGGATTGGATTGAAGGATGCCTAGATAGCTGGTAAAGTGTTGTTTCTGGCTGTGTCTGTGACGGTGTTGCCAGAGGAGATTGACATTTGACTCAGTGGACTGGGCGAAGAACACCCATCCTCTGTGTGGGTGGGCACCATCCAATGGCTGCCAGAGCGAGTAGAACAAAGCAGCTAGAAGAAGGTGGGGTAAGCTGGCTTGCTGTGTTCGGCTTTCATTTTTCTCCCGTGCTGGATGCTTCCTTCGTTCCTCCTGCCCTTGGACATCAGACTCCAGGTTCTTCAGCCTTTGGACTCTTGTACTTACACCAGTGGTTTTACAGGGGCTCCTGGGCCTTCGGCCACAGACTGAAGGCTGCACTTTTGGCTTCTCTGCTTCTGAGGCTTTTGACTCGGACTGAGCCACTACCGGCTTCTTTCTTCCCCCAGCTTGCAGATGGCCTATTGTGGGACTTTGCCTTGTGATTGTGTGAGCCAATTCTCCCTAATAAACTCTCTTTCATATATACATGCATCCTATTAGTTCTGTCCCTCTAGAGAACCCTAACACCGAACCTACATATGAATTACTGTGACTATTGCAAATAATGGCAATATCTGGTTTCCTATGGGTTATGGCTAAGTTGGAAGTCAATAAGAAGTGAAAATATACTTTTAATGTAACATGAAACAAAATAATTTTCAAGGAATTTAAAAAATTGGAGTGAATTAGTTATTACAAACTCTAAAGAAAATAAAATTTAAATTTCTTCAATAGATTAAGCACACCTTCCCAATGAAAACTTGGATATTCAAAAAGAAGACGTAAAGGAATTATGTGGATATACCTAATTGGATATTGAATAGATAGTGTATTAATGACAAAGTTTCCAACATTGAAATAAATATTTGTATTAGAATTTGGGGAGCAGATACAGGCTAACTGGTAAATAAAATAGAGAGTAATCTTACTTTGTTTGTACTGCTATAATAAAATATCACAAACTAAGCAATCTATTAACCATACAGATATATTACTCACAGTTCAGACAGCAGGGAGGTCCAAGATCAAAGTGCCAGCAGGTGTGTTGTAAATTGTATTAAATTAACAAGTTTCTATGTGGAAAGTAAACAATGAAAATATTTATTATGAAAACATAAGGGAACAACAGAGTTTAAACACTTGGTAATGTTCAATCAGAATGTAATAAAAATGAAGTTATAATTAATACCTGTGCTTACATATTTCCATATAAATAAAATACATAAGAATTATATTTTAGATATTGATAATTATATTAAGTATAGAGTAATTTGAATTTAAAAGCAAAGAATGTATATATTCAGTAATAACTGTTTGTTGTCTTTATTAGACATGCCTTTCATGTAAGCATAAAGAAAAATGAATATAAAAGTGGAGCCACCATATGATCCAGCAATCCCACTCCCAGGTATATACCCAAAAGCAAGAAAATCAGTTTATCTAAGGGATAGCTGTACTCCCATGTTTGTTGCAGCACTGTTCACAATAGCTAAGATCTGGAAGCTACCTAAGTGTCCATCAACAGATGAATGGACAAAGAAAATGTGGTATATATAAACAATGGAGCAATATTCAGCCATAAAAAAGGAATGAGACCCTGTCATTTGCTATAACATGAATGGAACCAGGGGTCATTATGTTAAATAAAATAAGCCAGTCGCAGGAAGACAATCATCACATGCTCTCACTTACCTGTGGGATTTAAAAATCACAACAATTGAACTCATGGAGAGAGACAGTAGAAGGATGGTTACCAGAGATTGAGAAGGATAGTGGAAGGGTAGTAGTAGGGAGGTGAAAATGGTTAATTAATGGGTACGAAAAAAAGATAGAAAGGATGAGTAAGACCTAGTGTTTGATAGCACAACAGGGTCACTACAGTCAATAATAATTTAATTGTATATTTTAAAATAACTAAAGAGTATAATTGGATTGTTTGTAACACAAAGGATAAATCCTTAGGGAGATGGATGCATCATTTTTACATGATGTCATTATTATGCACTGCATGTCTCCCTCAAAACAGCTCACGGACCCCATAAACATATACCCTACTATGTACGCACTGAAATTAAAATTAAAATATTTAAACAAGGAAAGATGAAGATAAAATATTTAACAACATATACCATGCCTCACAAACTGGTAGAACACTATTACAGTTGTAATAGTGCCGTCTTAATATAAGGCAAGCCCTTTACTGGAATTGAGGAAGCATGCTTCACAATGTAAGATTAATTTTCCAAACCACTAGTAATATACATTTTTATCATTGCATGTACCTAATGCTACAAGTTCAACATACAATTGAATAAAGTGAATAAGTAACAATCATAAATGGAATTTTAAACACTTTTCTCTCAGTGCTTAACACACAAACAGGCCAGAGAGCCGATAGAAAGATTTGAACTAGACAAGTAGTTATCACTCATATGCACACACTCACACACATGTAGAATACTCACATATTTAATTTCACATATTTTTCCCAGATACACTGTAATCTCATAATTCTAAGCATATTAGTAAAAAATATAGGACTATGATTTCAATGTAGTACCACTAGCCAAGCTTGGCCAGTGGATAGTTAAAAAATAGCTATTCTAATTCAACATTAATTAATACCAAATAAATAACATGTAAAACCAGTTTCTCAGCACACTAGCCACATCTTTGCATACAAAGATGAAGAATATTTCCAGCTTCATAGAAAATGTTCTAACTACAGTTTACCTACAATAGAAGTCAATAAAAAAATCTGACAACCTCAATGGTTTTAAATTCAGTAATACATATCTAAATAACATATGGGTGAAATAAATTATCAAAACGAATGGTCACAATTTTTATATGAATTATAAGGAAAATAGAATGAAAATCTCTCTTGTAAAAACCGATTGCCCTCAATGTACATATATTACAAAAGATGACCTAAAAATTAAATTACCATTGAATGCACTAAAATAAATTAAAAATAGAAAAGCTAAAATTAAATACAAGTGATGTATAAGAAAAAGATGAATAAACAGTAAAAAATCACGATAAAGAATAATGTTACAATAGAGAGAACAGCAAGGCCAAAGGTATTTTCATTGAAAATGCTTTTAAAACTTGATGAACGACTACTAAAAATATACACCTACTAACGTATCCACAAAAATAATAAATTTAACATTTTAAAAAATTGATAAGGGCCAGGCACAGTGATGCCTCCCAAAGTGCTGGGATTATAGGCTTGAGCCACCAGAACTGGCCTATTTCTAGATTAAACATGGCAATACCATTATGGTCTTTACAGTTATTTAGAGGCAATAAAACTATTTTTCATTACATTTTAATGTCTATATGAAATAGAAAATTCATACATACTCATTACCAAATGCAGTACCTCAAATAGAAATCTGAGTATATCCCACCATGTATTAAAGAAATTCAGTTTAGACATAAACTTTCCTAGAAAAATAGTCTACAAACTCAGATGGCATTACTAGTGAATTATAACATTTAAAAATAAAGCAGTACTCTCAACAAATGCTTCTAGGTTATAGAAAAAGAGAAATTCTTCCCAAGATAGCCTTGATATCAAAACCTTTCAAGTATATAGCTATGAATAAAAACATGGTCAAATATCCTTGTGAACATGGATGAAGAAACAAATCTTACCCTACATAAAATATATATGCGCTAATTTTTTTTTATTCATCTTTTTTGAGACAGAGTCTCCCTCTGTCGCCAGGTTGGAGTACAGTGGTGCCCTCTCGGCTCACTGCAACCTCCGACCCCTGGTTTAAAGTGATTCTCCTGCCTCAGCCTCTCGAGTAGCTGGGACTATAGGTGCGCACCACCACGCCCAGCTAATTTTTGTATTTTTAGCACAGATAGGGTTTCAGCACGTTGGCCAGGATGGTCTCGATCTCTTGACTTCATGATCCACCTGCCTCAGCCTCCCAAAGTGCTGGGATTACAGACGTGGGCCACCACACCCGGCCAGCACTGATATTTTATGAGGGAAATATACAATGATCATCATGGATCTATTTCAGAAACAAAGGCTGGTTTAACATTTGAAAAAATAAAAGTTTATAAAATGTTATATAAACAAAACATATATCATTCCAACGGATACAAATTAATAAAAATGTTACAATTGATAAAATCTATTAGAAAATAGTATTATAAAACTGCTTCGATATGAGAAAGATAGGATGCAAAAAACACCAAGCTTTTTAAATATGTATAACATGTTGAAGTATTTTTTGCCAAAACCAGAAAATGATGCATATGATCCACAAAGAACTTTGATTGTGCCTTCTATTCAACTATGGGTATAAAACCCTAGCCAGTGAAAATAAATGAAAATAAAACTAAGTTATAGCACATGGATTAAAAAAAATAAAAGTGTGATCATTTGCAGATAAAATTGCTCGTTATATAGAACACCCAGAAATAAATCAATAGTTGACATAATAGATTTAAATATATAAAATCAGTGGAATAAGTAGATATAAAATCAAAATGCAGACATCAGTTGTATTTCTATTTATAACAACAAAAATTACTAAAGGGAATTTTAGAATCAGGATGCCATTTACAAAAGCATAAATGTAAAATACCTACATTTCTGTATGACTTCAATCCCCCAAAATACAAAATACAAGAGAGAGAAATTAAAGATAACACAGTACATTGAAGGAAACACTTTATACTGATTAGAAAAGTCAATATTATAAAGAAGCTAATCTTTAAAAATTACTTTAGAGAATAAATGCAGTCATAAACAATCCCATCAGAGGCTTTTTTTTTTCTGGATAGCTTTATTGAAGTGTCATGTACAAAGCATACATTTCATGCACTTAAAATGATTAAAAATCAATGATGTTTAGTATATTCGCAGAGTTACAACCATCACCACTACTGAAATTTAGAAAGTTTTCATCACGACACAAAGAAACGTTCTATCAATTAGTGGTCATCTCCTATTTCAACCTCCCTGAGACATTGGCAACCACTATTCTACTTTCTGTCTCCATGGGTTTGACTGTTCTTGGTACTTCCTATAAGCTGACTCACATAACATGCAACTTTTAGAAAGGCTGAAAACCACAAATACCATGTTGAGCAAAATGAGCCCGACACAAATGCTAGGATGTCTGTACTTTAGTAATTGTGTGCATCCTATTTCAATAATTGATTTAGAATTTTTGTATCAGAGCAAATAACATAATTCATTTTCAGATTTATGCAATCATAATATTTCTATTTTAAGAAATATAAAATGTATCTGATGCACTGCAAACGCAAATGCTTTACTTCTAAAGCTTATGCTTACAATGATATATCATTGAAGATCCACACTGGGCTGATTTAAGTCGATTTACTTGTAGCACTGCACAGTTAAGTTCAGCATTATCTGAGTCTTTTATCCTGTAATGGAGAAAAATCCATTTTCTGTTACATTTTAAGCAAATGATTCATGAGACGAAAGCATTTTCCATGTACTGTAAGAAAAGAATTTCATGGAAAAGGGTAATTAAATTTTTCATAATATTAGTAAGAGTCATTATTCTGAACACTCAACAGAGTAGTCCCTCTTCATCCACGAGGGATATGTTTCAAGACCCCAGTGGATGCCTGAAATGGCAGATAGTGCAGAACCTATAGAGAGATTATGTTTTCTCTACACATTCATAACTGTGATAAAGTTTAATTTATAAATTAGGCACAATAAGAGATTGACAACAATAACTAATAATAAAAAAATTATAGCAATATGCCAACAGCACTATTATTGTGCTTTGAGGATATTCTTAAGTAAAAAAGTAAGCGTGGCTTTTTAATAAAAACAAGCACTGCAGTTCCCTGATAGTCCAGCTCGAGGTTGTCCAACTCGCTGCCCATGGGCCGCACGTGACCCAGGACAGCTTTGAATGCGGCCCAACACAAATACGTAAACTTTCTTAAAACATTCTGTGATTTTTTTTTTTTTTTTAGCTCGTCAGCTATCGTTAGTGTTAGTGTATTCTATGTGTGGCCCAAGACTATTCGTCTTCTAACGTGGCCCACAGAAGCCAAAGATGGGACACCCCTGGTCCATCTGATAACCAAGAAGGTTACTAGCAGACCAATGAGCGGTTGAAATATATGGACTACTATGGTCTATTGTAAAATATTTATATCAACATTTCACTAACTTTCCACATCTTTCTTCATGTCAATGATTCCACATAAATTTATTCATATTATTCTTCTGAATTTATCCTTTATATATATTTTTTATATAGCGCCATACAAAAGAACTTACTTATGTTTGAAAGCCAAACCATTTATTGTCACCCATGGATGATGACTGCTGTTACGAAACACACCAATCCATGAGGAAGGTAAAATGCTGGCCAGAAATTTCTAAAAGAAAAGAAATAATTTTCACTTAAATAATAATTATGAAAACATTACAAAAACAATATATTAAAGTTGAAAACCACTATTTGCAGTGCCAAAAACTTTCATAAATGTTTGAATTTTTTATTTAAATGAACTCTTCAACGTTTATACTTAGTACTTTCATTCTTATTCTCATGTTAATAAAGACATTTTAATTCTTGCAATGTAATAGTTACTCCAATTAACAGAATAAACGCAGGAAGGGTTTTAATAAGTTTCCTGATACTGTGCATTCATTCCTCCAGATACTGTGACTAAATCAATCTATTTTTGTGCTATATTTCTCAGAGTTGGAGATTTAGAAGGGAATTGAGGGGTTGTCATTCAGAAATAGATGACATGGAAGCTACAGATTGGGTTTTCTGGGTACCACACCATTCTTTAACTAGATAAGCCCTCAATTTTTATCCGATTCGGTTTTTGCGGAATAACAGGGGTCCTGGCCAGGTGGTGTAGACTCGTCTCTCTCTGCTACTCCCGACTAAAAACAACTATAAACTCTGGGATTAATGAAAGACAAAAGCAATGGAGAACTCTGAAAGGTGGAAAGAGAAAGATGAAATTGTCTGGGACCCTAGCATCAGGGATCAACCAAGTGTCCGAGTGAGCATGTTAAGTCCTCCACACGACAGAAGAAGGTGACCTAGGCCTGCTGTTTCCCTACACCCAACCTGGCAATAGGAGGAGGGTATCGAAGGAGAGTCCCCTCCACAATACCAGGCAAGGCTGGTGCCACTGGCAAGGATGATCTACCAGGAGACCTGCTACCAATATGGAGCTAGAGAAAGTGCTTCCTTCTCATACCAAGAGACACCAGGATGGCTGTGGATGAGGAGGATCAGCAAAGGGACCCCATGACTAACAGTGCACCGTAAACCACCTAGGGTCCTCTTTGTCCCTGAGGGCATGAGACCCACTTCCCCATCCAGAGACAAGGACTCAATGGATTCTTACTGTTCTTTGTACATAGTACAGCAGTGAACAGTAACATACTACTGATAACTGCAATAATATGGAGGAATTGCACAAATATCAGATAGGATTGAAAAAGACATGAAATTCACACTGCTTGATTCCCTTTATATAAATAAATTCAAGAACAGGCAATCATTATTTATAATATTAAAAGTCAAGACTGCGTTTTGGAGAGGAGTCAGGATAAGTGATGAGGGCATACACAGGGGTGGAACTGCTAGAGCTGGAAACTTTTATTTCATGATCTGACTTGTATCACATGCATTCATTCACTTTGTGATCAATCTGCATGACCAGATGATATCATGCCCGATAAAATTAGATAGCAAAATTTATTGTGGATTCAAAGCACTTATAGAAGCATGGTTTTCCTTGAAAAACAAAAACTGAAAATAAATGTACATTAGCAGTATATAACTTTAAAAACATTATTAAGTCAATCAATTGAATATTACATACACTTGAAAATATATGAGATAAATATATGTACACACATATGGATGTTTTCTACAAATGTATTATTCACTGAAGGAAGCTTTTCATAAAATGTTTGAAACATTTACATCTTACCATTTCTTCTTCATTATCTATAGAAAGCAGACTGGAGTTCTTCGAAGTACAGGCCAGCAAACTCTCTTCCCAAGTTCTTCTTTCCTTACCAATGTAATAACAACTGTTGGAATATGTAATCCACTCCTCAGGACAATGGCCACAATGACGTGCTAATAAAGATATGAATTACTATCTAGACCAATATGAATTTTTAAAAATGAAAATTAGTTCACATATTTCAACAGTATAAACATATATGTGCTTAACATATTTACGCATCCTTACAGGCTTATAAATGTATATTTTTAATAACTGAGTCAGTCATACACACATGCACAGACAAGGGTTAGCCTCTCCTCCCTAATTGTGTTCCCATATAAAGCAAATGAACAAACAAAAATACACTCTACACATGTGTTGAACATCGCTGATACACAACTGCTTTTTTAGAATAGTAAAATTATTTATTTGGTATCATCTCACAGCAGTAGGAAACCTCTGTTAATTGGGAGAAAGAGGGTAGAATGATTTTAAGTGAGTATTTCTACTCACTGGAGAAAAGGAAATGCTGCCTCATAATCTTTCTTTATAAATATTTATGGCTGAATTTATGGCTTATTTTCTGCAAAAATGCCACTATTCTTTTACATGCCTTAAAACAGACACAAAATATAAATTGTACTAATATCAGAACATTGAAAATAAAAATGTACCTTTCTGCGTTCTTGTATTCGGGGAAAAATTGTTCTGCTCCAGGACTGTAATAGAAAAATTAAAATGATTTTTATAAAAACTGATATCTAGATAAACCATAACGAGTTTAGTTTCTTACTTTGAAACTTTGTGTGTTATTTAAAATGGGGAGAATCTTTAATAAAATTAACTTTTTCTATAAAAATATATAAAGTAATAGACCTTTGAAATAAACATTTTTAAAGACTTTAGCACAAACTTCACCATCTCTTGTAGTATTTGATGTAACCACTTTCAAAAATTAATTTGTTTTTCTAAATACTTTTCTTCTATAGCATGCCTTTGAATTATGAAATCAGAAAATATCTTTGTGTGTGTATGTATATACATATATATAGATTACACACAAAAAATAAACACATGTTCTCTACAATGATTTTGTTATTTATGTTGTGAAAAATTCAGAATAACCATATTACTTTTGGTTCCAAATTGTACTAATATCAGAACTTTGAAAATAAAAATGTACTTTTCTGGGTTCTTGTATTTGGGGAAGAATTGTTCTGCTCCAGGACTGTAACAGAAAAATTAAAATGATTTTTATAAAAAGTAATATTTAGATAAACCATAATGAGTTTAGTTTCTTACTTTGAAACTTTGTGTGTTATTTAAAATGGGGACAATCTTTAATAAAATTAACTTTTTCTATAAAAATAAATGAAGTAATAGATCTTTGAAAGAAACAGTAAAATAAGAGTTCTATTCTTCAACAGTATGAAATATTTTGAGGCACTTCCAAGCATTAAAGTAAAACGTTCCCTTCTAATCTTTCAAGAATATGCTTACAAGGAATAAGAACTATTGTTTTTAACACAGTGGCCATCAGGACAATGCAAATGATTCCTAGGACCTCGGCAGTGAGCTTCTCTGGAGGTGGCAGTAAACCTGCAGGGAGAGAAATAGAGGCACTGAGAGAGGGGAGATAGAGAGTTGATTAGGATTACATACTAGAGAATTACATACTAGAGAACCCACATGCACAGGGAAACATAATGATAAACTCTGGCCTCTAAATCTACATCTACTCTAGTAATCTTTCTCTCAGAATATACCATTTCATTTTCAGTAAATATAATGTTCCATGAGTGGACCGCAGATTACAGTTGAACAATGCCCGAATAAAATTAGTCTTCTGATTTCATATTAGAATTTTAGATCCCAATTATGAACTCCGATTCTCACAAGTGCAAAATATTCCCTAATCTTTCCTCACCCTTCTGCATTCAACTGCACATCCTAGAACAATAATATTGAAGATATATTTAATGTTTTACCTTGGCAGTCATATATTTTATCAATCCCTTGATGATTCAGGGAAGGATTTTGAAGATTTAATTCTACTTGGAATATTTCCTGTTCGGTTCCTGAAATGGAGCTTTTATTGCCTTTAGGTTTCCTTTGCTGCCGCTTTGGGTCCTGGGCCAGACTCACTTCTGAGAAGGTTCCTCTTTGTTTATTCATCTCTGCAGCTGTGTGATGTGAGGGACTGTGCTCTATGATAACTGCACTTAAGAAGCTATAAATGGTGTATATTTTGACAGGATCCCTGGTATAGGCAATGTGCATGTGTTGGGGCTGAGTAATAATGTTTACTTTGCTGTTAACCAATGTAAAATTCTGCTACTAATTTCCTAAAGCTTTAAACAAAAATCACACGATATAATTGGCAATTTTTTAGATGTATTCTGTATTTGACATAATATTACTAGTGGGAACAATAAAAACATTAAACTTATGAGAACTAGGAAGTTCATGAAAAATTGGTATTAAATTAAGGTTAGATTCTTCAAAAATGTTTAACACCAATAGACTGCATATGTCAACAATCAAAATACTGTATTTAGAAATACACAAATTTTATCATAGTTTTAAGAGTCATTGATGGTTAAGGATTGTGTGCCATAAGATAAAATAGTTCTGTCAGCATATAGAGTATCTTCTTATACTAAAATACATTGTTAGTGACTTACATTCATTTATTAAAAGGACCTGAGGTATTGTCAAATGATTTTTTTTCTAAATTAGGAAATCAGAAAAATCATTAAAATTTTAAAAATATATCTTGTAAAACATTACATTACTGTATGCATAAATATTATTGAAAACGTATTTTTAAATTGCTGCTTTTACACAAGAAATTGGTAATTGATTTAATGACTAAAATAGGAAAACTTAAAATGATAAATAAACGTGTGGGCCGTCTATGGAAGAATAGTGTCCAATCAAACTTTCAGAAAGCTCCTATGATTGTATAAGTCAGTGAGGGTTGCTTTGGTTGTATAAGTAATTGTAATAGTTCAGATAATGTAATTTAATAATCTAGTCAATGAGCTCTGTAGTCAGTGAGACTACAATTAATTCTAGCTTTGCAAGTTGTAATATGTGACCTGTACTAAATTACTTAGTGTCTACTAACCTAGTTTACTAATCTACATTGGGAAAAATAATTTATAAAGTATAATGTATGTAAAAAACTAAACACACAACCTGGCACATGTTACCACTGAATACATAATAGATATTTCAACTATTTTTAACACAATTGCCATTTTATTATTTCTGATTTGCATTAGAGTGTGTTAAAATAACTCATTAATTAGGCGTCTCATGTCAGTGTGGTACATCTTTTTTGCAATGTTTGGTTCAATTGTTTTAAGTCTTCCAATTGTTTATAATTAAGGTCAGATTTGCATTTTATGGAAATGATTTCATCCTTACTTTTATTAAAAATTAAAACTGCTTTCATGAAATCTAGGTGTGTGATTGAGAATTAATGTTTGACATTCACAATTTGATGTATCCATATTAAAAATTTATTTTTAAAGTTTGGTCTAAATATAATATACAAAATGTAATGGTTACAAAATCCAAAATTAATTGTTCATTGTCATGATGGTTATGGGTTTCACTCTAAATTACATGGATTGGCAAACCTATTATTATGTATGCATCTACTTGAGTGATTCTCCAGCGGCAATGATGTGAATACTCTAAGAAATCCTTAAACATAGTTTATATTTTGGCTCGTTTTTCACCTTGAATTATTCACGTGAATAAAGTTCTACCTTGATTTTCGTCTATATCAACTTTACCTCAGGTGCATCACAGCCAGTACTTACAATCTTCTACTAAATGAGATGAGCTAGTAGAGAAACAGGGAGAGGAGCAACACTTACCTACTGTCATCAGAAAGCCACACGCCCTTCAGTGGAGAGGTCAGGTTACCTCTGAAAGACACAAACGTTATCTGTGATCTTCACAGGCTGCCCTTTGAAGGGTCAGAGTGAGGCAAGAGTGGAAAAAGTAGATTCCTCACCAATGTGTCACTGCAGATTTGAACAGGAAATTCTCACCCTAGGGCTATTTTGAATCAGTTTGTCTCATCACACACTTTAGAATATAGGAGACTTTGGGTGGCTAGTGTGTCATTTAGTTTGTCCATTTTAAAGTGCCTCTTAGAAATTATTTTTATGGTCGACAAGATGAGGGGAGAGCAGAGATTTGATCCATGCTGGTGATTGTTTCCATCTCAGTCACAAACACCAAAGTTTTGTAACTTTTCAAAAGGATCTTAGGTGGTTGCTTTCTACATTTAGACAAGGTGGCTGAAACTTGACATTATATACTTCTTTATCATATACCCCTATAATATCACTGCTATCATAATAACAAAATTTAAATAATGATTTTATCAATAGGAATTTAATGTACTTGTCACTATTTTGAGAAAATGCTGCATTTTCAACTTAATTGTAACTGACATGCATTCTCAAACTTATCTTCTTGCTTTCTTTGCCTTAGTTCTTAAAATTCCCTCATTCAATTTTTCTTCTTTATATAAGTTAACCAGATTCCTCTGATTAAAATAAATGTCTCTTGAAAGAATAAAATATTAAACAATACTGAGCTATATCTCTATGCCAGAGACTGAAATAATAAAAAAAACTACCTACTATATTGTTCACCGGTTCCTTCTCTAATCATGACTTATTGTCTACATTTTAATAGAAATATTTGTTGTAAATGATTAAAGCCTAAGTTAAACTATGAAGGGAGGTTAAAGCAATTTTTAAAACATCACCTACTTAAAAATGGGGAGGCCAGAAAATGGAGATTTTTTTAAAACACAAGTAAAATGATACATGAATGTCCGGGCGTGGTAGCTCATGTCAGTAATCCCAGCACTCCAGGATCACTTGAGCTCAGGAGTTTGAGGTTAGCATGATACACAGGATGAAACCCCATCTCTTAAAAAAAAATATATATATATATATAAAAATTAGCCGAGGATGCTGGTGTTTGCTTGTAGTCCCATCTGCTCTGGAGGCTGAGGTGAGAGGATCGCTTGAGCCCATTGGGGTCAAGGCTGCAGTGAACTGTTAGTGTCACTGCACTGTAGCCTGGGCAACAGAGCCAGACCTTGTCTCAAAAACAAATAAACAAAAATTTTAAAAAAATAAATGGTATATGAACATCAGGGAAAAAACTATAAATTATCTAGTTGTATTAAATAAAAATCTTTTCATCATTTATTTTCTATCAAGAAAAGGGGGAATGTTTATGCATAATTCTATTGCCCAGGCTGGAGTGCAGTGGTGCCATCTCAGCTCACTGCAACCTCTGCCTCCTGGGCTCAAGCGATTCTCCTGCCTCAGCCTCCTGAGTAGCTGGGATTACAGGCGTGTGCCACCAGGCCCAGCTAATTTTTTTTGTATTTTTAGTAGAGATGAGGTTTCACCGTGTTAGCCAGGATGGTCTCGATCTCCTGACCTCGTTATCCGTCTGCCTCGGCCTTCCAATGTGCTGGGATTACAGGCGTGAGCCACTGTGCCCGGCTATTCTCTAAAATCTAAAAAGTTGGAATTTAAACCCATATTTATTTCTTTGCAATGAGAATTATTATTTGCCCTTCCATCAGAATGGCTAATGGTGGCTAGGTATATATGTTTTTCTGTAAAATATATTGTAATATATTTTCACAAAATTAATTAATAATGTCATATGCATATATGCTTGTGTTCATATTGTATCTTTTTCTATTACAAGTATATTTATATTTACATTTTATTACATTTTCATAAACTAGGTTACTTTTTCTATTAGTCACGTTATGGAACTAAAACAATAAAATCATTCACTAAAGATGCCACATAATGTATCATTCACTGATGTTTTCTATTTAAGTTTGAAGTGCTGATGTCTACTATTGCTACAAACATCCACTTGGTGTTTTCCATTAGTGTTATACCGTTATTGTTTGCATAATGACAGGGATACCTCTGAGGAATATGTCTTTAGGCAATTTCATCCCTGTGTCAACATCAAAGAGTTTATTTACACAAACCTAGATGGTACAGCTACTACACTCCTGTGTTATATGGGATAGGCTATTGCTCCAAGGATACAAACCTGTACAATATGTTACTGTTGTGAATAATGCAAGCAGTGACCAGAATGGTAATTTTTGTTTATCTAATTATATATAAACCAAAAAACAGTAAAATATGGTTTAAAAAAAGGTTAAAAATGGCATCCTTTTATAGGGCACTTACTATGAATGAAGACTGCAGAAATGGAATTTTCCCTGGGTGAGTCAGTGAGTAAGTAGCAAGTGAAAGTCAAGGCCTAGGATATTACAGCACACTACTGTAGGATTTATACACTGTACACTAGGGTACACTATATTTATGCAGCACTTTTTTTCTTGAGCTAATAATAAATTAACTTTACTGCACCTTTGTTGGTTTCTAAATTTTTCATATTTTAAAAATCTTCTGCCTCTTTTTAAATACACTTTATTTAAAAACACAAATTGCACAGTCTTAACAACTATATTCTTTTTTATGAGCTTTTTTCTATATTTCATTTTAATTTTTTTCTTTTTAAACTTTTTTTAAAAACGAAGACACGAAAACATACATTAGCCTAAGCCTACGCAGTGTCAGCAAGATCAATCTCACTGTCATCCCCTCCACATCTTGTCCCACTGGAAGGTTCAGGCAATAACACACGTGCAGCTGTCCTCTCCTATGGTAACAGTGCCTTCTTCTGGAATTCCTCCTGAGGGACCTGCCCAAGGTTGTTTTTCAGGTAACTGTTTTTATAGAAGTAGAAGGAGTACACTCTAAAATAATAATTAAAAGTATACTACAGTAAATACATAAACCAATAACATTGTCATTTATTATCATTATCAAATATTATGTAGTGTATGTAATTGTTTGTGCTATACTTTTATTCCACTGGCAGCAAGGTAATTTACACCAGCATCACCACAGACATGTGAATAATACACTGTACTGAAACTATTGCTATGACGTCACTAAGTCATAGGAAATTTCCAGCTCCGTTATAATCTAGTGGGACCACTATCTACGTGCAGTCAGTCATTGACCAAAACATCATTTTGTGGCACGTGACTGTATATCATGTCCTTTGTTAATCGAAACAATACAGATTTCTACTGTTTGAGTATTTAACGTGAATGATGTTTATGCTTATATAAAGGCACAATATATAATTACACAAATATATAAAAACAAATATATATAAAAACAAAAATTACACACGATAACTGGAGCACTTAGAATTTACTCTATATGATATGTGTATATATATATGTTTATATGATGTAAATACACACACACACACAGAACTTACGATGATTAATATTAGGTGTCAGCCTGATTGGATTGAAGGATGCCTGGATAGCTGGTAAAGTGTTGTTTCTGGCTGTGTCTGTGACGGTGTTGCCAGAGGAGACTGACATTTGACTCAGTGGACTGGGCGAAGAAGACCCATCCTCGGTGTGGGTGGGCACCATCCAATGGCTGCCAGAGCGAGTAGAACAAAGCAGCTAGAAGAAGGTGGGGTAAGCTGGCTTGCTGTGTTCGGCTTTCATTTTTTTCCCGTGCTGGATGCTTCCTTCGTTCCTCCTGCCCTTGGACATCAGACTCCAGGTTCTTCAGCCTTTGGACTCTTGTACTTACACCAGTGGTTCTACAGGGGCTCCTAGGCCTTCGGCCACAGACTGAAGGCTGCACTTTTGGCTTCTCTGCTTCTGAGGCTTTTACTGAGCCACTACTGGCTTCTTTCTTCCCCCAGCTTGCAGATGGCCTATTGTGGGACTTTGCCTTGTGATCGTGTGAGCCAATTCTCCCTAATAAACTCCCTTTCATATATACACGTATCCTATTAGTTCTGTCCATCTGGAGAACCCTAACACCGAACCTACATATGAATTACTGTGACTATTGCAAATAATGGCAATATCTGGTTTCCTATGGGTTATGGCTAAGTTGGAAGTCAATAAGAAGTGAAAATATACTTTTAATGTAACATGAAATAAAATAATTTTCAAGCAGTTTAAGAAATTGGAGTGAATTAGTTATTACAAACTCTAAAGAAAATAAAATTCAAATTTCTTCAATAGATTAAGCACACCTTCCCAATGAAAACTTGGATATTCAAAAAGAAGACTTAAAGTAAAGGAATTATGTGGATATACCTAATTGGATATTGAATAGATAGTGTATTAATGACAAAGTTTCCAACATTGAAATAAATATTTGTATTAGAATTTGGGGAGCAGATACAGGCTAACTGGCAAATAAAATAGAGAGTAATCTTACTTTGTTTGTACTGCTATAATAAAATATCACAAACTAAGCAATCTATTAACCATACAGATATATTACTCACAGTTCAGACAACAGGGAGGTCCCAGATCAAAGTGCCAGCAGGTGTGTTGTAAATTGTATTAAATTAACAAGTTTCTATGTGGAAAGTAAACAATGAAAATATTTATTATGAAAACATAAGGGAACAACAGAGTTTAAACACTTGGTAATGTTCAATCAGAATGTAATAAAAATGAAGTTATAATTAATACCTGTGCTTACATATTTCCATATAAATAAAATACATAAGAATTATATTTTAGATATTGATAATTATATTAAGTATAGAGTAATTTGAATTTAAAAGCAAAGAATGTATATATTCAGTAATAACTGTTTGTTGTCTTTATTAGACATGCCTTTCATGTAAGCATAAAGAAAAATGAATATAAAAGTGGAGCCACCATATGATCCAGCAATCCCACTCCCAGGTATATACCCAAAAGCAAGAAAATCAGTTTATCTAAGGGATAGCTGTACTCCCATGTTTGTTGCAGCACTGTTCACAATAGCTAAGATCTGGAAGCTACCTAAGTGTCCATCAACAGATGAATGGACAAAGAAAATGTGGTATATATAAACAATGGAGCAATATTCAGCCATAAAAAAGGAATGAGACCCTGTCATTTGCTATAACATGAATGGAACCAGGGGTCATTATGTTAAATAAAATAAGCCAGTCGCAGGAAGACAATCATCACATGCTCTCACTTACCTGTGGGATTTAAAAATCACAACAATTGAACTCATGGAGAGAGACAGTAGAAGGATGGTTACCAGAGATTGAGAAGGATAGTGGAAGGGTAGTAGTAGGGAGGTGAAAATGGTTAATTAATGGGTACGAAAAAAAGATAGAAAGGATGAGTAAGACCTAGTGTTTGATAGCACAACAGGGTCACTACAGTCAATAATAATTTAATTGTACTTTTAAAAATAACTAAAGAGTATAACTGGATTGTTTGTAACAAAAGAATAAATCCTTAGGGAGATGGAAACACCATTTTTACATGATGTCATTATTATGCACTGCATGTCTCCCTCAAAACAGCTCACGGACCCCATGAACATATACACCTACTATGTACGCACTGAAATTAAAATTAAAATATTTAAACAAGGAAAGATGAGGATAAAATATTTAACAACATATACCATGCCTCACAAACTGGTAGAACACTATTACAGTTGTAATAGTGCCGTCTTAATATAAGGCAAGCCCTTTACTGGAATTGAGGAAGCATGCTTCATAATGTAAGATTAATTTTCCAAACCACTAGTAATATACATTTTTTATCATTGCATGTACCTAATGCTACAAGTTCAACATATAATTGAATAAAGTGAATAAGTAACAATCATAAATGGGATTTTAAACCCTTTTCTCTCAGTGCTTAACACATAAACAAGCCACAGAGCTGACAGAAAGATCTGAACTAGACACGTAGTTATCACTCATATGCACACACTCACACACGTAGAATACTCACATATTTAATTTCACATATTTTTCCCAAATACACTGTAATCTCATAATTCTAAGCATATTAGTAAAAAATATAGGACTATGATTTCAATGTAGTACCACTAGCCAAGCTTGGCCAGTGGATAGTTAAAAAATAGCTATTCTAATTCAACATTAATTAATACCAAATAAATAACATATAAAGCCAGTTTCTCAGCACACTAGCCACATCTTTGCATACAAAGATGAAGAATATTTCCAGCTTCATAGAAAATGTTCTAACTACAGTTTACCTACAATAGAAGTCAATAAAAAAATCTGACAACCTCAATGGTTTTAAATTCAGTAATATATATCCAAATAACATATGGGTGAAATAAATTATCAAAATGAATGGTCACAATTTTTATATGAATTATAAGGAAAATAGAATGAAAATCTCTCTTGTAAAAACTGATTGCCCTCAATGTACATATATTACAAAAGATGACCTAAAAATTAAATAACCATTGAATGCACTAAAATAAATTAAAAATAGAAAAGCTAAAACTAAATACAAGTGGTGTATAAGAAAATAATGAATAAACAGTAAAAAATCACGATAAAGAATAATGTTACAATAGAGAGAACAGCAAGGCCAAAGGTATTTTCATTGAAAATGCTTTTAAAACTTGATGAACGACTACTAAAAATATACACCTACTAACGTATCCACAAAAATAATAAATTTAACATTTTAAAAAATTGATAAGGGCCAGGCACAATGATGCCTCCCAAAGTGCTGGGATTATAGGCTTGAGCCACCACAACTGGCCTATTTCTAGATTAAACATGGCAATACCATTATGGTCTTTACAGTTATTTAGTGGCAATAAAACTGTATTTTCATTACATTTTAATGTCTATATGAAATAGAAAATTCATACATACTCATTACCAAACGCAGTGCATCAAATAGAAATCCGAGTATATCCTACATGTTTTAAAGAAATTCAGTTTAGACATAAACTTTCCTAGAAAAATAGTCTACAAACTCAGATGGCATAACTAGTGAATTATAACATTTAAAAATAAAGCAGTACGCTCAATAAATGCTTCTAGGTTATAGAAAAAGAGAAATTCTTCCCAAGATAGCCTTGATATCAAAACCTTTCAAGTATATAGCTATGAATAAAAACATGGTCAAATATCCTTGTGAACGTGGATGAAGAAACAAATCTTACCCTACATAAAATATATATGCACTAATTTTTTTTTTTTTTTTTTTTTTTTGAGACAGAGTCTCCCTCTGTCGCCAGGTTGGAGTGCAGTGGTGCACTCTCGGCTCACTGCAACCTCCGACCCCTGGTTTGAAGTGATTCTCCTGCCTCAGCCTCTCGAGTAGCTGGGACTATAGGTGCACACCACCACACCCAGCTAGTTTTTGTATTTTTAGTACAGATGGGGTTTCAGCACGTTGGCTAGGATGGTCTCAATCTCTTGACCTCCTGATCCACCGGCCTCAGTCTCCCAAAGTGCTGGGATTACAGACATCAGCCACCACACCCGGCCAGCACTGATATTTTATGAGGGAAATATACAATGATCACCATGGATTTATTTCAGAAACAAAGGCTGGTTTAACATTTGAAAAAATAAAAGTAGTTTATAAAATGTTATATAAATACAACATATATCATTCCAACTGCTACAAATTAATAAAAATGTTACAATTGATAAAATCTATTAGAAAATAGGAATATTATAAAACTGCTTCGATATGAGAAAGATAGGATGAAAACAACACCAAGCTTTGTAAATATGAATAATATGTTTAAGTATTTTTTGCCAAAATCAGAAAACGATACATATGATACACACAGAACTTTGATTGTACCTTCTATTCAACTATGGGTATAAAACCCTAGCCAGTGAAAATAAATGAAAATAAAACTACGTTATAGCATATAGATTAAAAAAATAAAAGTGTGATCATGTGCAGATAAAATTGCTCGTTATATAGAACACCCAGAAATAAATCAATAGTTGACATAATAGATTTACATATATAAAATCAGTGGAATAAGTAGATATAAAATCAAAATGCAGACATCAGTTGTATTTCTATTTATAACAACAAAAATTACTAAAGGGAATTTTAGAATCAGGATGCCATTTACAAAAGCATAAATGTAAAATACCTACATTTCTGTATGACTTCAATCCCCCAAAATACAAAATACAATAGAGAGAAATTAAAGATAACACAGTACATTGAAGGAAACACTTTATATTGATTAGAAAAGTCAATATTATAAAGAAGCTAATCTTTAAAAATTACTTTAGAGAATAAATGCAGTCACAAATAATCCCAGGAGAGGCTTTTTTTTTTTTTCTGGATAGCTTTATTGAAGTGTCGTGTACAAAGCATACATTTCATGCACTTAAAATGATTAAAAATCAATGATGTTTAGTATATTCGCAGAGTTACAACCATCACCACTACTGAAATTTAGAAAGTTTTCATCACGACACAAAGTAACGTTCTATCAGTTAGAGGTCATCTCCTATTTCAACCTCCCTCAGACATTGGCAACCACTATTCTACTTTCTGTCTCCATGGGTTTGACTGTTCTTGGTACTTCCTATAAGCTGACTCACATAACATGCAACTTTTAGAAAGGCTGAAAACCACAAATACCATGTTGAGCAAAATGAGCCCGACACAAATGCTAGGATGTCTGTACTTTAGTAATTGTGTGTATCCTGTTTCAATAATTGATTTAGAATTTTCTTATTAGAGCAAATAACATAATTCATTTTAAGATTTATGCAATCATAATATATTTCTATTTTAAGAAATATACAATTTATCTGATGCACTGCAAATGCAAACGCTTTACCTCTAAAGCTTATGCTTACAATGATATATTATTGAAGATCCACACTGGGCTGATTTAAGTCGATTTACTTGTAGCACTGCACAGTTAAGTTCAGCATTATCTGAGTCTTTTATCCTGTAATGGAGAAAAATCCATATTCTGTTACATTTTAAGCAAATGATTCATGAGACGAAAGCATTTTCCATGTACTGTAAGAAAATAATTTCATGGAAAAGGGTAATTAAATTTTTCATAATATTAGTAAGAGTCATTATTCTGAACACTCAACAGAGTAGTCCCCCTTCATCCACGAGGGATATGTTTCAAGATTCCAGTGGATGCCTGAAACGGCAGATAGTGCAGAACCTATAGAGAGATTATGTTTTCTCTACACATTCATAACTGTGATAAAATTTAATTTATAAATTAGGCACAATAAGAGATTGACAACAATAACTACTAATAACAAAATTATAGCAATATGCCAACAGCACTACTCTTGTGCTTTGAGGATATTCTTAAGAAAAAAAGTAAGTGTGGCTTTTTAATAAAAACAAGCACTGCAATTCCCTGATAGTCCAGCTCGAGCTTGTCCAACTCGCTGCCCACGGGCCGCATGTGACCCAGGACAGCTTCAAATGCGGCCCAATACATATACGTAAACTTTCTTAAAACATTCTGTGATTTTTTTTTTCTTTTTTTTGCTCGTCAGCTATCGTTAGTGTTAGTGTATTTTATGTGTGGCCCAAGACTCTTCTTCTTCCAATGTGGCCCACAGAAGCCAAAGATTGGACACCTGATAATCAAGAAGGTTACTAGCTGACCAATGAGCGGTTGAAATATATGGACTACTATGGTCTATTGTAAAATATTTATGTCAGCATTTCACTAACTTTCCACATCTTTCTTCATCTCTATGATTCCACATAGATTTATTCATATTATTCTTCTGAATTTATCCTTTATATATATATTGTTATATAGCGCCATACAAAACAACTTACTCATGTTTGAAAGCCAAACCATTCATTGTCACCCATGGATGATGACTGCTGTTACGAAACACACCAATCCATGAGGATGGTGAAATGATGGACAGAAATTTCTAAAAGAAAAGAAAGAATTTTCACTTAAATAATAATTATGAAAACATTACAAAAACAATATATTAAATTTGAAAACCACTATTTGCAGTGCCAAAAACTTTCATAAATGTTTATAATTTTGATATAAATGAACCCGTCAATGTTTATACTTAGTACTTTTATTCTTCTCATGTTAATAAAGAAGTTTTAATTCTTGCATTATAATAGTTACCCCAATTGACTGAATAAACACAGTAAGGATTTAAATAAGTCTCCTGATACTGTGCATTCATTCCTCCAGATACTGTGACTAAATCAAACTATTTTTGTGCTATATTTCTCAGAGTTGGAGATTTAGAAGAGAAATTAGAGGTTGTGATTCAGAAATAAATGACATGGAAGCTACATATTGGGTTTTCTGGGTACCACACCATTCTTTAACTAGATAAGCCCTCACTTTTTTATCTGATTTGGTTTTGGTGGAATAACAGTGATCCTGACCAGGTGGTGTAGACTCGTCTCTCTCTGCTACTCCCTACTAAAAACAACTATAAACTCTGGGATTAATGAAAGACAAAAGCAATGGAGAACTCTGAAAGGTGGAAAGAGAAAGATGAAATTGTCTGGGACCCTAGCATCAGGGATCAACCAAGTGTCCGAGCGAGCATGTTAAGTCCTCCACACGACAGAAGAAGGTGACCTAGGCCTGCTGTTTCCCTACACCCAACCTGGCAATAGGAGGAGGCCCAGCAAAGCTCACTCCTGTTCTGTATTGAAGGGGAGTCCCCTCCGCAACAACAGGCAAGGCTGGTACCACTGGCAAGGATGATCTACCAGGAGACTTGCTACCAATACAGCCAGAGGAAGTACTTCCTTCTCATACCAAGAGACACCAGAGTGGATGTGGGTGAGGAGGATCAGCAAAGGAACCCAATGACTACCAGTGCACCACCCAGGGTCCTCTTTGTCCCTGAGGGCATGAGACTCACTTCCCCATCCAGAGACACAGGATTGAATGGATTCTTAGTGTTCTTTGTACATACTACAGCAGTGAACAGTAATAAACGACAGATAACCGCAATAATATGGAGGAATTGCATAAATATCAGATAGGAGTGAAAAACACAGACATGAAATTCACAGTGTATGATTCCCTTTATATAAATTCAAAAGCAGGTAAACGTTATTTATAACATTAAAAGTCAAGACAGTGTTTTGGAGAGGAGTCAGGATAAGTGATGAGGGCATACACAGGGGTGGAACTACTAGAGCTGGAAACTTTTATTTCATGATCTGACTTGTATCACAGGAGTTCATTCACTTTGTGATCAATCTGCATGACCAGATCACATCATGCCCGATAAAATTAGATAGCAAAATGTATTGTGGATTGAAAGCATTTCTAGAAGCATGGTTTTCCATGAAAAGCAAAAACTGAAAATAATCAAAAGTACATTAGCAGTATATGAATTTTAAAACATTATTAAGTCAATCAATTAAATACTACATAAACTTGAAAACATATAAGCTAAATGTATATACCCACACATATGGATGATTTCTACAAATATATTATCGACCGAAAGAAGCTTTTCATAAAGTGTTTAAAACATTTACATCTTACCATTTCTTCTTCATTATCTATAGAAAGCAGACTGGAGTTCTTCGAAGTACAGGCCAGCAAACTCTCTTCCCAAGTTCTTCTTTCCTTACCAATGTAGTAACAACTGTTGGAATATGTAATCCACTCCTCAGGACAATGGCCACAATGACGTGCTAAATAAAGATATGAATTACTATCTAGACCAATATGAATTTTTAAAAATGAAAATTAGTTCACATATTTGCAAACATATAAACCTATACGTATGCAACATATCTATACATCTTCATGGGCTGGTAAATATATAGTGTCAAAATACCCAGTCACTTATACACACATGCGCAATAAAGGGTCAGCCTTTCATCTCCTAATTGTGTTCCCATATAAAGCAAACCAGCAAACAAAAATCCACTCTATACATGTCTTGAAAAATCAATGAACTAATCTGATTTTTAAGGAACAATAAATAACTTGTATCTTATCATATTATAGCAGTAAGAATTTGAACACAACAGATAAAAAGAAAGCATAGTGATTTTACTTATAGTTGATGACAAGTGAATGCCTTACTCTAATTTTATTTATGAACACTTATTGCCAAATTTTATAATTTTTCACCCAAAATTTTATTTTTGTACAGCCTAAGATCAAGAAAAAATAAACTGTACAATATTAAAACTTTAAAAATTATTATATACCTTTCTGAGTTCTTGTATTCAGGGAAGAATTGTTGTGCCTCTGTATTAATGTAGCTAGAAAAATTAAAGTAATCTTTGTAAAAAAATTAGCATCTAAATCAATCATAATAATTTTAAGTTTTTGTTTGAATTTTTTTGTATTATTTAGAGTTAGAATAATATGGAATAAAATTGATTTTAAGAAAAATTTGATAAAGTAATGGTGGTTTTTTGGAAAAGTATTTCATAGATCTAAAGAACCAAATTTCACCATCTCATATAGTTCTTATAATTCTTGATTTAACTACTTTCAAAAATTAATTTCTATTTCTCAGTAAGGTTTTTCAGACTCCTAGAACATATTTTTGAGTTATGAAATCCAAATATATACATACGATTGCATCAGAAGCGAATACTTTCAACAATTATTCTTTCATTTATTCTTTGACAAATTCAGAATAATCATTCCACATTTAGTCCAAATATATACATTACAATGAGAACTCTATTCCCTGAAAATATGAAATGTTTAGAGGCACATTCAATCATTAACGTGAAAATTCCCCTTGTAATCTTCGAAAATAGACTTACAGGGAATAACAACTATCGTTACCACAGAGGCCATTAAGATAAGACAGATAATTCCCAGGATCCCAACAATGAGCTTCTCTGGAGCTGATGGTAAATCTGCAGGGAGAGAAATGGGAACAGTGCGAAAGGAGAGGTGGATACAGTCGTTTAGAAGATTCACAGACAAGAGAACCTGAATGCACAGGAATCATACAGAGAAACTTGGACCCCAAACCCTCATCTCCCATTGTAATCTTTTTCTCAGAATAATATACCATTGAATTTTCAGGAAAAATAATGCTCCATGAATTATTTGACAAAGACTACAAACTTCAACAATGAGTTCAATCAGTCTTCATACTTTACATTGAAATAGCATATCTCAACTTGGAATTCTGATCTTTGCAAATAGAAGATATATGAGCACTCCCTTCTCTTTCCCCACATTCCTGTACCCCAAGCTGCACATCCTAGACTGTTATATTGAGGATCTTTTAAATGCTTTACCTTTGCAGTGATAGGTTTTGTCATTCCCTTGAAAATCCTGAGAAGCTTTTTGAAGGTTTAATTCCGCATAGGTTATTTCCTGTTCAGTTGCTAAAATGGAGTTTTTATTGCCTTTAGGTTTTCGTTGCTGCCTCTTTGGGTTTGGGGGCAGATTCAGGTCTGAGTAGATTACTCCTTGGTTATCCATCTCTGCAGTGTGTGATGTCAGGGACTGTACTCTATAATAACAGTAGTTAAGAAGTTAATAAATGGTTTATATACAGGATTCCCTAGTGCAATTAAAAGGGTGAGGTGGAGAACGAGTATTGGAGCTCATTTTGCATTAAATAATCTAAAGTTCTTTCTCTGATTTTCTTCAAGCCTAAACACGTTTCTTATGAATATTTGTTTTAAAAAAAGATTTTTAGGCCGGGCGCGGTGGCTCACGCCTGTAATCCCAGCACTTTGGGAGGCCGAGGCATGCCGATCACGAGGTCAGGAGATCGAGACCATCCTGGCTAACACGGTGAAACTCCGTCTCTACTAAAAATACAAAAAGTAGTCGGGCATGATGTCAGGCGCCTGTAGTCCTAGCTACTCGGGAGGCTGAGGCAGGAGAATCTCTTGAACATGGGCGGCAGAGGTTGCAGTGAGCGGAGATTGTGCCACTGCACTCCAGCCTGGGCGACAGAGTGAGACTCCGACTCAAAAAAAAAAGATAAATTTTCTGCATTTGACAAAATATTATTGCTGGGGCAATGAGAAGCAATAAATTACTAAGGAATAAAGAAGTTCAGGAATAAAAATATATTTCTTAAAGTCTGATGTTTTACCTGTGTTAAAAATTAAAATGTTGTATTAGAAAAACTTCTGCACTCATTTTTATGTTAATTTTGAAATCCAGTAATGGTTAAGACTATGTGGTCTGCACATGAGTAATAGTAAAGTTGACATATATATATATAAAAATTTCTTGCACTACATTACTTTTAATTAGTAATTTATACACATTAATGAAAATCAATAGAGGTAATTAAATGGTCTTTTCTTAATGGCTGAAATGTTCTAAGAAATTATTAAAAATTATTTATTAAAAATTATAAAAAATTAAATATTTGTATATGACAGAAAATGCTATGTGACACAGTTAACTTATGCATAACCTAAATAGTATTAGGAACACTACATAAATTGTTAATACTTACAGAAGTATTGGTAATTTAATTAGTAATTGGTAATTTATTTCCTGGCTAAATTATGAACCAAAAAATGATAAATAAAAGTATAGGTAATTCATGTTAAAGCACATTTCATTTAAACTTATAGAATGATTTTATGGTTGTCAAAGTGAGTAAAGGCCACTTTAGTTGTATAAGTACTTGTAAAATTTCAGATAATGTAATTAAATCATTTAGTCAATGGGCTCTGGAGTCAGTGAGATCTAGAATTAATTCTAGCTTTGACACTTATAATGTGCGACCTTTAAAAAGTTATTCTATTTTTAATAACCCAGTTTGTTAATCTAAAATGGGCATAAGAACATATAAAACGTTGCATGTAAAACATTTACCACTCAACCTGGCACTTAAAGTTCTCAATAAGCATTAGCTACTTTAATTATTATTTTAGTCACAATTGTTATGTTACTGTTTCTGATTCATGTCAGTTAAAGCATGGAAAATAAATCTTCAGATAAGTCTCCTATGTCCATGCGCTACATCTTTTTTTGCAATATTTTGATCAATTTTTAAAAAGTATTTTTATTGCTTTGTAATACCTTTAGCATTTTATGTAATCTACCTCATTCTGATTTTTATTAAAAATAAAAACTGCTTTTCTCTAATCTACGTGTCTGAGGAATTGTATTTGGCTTTCATCAATTGATTGATTTATTTTAATAATCTTTAATGGCTAAGCTAAATATAAATTATTATTCAAAGATACATGATGTACTGATTACAAAATACAAAATTAATTGTTCATTATTGTGATGTTAATAGCTTTCCCTTAAACGATATTGATCAACAAACCCACTAGATTTCCACAAACAATAATTTGAAAACTTTAAGAAATCCTTCAACATATTTCATATTTTAGGTTTTTACCCTGAGTTATTCAAATGAAGACAGCAATATTCTACTTTGATTTTATTGTATATTAATTATACCTCCTTTGTATCATATTGAGCACTTGAAATCACCCACTAAATGAGGTAGGCTAGTAGAGAGTTGGAGAGTAGCAATACATACCTTCTGTCCCCAGAAAGTCACACATCCTTTAGTGGAGAGGCCAGGTTAGTCTCATAAAAAGGCCTGCTATAGCTGTGTAATAAAAGGTGAAATTTAAAGGCATAAATCCAAGACAAGAACAAACAATGCCTGCAATCTTCGCAGACTGCCCTGTGAAGGCTCAGAGTGAGTCAAGAGTGGAAAAAGTAGATTTCTCATCAACGTGTTACTAAGGTTTGAACAGGAAATTCTACACATGGGCTATTGTGAAATCAGTTTTATCTCATCACACACCTCCAAAATATAGGATACTTGGTCTATTAAAAGTACAAGGTTGACTTTGAAAGTGTGTCATTTAGTTGGTTCATTTTTCAAGTGCCTATGAGAATTTTTTTTTTTTCTGTCTTGATCACGAACATTGTCAACCCTCACCTTGTTAAGAGTGCCTTTTAGACTAGGTTGCTAAATCTTAACATTGCATACTTCTTTTCTTTATATTATTTTATTATGTCACTTCCATTATAATAGAAAACATTCTAAAACTCATAGTAATATTATCAACTGATATCTACTGATTTTTTCCTTAATTATTCTGAAAAATTACTGCAGTAATTACTCAATTGATTGTAGCTGGCACAAAAAGCATCATTGCCAAAGTTATATTATTAACTTCTCTTAGTTCTTAAATTTTTGCACTTAATTTTTAAAAATAGATTATTTAATCTTCAGATTACCCTTGATAAAAATATCTTGGATAGGTAAAATATTAATCAATTTTGAAATATATTAGCATACCAGAAATTGAAATATTAAATAGCTATTCATTACATTCTTCATTTATTCATCCTCCGCCATAACAAATTATGTCGACTTTCATAGAAATATTTAGTTGTAAATGACAAAAACTGAAGTCAAACTATGTATGGGGAAAAAGTAATTTTAAAATCTTACTAGGAGGAAAGTCAGTAAATTGGCAGAATAGGTGGTCCCCCACACATATGCCCCCACAGCAACAATAATTTTTCAGCCATCCACAGACAAAAGTTCCTTTGAGGGAGTTTGGAATTCAAGTAGGAGTTTGTAAAATGCCAGTGGAACCCAAGACCTAGGAAGGTTGTTTTAGGGAATAGATTTGCATCCAAGTGGCAGACTTACCAACAGTGATTCCATCTCCAGACCTGAAAAGGGACCCATCCTCCTGTGCTTGCCTTCAGCCCCATTTAGGCCTTGGTCATGCTGCCAAAACCATTTGCCCAGGGGCCCAGGAGGAGACTCACACACTAGTGTCTCAGGAGGTAGGCATATCAACTGTAGTCTCAATGTAGACCCTGAAACAGCCCTCTAACTTGGCTTTAACTAGTGTCAGCCACAACTTGAGATCAGTCCTTCACCCACAGAGACTTCCTGGGAGACATATACATCTGTACCTCTGGGGCATGCTTGCTGACCTCTGTCCTACAGAAGATACTAAAATGGCCCTGAATCTCCACTCAAACTCCTCTCAACTGTGACCTGAGTTAATCACAGGAAATTGCTGTGAGACTCAATCATCTTTGTCAGCAGTACAGGCTTGCTGACTTCAGTTCCACGGTAGTTTCTGAAACAGCCTTGAATCTTGACCTTCACCCTTCTCAGCTGTGGACTGTGAGCAGTCTTGCCAGCTCAGGGATACAGAGGGAGGACATGTGCATCCATGTCCCAACTAGGAGACCATTGACCTAGGTTTCACAGCAGATCCTTTAATTGGACAGAAAAGGGGCTTCGACACTTCTCAGCTATGCTAGAGAGCAGTTTGCCCATACAGGGACCTGGAGAGAGACATCATTAGTGCCCCTGCAGGCACAGACCTTAGTTTTATTTCAGATCTTGAAACAATTCTGGATCCAGCTCCAGCCCAACTCAACTACAGTCTGAGGCAAATCTGCCTGCCCACAGACCTGCCAGAAAACACACTCAACCATGACCCCAGAGACAGACATGAAGACACTGGTTTCAGCTATAGACCCCGAGGAAACCTTGTGACTTAGCACTAACTCCTCTGTGCCACAGGTTGAGGAACCCACTCAGAGACCCATGAGCAGCCTTCCCAGCAAACTAGATAAACTCTTCCCCAACTACACACCTAATAATAGACCCACCATTTACAGACCTTGAAGTGGACCCTCATCCCCTCCCCAGCCCTATACAGTATGATTCTAGAGCCAGTTTGGCCCTCTGAGGCACTAAATAGGATACAAGCCTGCTAGAAGCCCTAGTAAAAGGATCATGAACCAAAGATCCCACTCTGGACCCGTAAGCAACCATGTGATCTGGCTGTAACCCCATTCAACCATGATACTGAAGGCAATCTCATCAGCCCAGGACACTAACAGGAGAAGCTTTTAACCTACCGAAACCAGTCTGTAAAGACTGAAAGAGAGTCTGCTCTTTCAAATGCACAGACATCAGTACAAGGATAAACAAATAACAAAGCATCAGACAAATATGACACCACCAAAGGAAACTAATAAAGCTTTAGCAACTGATCCAAATAAATGGAGATCTATAAGTTTCCTTTAAAGTAATTCAAAACAATCATCTTAAAAAATCTCAGTGAGATGCAAAAGAAAAGAGTAAACAAAAAATACAACTAAAACAAAAAATACATGAACAAAATAAAAATTTAATAAAGAAATATAAACTATTAAAAAGAACCAAACAAAAATTCTGGAGCTGAAGAACACAATGAAAGAAATAAATAAGTCAATAGAGAGTTTTAATGCCCGACTCAATCATGCAGAGGAATTAGTGAACTCAAAAAAAGAGTCTTTTAAAATTAACAAATTAGAGTAAAAAAAGAATAAAAAGTGGCAAAGAAAGCATGAGACCTTTGAGACACCACCAAGAATATGGTATAGAAAGTATAGAAACTTCAGAAGGAGAAGAGAGACATAAAAAGTCAAAAATATTTTTTCTTTAAAGACATACTGTCTGAAAACCTTCCTCACTTGGGAAGGATATGGAAATCCAGATTCATGAAGCTCAATGAATCATGAGCAAGATCAGCCCAGAAAAGACTATTATGAGGCATAATATAATCAAATTGTCAAAAGTCTAAGATAAGAGAATCTCGTGGGGGGGTTTTGTTTATTTTTTAGCTTAATGTGATCTCGTTTGTCCATTTTTGCTTTGGTTTCCTGTGATTGTGGGGTATTACTCAAAAAATCTTTGGCCAGTCAACTGTCCTTGAGAATTTTTCCAATTTTTTTTCTTTCAACTTTTATTTTTAGATACAGGGAGTACATGTGCTGGTTTGTTACATGGGTATATTATACCAGAATAGTGAGTATAATCCAAAGTAGGTAGTTTTCTGAACCATTCTTCCCTGCTCTCCTCTCCCCTCTAGTAGTCTGCAGTGTCTTTTGTTCCCATATTTACGTCTAAGGGTGCTCAGTGTTTAGCTCCCACTTATAAGTGAGAACCTTCAGTAGTTGGTTTTCTGTTCCTGCATTAATTTGCTTAGGATTATGGCCTCCAGCTCTGTCCATGTTGCTGTAGAGGACATGGTTTTATCTTTTTTATGGCTGAGTACTAGTCCATGGTGTATATATGCCACATTTTCTTTATCCAGTCCACCACTGATGAGCACATAAGTTGATTCCATATCTTTGCTGTTGTGAATAGTGCTGTGATAAAAATGTGAGTGCATGCGTCTTTTTGATATAATGATCTATTTTCATTTGGTTATATTCCCAGTAGTGCAATTGAGGGTCAAATGGTAGCTCTGTTTGAAGTATTATGAGAAATCTCCAAACTACTTTCCACAGCGGTTAGGCTAGTTTACATTCCCACCAATAGTGTATTAGCATTTTCTTTTTTCTGCAGCCTCATCAGCATCTGTTGTTTTTGGACTTTTAAATAGTGGTCATTCTGACTAGTGTAAGATGGTATCTTACTGTGGTTTTGATTTGCATTTCTCTGTTGATTAGTGATGATAAGTGTTTTTTAATATGCTTGCTGGATACTTGTATGTCTTCTTTTAAGGAGTGTCTGTTTATGTCCTGTGCCCATTTTTAAATGAGGTTATTGTTTTTCCTTGTTGTTCTGTTTAAATTCCTTATAGATTCTGGATATTAGACCTTTGTCAGATGCATAGTTTGCAAATAATTTTTCCCACTCTGTAGGTTGTCTGTATATTTCATTAATAGTTTATTTTGCTGTGCAGAAGCTTTTTAGTTTAGGTCTCATTTGTCAATTTTTGTTTTTATTGCCCTTGCTTTTAAGGACATAGCCAAAAAATTGTTTGCCAAGGCTGATGTTGAGAAAGGTATTTCCTAGGTGTTCTTCTAAAATTTTTACAGATTGAGGTATCACATTTAAAATTTTAATTATCTTGAGTTAATTCTTCTATATGGTGAAAGGTAAGGGTCCATTTTAACTCTTCTGCACATGGCTAGACAGTTACACTAGTGATACAGGAACGAGAAAGAAATTATTTAGGCAGATAGTGAGGGTAAAGGAATTCTCAGCAAGGCTTCCCTTTTAACAAAAAGCAGCCCCAAATAACTTCTTTTCTAACAAAGAGCAGCCTGAAAAATGAAGCAGCAGACATAGATAAGCAGGCTGGAGACTTGCATGTGTGCATGCTGGCAGCTGTGCCAATAGAAAAGGGGCTGACTGGAAGCCAGGCATTTTCAACCTGGAGGCTCCATCTTCCCTTTTCTTTGTCACTAATAAAGAACCAGGCAACATGGCACAGGCCAGGTAGACAACCATCTGCATAATAAAAGACTAGGGTTGAGTGGCCAGCTTCTTTAAGCGCTATGCAAATGGCATGCCTAGTCCGACCAATCTTTCGTGCCCTATGTAAATCAGACACTGCCCCCTCAAGCTCATCTATAAAACCTTCTACATTTCACTGCAGAAGCAGCAACCCATTTCTCCAGTACCCATCCCTGGGCAGAGATCTCTTCTCTTTCTTTTGCCCATTAAACTTCCTGTCTTAACCTCACTCTGGTGTGTTCACGTCCTAGTTTTCTGTGGTCATGGGACAACAAACCTCAGATATTACCCTAGACAACAAGGCGATTTCATAGCATCATTTATTGTATAAGCAGTCCATTTATATTCCTTTTTTTCTTGTCTGTCTTTTTGAAAATCAGATGGCTGTAAGTGTGCAGCTTTATTTCTGAGTTTTCTATTCTGTTCCATTAGGATAGATGTCTACTTTGTACCATACCATGCTGTTCTGATTACCGTAGTCTTATTGTAAAATTGGAAGTTGGACAGTGTAATGCCTCCAGCTTTCTTCTTTTTGCTTAAAATTGCTTTAGCTATTCAGGCTCTTTTTTGGTTCCATATGAATTTTAGAATAGTTTTTTTCTAATTCTGTGAAGAATGGCATTGGTAGTTTGATAGGAATTGCACTGAATCTGTAAATTGCCTTAAGCAGTAAGGCCATTTTAACAATATTGATCCTTCCAATACATGAGCTTGGAAAGTTTTTCCATTAATTTGTGTTATCTTTGATTTTTTTCAGTAGAATTTTGTAGTTCTCCTTGTAGAGATCTTTCACCTCCCTGGTAGGCTGTATTTATTCCTATGTATTTCATTTTCTTTGTGTGTATCATAAATGGGATTGTGTTTTATATTTTACTCTCAGCCTGGAGATTATTAGTGTATGGGAATGCTACTGCTTTTGATACATTGATTTGATATCCTGAGACCTTACTAAGATCATTTATCAGTTCTGGTAGCCTTTTGGCAGTCTTTTTCTCATCTTTTAGTTTTAGGTTTAGAATACATGTGAGGGTTTATTACATAGGTAAACTCATGTCGTGGGGGTTTATTTACAAATTATTTCATCACCCAAGTATGAAGCCCAGTACCCAATAGTTATCTTTTCTGCTCCTCTCCCTCCTCCCACCACTCTCCACTCTCAAGTAGGCCCCAGTGTCTGTTGTTTCTTTCCTTGTGTTCATATGTTCTCATCATTTAACTTGTACTTATAAGTGAGAACATGCAGTGTTTGGTTTTCTGCTCCTGTTAGTTTTCTGAGGATAATAGCCTTGATCTCCACCAACATTCCCACTAAATATATAATCTTGTTCTTTTTTATGGCTGCATATTATTCCATGATGTTTATGTACCACATTTTCTTTATCCAATCTGTCATTGATGGGCATTTAGGTTGATTCCTTGTCTTTGCTATCATAAATAGTGCTGCAGTGAACATTTGCATACATGTGTCATTAACGTAAAATCATTTATATTCCTCTGGGTATATACCCAGTAATGGGATGGCTGGGTTGAATGGTAGTTCCTCTTTTAGCTTTTTGAGGAATCACCATACTGCTTTCCACAAGGGTCGAACTAATTTGCACTCTCATAAATGGTGTATAAGTGTTCCCTTTTCTCCACAACCTTGCCAGCATCTTTTTTTTTTTTTTTTTTTTTTTTACTCTTATATAGTCATTTTTACTAGTGTAAAGTGGTATCTCATTGTGGCTTTGATTGCATTTCTGTAACGATTTGTGACATTGAGCTTTTCTTCATATGCGTATTGGCTGCATGTATGTCTTCTTTTGGAAAGCGTCTGTTCATGTTCTTTGCCCACTTTTTAATGGAGTTTGTTTTTCTCTCGTAAATTTATTTATGTTCCTTATAGATTCTGGATATCAAACCTTTGTCAGATGCATAGTTTGCAAATATTTTCTCCCATTCTGTAGGTTGACTGTTGACTCTGTTGATAGTTTCTTGTCCTGTGTAGAAACTCTTAAGTTTAATTAGATCCCACTTGTCAATTTTTGCTTTTGTTGCAATTGCTTTTAGTGTCTTTGTCGTGAAATCTTTGCTCATTCCTATGTCCAGGATGGTATTGCCTAGGTTGCCTTTCAGGGTTTTTATGGTTTTGGGTTTTAAATTTAAGTCTTTAATCCATTTTGAATTAACTTTTGTATATAGTGTAGGGAAAGGGTTCAGCTTCATTCTTCTGCATATAGCTAGACAGTTATCCCAGCACCATTTATTGAATAGGGAGTCTTTTCCCCATTTCTTGTTTTTGCCAGCTTTTTTGAAGATCAGATGATCATGAGTGTGCAGCCTTATTTCTGGGCTCTCTATTCTGTTTCATTGGTCTAGGTGCCTGTTTTTGTGCCAGTGCCATGTTGTTTTGGTTACTATAGCCCTCTATTATAGTTTGAAGTCAGGTAATGTGATGCTTCTAGCTTTGTTCCTTTTGCTTAGGATTGCCTTAGCCACTGAGACTCTTTTTGGTTCCAGATGAATTTTAAAATAGTTTTATTTATCTAGTTCTGTGAAGAATATCGTGGTAGTTTGATAGAAATAGCACTGAATTTGTAAATTGCTTTGGGCAGTATGGCCATTTTAACAATAATGATTCTTCCTATCCATGACCATGGGATGTTTTCCCATTTGTTTGTGTCTTCTCTGATTACTTTGAGCAGTGTTTTGTCATTCTCATTGTAGACATCTTTTACTTCCCTGGTTAGCTTTATTCCTAGGTATTTTATTCATTCTGTGGCAGTTGTGAACAGGACTGCCTTTCTGATTTGGCTCTCAGATTGACTGTTTTTGGTGTACAGGAATGTTAGTAATTTTTGTATGTCAATTTTGTATCCTGAAACTTTACTGAAGTTATCAGCTGAAGGAGATTTTGGGGTGAGACTATGGGGTTTTCTAGATGTAAAATTATGTTGCCTGCAAAAAGAGGGAGTTTGACTTCCTCTCTTCCTATTTGGATGTCCTTTATTTCCTTCCCTTGCCTGATTGCTCTGGCTAGGACTTCTAATACCATGTTGAATAGGAGGGGTGACAGAAGTCATTCTTGCCTTGTGCTGATTTTCAAGGGAAATGCTTTCAGCTTTTGCCCATTCAGTATGATGTTAACTGTGTATCTGTCATAGACAGCTCTCATTATTTTGAGGTATGTTCCTTCAATACCTAGTTTGTTAAGAGTTTTAAAATGAAGGGGTTTTGAATTTATCAAAAGCCTTTTCTGTATCTATTAAAATAATCATTTGGTTTTTGTCTTTAGTTCTGTTTATGTGATGAATCACATTTATTGATTTGCATATGTTGAACCAGCCTTGAATCCTGGGGATGAAGCCTGCTCAATCATGGTGAATTAGCTTTTTGATGTGCTGCTGAATTTTGTTTGCAAGTGTTTCATTGAAGATTTTTGCATTGATGTTCATCAAGGTTATTGGCCTGAAGTATTTTTTTTTTTTTTTAGACAGAGTCTTGCTCTGTCACCAGGCTGGAGTGCAGTGGCGCCATCTTGGCTCACTGCAACCTCTGCCTCCCAGGTTCAAGCAATTCCCCAGCCTCAGCCTCCCGAGTAACTGGGACTAGAGGCACGCATCAACATGCCCAGTTAATATTTTGTATTTTAATAGAGATGGGGTTTCACCATGTTGGCCAGGATCCTGACTTCGTGATCCACCTGCCTCAGCCTCCCAAAGTGCTGGGATTACAGGCATGAGCCACCACGGCTGGCCTGAAGTTTTCTTTTTTTGTTGTGTCTCTACCAGTTTTGGTATCAAGATGATGCTAGCCTCACAGAATAACTTAGGGAAGAGTCCCCCCTCTTCAATTTTTTGGAATAGCTTGTATAGGAATGGTACCAGCTCTTCTTTGTAGAACTTGTAGAATTTGGCTGTGACTCTATTGGGTCCTGGGCTTTTATTGGTTGGTAGGCTGTTTATTACAGATTCAATTTCAAAGCTTGCTCTTGGTCTCTTCCTGGTTCAGTCTTGGAAGGGTGTATCTGTCCGGGTGTTTATCCATCTCTTCTAGGTTTTCCACTTTGTGTGCATAGAGGTATTTGTGGTAGTTTTGGTGGTTGTTTTTATTTCTGGGGGGTCAATGGTAACAGTCTATTCATCATTCATAATTGTGTTTATTTGGGTCTATTATTCTAGCAAGTGGTCTATCTATTGTATTATTTTTTTCAAAAAACAACTCTTGGACACATTGGTCTTTTCAATGGCTTTTGGTGTCTTGATTTCCTTCAGTTCAACTCCAATTTTGGTCATTTCTTGTCTTCTGCTAGCTTTGGGGCTGGTTTGTTCTTGCTTCTCTAATTCTTTCAGTTGTGATGTTAGGTGGTTAATTTGAGATCTAACTTTTGATGTGTGTATTTAGTGTTATGAATTTCCTTCTTAATGCTGCCTTAGCTGTGTCCCAGAGATTCTGCTATGTTGTATCTTTTTTCTCATTATATTCAAAGAACATTTTTATTTCTGCCTTAATTTCATTATTTATCCAAAAGTCATTCAAGTGCATGTTGTTTAGTTTCCATGTAATTGCATAGTTTTGAGCGATTTTTATAGATTTGACTTCTATTTTTGATTGTGCTATTGTCTGAGAGTGTGCTTGGTATGATTTTCATTCTTTTGCATTTGCTGAGGATGGTTTTATGTTTAATTATGTGACTGACTTTAGAGTATGTGCCATGTGATGATGAGAAGAATGTATATTCTGTTGTTTTGGTGTGGAGAGTTCTGTTAAGGTCTATCAGATCCATTTCATCCATTGTTGAGTTCAGGTCCTGAATATCTTTGTTAATTTTCTGCCTCAATAATCTGTCTAATAGTGTCAGTGAAGTGTTGGAGTCTCCCACTATTATTATGTGAGAGTCTATCTCTTTTTGTAGGTCTCTAAGAACTTGCTTTATAAATCTGGATGCTCCTTTGTTGGGTGCATATATACTTAGGATAGTTAGGTCTTGTTGTCTAATTGAACCTTTATCATTATGTAATGTCCTTTGTCTTTTTTTGATCTTTGTTGGTTTAAAGTCTGTTTTCTCTGAAATTAGGATTGAAACCCCTGCTTTTTTCTGTTTTTCATTTGCTTGGTAGATTTTCCTCTATCCCTTTATTTTGAGCCTATGAGTGTCATTACATGTGAGATTGGACTTTTGAAGACAGCATGCCATTGAGTATTGCTTTTTTATCCATCTTGTCACTCCTCTGCCTTTTTAGTGGGGATATTTAGCCAATTTACATTCAAGGTTAGTATTGATATGTGTGTTAGCTGGTTATGTTTGCTTGTTTGTGTGGTTGCTTTATAGTGACACTGGTCTGAGTGTTTAAGTGTGTTTTTGTTTTAGCTGGTAGTGGTCTTTCCTTTCTATATTTAGTGCTCCTTTCAAAATTTCTTGTAAGGAAATCTGGTGACAAAAAACTCCCTCAAGATTTGTATCAGAAAAGAATCTTATTTCTCCTTCACTTAGGAAGCTTAGTTTGGTCAGATATGAAATTCTTGGCTGAAGATTTTTTTCTTTAAGAACGTTGAATACAGGCCCCCAGTCTCTTCTGGCTGTAGAGTTTCAGCTGAGAGACTGGCTGTTAGCCTGATGGGGTTTCCTTGAAGTTGACCTGCCTTTTCTCTTGAACTGACTTTAACATTCTTTCTTTCATTTCTACCCTGGAAAATCTGATGATTATATGTCTTGGGGATGATCTTTTTGTGCAGAATCTTGCAGGAGTTCCCTGTATTTCCTGAGTTTGACTGTTGGCCTCTCTAGCAAGGTTGGGGAAATTTTCATAGATGATATCCCGGAATATGTTTTCCACGTTGTATGCTTTCTCCCCCTCCCTTTCAGGGATGCTAATAATTCATAGATTTGGCCTCTTTATATGGAATCTTATACTCCTCAGAAGTTTTGTTCATTTCTTTTTATTTTTGTCTGACTGTCTTATTTCAGAGAACCAGTCTTCAACTTCTGAGATTCTTTACTCAGCTTGATTTACTCTGTTGTTAATTCTTGCGATTGCACTGCGAAATTCTTGTACTGCGTTATTCAGCTCTGTCAGAGCTGTTAAATTCTTTTTTACACTGGCTATTTCATTGTTCAGCTCCTATATCACTTTACTGTGATTCTTAGTTTCCTTGAATTGGGTTTTATTATCCTCTTGAAACTCAATGATCTTCATTCGTATCCATATTCTGAATTCCATTTCTGTCGTTTCAGCCAGCTTACCTGGTTAAGAGCTCTCGTTGGATAACTGGGGCGGTTGTCTGGAGACATTCTGGCCTTTTGAGTTACTGGAGTTCTTGCTTTGGTTCTTTCTCGTCTCTGAGTGTGGATGGTCCCACAATGAGATACCATCTCATTGAATTTTGATTTGCATTTCTCTAATGAGCAGTGATGATGAACTTTTTTTCATATGTTTGTTGGCCACATAAATGTCTTCTTTTGAGAAGTGTCTCTCCATATCCTTTCCCACTTTTTGATGGGGTTCTTTGTTTTTTTCTTAAGTTCCTTGTAGATTCTGGATATTAGACCTTTGTCAGATGGATGGATTGCAAAAATTTTCTCCCATTCTGTAGGTTGCCTGTTTACTCTGATGATAGTTTCTTTTGCTGTGCAGGAGATCTTCAGCTTAATGAGATCCCATTTGTCAATTTTGGCTTTTCCTGCAATTGTTTTTGGTGTTTTGGTCATGAAGTCTTTGCCCATGCCTATGTCCTGGATGGTATTGCTTAGGTTTTCTTCTAGGGTTTTTATGGTTTTAGGTCTTACTTTCAAGTGTCAGATCCATCTTGATTTAATTTTTGTATAAGGTGTATGGAAGGGGTCCAGATTCTACTTTCTGCATATGGCAAGCCAGTTTTCCCAGCACCATTTATTGAACAGGGAATCCTTTCCCCATTGCTTGTTTTTGTCAGGTTTGTCAAAGATCAGATGGTTGTAGATGTATGGTGTTATTTCTGAGGCTTCTGTTCTGTTCCATTGGTATATATAGCTGTTTACTTACCAGAACTATGCTATTTTCATTCCTGTAACCTTGTAGTATACTTTGAAGTCAGGTAGTGTGATGCCTCCAGCTTTGTTCTTTTTGCTTAAGATTCTCTTGGCTATACGGGCTCTTCTTTGGCTCCATGTGAAATTTAAAGTAGTTTTTTCTAATTCTGTGAAGAAAGTCAATGGTAACTTGATGGGAATACCATTGAATCTATAAATTACTTTGGGCAGTATGTCTGTCTTCACGACATTGAATCTTCCTATCTATGACCATGGAATGTTTTTCCATTTGTTTGTATCCTCTCTTAGTTCCTTCAGCAAGGGTTTGTAGTTCTTCTTGAAGAGGTCTCTCATCTCCTTTGTAAGTTGTATTCCTAGGTATTTTATTCTCTTTCTAGCAATTGTGAATGGGAGTTCACTCATGATTTGGCTCTCTGCTTGTCTATTGTTGGTGTATAGGAATGCTTGTGACTTTTGCACATTGATTTTGTATCCCGAGACTTTGCTGAGGTTGCTTATAAGCTTAAGGAGTTTTTGGGCTGAGACGATGGGGTTTTCTAAATATACAATCATGTCAATGGCAAACAGAGACAATTTGACGTCCTTTTTTCCTATTTGGATACTCTTTATTTCTTTCTCTTGCCTGATTTTCCTGCCAGAACTTCCAATACTATGTTGAATAGGAGTAGCGAGAGACGGCATCCTTGTCTTGTGCTGGTTTTCAAAGAGAATGCTTCCAGTTTTTGCCTATTCAGTATGATATTGGCTGTGGGCTTGTCATAAATAGCTCTTATTATTTTGAGATATGTTCCATCAATACCTAGTTTATTGAGAATTTTTAATATGAAGTGGTGTTGAATCTTATCAAAGGCCTTTTCTGCATCTATTGAGATAATCATGTGGTTTTTGTCACTGGTTCTGCTTATGTGATGGATTACGTGTATTGATTTGCCTACTTCTGTCAATTTGTCTATCTCATTCTCCATCCAGTTTTGTGCCCTTGCTGAAGAAGAACTGCGATCATTTGGAGGAGAAGAGGCATTCTGGTTTTTGGAATTCTCAGTGTTTTTGTGCTGTTTTTTCTTCATCTTCATGGATTTATCTACCTTTGATCTTTGAGGCTGATGACCTTCAGATGGGATTTTTGTGGAGGGGTCCTTTTTGCTGATCTTGATGCTATTGTTTTTTTTTTGGTTAGTTTTTCTTCTAACAGTCAGGCCTCTCTTCTGCAGATCTGCTGCAGTTTGCTAGAGGTCCACTCCAGACCCTCTTTGCCTGAGTATCACCAGTGGAGGCTGCAGAACAGCAAAGATTACTGCCTGCTCCTTCCTCTGGAAGCTTTGTCCCAGAGGGGCACCGAATTGATGCCAGCTGGAGCTCTCCTGTATGCAGTGTCTGTTGACCCCTGTTGGGAAGTCTCTCCCAGTCAGGAGGCATGGGGGCTCAGGGACCCACTTGAGGAGGCAGTCTGTCCCTTAGCAGAGCTGGTGTGCTGTGCTGGGAGAATCCCTCTTGTCAGGATTAGTTGGTCTCTTCAGAGCCAGCATGCAGGAGAGATTAAATCCGCTGAAGCTGCATCCACAGCCGCCCTTTCGCCCAGCTGCTCTGTCCCAGGGAGACGGGAGTTTATCTGTAAGCCCCATGGGGCTGTTACCTTTCCTTCAGAGATGCCCTGCCCATTGAGGAGGAATCTAGAGAAGCAGTCTGGCCACAGATGCTCTGCTGCACTGTGGTAAATTCTGCCCAGTCTAAATGTCCTAGCCTCCTTAGCACTATCAGGGGAAAACTACCTACTAAAGCCTCAGTAATGGCAGATGCCCCTCCCCCCACCAAGCTGGATCATCCCAGGTTGATTTCAGAATGCTCTGCTGGCAGTGAGAATATCAAGCCAGTGGTTCTTAGCTTGCTGAGCTCCATGGGAGTGGGACCCACTGAGCAATACCACTGGGCTCCCTGGCTTCAGCCCCCTTTCCAGGGAAGTGAACAGTTCTGTCTTGCTGAGGTTCCAGGTGCCACTGGGGTATGAAAAAAACTCCTGCAGCTAGCTCAGTGTCTGCCCAAACAGCCACCCAGCTTTGTTCTTAAAACTCAGGGCCCAGGTGGCGTAGGCACATGAGAGAATCTCCTGATCTGCAGATTGCAAAAACCATGGCAAAAGCATAGGAAAACATGTAGTATCTGCACCAGATAGCACAGTCCCTCATGGCTTCCTTTGACTGTGGGAGGGAGGTTCCCCCGGCTCCTTGCACTTCCCAGGTGAAGTGATGCCCCACCCTGCTTCTGCTCACCCTCCATGGGTTGTACCCAGTGCCTAACCAGTACCAATGAGATAAACTGGGTATCTCAGTTGGAAATGCAGAAATCACCTGCCTTCTGCATTGGTGTCAATAGGAATTGCAGACTGGAGCTGGCCTGAAATCCTGTATTGTCATTCTTTGTCCTTCATTTTTGTTGGTTTAAATCTTTTTTTCTGATGTGATAATATGACTCCCGTTCTTTGTTTTTTTTTTCTTTCCTGGTTGCATGGCAGTCCTTATTCTATCCCTTTATTTTAAGACTGTGGGTGTTGTTACTTGTGAGATGAGTCTCTTGAAGGCAGCAGATGGTTGGTTATTTTCTTTTTATCCAGCTTGCCACTCTGTCTTTTAAGTGGGTTGTTTAGCCTGTTTACATTCATGGTTAGTATTGATATGTGTGATTTTGAAACCGTCACCATGTGGTCAGCAGGTTGTTATGTAGATTTGATTGTGAATTTGCTTTATAGTACTTATGGGCCATAAGTTTAAGTGTGTTTTGTGGTAGCAGGTGTCAATCTTTTAGTTCCAAGTTTAGCTCTCCCTTAATAACCTCTTGTAAGGCCGATTTGTTTAAAAAAATTCCCTCAAAATTTGCTTGAGAAGGATTTTTTTCCACTTAAGAAGCTTAGTTCAGTGGAATATGAAATTCTTGGTTGGAATTTTTTCCTTCTGGGTGCTGAAAATATGCCCCCAATATCTTCTGGCTTCTAAGGTTTCTGCTGAGATGTCTGCTGGTAGCCTAATGGCATCCCCTCTGTCTGTGACTTCACCCTTCAATCTAGCTGCCTTTAAGATACTTTTCTTTTGTATTGACATTGTGAATTTGATGACTATGTGCCTTCAGTCTGGTCATTGTGTATAGTATCTCATTGGGATTCCCTATATTTATTAGATTGTGTGTCAACCTCTCTAGTGAGATTAGGGAAATTTTCTTGGACTATGTCCTCAAATATGTTTTCTAAGTTGTTTATTCTCTCTCCTCCTCTCGAAGATGCCAAGGAGTTGTAGATTTTGTCTCTTTACATAATCCCACATTTCTTGAAGGATTTGTTCAATTTTTAAAATTCTTTTTTCTGTATTTTTGTCTGACTGAGTTGATTTGATGATCTGGTCTTTGAGTTCAGAGATTATTTCCTCAGTTTGGTCCATTCTGCTGTTAGTACTTCTGATTGTATTATAAAATACTGTAGTGAAATTTTTAGCTCCAGAAGTTCAGTCCAGTTATTTCTCAAAATGACTATTTCATCTTTCAGCTCATTTATTGTCTTACTCTATTTGTTGGATTCCTTGGATTAGGTTTCAACTTTCTTGTGAATCTTGATGAGTTTTCTTGCCATCCAGATTCTGAATTCTATGTTTGTCCAGTCATTTCTGACTGGTGAAGAACTATTGCGGGGGAGCTAGTGGACTAGTTTGGAGGTAAGAGAGAACTCTGGCTGCTTGAATTGCCAGAGTTCTTGCACCAGTTTTTTCTCATCTGGGAGGACGGATGTTCTTTTAACTGTGGGGTAAGTTTAGTCACTTGGCTTCATTTCTGAAAACTTTCAATGGGACACACAGGGAAGACAGTTTGGCTGTCTCTCCACAGGGTGGCTGCGATGTATTGGAGGCATGAACAAAGAAGCAAAGCAATCAGGGTATTTGTTCCTTCTCCAGCCCAGGAACAGCAAGGGTGGGTACCACAGTAGGCAGTCATAGAGGGGCTCTCAGTTGCCTCTGGGAGAATCACAGATCCACTACCAATCAGAGTAATCATCCAGGGCTAGGGTGTCTGCACTGCAGGCCCAAGCCAGAGGGCTATGCCTGGCAAAACCAGAAGGGTCAGAGACTATCGGGGAAGATGAGCTGTCCTCTTTGTAGGATGGCCACTGGCACTTTAATTGCCTGAAATTAGTCAGACTCTTTGTATCCTCCATATCCTAGGGGGAGAAGGGACTGGAATCACTGTGGAGGCAATGGCAGAGAGCCTGATGGTTGCCTCTGGGAGTTCCACTTTAGAGCAATACAGGACGGCCATTGCCATTGAATAAAGTGATCAGGCAGGGGAAAGGCAGCTGCATTGGGCCCCAGGCCAGGAGATCCTGCCCAGTAAGATGTAGCAGGGTCGAGAAGCCATGTGGACAATGGCCTGGCCACTTTTCCATATGGCAGTGCAGCACGCTGGAGGCCAATGACAGTTCTTGGGCTATTCACTCCATCCCCAGCCTGACGGCAGCAGTGGCAGGGAGCATGACAGCAGCATTCACAGCAAGCCTGTCAGTTACATCTGGGAGCTCCATTACAGAGAAATAAAGAGCTACAACCAGCTGTAGTGCTCAGGCAGGAATGGAGTGGCTACATCATGGTAACAGGCCAATTGGCTTTGCTTGGAGAGATGCAGCAGAGGCAAGGCCTGAAGTCCATCTGCTCCTCAGCACTGTGGATGTGGCCAATAACATGAGGGTATTTAAGACTGCCTGACAACTCTTGTTGGGAGGCCTATGGGATCTGTTGCTGAGGTCCTCAACAACAGAGGACCTTGCATTCCTTGAGGAATGCAAGACCTATGGGACTACACATGGGCCTGAGAAGCCTCTCTACCCAGATAGCAGGCAGATCTTCATGTTGGTCTGAAGGCTAGGGGAGAGAAAGCAGTTAGAGGGGATCTCCCATGCCCAGGAATGAAAGTTCTGTTGCAGAAGTGTTGGTCCCCTGGGATTCTTGCTCACTCACCCTTTCTCCATGGTAGAAAGGTCCCCTTGGCTCTGTACCTATCCCAGGCCAGGAGAGAGAGAATATTGAAATCAGTAAGAAATGACATAATCGAATACAGGGGAAACTACATAATACTATCAGCAAACATTTTAACAAAAATTTTGCAAGACAAAAGACAGTGGGCTGATATATTCAAAGTGCTGAAAAAGAAAAAAATCTTCAAACCAAAATACTAAACCTGGAAAAACTGTTCTTCAGGAATGAAAGGAAAATAAAGACATTTCCAGATAAACAAAAGCTGAGGGAGTTCACCACCACTAGACTTGCCTTACAAGAAATGCTCAAGAGAATTTCCACAGTTGCAATGAAATAACGCTAATTAATAACATTAAAAACAAAAATAAAAAAACTCACTTGTAAAGGTAAATATGTAGTCAAATTCAGAATACTCTAATACTGTAATAGTCGTGTAAATCATTTATATTACTAGTATAAACTTAAAAGACAAAACTATCAAAAAGACTTATACCTACAATAATTTGTTAAAGGATACACAACATTTAAAAATGTAAATTGTGCATCAAAAACATTAAATGAGGGAAAAAGTGTAGAGTTGTGATATGCAATCAAACTGGAGTTGTTATTAGTTTAAAATAAATTGGCATAACTGCAAGATTTTCTATGTTAGCTTCATTTTAATCACAAATCAAAAACCTATAGCAGATACACAAAAGAAAAAGAGAAAGAAATCAAAACATACTGATATGGTTTGGCTCTGTGTCCCTACCCAAATCTCATCTCAAATTGTAATCCCCATAATCCCTACATGTGGAGGGCAGGACCTGGTGGGAGGTGATTGGATCATAAGGGCAGTTGCTCCCACGCTGTTCTCATGATAGTGAGTGAGTTTTCACTTGAGATCTGATGGTTTTATAAGGGGCTCCTCCCCCTTCACTTCCTTCACGTGTTCTCTCCCTTGTCACCATGTAAGACATGCCTGCTTACCCTTCTGCTGTAATTGTAAGTTTCCTGAGGCCTCCCCAGCCATGCAGAACTGTGAGTCAATGAAACCTCTTTATTTTATAAATTACCCAGTCTCAGGTAGTATTTTTATAGCAGTGTGAGAATGGATTAATATATATACCATTACAGAAAATAATAAAATCACAAAAGTATAAAAAAAGAGAAAAAGAAAGGAACAAAAGATCTCCAAAAAACCACAAACAATAAAATGGTAGTAGCAAATTTTTTTCTATCAATGATTACCTTGAATCAAGAAAGAATGAACTATTCAATCAAAAGACATAGATTGGCTGAATGGAAAAACAAGACACCCAGCTATATGGTGCCTACAAGAGACCCATTTCAGCTTAAGTACAAATGTAGACTGAAAGGGAAGGAATAAAGAAAGATAATTCATGCAAATAGAAACCAAGAGACAGCAGGAATAGCTATACTTCTATCAGACAAAATAAACTATAACTCAAAAACTGTAATATATACACTTAGCAAGAGATCACCTAAATATATAGGCCAAATATTAATAGGTCTGATGAGGAAGATAGATAGCAATACATTAATAGTAGAGGATTTCGATATGTCAATTCAATAACAGATTACTCAGACAGAAATTCAATAATACACAGGACTTGAAATGAACTTTAAACCAAATAAGTCTATCAGACATATACAGAACATTTCATCCCAAAGCAGAAGAATAAACATTCTTATGAAGCGCACATAAGTCATTCTCCAGGATAGATTACATGTCAGGCCACAAAAAAGTCTTCAAAAATTTTAAAAAGATTGAAATCATACTAAGCATTTTTTCTGACCACAAAGGTATGAGATGAAAAACCATTAACAGGGTGAGATTTTAAAAATCCCGAAATATGCAGAAAGTAAACAACATGCTCCTGAATAACCAATGGATCAGAGAAGAAATCAAGAAGGAAATAAAAAAGATCTTGAGACTGACAAATGAAAATGGAAATAGTAAAACTTATGGTATGCAGAAAAAACAGTTCTAGGAGAAAATTTATAGCAATAAACACCTACATAAAAAAGAAGAAAGATCTGAAATAAAGAATTCAATTTTACAACTCAAGGAACTAGATGAAGAACAACAAAGCATAAATTTTGTAGAAGAAAGAAAATAATAAAGAACAAATTAGAAATCAACGAAATAACCTATAAAACAATAGAAAAGTTAATGAGCTTAAGAGTTAGTTTTTTGAGAAGATAAATGAAATTGACAAACATTTAGTTAGACTAAGAATAAAGGGAGAATAATCAAGTAAATAAAATCAGACATGAAAGAGGCAGCATTATAACTTACATTGTATAAATGTACAGTGCCATAAAAGACTATTGTGAACAATTATACATCAAATAGTTGGATAACTTGGAAGAAACTGATATAGTCCTTGAAACATACAATCTATTAAGAATAAATCACTAAGAAATAGAAAATATCAACTGATCAATAATTAGTAAGGGCATTGAAAAAGTAATCAAGATTTCTCAAGGACTGCAGGGCTTGACAGCTTTATAACAAACATTTAAATAATAGCTGATACCATTGGCCTACATACCTACTTTTTTTTTTTTTTTAACTAGTACCATGTTGTTTGGGTAACTATAGCCTGGTAGTATAGTTTGAAGTAAGGTAATGTGATGCTCTAGATGTAGTTTTTATTTATTTATTTATTTATTTTTATTATACTTTAAGTTCTAGGGTACATGTGCACAACGTGCAGGTTTGTTACGTACATATACATGTGCCATGTTGGTGTGCTGCACCTGTTAACTCGTCATTAACAGGTATATAACATTAAGTATATATCGATATATCGATATAACATTAAGTATATCTCCTAATGCTATCCCTCCCCCATCCCCCCACCCCACAATAGGCCCCAATGTGTGATGTTCCTCATCCTGTTTCCAAGTATTCCCATTGTTCAATCCCCAGCTATGAGTGAGAACATGCGGTGTTTGGTTTCCTGTCCTTTCGATAGTTTGCTGAGAATAATGGTTTGCAGCTTCATCCATGTCCCTACAAAGGTCATGAACTCATCCTTTTTAATGGCTGCATAGTATTCCATGGTGTATATGTGCCACATTTTCTTAATTCAGTCTGTCATTGATGGATATTTGGGTTGGTTCCAAGTCTTTGCTATTGTGAATAGTGCCACAATAAACATACGTGTGTGTGTGTCTTTACAGCAGCATGATTTATAATCCTTTCGGTATATGCCCAGTAATGGGATGGCTGGGTCAAACGGTATTTCTAGTTCTAGATCCCTGAGGAATCACCACACTGTTTTCCACAATGATTGAACTAGTTTACACTCCCACCAACAGTGTAAAAGTGTTCCTATTTCTCCACATCCTCTCCGGCACCTGTTGTTTCCTGACTTTTTAATGATCATCATTCTAACTGGTGTGAGATGGTATCTCATTGTGGTTTTGATTTGCATTTCTCTGATGGCCAGTGATAGTGAGCATTTTTTCATCTGTCTGTTGGCTGCATAAATGTCTTCTTTTGAGAAGTGTCTGTTCATATCCTTTGCCCACTTTTTGATGGGGTTGTTTGATTTTTTCTTGTAAATTTGTTTGAGTTCTTTGTAGATTCTGGATATTAGCCCTTTGTCAGATGGGTAGATTGTAAAAAATTTCTCCCATTCTGTAGGTTGCCTGTTCACTCTGATGGTAGTTTCTTTTCCTGTGCAGAAGCTCTTTGGTTTAATTAGATCCCATTTGTCAATTTTGGCTTTTGTTGCCATTGCTTTTGGTGTTTTAGTCATGAAGTCCTTGCCCATGCCTATGGCCTGAATGGTATTGCCTAGGTTTTCTTCTAGGGTTTTTATGGTTTGAGGTCTAACATTTAAGTCTTTAATCCATCTTGAATTAATGTTTGTATAAGGTGTAAGGAAGGGATCCAGTTTCAGCTTTCTACATATGGCTAGCCACTTTTCCCAGCACCATTTATTAAATAGGGAATCCTTTCGCCATTTCTTCTTTTTGTCAGGTTTGTCAAAGATCAGATGGTTGTAGATGTGTGGTATTATTTCCGAGGGCTCTATTCTGTTCCATTGGTCTATATCTCTGTTTTGATACCAGTACCATGCTGTTTTGGTTACTGTAGCCTTGTAGTATAGTTTGAAGTCAGGTAGTGTGATGCCTCCAGCTTTGTTCTTTTGGCTTAGGATTGTCTCGGCAATGTGGACTCTTTTTTGGTTCCATATGAACTTTAAAGCAGTTTTTTTCCAATTATGTGAAGAAAGTCATTGGTAGCTTGATGGGAATGGCATTGAATCTGTAAATTACCTTGGGTAGTATGGCCATTTTCACAATATTGATTCTTCCTATCCATCAACATGGAATGTTCTTCTATTTCTTTGTGTCCTCTTTTATTTTGTTGAGCAGTGGTTTGTAGTTCTCCTTAAAGAGGTCCTTCAAATCCCTTGTAAGTAAGATTCCTAAGTATTTTATTCTCTTTGAAGCAATTGTGAATGGAGTTCACTCATGATTTGGCTCCTGTTTGTCTGTTATTGGTGAATAGGAATGTTTATGATTTTTGCACATTGATTTTGTATCCTGAGACTTTGTTGAAGTTGCTTATCAGCTTAAGGAGATTTTGGGCTGAGATGATGGGGTTTTGTAAATATACAATCATGTCATCTGCAAACAGGGACAATTTGACTTCCTCTTTTCCTAATTGATTACCCTTTATTTCCTTCTCCTGACTAATTGCCCTGGCCAGAACTTCCAACACTATGTTGCATAGGAGTGGTGAGAGAGGGCATCCTTGTCTTATGCCAGTTTTCAAAGGGAATGCTTCCAGCTTTTGCCCATTCGGTATGATATTGGCTGTGGGTTTGTCATAAATAGCTCTTATTATTTTGAGATATGCCCCATCAATACCTAGTTTATTGAGAGCTTTTAGCATGAAAGGTTGTTGAATTTTGTTGAAGGCCTTTTCTGCATCTATTGAGATAATCATGTGGTTTTTGTCTTTGGTTCTGTTTATATGATGGATTATGTTTATTGATTTCCATATGTTGAACCAGCCTTGCATCCCAGGGATGAAGCCAACTTGATCGTAGTGGATAAGCTTTTTGATGTACTGCTGGATTCAGTTTCCCAGTATTTTATTGAGGATTTTTGCATCGATGTTCATCAGCGATACTGATCTAAAATTCCTTTTATTGTGTCTGTGCCAGGCTTTGGTATCAGGATGATGTTGGCCTCATAAAATGAATTAGGGAGGATTTCCTCTTTTTCTATTGATTGGAATAGTTTCAGAAGGAATGGTACCAGCTCCTCCTTTTACCTCTGGTAGAATTTAGCTGTGAATCCGTCTGGTCCTGGACTTTTTTTGGTTGGTAGGCTATTAATTATTGCCTCAATTTCAGAACCTGTTATTGGCCTATTCAGGGATACAACTTCTTCCTGGTTTAGTCTTGGGAGGGTGTATGTGTCCAGGAATTTATCGATTTTTTCTAGATTTTTTAGTTTATTTGCGTAGAGGTGTTTACAGTGTTCTCTGATGGTAGTTTGTATTTCTGTGGGATCGGTGGTGAGATCCCCTTTATTTATTTATTCATTTATTTATTTTGCATCTATTTGATTCTTCTCTCTTTTCTTCTTTATTAGTCTTGCTAGCGATCTATCAATTTTGTTGATCTTTTCAAAAAACCAGCTCCTGGATTCATTGATTTTTTGAAGGGTTTTTTTTGGCTCTATCTCCTTCAGTTCTGCTCTGATCTTAGTTATTTCTTGCCTTCTGCTAGCTTTTGAATGTGTTTGCTCTTGTTTTTTAGTTCTTTTTTTTGAGATGGAGTCTTGCTCTGTTCCCCAGGCTGGAGTGCAGTGGCGTGATCTCGGCTCACTGCAACCTCCACCTCCTGGGTTCACGCCATTCTCCTGCCTCAGCCTCCCGAGTACCTGGGACTACAGGCACCCACCACGTCTGGCTAATTTTTTATGTTTTCAGTAGAGACAGGATTTCACTGTGTTAGCCAGGAAGGTCCTGATCTCCTGACCTCGTGATCCACCTGCCTTGGCCTCCCAAAGTGCTGGGATTACAGATGTGAGCCACCGTGCCCAGCGAATTTTCTAGTTCTTTTAGTGGTGATGTTAGGGTGTCAATTTTAGATCTTTCCTGCTTTCTCTCGTGGGCATTTAGTGCTACAAATTTCCCTCTACACACTGCTTTAAATGTCCCAGAGATTCTTGTACATTGTGTCTTTGTTCTCATTGGCTTCAAAGAACATCTTTATTTCTGCCTTCATTTCGTTATGTACTCAGTAGTCATTCAGGAGCAGGTTGTTCAGTTTCCATGTAGTTGAGCGGTTTTGAGTGAGTTTCTTAATCCTTCGTTCTAGTTTGATTGCACTGTGGTCTGAGAGACAGTTTGTTATAATTTCTGTTCTTTTACATTTGCTGAGGAGTGCTTCACTTCCAACTATGTGGTCAATTTTGGAATAAGTGTGATGTGGTGCTGAGAGGAATGTATATTCTGTTGATTTGAGGTGGAGAGTTCTGTAGATGTCTATTAGGTCCGCTTGGTGCAGAGCTGAGTTCAATTCCTGGATATCCTTGTTAACTTCCTGTCTCATTGATCTGTCTAATGTTGACAATGGGGTGTTAAAGTCTCCCTTATTATTGTGTGGGCGTCTAAGTCTCTTTGTAGGTCTCTAAGGACTTGCTTTATGAATCTGGGTGCTCCTGTATTGGGTGCATATATATTTAGGATAGTTAGCTCTTCTTCTTGAATTGATCCCTTTACCATTATGTAATGGCCTTCTTTGTCTCTTTTGATCTTTGTTGGTTTAAAGTCTGTTTTATCAGAGACTAGGATTGCAACCCCTGCATTTTTTTGTTTTCCATTTGCTTGGTAGATCTTCCTCCATCCCTTTATTTTAAGCCTATGTGTGTCTCCGCACGTGAGATGAGTCTCCTGAATACAGCACAGTGATGGGTCTTGACTCTTCATCCAATCTGCCAGTCTGTGTCTTTTAATTGGAGCATTTAGCCCATTTACATTTAAAGATAATATTGTTATGTGTGAATTTGATGCTGTCATTATGATGTTAGCTGGTTATTTTGCTCGTTAGTTGATGCAGTTTCTTCCTAGCATTGATGGTCTTTACAATTTGGCATGTTTTTGCAGTGGCTGGTACCAGTTGTTCCTTTCCATGTTTAGTGCTTCCTTCAGGAGCTCTTTTAGGGCAGGCCTGGTCGTGACAAAATGTCTCAGCATTTGTTTGTCTGTAAAGTATTTTATTTCTCCTTCACTTATGAAGCTTAGTTTGGCTGGATATGAAATTCTGGGTTGAAAATTCTTTTCTTTGAGAATGTTGAATATTGGCCCCCACTCTCTTCTGGCTTGTAGAGTTTCTGCCGAGAGATCTGCTGTTAGTCTGATGGGCTTCCCTTTGTGGGTAACCCGACCTTTCTCTCTGGCTGCCCTTAACATTTTTTCCTTCATTTCAACTTTGGTGAATCTGACAATTATATGTCTTGGGGTTGCTCTTCTCAAGGAGTATCTTTGTGGTATTCTGTGTATTTCCTGAATTTGAATGTTGGCCTGCCTCACTAGGTTGGGGAAGTTCTCCTAGATAATATCCTGAAGAGTGTTTTCCAACTTGGTTCCATTCTCCCCATCACTTTCAGGTACACCAATCAGATGTAGATTTAGTCTTTTCACATAGTCCCATATTTCTTGGAGGCTTTGTTTGTTTCTTTTTACTCTTTTTTCTCTAAACTTCTTTTCTCGCTTCATTTCATTCATTTGATCTTCAATCACTGATATCCTTTCTTCCACTTGATCAAATCGGCTACTGAAGCTTGTGCATGCATCACATAGTTCTCGTGCCATGGTTTTCAGCTCCATCAGGTCATTTAAGGACTTCTCTACACTGTTGATTCTAGTTAGCCATTCGTCTAATTTTTTTCAACGTTTTTAGCTTCTTTGTGATGGGTTCGAACATCCTCCTTTAGCTTAGAGAAGTTTGTTATTACTGATCTTCTGAAGGCTTCTTCTCTCAACTCGTCAAATTCATTCTCCATCCAGCTTTGTTCCATTGCTAGTGAGGAGCTGTGTTCCTTTGGAGGAGAAGAGGCACTCTGATTTTTAGAATTTTTGGCTTTTCTGCTCTGGTTTCTTCGCATCTTTGTGGTTTTTACCTACCTTTGGTCTTTGATGATGGTGATGTACAGATGGGGTTTTGGTGTGGATGTCCTTTTTGTTTGTTAGTTTTCCTTCTAACAGTCAGGACCCTCAGCTGCAGGTCTGTTGGAGTTTGCTGGAGGTCCACCCCAGACCCTGTTTGCCTGGGTATCACCAGCAGAGGCTGCAGAACAGCAAATATTGCAGAACGGCAGATGTTGCTGCCTGATACTTCCTCTGGAAGCTTCGTCTCAGAGGGGCACCTGGCTGTATGAGGTGTCAGTTGGCCCCTATTGGGACGTGTCTCCCAGTTAGGCTACTCGGGTTCAGGGACCCACTTGAGGAGGCAGTCTGTCCGTTCTCAGATCTCAAACTCCGTGCTGGGAGAACCACTACTCTCTTCAAAGCTGTCAGATAGGGATGTTTACATCTGCAGAAGTTTCTGCTGCCTTTTGTTCAGCTACACCCTGCCCCCAGAGGTGCAGTCTACAGAGGCAGGCAGGCCTCCTTGAGCTGTGGTGGGCTCCACCCAGTTTGAGCTTCCCAGCCACTTTGTTTACCTACTCAAGCCTCAGCAATAGTGGACGCCCCTCCCCCAGCCTCACTGCCACCTTGCAGTTTGATCTCAGACTGCTGTGTTAGCAGTGAGTGAGGCTCCATGGCATGGGACCCTCCGAGCCAGGCGCAGGATATAATCTCCTGGTGTGCCACTTGCTAAGGCCATTGGAAAGGCACAGTATTAGGGTGGGAGCGCCCCAATTTTCCAGGTACTGTCTGTCACAGCTTCCCTTTGCTAGGAAAGGGAATTCCAGACCCCTTGCGCTTCCCGTGTGAGGTGATGCCCCACCCTGCTCTGTGGGCTGCACCCATTGTCTGATAAGCCCCAGTGAGATGAACCCGGTACCTCAGTTGGAAATGCAGAAATCACCCGTCTTCTGCACTGCTCATGCTTGGAGCTACAGAATGGAGCTGTTCCTATTTGGCCATCTTGGAACCTCCTTTATTTTTATTTTTATTTTTTGCTTAGTCTTGCTTTGGCTATGTGGGCTCTGTTTTGGATTCAAGAATTTGGTGTCAATGTGGTGAAAAGGGAGCACTTTTACACTCCTAATGGGACTATAAACTTGTACAACCACTATGGAAAACAGTATGGAGATTCCTTAAAGAACTATAAGTAGAAGTGCCATTTGATCCAGCAATCCCACTACTGGGTATCTACCCAGAAGAAAAGAAGTCATTACATGAAAAAGACACTTCTACATGCATAGAACTAGCCTAAATGCCCATCAACCAAGGAGTTGATAAAGAAAATGTGGTATATATATATATTATACGCACACACACACACACACACACACACATACACACACACCCTGGAATACTACTCGCTCATAATAAGAAAAAAAATAATAGCATTCGCAGCAACTTGGATGGAGCTGGAGACCATTATTCTAAGTGAAGTAACTCAGAAATGGAAAATCACTTATGTTTTCACTTATAAGTGGGAGCTAAGCTATGAGGACACAAAGGCATATGAATGATATAATGGACTTTGCGGATTCAGGGGAAGGGTAGGAGGGGGGCAAGGAATAAAAGAATACATACTGTGTACAGTGTACACTGCTTGAGTGATGGGTGCACCAAAATCTCCGAAATCACCACTAAATAACTTATCCATATAACCAAAAACCACCTGTTCTCCCGAAACTATTGAAATATAATTAAATTTAATCTAATTTAAAAAGAAGAACTAATACTAATCCTTCACAAACTCTTCTAAAAATTCAAAGAGGAGGGAATACTTTCTAACTCATTTTATGAGTCCAGCATTACCCTGATACTAAAGCAAAACAAGCACACTACAAAAAGAAAATAACAGGAAATAACAGGACAATATCCCTAATGAACATAGATGCAAAAATCTTCAACATAATAGTACCAAATTGAATTTAACAGCATGTTAAAAGGATCATTTACCATTATTAAGTGGGATGTATTACTGGAATGCAAGTGTAGTTCAACCTATGCAAATCAATAAACATAATACACCATTTTAATGGAATAAATGACAAAAAACTATATGGTCATCTCAATAGATGCAGAAAGACATTTGACAAAATTTAACATCTTTTTAAAATAAAAACTATCAACAATTAAGTATATATAAAATACATCTTTACATAATTAAAGGGCATATATGACAAGCCCACAGCTAACATCATACTCCATTGTGAAAAATTAAAAGATATTTCTAATTTCAGGATCAAAACAAGGATATTCACTCTCACCATTTTTAGTCAACATAGTACTGAAAGTTCTAGCCATAGCAATTAGGCTAAAAAAAATTAAAGGTACCCAAATTGGAAAGAAAAAGGTTAAATTGGCTCTGCAGACAACTTGATTTTAGATACAGAAAACCATAAAGTCTTAACCAAAAAACTGTTACAAATAATCAATTAATTCAGTAAATTTACAGGATACCAAAACAACATACAAAAATTAATAATGTTTCAATGCACTAATAGTAAGCCATTTGAAAAAAAATTGAGAAAACAATCTCACTTTACAAAAGCATTAAAAAATGCTTAGGAATATAGTTGACCAAAAAAGTAAAAGATCTGTACACTGAAAACTATGTAACAATGATGAAAAAAATTGAAGAAGACAAAAATAAATAGAAAGATATCCTGTTTTCATGAACTGGAATAATCAATATTATTAAAATGTTCGTAACACCCAACACAACCTACTAATTCAATGTAATCTTCATCAGTATCCCAGTGGCATTTTTACTGAAATAGAGAAAAATAGTCTTAAAATTCATATAAAATCACAGAAGACCTCAAATAGCCGACATCTTCAGCAGAAAGGACAAAGCTGAAAATATCACTATTTTAGTTCAAATTTGCTACAAAGGTGAATAATCCAAACAGCTTGGTATTGGCACAATAGAGATATGTAGACCAACTGAACAGAATGGAGATCCTAGAAGTAAATCCACACATTTATGGTCAACTTGCTTTCAACAAGTGCCAAGAAAACACAATAGACAAAAGACAATCTTTTCAATAAATAGTGTAAAGGAAACTAGATATTCACAAGCATAAAAAAGAAATGGGACCCTTTTCTTATCCTTTATAAAAAATCAACACAAAATAAACAACTAAATGTAAGACATGAAGCTGTAAAACTACTAAAGGAAAACACAATGAAAAATCTTCTTGACATTGATCTGGGCAAAGACATTTTGACATTACCTCAAAACAAAAGCAAGAGGGTGGCTGGCAAGATGGCCAAATAGGAACAGCTCCTGTCTGCAGCTCCCAGCAAGATCAACACAGAAGGTGGGCGATTCCTGCATTTCCAACTGAGGTAGCCAGTTCATCTCATTGGGACTGGTTAGACAGTGAGTGAATCCCACAAAGAGCGAGCTGAAGCAGGGTGGGGTGATGCCTCACCTGGGAAGTGGAAGGGGTCGGAAAACTCACTCCCTTAGCCAAGGGAAGCTGTGAGGGACTGTGCCATGAGGAATGATGCACTCCAGCCCATATACTAGGCTTTTCCCATGGTCTTCACAACTTGCAGACCAGGAGATTCTCTCAGGTGCCTACACCACCAGAGCCCTGGGTTTCAAGCACAAAACTGGGTGGCCATTTGGGCGGGCACCGAGCTAGCCGCAGGAGTTTTTTTCACACCCCAGTGGTGCCTTGAACACCTGCAAGACAGAACCATTCACTCCCCTGGAAAGGCGGCTGAAGCCAGGGAGCCAAGTGGTCTAGCTCAGTGGATCCCACCCCCACGGAGCCCAGCAAGCTAAGATTCACTGGCTTGAAATTCTCACTGCCAGCACAGCAGTCTGAAGTTGACCTGTGATGCTTGAGTGGGGAGGGGCATCTGCCATTATTGAGGCTTGAGTAGGTGGTTTTCCCCTTACAGTGTAAACAAAGCCACCAGGAAGTTCGAACTGGGTGGAGCCCACCACAGCTCAGCAAAGCCCCTGTAGCCAGACTGCCTCTCTAGATTCCGCCTGTCTGGGCAGGGCATCTCTGAAAGAAAGGCAGCAGCCCCAGTCAGGGGCTTATAGATAAAACTCCCATCTCCCTGGGACAGAGCACCTGGGGGAAGGGTGGCTATGGGTGCAGCTTCAGCAGACTTAAATGTTCCTGCCTGGCAGCTCCAAAGAGAGCAGCAGATTTCCCAGCACAGCGCTCGAGCTCTGATAAGAGACAGACTGCCTCCTCAAGTGCGTCCCTGACCCCCATGCCGCCTGACTGGGAGACATCTCCCAGCAGGGGTGACAAACACTTCATACAGGAGAGCTCCTGCTGGCATCTAGCGGGTGCCCTTCTGGGGCGAAGCTTCCATAGGAAGGAACAGGTAGCAATCTTTGCTGTTCTGCAACCTCCACTGGTGATACCCAGGCAAACAGGGTCTAGAGTGGACCTTCAGCAAACTGCAGCAGACCTGCAGCAGAGGGGCCAGACTGTTAGAAGAAAAACTAACAAACAGGAATAGCATCAACATCAACAAAAAGGATGTCCACACCAAAACCCCAAAGGTCACCAAAAATCCAAAGGTCACCAACATCAACGACCAAATGTAGATAAATCCATGAAGATGAGGAAAAACTGGTGCAAAAAGGCTGAAAACTCTAAAAACCAGAATGCCTCTTCACCTCCAAAGGATCACAACTCCTCGCCAGCAAGGGAACAAAATAAGGGAGAATGAGTTTGACGAATTGACAGAATAGGCTTCAGAAGGTGGGTAATAACAAACTTCTCTGAGCTAAAGGAGCATGTTCTAACCCAATGCAAGAATGCTAAGAACCTTGAAAAAAGGTTAGAGGAATAGCTAACTAGAATAACTAGTTTAGAAAGGAACATAAATGACCTGATGGAGGTGAAAAACACCCCAAGAGAATTTCGTGAAGCATATACGAGTAGCAATAGCCAAATCGATCAAGTGGAAGAAAGGATATCAGAGATTGAAGATAAACTTAATGAACTAAATTGTGAAGACAAAATTAGAGAAAAAAGAATGAAAAGGAACAAACAAACCCTCCAAGAAATACGGGACTATGTGAAAAGACCAAACCTCCATTTCATTGGTGTACCTGAAAGTGATGGGGAGAATGGAACCAAGTTGGAAAACACTCTTCAGGATATTATCCAGGAGAACTTCCCGAATCTAGCAAGACAGGCCAACATTCAAATTCAGGACATACAGAGACTACCACAAAGATACTCCTCAAGAAGAGCAATCCCAAGACACATAATCATCAGATTCACCAAGGTTGAAATTAAGGAAAAAATGTTAAGCACAGCCAGAGAGAAAGGTCGGGTTACCCACAAAGGGAATCCCATCAGACCAACAGCAGATCTCTCTGCAGAGACCCTACAAGCCAGAAGAGAGTGGGGGCCAATACTAAACCTTCTTAAAGAAAAGAATTTTCAACCCAGAATTTCATATCCAGCCAAACTAGGTTTCATAAGTGAAGGAGAAAAATAATCCTTTACAGACAAGCAAATGCTGAGAGATTTTGTCACCACTAGGCCTGCCTCACAAGAGCTTCTGAAGGAAGCACTACGTATGGAAAGGAAAATCTAGTACCAACCATGCAAAAACACACAAAAATATAAAGACCAATGACACTATGAAGAAACTGCATCAGCTAATGTGCAAAATAATCAGGTAGCATCATAATGACAGGATTAAATTCACACATAACAATATTAACCTTAAATGTAAATGGGCTAAATGCCCCAATTAAAAGGCACAGATTGGCAAATGGATAAAGAGGCAAGACCCATTGGTGTGTTGTATTCAGGGGACCCATCTCACATGCAAAGACACACATAGGCTCAAAATAAAGGGGTGGAGGAAGATTTACCAAGCAAATGGAAAGAAAAAAAAAGGGAGGGTTTGCAATCCTAGTCTCTGGTAAAACTGACTTTAAACCAATAAAGATCAAAAGAGACAAAGGCCGTTACATAATGGTAAAGGGATCAATTCAACAAGAAGATCTAACTATCCTAAATATATATTCACCCAACACACGAGCACCCAGATTCATAAAGCAAGTTCTTAGAGACCTACAAAGAGACTTAGACTCCCACACAGTAATAGTGGGAGACTTTAACACCCCACTCTTAATATTGGACAGATCAACGACACAGAAAATTAATAAGGATATTCAGGACTTGAACTCAGCTTTGGACCAAGAAGACCAAATAGACATCTACAGAACTTTCCACCCCAAATCAACAGAATATACATTCTTCTCAGCACCACATCACACTTACTCTAAAATTGACTACATAATTGGAAGTAAAACACTCCTCAGCAAATTCAAAAGAACAGAAATAATACCAAACAGTCTCTCAGACCATAGTGCAATCAAATTAGAACTCAGGATTAAGAAACTCACTCAAAATTGCACAACTACATGGAAACTGAACAACCTTCTGAATGACTGCTGGGTAAATAACAATATTAAGGCAGAAATAAATAAGTTCTTTGAATCCAATGAGAAAAAAGACACAACATAACAAAATCTCTGGGACACAGCTAAAGCAGTGTTTAGAGGGAAATTTATGGCACTAAATACCTACAGGAGAAAGTGGGAAAGAGCTAAAATTGACACCCTAATATCACAATGAAAAGAACTAGAGAAACACAAGTACACAAATTAAAAAGCTAGCAGATGACATGAAATAACTAAGATCAGAGCAGAACCGAAGGAGATAAAGACAAAAAAAACCTTCAAAAAATAAATGAATCCAGGAGGTGGTTTTTTGAAAAGATGAACAAAAAACATAGACCACTAGCCAGACTAATAAAGAAGAAAAGAGAGAAGAGTCAAATAGACACAATAAAAAATGATAATGGGAATATCACCACTGATCCCACGGAAATATAAATTATCATCAGAGAATACTATAAACACCTCTGTGCAAATAAACTAGAAAATTTAGAAGAAATGGATAAATTCCTGGACACATACACCCTCCCAAGACTAAATCAGGAAGAAGTCAAATCCCTGAATAGACCAATAACCAGTTGTGAAATTGAGGCAGTAATTAATAGCATACCTACCAAAAAAAGCCTAGGACCAGACGGATTCACACCCAAATTCTACCAGAGGTACAAAGAGGAGATTGTAGCATTCCTTCTGAAACTATTCCAAACAATAGAAAAAGAGAAACTCCTCCCTAACTAATTTTATGAGGCCAGCATCATCCTGACACTCAAATTTGGCAAAGACAACAAAAAAAAAGAAAGTTTCAGGCCAATATCCCTGATGAACATCGATGTGAATGTCCTCAATAAAATGCTGGCAGACCAAATCCAGCAGCACATCAAAAAGTTTATCTACCACGATCAAGTCAGCTTCATCCCTGAGATGCCAGGCTAGTTCAACATATGCAAATCAATAAATGTAATCCATTACATAAACAGAACCAATGACAAAAACACATGAGTATCTCAATAGATGCAGAAAAGGCCTTCAATAAAATTCAACACACCTTAATGCTAAAAACTCACTAAACTGGGTATTGATGGAATGTATCTCAAAATAATAAGAAGTATTTATGACAAACCCACAGCCAATATCATACTAAATGGGCAAAAGCTGGAAGCATTCCCTTTGAAAACTGACACAAGACAAGGATGCCCTCTCTCACCACTCCTGTTCAACATAGTATTGGAAGTTCTGGCCAGGGAAATCAGGCAAGATAAAGAAATAAAGAGTATTCAAATAGGAAGAGAGAAAGTCAAACTGTCTCTGTTTGCAGAAGACATGATTGTATATTTAGAAAACCCCATTGTCTCAGCCCAAAATCTTAAGCTAATAAATAACTTCAGGAAAGTCTCAGCATACAAAAATCAATGTGCAAAAATCACAAGCAATCTTGTACACCAACAATAGACAGAGAGCCAAATTATGAGTAAGCTCCCATTCACAATTGCTACAAAAGAGTAAAATACCTAGGAATACAACTTACAAGGGATGCAAAGGGCCTCTTCAAGGAGAACTACAAATCACTGCTCAAGGAAACAAGAGAGGACACAAACAAATGGAAAAACATTCCATGCTCATGGACAGCAAGAATGAATATCGTGAAAATGGCCATACTGCCCAAAGTAATTTATAGATTCAATGCTATTCCCATCAAGTTACCATTGACTTTCTTCACAGAATTAGAAAAAATTACTTTAAATTTCATATGGAACCAAAAAAGAGCCTGTATAGCCAAGACAATCCTAAGCAAAAAGAACAAAGTTGGAGCCATCATGGTACCTGACTTCAAACTATACTAACAAGGCTACAGGAACCAAAACAACATGGAACTGGTACCAAAAGAGAAATATAGATCAGTGAAACAGAACAGAGGCCTCAGAGATAACGCCACACATCTACAACCATCTTATCTTTGACAAACCCGTCAAAAGCAAGCGATAGGGAAAGGATTCCCTATTTAATAAACGGTGTTGGGAAAACTGGCTAGCCATATGCAGAAAACTGAAACTGGACCCCTTCCTTACACCTTATACAAAAATTAACTCAAGATGGATTAAAGACTTAAATGTAAGACCTAAAACCCTAGAAGAAAACCTAGGCAATACCATTCAGGACATAGGCATGGGCAAATACTTCACGACTAAGACACCAAAAGCAGTGGTAACAAAAGCCAAAATTAGCAAATGGGATCTAATTAAACTAAAGACCTTCTGCACAGCAAAACAAACTATCATCAGAGTAAACAGGCAACCTACACAATGGGAGAAAATTTTTGCAATCTATCCATCTGACAAAGAGCTAATATTCAGAATCTACAAGGAACTTAAACAAATGTACAAGAAAAAAAAACAAGCAATCCCATCAAAAAGTGGGCAAAGGATATGAAGAGACACTTCTCAAAAGAAGACATTTATGTGGCCAACAAACATATGAAGAAAAGCTCATCATCACTGGTCATTAGAGAAATACAAATCAAAACCACAATGAGATACCGTCTCATGCCAGTTGGAATGGCGATCATTAAAAAGTCAGGAAACAGCAGATGCTGGAGAGGATGTGGAGAAATAGGAACGCTTTTATACTGTTGGTGGGAGTGTAAATTAGTTCAACCATTGTGGAAGAGAGTGTGGCGATTTCTCAAGGATGTAGAATCAGAAATATCATTTGACCCAGCAATCCCCTTACTGGGTATATACCCAAAGGATTATAAATCATTCTGCTATAAAGACACATGCACATGTATGTTTATGGCAGCACTGTTGACAATAGCAAAGAATTGGAACCAACCCAAATGCTCACCAATGATAGACTGGATAAAGAAAATGTGGCACATATACACCATACACCATGGAATACTATGCAGCCATAAAAAAGGATGAGCTCATGTCCTTTGTAGGGACATGGATGAAGCTGGAAACCATCATTCTCAGCAAAGTAACACAGGAACAGAAAACCAAACACTGCATGTTCTCACTCATTAAGTGGGAGTTCAACAATGAGAACACATGGACACAGGGAGGCAAACATCACACACTGAGAGCTGTCGGGGAGTGGAGGGCTAGGGGAAGGATAGCATTTGGAGAAATACCTAATGTAGATGACGGGTTGATGGGTGCAGCAAATCAGCAGGGCACATGTATACCTATGTAATAAATCTGCAAGTTCTGCACATGTATCCCCAGAACTTAAAGTGTAATAATAAAAAAAGCAAGAGACAAACAAAATTACATCAAACGTAAAAAGCTACTGCACTGAAAAAGAAAAAAAAAACAACAGAGTAAAGAGGCAATCTAAAAAATTAGGGAAAATATTTTCAAACCATATGTCTGACAAAAGGTTAATAATCAAAATATATAAGGAACTAAACAACTCAATAAAAAATATATTAAAAATGGACAAAGAACCTGAAAATGTATTTCTTAAAAGAAGATATACAAATGGCCAACAGATATATAAAAACATGCTCAACATCACTAATCATCAGGAAAATGCAAATTACAAACAGGATAACTAATCATTTGACATCTGTTAGGAAGGCTGTTATAAAAAAAACAAAAGATGTCACATGTTCATTAGGATATGAAAAAAAGGGAACCCATGCACATTCTTAGTGGAAATGTAAATTAGTACAGTAGTAATGAACAACAGTGTGGAGATTTCTCACAAAATTAAAAAATAAAGCTACCATATGATCCAACAATTCAACTACTGGTTATATTTCCAAAGGGAAGCATATTAATATATCAACAATCTATCTCCTTGTCCACGTATATTGCAGCATTATTTAAGATAGCCATGAAATGTAATCAAACTAAGCGTTTATCAGTGGATCCATAGATAAAGAAAATGTGGTATGTACAAACAAAGGAATATGACTCAGCCTTAAAAGAGAAGGAAACTGTCATTTGTGACAACATAAATGAATCTAGAGGACATCCAGCTAAGTGAAAAATGCCAGCCATATAAAGACATATATCATATGATCTAACATGGATGTATATTCCAAAAACAGTTGAACTCATAGAAATAGCGACAAGAATAGTATTAAGTCTATAGATTACTTTGGGCCATATGGCCATTTTAACATTATTGATTCTTCCTACCCATGAACATGGAATTTCTTTTTATTAGTTTGTGTCATCTATGACTTCTTTAGCAGTGTTTTCTATTTCTCTTCATAGATATTTTTCACCACCTTTGTTAGATGTATTCCTAGGTATGTTGTGTGTGTGTGTGTGGCTGTTATAAATGGGATTATGTTCTTGATTTGGCTCTCAGCTTGAATATTATCGGTATATAGAAATGCTACTGATTTTTGTATATTTACTTTGTTTCCTGAAAATTGATTAAAGCCACTTATCAGTGCAAGGGTTCTTTTGGAGCAGTCTTTAGGGATTTCTGGGTATCAAATCACATAATCTGCAAAGAGAGGTAGCTTGACTTCTTCTTTTCTTATTTGGATGTGTTTTATTTATTTCTCTTCCCTGATTGCTCTGGCTAGGAATTCCAGTCCTATGTTGAATAGGAGTGATGAGAGTGGGCATCCTTGTCTTTTTCTAGTTTTCAAGGGAAATGCTTCTAGTTATTGCCTATTCAGTATGATATTGCCTGTGGTTTGTCATAGATAGCTCTTCTCATTTTGAGATATGTTCCTTCAGTGCCTAGTTTGTTGTGAGTTTTTATCAAGAAGCCATGTTAGATTTCATCAAAAAATTTTTCTGCATCTGTTGAGATGATGATATTTTTTTTGTTTTTGATTGTTTATGTGGTAAATCACATGTATGGATTTGCATATGTTGAGTCAAACTTGCATTCCAAGAATAAAGCCCACATGATTGTGGTGAATTGTTTTTTTTGAGGTACTGCTGAATTCAGTTTGCTAGTATTTTCTTGAGGATTTCTGTATCTATGTTCATGAGGGATATTGGCCTGCAGATTTCTTTTTCTGATGTGTCTTTGTCTCGTTTGGTACCAGGGTAATATTGGCCTCATAGAATGAGTTGAAGCTTATTACTTCCTCCTCTATTTTTTCAGAATAGTGTGAGTAGGATTGGTATTAGTTCTTTAAATATTTGGTAAAATTTATCAGTGAAGCCATCAGGTCTCAGGCTATTCTTTGCTGGAAGACTTTTTATTGCAGCTTTGATTTCATTATTTGTTATTGGTCTATTCAGGTTTTGAATTTCTTTATGGTTCAATCTTGGGAGGTTATATGTGTTTATGAGTTTATCCAACTTTAAGTTTTCAAATTCATTGGCATATAGCTGCTCAGAGCAGTCTCTAATGATTCTTTAAATTTCTGCAGTGTCAGTTGTATTGTCTCCTTGTTCATCTCTGATTTTTTTATTTTGGTCTTCTTTCTTTTTTTCGTAGTCTGGCTAAAAGTTTGTCAATTTTGTTTATCTTTTTGAAAAACAAACTTTTTGATTAATCTTTTGTATTTTTTAAAATTTCAATTTCACTTATTGCAAGTCTGATTTTTATTATTTCTTTCCTTCTAATTTTGGGTTTGGTTTGCTTTCACTTTTCTACTTCAAGATCCATTGTTGGGTTGTTTATTTGAAGTTTTTCTACATTTTTCATGAAGTTGCTTATTACTCTAAACTTTCCTCTTAGCACTACTTTTGTTGTATCCCATAAGTTTTGTTATTGTATATTTCCATTTTCATTTGTTTCAAAATAATTTTGTATTCCCTTCTTAATTTCTTCATTGACTTACTGGTCATTCCGGAGCATATTGCTTAATTTTTATGTATTTGTATAGTTTCCAAAGTTCCTCTTGTTGTCAATTTCTAGTTTATTCCACTGTAGTCAGAAAACATACTTGCTATGAGTTCAATTTTTTTGAATTTTTTAAAGTCCTGTTTTGTGGTCTAACATTTGAAAGAAACAAATATAATCTATTCCTATTCTACTTTTTATATTTCATATAGAACTTCTAGAAATTAAAATGCAATACTGGATGGATGGGCGCAGTGGCTCACACCTGTAATCCCAGCACTGTGGAAGGCCAAAACGGGCAGATCACCTGAGGTCAGGAGTTCCAGATCAGCCTGACCAACATGGAGAAACCCTGTCTCTACTAAAAATACAAAATTAGCTGGGTGTGGTGGTGCATACCTGTAATCCCAGCTACTCAGGAGGCTGAGGCATGAGAATCGCTTAAAGCTGGGAGCCAGGGGTTGAGGTGAGCTGAGATTGCACCATTGCACTCCAGCCTGGGCAACAAGAGTGAAACTCAAAAAAAAAAAAAAAATACAATACTGGAAATAAAAACATCATAAACAAGATAAATACTAGATTAGATTACACAATGCAAAAGAATAAATCAGGGATAAGAACTATCCAGAATGAAAACAGAAGAAAGCTTCAAAAATATGTAAAAGGACCGAACAGTAAAGAATTAGTGGTTAGACAATACAAGAAAATACACCACATATATAATCGGTGTCACAAAAGAACATGAGAGACAATATGGAACATAAAAAATATATATGGAAAAATATTAAAAGTATTTCTCACTCAAAAAGAGTCAGAAAGGAACATTCAGCATACTATTATAAAGTTTTATACTACACAATAAGTGATATAATACTATTTAAAGATAGACTGTGTAGGGAAGTTTGGATAACTTTTAATATAGAACAACCAATAAAAACAAAAGAAAAGGTTATTGCTAATAAGCCAGTATTGAAAAAAAATGAAGTAATTTTAAAAACTCAATATAATTGAAGGTAGTAATTATGGGACAAAGCAGAAACAAAGAGAAAGATTATAGATGTAAATTCAACCATTTGAACAATTACATTAAATATAAATGGTCTGACTACAGTTAATAGACATATAATATCAGATTGGATAAAGAAACATTATTCAATGATATACTGTATTTGTAAAACCATTTACGTTTATATGAATAAATAATATACTAACAGTTAAAATATGGAAATTATGTACCATGTAAACATTAATCTAAAGAAACCAGGAGTGGTTATATTTACGCCAGACAAAATGTAATTCAGAAGAAGAAATATTACCATGAATAAAAAGCAGTATCACATAATGATAAATTAATCAAACATTCCAGAAGACATAAAAACACTAAATGTGTGTGCATCTATTAAGTGGGATTCAAAATGCTTAATGATTAAAAATAAAATGAAATTAGAAAAAATACAAAATTACATTTGGATATTTTAACTCTCTTTTCTTTTTAAAAACATTTTTTGATGTATATTTGTACATATTTGTGGGGTTCATGTGATATTTTGTGGCATGCATAGAATGTGTAATGATTAAATTAGGGTATTTACGATATCCATAACTCAAACATTTGTCATTTCTTGCGTTGGAAACATTGCAAGTTCTTTCTTCTAGCTATTTTGAAATATACAATACATTGTTTTTAACTGTAGTCACTACTGTGCTAGCTAACATTAGAAGTCGTTTATTTTATCTAACCATGTTTGTACCCAATCTCTCTTTATCCCCTCCCCTCCATATACGCTTTCCAGGCTTTGGTAACTATTATTCTCCTCTCTACTTCTATGAGATTGACTTTTCAAGCTCCCACCTTTAATTGATAAAACAAAAAGAGGGAAAATTAGTAAGGTTGCAGAATAATTTATTAACAATATCAACCAGCTTAACTTTGTTTGCATGTTTAGAGCAAACACTACCACTAACAGCAGCAGAATGAAGATTCTTCATAACTGCATACGAAACATTCACCAAGTTCGTTCATACACTGGACATAAAACCAGACTCAATAAGTCTTGGAGGATAGAAATTATGCACAGTATGTTCTCTCATACAATAAAAATAAATTAGAAATTGTTAGCAAGATGACACTAGAAAATCCACTAATATTTAGAAAATTAAAAGCATGCCTCTACATAAATCCATGAGACATAAAATTACAAAATATTTTAATAAATAAAAATTAAACACCTATCAAAATTTGGGAGATGTGTTAATAGTGAGTAGAAAGATAATTATTTCATTAAGTAAAAAATAAAGGGTCTCAAATAATTGACTTAAGCTTTACCCTAACGTACTACCAAGTGAAAAATAAGTTAACCCCAAATGAGCAAAAGGAAAGAAATAATAATACAGCAGAAAAGTATGAAATAAGAACTTAATAGATAAAATTGATTACTGTGAAAGCCAGTCTTTGAATAGATCAGTAAGTTTGAAATAACTAGAGTTAACAGAAAAAAAGAGACAAGACAAAAATTATCATTATCTGAATGAAAAGGTGTGGGGAACATTTGCAAAAATCTTACAGATATTAAATGGAGAATGAGTGACTTATGAACAAATGCCAATAAATGTATTGACTTAGATTAAAATCGATTCCTTGAAAAATACAACTAAAGATGCCTATACAGGAATTAGAAGCCCTACATTGAACTGCATCAATTAAAGTTAAATTTTTGTTAATTATTTTGCAACAAAGGAAACAGTAGGTTCAAATGATTTTACTGGTTAACTCTTCCAAATCTTTAAAGAACACAGTTCTCTTGATTTTTTGTTTGTTTGTTTGTTTGTTTGTTTTGAGGCGGAGTCTCGCTCTGTCGTCCAGGCTGGAGTGCAGTGGCGCGATCTCGGCTCACTGCAAGCTCCGCCTCCCGGGTTCACACCATTCTCCTGCCTCAGCCTCCCCAGTAGCTGGGACTACAGGCGCCCGCCACCACGCCCAGCTAATTTTTTGTATTTTTAGTAGAGACGGGGTTTCACCGTGTTAACCAGGATGGTCTCCATCTCCTGATCTCGTGATCCACCTGCCTCAGCCTCCCAAAGTGCTGGGATTACAAGCGTGAGCCACCGCGCCCGGCCTCTCTTGATGTTTTAAAACAAACTTTTCCAGAGAGCTTATTCAAAGAATAATATGAGAAAACTTCCTAAATCCACGTAATTGGACATTAAACTGTAGAAACACAAAGGACTCCAGCTAGGATGAACAATAAACATTGACACTGAGACTCATTATACCCTGTCAAAAGTCAAAGACAAAGAATCTTGAAAACAGCAAAGGAAAAGCAACTAATCATGTATAAGAAAGTTTCCATAAGATTATCGGCAGATTTATTAGCAGGAACATAGCACACCAGAATTAAGTGGGATAAGATATTCAAAGTGCTGGGAAAAAATGCTAACCAGGAATACTGTACCTACCTTTCCTCCTGGTAGTTCTGAGGAAACGAGGCAGTCCAGATGAGTGGGTTTCCTCTCAGCGAAGCACATCCCTCCACTAAGGGACTGTCAGAGTGCTTCGTTAAATGGGTCCTGTTCCCTGTGCCACGCAACTGGGTGAGACCCTCCAGCAGGGGTTGTCAGACACCCTATACAGGAGTGATCCTACTGGTGTCAGGTTGGTGTCTCTTGAGGTCAGAGATCCCACAGGAAGGAGCAGGCACTCATCTTTGCTGTTCTCCAGCCACCTTGAGTGACATCTCCAGGCGAGGGAGTGAACCAGTTGAACAGGCCTGAAGTGAACCCCCAGCAAAATGCAGCAACCCTACAGAAGAGGGAGCTGACCATTGAAAGAAAAGCAAACAAACAGAAAGCAACAACAATAGAATCAACAACAACAACAAAAATCCCCACAAAAACCCCATCCAAGGGTCAGCAGCTTCAAAGATCAAAACTGGATAAACTCGTGAAGATGAGAAAAAAATCAACAAAACAACGCTGAAAACCAAAAATGCCAGAGTGCCTCTTCTCCTCCAAATGATGGCAGTGCTTCTCTAGCAAGGGCACATAACCGGATAGAGGATGAAATGGACGAATTGACAGAAGTAGGTTTCAGAAGATGGGTAATAAAAAACTCTGCTGAGCTAAAGGAGCATGTTATAACTAAATGCAAAGAAGCCAAGAACCTTGATAAAAGGTTAGAGGAGCTGCTAACTAGAATAACCAGTTTAGAGAGGAACACGCATGACCTTACGGAACAGAAAAACACAGCACAAAAACTTCGTGAAGCATACACAAGTATCAACACCCAAATTGACCAAGCAGAAGAAAGGATATCAGAGTTTAAAGACCACCTTGCTGAAATAAGGCATGCAGACAAGATTAAAGAAATAAGAATGAAAAAAAACAAAGCCTCCAAGAAAAATGGGACTAGGTAAAAAGACTAAACCTACGATTGATTGGAGTACCAGAAGGAGACGGGGAGAATGGAAACAAGCTGGAGAACACACTTCAGGATATTATCCAGGAGAACTTCCCCAACCTAGCAGGACAGGACAGTCTTCAAATGCAGAAAATGCAGAGAACGCCACAAAGATATCCCACAAGAAGGTCCACCCCAAGACACATAATCATCAGATTCTCCAAGGTCAAAATGAAGGAAAAAAGGTTAAGGGCAGCCAGAGAGAAAGGTCAGGTCATCCACAAAGGCCGAGGATCCCTCTGCAGAAACCCTATAAGCCAGAAGAGAGTGGGGGGGTCAATATTCAACATTCTTAAAGAAAAGAATTTTCAACCCAGAATTGCCCTACAGCCTGGGTGACAGAGTGAGACCCTGTCCCCAGCACCCCCCAAAAAAAGGGAAACAGAGGAAAAAGGAAACAAAATGACTACAAGAAATACAAGAAGCGCTGAAGAAAATGGCAATAGTAAATCCTTTCATGTAATTAATTAAGTATAAGTGGATTAAATTATTCAATAAAAAGACCCAGTGTGGCTGAATGAGTAAAAAGCCAGATCTAACTGTATTCTGTCTATAACAGAAACACTTTTGATGTAAGGGCACGCACAGTCTGAAAATGAAAGGACTGAAAAAGAAATTCCATGCAAATGGGAACCAAAAGAAAAAGGGGTGGCCGTATTTACATCAGATAAAATAAATGTTAAGTTATAATGATAAAGGATCAGATAACCAGGAGGACATAACAATTATAAACATATATTAGAGCACCCAAATATATGAAGGGAATATTAAAATAACCCTTCAAAGACAAGACTGTCCACTGTCTACCGTATCCCATTCTGGATAATTCTCAACATCCAATATTCAATACTTAATTCTGGGTTGCTGACAGTAACATCTCACTGTTGAATTTTGATAGCAGAAGGAATAGAATAATAGCTTTCTTATTTTTAAACCTTCTAGAAAGGAAAAAGATTTGACAATATCAACTGCTTGAAAGATAGGTTTAGGACCTACGCTGCCATATATAAAACACATTAGTAGGCTGAGTCTGACAAAAACAGAATTAATTCTTTATGTCTCTGGGTAAACATTTGAAAATCGTATTGAATTTAGTCTGGGATCTATTCTCTTCAGAAGCTCTGCTTTTAAAGAAGACAGACTTGTTTCCTAAGTCTGTCTCAGAAAAAAAGAAATCTTCTGAGTTAGAATCTTTATTAAATACATCATTATAAATTAAATTAAATATGTATATCAACGTTCACATTATTTTCACAGATATAGCAATTTAAACCTGGCTAAGATTCCTGAAATATTTCCTGAAGGAAAATAGCAAACAGAAAATTCCCCAAAAGCTCTTTGGAATATCAGCATGCAGATTAATATAATTTGTATTATGTCTATACATTCTAAGTCCTATAATAAAATGTATTTCCATAAATAAAATTTTCCCCATTCAAATAAGCACCATCGAGTAAGTAAATATCCTAACAATGAGACTAAATCTAATTGAATTATCAACAGAGCTCAAATTGAATGGTGTTTTCTGAATGAAATTTTTCGCTTTACTGGGTTCTGACAATATAATTCAAAGCTAAGCAAAAATTTACCCTTTTTTCTAGGGGAGAATAGGATGCTTTGCAATTTTATTATGAATTTATAAAGACATACCCGTTCTTTTATTATGTTTTTACATCTTTGCAAAATTGACTGTGTCACTGACACAATCAAAGATTTAAAGTTATTACTATTCCTTTAAAATTCCAAAGGTTTTCTTCAAACTTCTCAAGTTTGTACACACCTCAGAATCAAAATGCCAATTTCTGCAATCCTGGCTCAGGATTTTCTAGAATTTTAAGCCACATATTTAAAAACACCTTACCAGCCATGGCTTTTCGAAATTTAACCTAGTATTTCTCCTTTTCTTTCTCAATGAGTGGATAGTTGATTTTGTGACTGACACACCAAAGACACTCACTTCTTTCGGGCTAGAGGAATTTCGACAAATCTACTTATCGAAAATGGAAAGCAAAGACATACAACTAAACATTAAACATGCTATTTCATACAATGTCTAGTAAATAGTATTTTTTATACATCAATTCCCCAGAAATCGCACCACTGTGCAGAGGAAATTTCAAGTCTGTAAAGCATAATTCTTTGGTTCTATAACTGAAATATTAAGATAAATTACTTTTTAAACAGATAACTTTCAAGGAGAAAAAAAGGAAAAACAAATTATTCTTTCAATTAAAAAATTTTTTAATATTATTTCCTAAACCAGTGTGGAAACATACAATTTTGTACACATGAAATTCCACAATGTGTGCATAATCAGACCTCATATGTTTAATGAAATGCTTTTTTAGGAAACATATTTCTTCAGTGTAACAAAATATTTAATATTTGTAATAGATTTGTAAAGTCATTTCCAGTCATTGACTCACAATTATAGATTTAAATTTTTTGCTAGCAAATTTATTTTACATCAACGAATTCTGTTTGTATTATTGTTCTTGTAAATGTAATCAATAGTAAGCTATGAACTTACTGTAATCAGTAGTAAGCTATGAACTTACGTGTGTTAATATCATTTCTAATAAAAAGCTGATTGAATTTTAGTGCAAGCTGTATCAACACAATTCCTAAACTTTCAGACTTCTCTTCACATAATGTATGAATGATCAAATTTTGTTTGCTGGCAAGTATGAGAACTTAATCTTCTCTTTTCCTCTTTTCTAATATATTTGTCAATATCTTTAGATCAGTCTCATTTTCTCTACCAGTGTTTTATTCACCTCACTGCCCAGAAAAGTTTCCCACTTTATCCTTTTCATACTATTTCTCTTGCCAAGAAATATATTTACAGATATTGCTTGATTTTAAAACTTTCCACTAAGCAGTTCACATAAAATTCAGGAGATTGTTCCAGCCAAATAGCCAGTAAATAGCACCCTGAACCATATCGACGTCATGGGCTGAACTACACACCTCCCCTAGAAGCCACAGAGGTTCCACCACAGCCTTGGCAGCACTGGGGTTTGCTGTATCTCTACAGGGGTGAGCAGAAACATCCATTGCACACACTCAACCACTCATACACAGTCATTTTTCTACTTACTATTGTTATTCTAAGTTTTTATATACCTTCAACTTTATTGCTCATAGTTAACTTGTAAGTGCTTTCTGAGCATAGAAGTTACACCACCTCCTTTTGAAATTCATCATAGCCCCTGGGAGCCAAGAAATATCTGTTGTTGTAGCTTTCTGGAGCATAAAAAAAATGTTGACCAGAAAATAGTATATCTTTGAATGTGCTGTCTTGTACAAAATATTCTTTTCATTTTTTTATTTGACTCAATATTAAATATCCCAGAAAACGACTTTCAAATGTGCAAACACTGGGCAGCCTAACATTTTGGATAAGGTCCATCTTACATACTCCTATCACAGTCCAGGCTTACACCTAGCTTTGTGCTGGAACTCTGACTTCTGTGACTTGCTCCCCTATGTATTGTAAGTACCTTAATGGACCATGCTTACTTAACCTTTATAACCCTGGGGCTATCACAGCAACTGGCCACATATGTTAACCCAATAAATGTGAGTTCAGTGAATAAATAAATGATATAGAATTGATGTCATTTCCCAGAGCATCTATTCATTCTGCACCACAGGTAGAAAAGCACAAAATGATATTTAAGATACAATATAGGTATTTCTTTTTTTTAACTTTTCTTACAGCCATAACTTTTAAGCAGCATGAAGAAAAATAGAAGTCTTTGTGAAAGGCATGTAATATATAAAAATTAAAATCTAATATGTTTGATTTTGTTAATTCGTTTTTTTCAACTTTTATTTTGGATTCAGAGGGCACATGACAGTGTGTGACATGGGTATATGTGTAATACTAAGGTTTGGGATAAAGATGATCCCATCACCCAAGTAGTAACCATAGTACCCAACAGGTAGTTTTGGGTACCACGCCAGCCTCTCTCCCATCCCCTAACAGTCGCTAATGTCTGTTTTTCCAGGTTTATATATTTGTGTACCAAATGTCTAACTCCCACTTATAAGTGAGAATATGCAGTGTTTGAGATTCTGTTTCTGCATTAATTCACTTAAGATTTTGGCATCCAGCTGCATACATACCGCCACAAAAAACATGATTTTATTTATCTTTATGTATGCATAGTATTCCATGGTGTACGCATACCACATTTTCTTTATTCAATCCACCATTAATGGGCACCTACATTGATTCTGTCTTTGTTGTTATGAATAGCACCATGAGGGACATAAACATACATACGTCTTTTTGGTGGAACAACTGATTTTCCTTTGGTTATATACCCTGTAATGGGATTGCTGGTCAAATGATAGATCTGCTTCAGGTTCTTTGAAAAATCTCTAAACTGCTTTCCACAGTGCCTGAATTAATTTTCATTTCTACCAATAGTGTATAAGTGTTCACTTTTCTCTGAAACCTCAAGAGCATCTTTTATTTTTTGACATTTTAATAACTGCCATTCTGACTGATGAGAGATATAGTTATGTTCTTAGCAAAAGGGTTGACTGAATTTTGTTAGCATAGTTTGTGCCTCACACTTTCCATGACTTCTTTCTTTTTCAAAATCCCTCTCTTAATTTCTGTTTCTTCTTTCAAACCAAAATGAAACCAAACTGACACCTCAAACTAATAAACCTAACCCCAAACTCTGTAGGTATTAAGGAGTAAACTCAGACAAAAATCTAAAAACTTGGAAATTTTTCCATTATGGTTTAACTAATGTTTCCAATATCAGTTTTTCTTTGGTATTTAATTGATTTAACAACTTTTTTTTTTTTTTTTTTTACAAAAGCATGCATCAGTTGTAAGCTATTCCATTTATACTTTTAAGAAGTCCTTTCAAACAATTTTAGTTGTCACATGTTTGGATTATGGTTTTATATCAAAATATTCTACTAAATAACCACTCCAACAGAATATATAGCATTATGTTCTAAAAATAGCATAAACCAGCTAGTCAAAGAAAGATTATTTTAGTTACAGATATTAACATGAATAGAATAAGATAAGGAAATAAGATAAAGTGTCTACATTCCAAATCCCTCCTCAGTCTATTTTAATGAGATGGAAATCCAGATTTCCGTAAAATTTTCTTCTCTTTTGTTACTTCTGAAATTCTGAAGAAAAATAATAATAGATATGTTTATGTAGAGATCAGGGTTTTTTAGGATATGCACAAAGATACATTTTTAAAAATCAGTCATTTTCTTTATATTAATTTTTCCTATCTTTTATAATCAATATTATAGGAAAATAAAACAAAAATAAATTAAAATTACCTTTTGCATTTCTAAAACTGGTTATGTATAGAAAATTCTCCTAAGAAGTGATTTTCTTGTGACAGAAACCACAGATCTATACACATGTCATCTCTTTCGAATAAGCTGTGATTAAATTGAGAGAATTAATTTTTTAAAGCAAAGTCAGAGAATTACAGTCATCTAAAAAAATGAAAATGCCACGATTAATTATCAAAGCAATAGGAACAGAACGCATATTAGCTGAAACTTTATTCTTTCAGGACTTAAACACTAGGAATTTAGTTCCTCAAACACTCACGGCCACAGTCTTAGTTCCTGCTTTTATTTTCCAAGTCATAGATTATTTTGACCATCTCATTTGGGACATTTTCTGTTTCATTGATCCATTTTTTTCTGAGTCTTGTCTTATAATTGTCAGATAAATAGTGCTTAAAACACTTTATAAAAGGTTATTCTAGCGTAAATTACACAACAGGTTATCCAGATTCCAGGGTTTCTGTGAAAATGTATATAAAGAAAATAAATTAGAAAGGATTTAGTGGTTACAGGACTCAGATACATCATTTCATATGACAGAAATAATTAAAATCCGGGAAGTAAAAATTTACTGAGGCAGGAAATAATTTATCATTGTACGATTCCAGAGAAAAATTAGCTTGATAAGTGAATTTGATAAAGATTTATATAAGGAAAATCGATACTGAAAGTTTCTAAAATATAGGATCTTCCTAGGAAGAAGCTTTTAGTTATAAAGTCTGTAATTTAGATGAAAAAAAGTCCCGATAACAATAGGTGAGTGAAAATGGGAAAATAAAAGAACTGTTGCATTTCTTCCTGCTTTATACAGTTTGGTTTTTAACTTGTGAATTTTTGGTATACTAGTTCAATTTTTATTTGTTTTTAGGATATTTAAATCAGTTTGAAGTGCTGCATCGTATTTTTCTGTGTTTCATGATTGTTCTTCATGGGGCATTTAAAAAATCAGTTTGAATGTTTTAATTCTCATTTTCTGTGTTCTTTCCATAGTATCTTCATATATTAATAGACTAAAAATGCTTTTTGTGGACTGGAATGATAGTTGGAGCACTGTATTGGATTCCTATGTCAAGAGTGTCCTCTTCTGTCAAAATATTGCAATGTATTCTCTTAAATGAATGATTTGGGGGAGAGAAGTTTCTTTTGTTTTGTCTTTTGAATGTCATTTTGTCTATCCTAACACCTCTCTTCAACACATACACGCACTTGCTTTTTTCCCTCATTTACTGAGCAGATTTTAAATGTGCTTTTTCCTTTCTTATGTTTTACCCTCTTCTCAGAAGTTTCGTTTTCCAAGACTAACTCTTCAAGTCCAAAACACACTTTCCTTCTGCCCACCAATCTGATCCTTTTGGAATTCCTTTTTAAATTTTCACAATTAGTGTGGTCTTGCTCTTTCTGAGGTAGTTGCCAGTTTATCTGAAACCCCTAGGGCACCATGAGAGGATAGAGATGGGATCTAGGAATAACACTGTAAGTTTTTTTTTTTTTAATTTACAATAATTTGAAGTTTTAGTATTTTCTGACCCCTAGTCATGCTAAAGACATACATTTGTCTGCTTTCATTTTTATTTTTGCATGTAATATATATATATATTTTAAGGCTATTGTAGGAGAATTTAAATTTAAGCAACTACCATTAGCTCTTTCTGTATAGTTTTATTTCAGTGGGTACCTAGGTTTCAGCAGAATTCTCTGCTGTCTACTTGTTTCTGAAATTATAAAGGGAATAACTATCCCCGCCTTGATTTTTCTTATTCTTGGCCTAGTTTTCATGAATAAACCACAAGAAAAAAGACATAATATTATCAATATTTTGTATTTCTACAGCCTAGTGAACCAGTACATTTTTATACATCTGGTAGATTTTGGTTGTAAATTCGTGTGGTTGAGAGTATGATTCCACACTAGAAAATTCTAAAGATTCTTTCAAAAGACTCCTAGATCCAGTAAATGACTTCGGTAAAGTTTTGAGATACAAAAATCAGTGGCATTTCTATGCACCAATAATGTTCAAGCTGACAAAAAAATCGAGAATGCAATCTCACTTACAATAACCACAGAAATAATAAAATAACTTGAGATTCATCTAACCAGACAGGAAAGCTCTCTTCAAGAAGAACTATAAAACATTGCCAAAAGAAACAATAGATGACACAAACAAAAGTAAAAATATTCTATGCTCAAGGATTGGAAAAATTAAATACTGTTAAAATGTCCATACTATTCAGAACAATCTACAGACTCAGTGCAATTCCTATCAAATTACCAATGTCTTTCTTCACAGAACTGAAAAAAAACTATTATAAAATTCATGTGGAACCAAAAAAGAGCCCAAATGTCAAACAAACAAACAAAAAAGCTGGAGGCTTCACATTACCTAGCTTAAAACTATAGTACATGGTTACAATAACCAAAACAGCATGGTACTGATTAAAAGAAAACCAGACATATAGACCAATGGAACAGAATAGAAAACACCAAAATAAACCCACATGGTAAACTAATTTTTATATTAATATAAGGATGCCATGAAATGACAGTCTCTTTGGCAAATCATGTTGGGAAAACTGAATATCCATATGTAGATGTTGGATTCATCATACACCAGGCACAAAATCAAATCAAAATCAACTGAAGATTTAAATGTAAGAACTAAAACTTTTAAACTCCTAGAAGAAAACATAGAGGAACAGTTTACATATAAGAAATATTATATAGAAACAATTTAAATCTAGGAATGTCCTAATAGACTGTACTAAATACACTTTATCTCTTTTTATCTCAATCTTTTATTTTTATTTTAGAATCAAGAGGTACATGTGCAGATTTTTTACATAAATATATTGCGTGATGCCAAGGTTTAGTTTTCATTTGACCCCATCACCACATAGTGAGCATAGTACCCAATAGGTGGGTTTCAACCCCTACACTCCTCCTTTCATCCCCCCTTTTGGAGTTGCAAGTGTCTATTGTTCTCATCTTTATGTCCATGTGTACTCAATGTCCAGCTCCCACTCATAAGTGAGAACATGTAAGTATTTGGTGTTCTGTTCCTGTGTTAATTTGATTAGGATAATGGCCTCCAGCTGCATCCATGTTGCTGTGAAGGACATCATTTTATTCTTTATTATGGCTTCATAGTATTCCATGAGTGTATGTGTACCACATTTTCTTTATCCAATCCACTTTTGATGGGCACCTAGGTTGATTCCATATCTTTACTATTGTGAATAATGCTGTGATAAACATACAAATTCCAGTGTATTTTAGTAGAATGATTTATTTTCCTTTGGGTATATACCCAGTAATGGGATAACTGGGCTGAATGGTAGTTGTGTTTTTAAGTTCGTTGAGAAATCTCCAAACTGGTTTCCACAGTGTCTTAACTAATTTACATTTCCACCAACAGTGTATCAGTGTCCCTTTTCTTGGCAACCTCACCAGCATCTCTTATTCTTTCACATTTTAATCAAAATGCCAAATTTGAATCACCATAGTGACTGGTGAGAGACAGTATCTCATTGTGGTTTTGATTTGCATTTCTCAAAGATCCCTTGATCTGTATGTCTGTTATTATGCCAGTACTACTGTAGCTTTGTAATAGTTTTGAATTCAGGGTGTATGATGCCTTTAACCTTGTTTAACCTTGTTCTTCTTCCTGGAGATTGCTTTGGCTATTCAGTGTCTTTTGTGGTTCTACATGAGTTTAATGAATATTTTTCTATTTTTGTAAAAAAAAGTGCAATTGTGATTTTGAACAGAATTGCCTTGAATCTATAGATGTATTTGATTACATTAAATTTTCATAAAAGCATAAGTAACCAAAGCAAAATTATATAAAGTGGGACTACATCAAACTAAAAATGTTCTGCACAGCAAAGGAAACAGCAGAGTGAAAGGCAACCTATAGATTTGAGAAAACATTGCAAATAACATATCTGTTAAGGTATTAATGTCCAGAATATATAAGGAACCTCTACAACTTAATACCAAAAACAAAAAATAGCCCAATTTTAAAAAATGGATGAAGGACTTGAATAGACATTTCTCCACAAAAGACATGCATGTGGCCAGTGGGTATATAAAAAAATGCTCAACATCACTAATCATTAGGGAAATATTCTAAGATGCTACCTAACACCTGTTAGGATGACTATTTTACATATATATATATATATATATATATATGGATACATTCACATATCCATATATTCATTCATATATACCCAGAAGAAGGAGATGAGCCATCCTCTCACTTTCATTTATTACCCTCTTCCTTAAAACGAATATATCCATATACATATATATGAAGATATATATATATATATATATATATATATATATATATATATATATATGTTGGTAAGAATGTGAAGAAATTGGAACCCTAGCACATTGTTGATAAGAATGCACTATGAAAAAGGTGTATAGAGCTTCCTCAAAAATTAAGAGTAAAACTACCCATATAACCCAATAATATCACTTCTGGGTATACAGTATATCCAAAAGAATTAAAATTAGTATCTTGAAGAGATATCTGCACTCCCACATCAATGGTAGGATTATCAAGAATAAATAATATTTAAACAACCTAAATGTACACTGACAGATGAACAGATAAAGAAAATGTAGTATGTACATATGATGGAATATTCTTCAGCCTTAAAGAAAGAATATTCTGCCATTCATGACAACATGAATGACCCTTGAGGACATTAAGCTAAATAAAATAAGCCAGTCACAGAAGAACAAATGCTTTATGATTATACTATATGAGTTATCTAAAGTAGTCAAATTCATAGGAACAGAGAATGGTGGTTACCAGGGACTCACTTTCAATTGGTTAAGTTTCAGTTACGAAAGACGAATAAGTTCTAGAGATATACTGTACCACATAGTACGTATAGTTAGCAACAATACGTTGATCACTTTAAAATCTGCTAGGAGGGTAGATCTCATGTCAAGTGTCTTACTTGCCCTCTGCTCCCAAAATAAAGGTACTCAAGAAAAACTTTGTAGATGATAAACATGCCTACTATCTTCATTGGGTGATGGTATTACGAATGTATGCATATGTCCAAACTCATCAAATTGTATACGTTAAAAATGCACAGTTTTTTTGTATATAAACTATACCTCAATAAAGCTATTGTAATAAATCTCCAATATAGCATCTATTAATGGTCATCACTCCAACATAATTTGAAGAAATGAAAATTATAATATAAACCACGACATAGCTATTTGTTTCGAACAAAAAATAAATATATTAATAATTAATCTTCTTAAAGAAGAAAAATATTTAGTGTAGAATTATTCAGTGTGTTGCTGGTTTTGTGTCTTCTTAGAAATGTAATAGCAGGCTGTATATACAAGATCCATTTTCATATAAATAGATTACAATGGTCCATTAATTTTTTAAGTATTTATCTGTGGTCAACTGAAAATATATTTTCGACCCGCCTCGCATGGGCCCAGGGGGCGGGGGTTTGGGTGGCTGCCCTCAGTATTGCCTGCACAAATATCTACCAAGTCTGCGACGAATAGCTCCAGCAACTTTGCACCGTGTTTTCCAGTAAGCCTACCGACAGGCACTGTGCAGATTCAAGCAGAGAGAAGTCCAAGCACTGAGGCCGCTGCTGCACCGGCCATCCTGAGACCCTAGTCGACCTTCCGGCCTCCGCATCCCCGCCCCGCACTAGGACCCCTGCAGACGATCAGGCGGCAGCCGGGGTGACTTTCTTCCTCTTTTGGCAACATGGCGGGCGGAGAAGCTGGGGTGACTCTGGGGCAGCCGCACCTTTCGCGTCAGGATCTCACCACCTTGGATGTTACCAAGTTGACGCCACTTTCACACGAAGTTATCAGCAGACAAGCCACAATTAATATAGGTACAATTGGTCATGTAGCTCATGGGAAATCCACAGTCGTCAAAGCTATTTCTGGAGTTCACACCGTCAGGTTCAAAAATGAACTAGAAAGAAATATTACAATCAAGCTTGGATATGCTAATGCTAAGATTTATCAACTTGATGACCCAAGTTGCCCTCGGCCAGAATGTTATCGATCTTGTGGGAGCAGTATGCCTGATGAGTTTCCTACAGACATTCCAGGAACCAAAGGGAACTTCAGATTAGTCAGACATGTTTCCTTTGTTGACTGTCCTGGCCACGATATTTTGATGGCTACTATGCTGAACGGTGCAGCAGTGATGGATGCAGCTCTTCTGTTGATAGCTGGTAATGAATCTTGCCCTCAGCCTCAGACATCTGAACACCTGGCTGCTATAGAGATCATGAAACTGAAGCATATTTTGATTCTACAAAATAAAATTGATTTGGTAAAAGAAAGGCAGGCTAAAGAACAATACGAGCAGATCCTTGCGTTTGTCCAAGGTACAGTAGCAGAGGGAGCTCCCATTATTCCAATTTCGGCTCAGCTGAAATACAATATTGAAGTTGTTTGTGAGTACATAGTAAAGAAAATTCCAGTACCCCCAAGAGACTTTACTTCAGAGCCCCGGCTTATTGTTATTAGATCTTTTGATGTCAACAAACCTGGCTGTGAAGTTGATGACCTTAAGGGAGGTGTAGCTGGTGGTAGTATCCTAAAAGGAGTATTAAAGGTGGGCCAGGAGACAGAAGTAAGACCTGGTATTGTTTCCAAAGATAGTGAAGGAAAACTCATGTGTAAATCAATCTTTTCCAAAATTGTTTCACTTTTTGCGGAGCATAATGATCTGCAATATGCTGCTCCAGGCGGTCTTATTGGAGTTGGAACAAAAATTGACCCCACTTTGTGCCGGGCTGACAGAATGGTGGGGCAAATACTTGGTGCAGTCGGAGCTTTACCTGAGATATTCACAGAATTGGAAATTTCCTATTTCCTGCTTAGACGGCTTCTAGGTGTACGCACTGAAGGAGACAAGAAAGCAGCAAAGGTTCAAAAGCTGTCTAAGAATGAAGTGCTCATGGTGAACATAGGATCCCTGTCGACAGGAGGGAGAGTTAGTGCTGTCAAGGCCGATTTGGGCAAAATTGTTTTGACCAATCCAGTGTGCACAGAGGTAGGAGAAAAAATTGCCCTTAGCCGAAGAGTTGAAAAACACTGGCGTTTAATTGGTTGGGGTCAGATAAGAAGAGGAGTGACAATCAAGCCAACAGTAGATGATGACTGAAGAATACCGGTTAAATAATACATTCGGATGGAGCTGGAAGTTGCAATTTCTCTTTAACAACCAAGGGGTTTATTTTCAAAGCGATATTGGGGAATTGATTTCACAGTTTGTTACCTTAGTAGGTAACGGTAAGGTTATTCTCTCTTTTTTTTTTTGGTTATGAAAACTTAGGGACTACAATTAGTATAAAAATTGGCATAATGTTGGATTGAATCTACATTTTGGCAGAAGTTAAGCATTCCCACATAATGTCAAAATTATACATTATGCAGTTTTTTTGTTTGTTTTATTTTGTTTTGTTTTTGAGTCTGGCTTTGTCACCTAGGCTGGCATGTAGTGGCATGATCTGCAATCTCTGCCTCCCAGGTTCAAGCGATTCTCCTGCCTCAGCCCCCCAAGTAGCTGAGATTACAGGTGTGTGCCACCACACGGGGCTAATTTTTGTATTAGTAGAGACGGGGTTTCGGCATGTTGGCCAGGCCAGTCTCTCCTGACCTCAGGGTGATCAGCCCACCTCGGCCTCACAAAGTGCCGGGATTACAGGCGTGAGCCACCTTGCCTAGCCCACATCATGCAGTTTGAAATGAAACTTTGCCACAACCAGCCTTTGCTGTAGCACACACATATATCACTGAAACTGTTCGAAATAAAGTTTTTTTTTGTTTTTCATGATTCGTCTTTGAGTACCTCCAGGCTGAAGGACTGTTGTACCAGTAAAAACTTAAAGGCACAAATTATCCTTGAAGACCTTCTCCCTTTTCTTTGGCCCCATATTTTATGTTGCTTTATCTTTGAAATTTTGCATGAAAAGGATGCAATGAATGGGTTCGAATTGCATGAAAAGGATGCACGAATGGGTTCGAATGAAATTGTCCTTTAGAGCATGATTACTTGTTCCCATGGGCAAATAATTTTCTCCCCTTGCTCTTCCTGGCCTGAAATACGGGAAACTAGAGTCAGAAGTTATCTCCCTCTCCCTGTGATGCCTTGAGATGTTTTTCTGCATTGTTTTATGCCTGAAATCCAATAGTCTTCCTCCATTGGAAAATACTGTTATACCAAATAATTCTAGATGAGTAACAAAGATCCTTCTAGGCCTTCATTTTATGTTTTTTCTTAACTGTTATATGATTGTGACACAGATTATAATATTACTAATTTTTGGATGTTTCAAAAGGTCAATAAGTAAAAGATGTTAGAAAGCAAAAAAAAAAAAAAAAAAAAAAAAGAAAATATATTTTCTATCATGTTCTTCTGATAAAGTAATTCAAACTTTAACCAGCCCTGAAGACGGCATTGTGATTATACATCCCTGGGTTCTCCTGCTGACCTAAAGTAATATTAATCTCCATATATAACATTAAAATATATTCCCTTATTAGCTTAAGGGAATAAATGTGAATAATCAAATTTTTTCTTTTGTTAGTGTAGGGCAAATTAAAATTTTTCTGCTTTTTAAAGTTATGAAACCATAGACTCATAGAAAAAAAATTCTTCATATACAGGATTTAAGTATAAAAACTTGCGTGTACATATGTGTATATAAATTCTTAGAAAAGTTGTTAAAATCTCTTATATGTTAAAGCACATGAGAACCGTCAGATAAAATCTGACCTCCTTCAAAAAATCTAATATTTATGTGAGGGTAATATTAATACAATACTTATCTTCTTTGTTTCTCCATTTTATGTTGAGTGTTGAGGAGCAAATTAATTGTCTTTTAGAAAGTGGCATTCTTGCAGTGGGCAGCCTGTCTGCTACTTAGTGCTCTATTATTTCTCTATATCTATTGTTATTTTGTCCTGTTAAATGTTTAAAGAAAGATTAACTATTGCATTACTGTGAGATTTTTATCAAGATTCTTATCATTGTTAGAATATTATTCTTTAATTCTGCCTATTCCTCCACAGTATTTTTCTAGCATTCTATCTATATGCCACCTTGAGGTCTTCATTTTTTTAACTGAAGTAATATATAGACACACTTAAATATTAAGAGTATTATCTTACTGTCAGATGGCTTGCAAATATATTTCCAACAATCTTACCTTTCTTCTGAAAAATCATCAATTTTTACCAGAGTTAGAGTTTTAATTTTAAACCATCACAAATTTTTAAAATATTTACCATAATTTTAGCTTTAAAAACACTTTCAGATCATGACTTCAATTATATTTTATTCAAAAATTTTTATAGTTTCTAATTCTCATCCAATTTTTATGCTTTCTAGTATATTTGGTATATAGTATAAAAGGAATGTATACTATGCCTCTATAACTATCCAAATTGCACAACCAATTTTCATGAAATAAATTGTCCTTTCCCACATTACTTGAAATATCACTTGAATAAGAACCACCATATTCGTAGTTATATAGATTTATGGTTCATTTTGATAGCAATAAAAAATCTTAATCAGATAAATATCACTCATCACCATTAATTTCCAAAAACTTTTGATCATGCATGCATACATCCATGAGAAGTATATTAATTTATTAGTAAATTAATTATAAATAAATTTATATTTAAAGCATGAAAGTCACACATAGATTTTATGGGCACATAAAGAACAATGTGTATTTTTCATTGTTATTTGCATTCTTCATTGTTTTCATCCTATTTTTTTCCATGGACATGACAGTAAGAGATCATCTTCCCTTAGAAATTTGATCTTTCTCAAATATTGATGGTGAAAGAAGTGAGCTTAATACAGTAAGTCATCTCTTTTCGACTACTCATATCATCCAAGGCAGTTTATCTTTTGTCCTACATTAGCACTGATAGGCTAAATATTGAATAGTCTGATGTATACTAAAATATGAAGATGTAACACATACAATGAGAGGACATCAGGGCTATTATTCTTGTTTAAAATTAACAGTGCTTCCAGGTCTCTTTAATACCTACTCCCCTTCCTCTGCAGGTAAAAGGTAAATGTGCACCAGTACTAAAGGTACCTCCACCAAATGGGTCAAATAAGATGAGAGGAAAGCCCAAACAATTATCCTAACTCAGGACACACACATGTCTCATAAAGCACTTACTCGGGGTTAATAAAATAAACATACCTGCTCCTCTTTGTCATCAATCTTAATGAGACTAGAACCCAGATCTTGGCATGACTTCTTACTCTCATTCCAAGTTTTCTCTTCTTTTGAAAAATAGTAACACTTTTCTCCATAGCAGGACAATTTTCCTTGACAGGAGGCACAGCCTTTTTCTTGAAAACAAAAACAACCACCCACACTCCATCCCCAAGACCATTTAGAGACATGTACACTTTACGTACTTCACTGCTTACTTCAGAATGAATTACCAGAAAATAGCATTCCCCTGTGTGCCGAAAGTCTGTATGTTGGACATAGCTCTTCTACCAAATTCTTCAGGGAAAAATACTGTTGAGCCAGACAGCCTCTGACAGACCCAAGGCCACTGTTAGGATTACATTCGGAAATCTTGACTTCTCAAGTATAAACAAACTGCACCAATATGGAGAAGTTCTTCCTGCAGGAAGAAATCTACCAAAGTGAATATATGGCAATTATATTAATCCTAAGAGTTCTATATTGGGCAAACTTATTCACAAGCAAGTAAAATTTACTTACACAAGGAAGTAAAATTACTCAAATCAATATGACAATAGGGTCTTCTTTAGTGAAATCAAGTGTTCAATTAAATATAATATAGAAAATAGATTTGATGAGAAAAAGCAAAATTAAAAGCCCTGCCAAAGATCAATGTAAAGTTTTATTGAAATGGTGCAGAAGGGTTTAATTCTATGGAAAAAAAATCTGTTTGCTATTAGCTTAAGTACTCAGTACATATTTGTACTAGATGGTAAAATGGAGTGATCTTTAACTCTAGAAAGAAGGTTTTTTTTTTCTTTTTTCTCTTCTATATCTTGTGTTTTACATTTAAAGGAGCTCTGCAAAACTTTATATTATAAAGTTAATATCATGAATGGGTTTAATGGAAAATCATTTCATTATCATCATTTACTGAATTATTTTTATTGAATAGATGAGGTTTCACCATGTTGCCCAGGCTGGTCTCAAACTCCTGGGCTCAAGTGATCTACCTGCATTAACCTCTTCAAGTGCTGGGATTACAGGCATGAGCTACCGCACCTGGCATTTACTGAAATTCTAAAGAACAAAGTGAATGATGTTGATGAAGTGGAAGTACAGTCTGGGAAAAACATAAAATATTTTGAAGTGTCAGAACATAAAATGAATTTTTAAATAAAACCATTTATAAATTATATTTTTCAGTATATAAAACTAATTATTTATAAAACAAAAGATATAAACTGGAAATTTAAAGAATTCAGCTGGCTTTTACTCCATCTTCAAACAATTATTTCAAAGTTGTGATTAATATTTGCATTTAAAGGGATTTGTCTCTATGTTGAAGTTTATAATGGATTCATTGAAAGCACATGAGGAAAGAGCTTATACAGCTACTTCTAATGTGCAAAAGGAAAGTTAAGATTCCTTGAAAGAAATAGCAATTTCTTCCAAAAAGTCAAGAATAAAAAATGTAAAAGCACAGTCTATGGCTCTGTTAAAAAAAATTCATCAGAGATTTCCTACACAAAGAGTTTTTATTTACAATTCTGCCTCTATTCACCATTGTTCATTCAACTTCGATTCTACTTGTAAAAATAAACCAACATCAATTGCATAATCTCTTAACGTTCCCAATTATAACAAATGGAGCTATTGTTCCATTCAGCAATCCACTCCAATATCTATATTCTAGACCTGAAATTAAAAGACAAATGAAAGACATCTGGTTTCTAAAAACTGCTATTTCCTTATAACTAATCAATTATCTTCTCCTTTCCTTATCGCCCGCTCAAGTCCACATAGTGCAGCACTTTATAATTTTGGCAGGACATCTAACAATCTTGCACCGTAGTCTTTATGCAATGAATATTTGTCATCTAAAAACAGTCAGCTCTGGAACATTCTATCACTCACCATCTCATCTTCACAAGAGCATCTGAAGGCCAGCTGGCAAAAAAATCACAAAACTGTACAGATGCAGATTAATGCAGCTCCAAATTGATGGTTTTTATAATCATTTAGCCCCTCAACAGTATACAACCTACTTATTGTATCACTCCTTTTTCTCAATTCAACAGATATTTCTATTATTTAATATTTTTCTAAATTATCTACTAGACCTCCTTGACTGTCCTTTTCAGAAAATGCCCTCATCTGCTACTTGACATAGAAATAGTGACCATCAGGCATAAATTCCCTCATCTTCTTGCTTGTCCTCCAACAAATACACTGGTACCCATCCATCTATCTCAGAAAAAAAATTTATCTTCCCACTGAAAAACTCCAAAATTTCCATCCCTAGTGTGGATATCACCCCCTGTTATGTCCTAAAGAATCATCATCTCTAGCTATTCCACTTCTATTATCATTTTTCCTCTAACATTTTCCCTCCAATGTTTCTCTTCTCTTGTATATAATAATCTCAAGCCACTCTTGCTTCCCAGATTTCTATTATTTCTTTTTCCTGCTCTTTAAAACAGAGTTGTCTCTTTTTAATTTTTAGACCTTGAGGTGCCCGATAGGATTATTCACAATATTTCATTCATAAGACGCTTTTATCATTGCTCCAAGAACTTCTGTTTATTTATTTAGTTACTCACTTTGTTAGTTGTAACCCAAAACTATAGCTAGGACCATAACCATTACATTTATCTACTTGTATATTTCACTCCTTCCCGTCCTCCTACCTCATTCAAAAATGTAACTATCATACCGAATCCTATGTGATGAATTCCCTTGATTTATTTTATACATACTTTATTGCTTTGTTATTCCTTAAAATTATTTTTTGTTTTTAATGTTTTAACTTTATAAAATTGTATGACATTGTACAGAAAATTTGGTTTTTATTTTCACCTCATATTGTCATGCTCCTCTGGGAGAATCAAGGAGGTGAAGTAGATAATTTACGTAAATATTATCCTACCCCTCCTCTGCTACTTCACATAAAACTAGTGGCTATCAGGCATAAATCCCCTCACCTTCTTGCTTATTTATACTAGGGCTGAAATCAACACTGGGGTGGGAGTTTCAGACTTGTTCAGTGGGAAGAGAAATTTTTTTCTGAGACAGATGGATGGGTCCCTGTGTATTTGTTGGAGGATTTGCAATCATTATCCCATTAATGGTTATTTGGATAGTTTCGAGATGTTTCAAATTGTTAACAGCACTGCTGTAAATATTCCTGTAAATTTGCATTGTTGTACTTATGCAAATATTTCTCTTGGATATGTAGTTAGAATTCCTGAGCCATGTTCAGCTTTAGAAGATAAAATCAAACTGTTTCCCAAAGTGGTTGTATCAATTTATATTTCCTTTAATAACATATAAGAATCATATAAGGCCGGGCACAGTGGCTCACGCCTGTAATCCCAGCAATTTGGGAGGCTGAGGCGGGTGGATCATTTGAGGTCAGGAGTTCAAGACCAGCCTGACCAACATGGTGAAACCCCATCTCTACTAAAAATACAAAAATTAGCTGGGCATGGTGGCGTATGCCTGTAGTCCCAACTACTTGGGAGGCTGAGACAGGAGAATCACTTGAACCTGGGAGGTGGAGGTTGCAGTAAGCTGAGATAGTCCCATGGCACTCCAGCCTGGGTGACAGAGCGAGACTCCATCTCAAAAAAGATAAATAAATAAAAGAAGAAGAAGAATCATGTAGCTCTCCATACTTTCAATGCTTGGTAAATTTTTTTTCTTAGCCATAATTTAAAAAATAATTTTTTTGAACTCAGTGTCTCTGTTTCCTAATTGGCCAATAGGTTTTAGCCATTGCAATCTACTTTCACCATAGCTTACTCTCCCAGATACTCTACTATATTGGGTTCCCTCCTACTTGTCTCATCAAAATATCATTTTTTTTTGCTATTTACTCATATTTTATTTCTAAATGTTGACTTATCCTAAAGATCATCATTCTGACCCCTTCTCTTCTAACATAATATAATACTCCCTGATGTTACAAAGCTTTTTTTGTCATCTGGCTCTCCTTTCCTTACAATGTTTTCAAATACTTATTATATTAATTGATAATTCCACAATTTATATATCCAGTCTAGGTATCTCTCTTGATCTCAGACATTTAATCCTTCCATATACATGCCAATGGTCTATGTCTGCTACTAAAAGCTCACTCTGGAGACACAGACCAATTCTTTCTGGTTGTCTCCAGTGATATACCACAAAGCACCTAAATCATCACCATTATCACAACAAACATAGTTTAATGTTCTTCTTGTGTTTTCTATAACATTTAATAGAATTATATCCATCAAGGTGTGAAGGCTGATATGATATGAAATTATGGATTTCCTCCTCTCCCTCAACCACTGAATCCAATGCAGATTCCTGCAATTCTACGTTGTAAATATTTCTCATATAGGTTTCCTACCCATCATTGCTTTTTTTCATGATGCCAGTTTAGACAGTCATTGTCACTAACCTTGACTCCTAAAACAATTTCCTTTACATCCCCCCACCCACTTTCTAGGCTACTCAGATTGACCTCTCTAAAATCCATATCTGCTCATGTAACATGAGTCATATTGGTCCTTCACTTAAAATCATCTAATCGTTTTCTTTGCCTTTAGGGGAAATCTAAAAATTTTTAACATAGTGCAAAAGACCCTCATGAAGCTTCATACCTGTCCAAATCAATTTCTAGCCACATTTTTTATTACCCAAGAACTATTTGCAATTATAATACCTAAATCTGCCCTTTATTCATATTCTTCACTCCATCTACATTAGTCTTGTTTACCTTCAGCCCCCCAATTCCTGCTTGTCCTCTACTTCACATCAATTATGATCTACAGGGAAGCTTTTATGACCTCAAGATGTTATATGACATTCATCTGATCCTTTCATGATACGATTACAGCACTAGCAGTATTTTATATTTCAATCTGCTTCACTTAAAAAAAACTTCTCCTTTCAACTGAGCTCATTGAAAGCTGATAATTTAAAAAAAAATTCTGTATCATCGGTGCCATATATAGTTCCTGACCTATAGAAGATACCCAAAGTTGTTTGTTGAATGAATGAACCAAATAATTAATAATAATCAGAATAAAGATATTGAAAGAAAGTGTAGAGGACAGTTTTGTAAAAACTGATGTGAAATATATCAAAACTGGTATATTTCAGTTTATTACCCAGGAATTGTTGGCAATTATAATACCCAAATCTGTCCTTTATTCATGTTCTTCACTCTATAACTCTAGTAACATTTTATTTGTATAGAAAGGACATCAAATTTATTCTCTTTGTGATTTAAGCAGTATTTCAGTAAGATAAAAATGTAATAATCAAAGATTCTCCCAACTCACTGGTCATATGCAAACCCCATTTTACACACAAAAAAACTTAGTGTTATTTTATATATAATATACGTATACACACACACATACTAACTTATACTAGTATACTACATGTATATATATGTGTGTGTATACATGGGTACACTATGTCTGTGTGTATATTATATACATACTACATACATACTAATTTATACTAGTATATATATATTAGCTTATTTTTAGTATAAAATAAGTGTTAGTATACATATGTAAAATAGGTGTTAGTATATATATACACTAACATATTTTTAAATTTTATTAAAATAAATTATTTTAAAATTTTATTTTTAAAATTTCACTGGTAAGTAAAGTGTAGTGTATCTGAAATTTTTGTGTAATCACAGCTATATGCTCTTTTGTGTGGCTAAATGATAAACAAAAACTAAATGATAACAACATAATAAAATCATTTTCATCAATATCATCAGTACCATTATGATTGCTAACATGTCTCTAGAACCTTATAGTTTACAAAGTTTCGTAGAGGTTCCACAGTTATAGTGTCTCATTTTTCATCCTGTCTTATTGCTATCATATGAAATATGTGTAGCTGATACTCATGCATATATCGTAAGCCTGCAAATGCCAGCCAGCAACTCCCAGGGTTACTGCAACAGTATGCCATAAAAAGTCTATACAAAATCAAAAGGCAGAATATATAGTGAGCATGACAAAGCCCTCAGAATTAGAGCAAAATGAATATTTATTGTAGAGTTTAAGATTAAAATCACTATGCTGATCACAAATCTCATAAAATATTACACATAAATACACCTCTCAATATGTAAAGAAGGAGATATGCAAACAGGGACAATTTGACTTCCTCTTTTCCTAATTGAATACCCTTTATTTCCTTCTCCTGCCTAATTGCCCTGGCCAGAACTTCCAACACTATGTTGAATAGGAGTGGTGAGAGAGGGCATCCCTGTCTTGTGCCAGTTTTCAAAGGGAATGCTTCCAGTTTTTGCCCATTTAGTATGATATTGGCTGTGGGTTTGTCATAGATAGCTCTTATTATTTTGAGATACGTCCCATCAATACCTAATTTATTGAGATTTTTTAGCATGAAGAGTTGCTGAATTTTGTCAAAGGCCTTTTCTGCATCTATTGAGATAATCATGTGGTTTTTGTCTTTGGTTCTGTTTATATGCTGGATTACATTTATTGATTTGCGTATATTGAACCAGCCTTGCATCCCAGGGATGAAGCCCACTTGATCATGGTGGATAAGCTTTTTGATGTGCTGCTGGATTCGGTTTGCCAGTATTTTATTGAGGATTTTTGCATCAATGTTCATCAAGGATATTGGTCTAAAATTCTCTTTTTTGGTTGTGTCTCTGCCCGGCTTTGGTATCAGGGTGATGCTGGCCTCATAAAATGAGTTAGGGAGGATTCCCTCTTTTTCTATTGATTGGAATAGTTTCAGAAGGAATGGTACCAGTTCCTCCTTGTATCTCTGGTAGAATTCAGCTGTGAATCCATCTGGTCCTGGACTATTTTTGGTTGGTAAGCTATTGATTATTGCCACAATTTCAGAGCCTGTTATTGGTCTATTCAGAGATTCAACTTCTTCCTGGTTTAGTCTTGGGAGGGTGTATGTGTCGAGGAATTTATCCATTTCTTCTAGATTTTCTAGTTTATTTGCGTAGAGGTGTTTGTAGTATTCTCTGATGGTAGTTTGTATTTCTGTGGGAATGGTGGTGATATCCCCTTTATCATTTTTTATTGTGTCTATTTGATTTTCTCTCTTTTCTTCTTTATTAGTCTTGCTAGCAATCTATCAATTTTGTTGACCCTTTCAAAAAACCAGCTCCTGGATCCATTAATTTTTTGAAGGGTTTTTTGTGCCTCTATTTCCTTCAGTTCTGCTCTGATTTTAGTTATTTCTTGCCTTCTGCTAGCTTTTGAATGTGTTTGCTCTTGCTTTTCTAGTTCTTTTAATTGTGATGTTAGGTTGTCAATTTTGGATCTTTCCTGCTTTCTCTTGTGGGCATTTAGTGCTATAAATTTCCCTGTACACACTGCTTTGAATGTGTTCCAGAGATTCTGGTATGTTGTGTCTTTGTTCTTGTTGGTTTCAAAGAACATCTTTATTTCTGCCTTCATTTCGTTATGTACCCAGTAGTCATTCAGGAGCAGGTTGTTCAGTTTCCATGTAGTTGAGTGGTTTTGAGTGAGTTTCTTAATCCTGAGTTCTAGTTTGATTGCACTGTGGTCTGAGAGACAGTTTGTTATAATTTCTGTTCTTTTACATTTGCTGAGGAGAGCTTTACTTCCAACTATGTGGTCAATTTTGGAATAGGTGTGGTGTGGTGCTGAAAAAAATGTATATTCTGTTGATTTGGGGTGGAGAGTTCTGTAGATGTCTATTAGGTCCACTTGGTGCAGAGCTGAGTTCAATTCCTGGGTATACTTGTTAACTTTCTGTCTCATTGATCTGTCTAATGTTGACAGTGGGGTGTTAAGGTCTCCCATTATTGTGTGGGAGTCTAAGTCTCTTTGTAGGTCACTCAGGACTTGCTTTATGAATCTGGGTGCTCCTGTATTGGGTGCATATATATTTAGGATAGTTAGCTCTTCTTGATCCCTTTACCATTAGGTAATGGCCTTCTTTGTGTCTTTTGATCTTTGTTGGTTTAAAGTCTGTTTTATCAGAGACTAGGATTGCAACCCCTGCCTTTTTTTGTTTTCCATTTGCTTGGTAGATCTTCCTCCATTCTTTTATTTTGAGCCTATGTGTGTCTCTGCACGTGAGATGGGTTTCCTGAATACAGCACACTGATGGGTCTTGACTCTTTATCCAATTTGCCAGTCTGTGTCTTTTAATTGGAGCATTTAGCCCATTTACATTTAAAGTTAATATTTCTCAGCCCAAAATCTCCTTAAGCTGATAAGCAACTTCAGCAAAGTCTCAAGATACAAAATCAATGTACAAAAATCACAAGCATTCTTATACACCAACAACAGACAAACAGAGAGCCAAATCATGAGTGAACTCCCATTCACAATTGCTTCAAAGAGAATAAAATACCTAGGAATCCAACTTACAAGGGATGTGAAGGACCTCTTCAAGGAGAACTACAAACCACTGCTCAAGGAAATAAAAGAGGACACAAAGAAATGGAAGAACATTCCATGCTCATGGGTAGGAAGAATCATATCGTAAAAATGGCCATACTGCCCAAGGTAATTTATAGATTCAATGCCATCCCCATCAAGCTACCAATGACTTTCTTCACAGAATTGGAAAAAACTACTTTAAAGTTCATATGGAACCAAAAAAGAGCCCACATCGCCAAGTCAATCCTAAGCCAAAAGAACAAAGCTGGAGGCATCACGCTACCTGACTTCAAACTATACTACAAGGCTACAGTAACCAAAACAGCATGGTACTGGTACCAAAACAGCGATATAGATCAATGTAACAGAACAGAGCCCTCAGAAATAACGCCGCTTATCTACAACTATCTGATCTTTGACAAACCTGAGAAAATCAAGCAATGGGGAAAGGATTCCCTATTTAATAAATGGTGCTGGGAAAACTGGCTAGCCATATGTAGCAAGCTGAAACTGGATCCCTTCCTTACACCTTATACAAAAATTAATTCAAGATGGATTAAAGACTTAAACGTTAGACCTAAAACCATAAAAACCCTAGAAGAAAACCTAGGCATTACCATTCAGGACATAGGCATGGGCAAGGACTTCATGTCTAACACACCAAAAGCAATGGCAACAAAAGCCAAAATTGACAAATGGGATCTAATTAAACTAAAGAGCTTCTGTACAGCAAAAGAAACTACCATCAGAGTGAACAGGCAACCTACAAAATGGGAGAAAATTTTTGCAATCTACTCATCTGACAAAGGGCTAATATCCAGAATCTACAATGAACTCAAACAAATTTACAGGAAAAAAACGAACAACCCCATCAAAAAGTGGGCAAAGGACATGAACAGACACTTCTCAAAAGAAGACATTTATGCAGCCAAAAAACACATGAAAAAATGCTCACCATCACTGGCCATCAGAGAAATGCAAATCAAAACCACAATGAGATACCATTTCACACCAGTTAGAATGGCAATCATTAAAAAGTCAGGAAACAACAGGTGCTGGAGAGGATGTGGAGAAATAGGAACACTTTTACACTGTTGGTGGGACTGTAAACTAGTTCAACCATTGTGGAAGTCAGTGTGGCAATGCCTCAGGGATCTAGAACTAGAAATACCATTTGACCCAGCCATCCCATTACTGGGTATATACCCAAAGGACTATAAATCATGCTGCTATAAAGACACATGCACACGTATGTTTATTGTGGCACTATTCACAATAGCAAAGACTTGGAACCAACCCAAATGTCCAACAATGATAGACTGGATTAAGAAAATGTGGCACATATACACCATGGAATACTATGCAGCCATAAAAAATGAAGAGTTCATGTCCTTTGTAGGGACATGGATGAAATTGGAAATCATCATTCTCAGTAAACTATCACAAGGACAAAAAACCAAACACCGCATGTTCTCACTCATAGGTGGGAATTGAACAATGAGAACACATGGACACAGGAAGGGGAACATCACACTCTGGGGACTGTTGTGGGGTGGGGGGAGGGTGGAGGGATAGCATTAGGAGATATACCTAATGCTAAATGACGAGTTAATGGGTGCAGCACACCAGCATGGCACATGTATACATATGTAACTAACCTGCACATTGTGCACATGTACCCTAAAACTTAAAGTATAATAATAATAAAATAAAATTTAAGAAAAGGAGATATGCAATATCAAATATATATGAACATAATTATGATTTCATTTTTTTCTTACTTGACAATATATTTTCAGAAAACAAGAAAATAAACAAAAAACAGTTTACCTTTACTTTTGTGAGCTGAACGTCTTCCGTTCTTTCATTTTGAAAAGGGGAATTTTGTCTCTGTGCATGTCACTCTCTCCTCACTCATATCTGAGGGCTGCAGTCAAAGAACACAGCAAGAATCCTTTCGAACAGCATAATTCTTCAGTTGAAATGGGAACATTCATCATGAAGGAATGGAGAGACCTCAATAAGTAATAAGCATGATAGTCAAGAAAAAGTGAAATAAAGTAACCATTTGTCAGGGAATATCAGAAAATATGATTTTGTAGACTTCTCTTTGTGATGTTTTAGAACAGAGATCCTACATAGCTAAATAATAGTTTGTGACAGTGTACAGACATGTTATATTAGACTTTTAGGCTGTCTTTTAGGTAATTTAATTGCTTGCCAAAAGTTAGAAATTAATGTTTTACACACAAATATCCAGATGTATATCTTCTCTTGAAAATTGCATGTGAACATTTAGTGCCTGTATTAGTCCCAAGTGATAACCATATTATGATACTGAATTGAGTCACCTTTAGCAAGGATACACGTTCTAATTCAACACAGTCTGCAATCTGCCAGATTATCTTATACCACACCCCATCACTTCCTGATCTTATCCATTTAACTGGATCTCATGAATCTTAGAGAATGGGAAAAATGAACAAATCCTGGGATTTAAGGAAAGGAAGTTTAAAGAAATAACATTAACAAAGCTGGGAATCACTTGTATTTCTAACTACTCTGCAGAGTGATGTTTTTTTTTCAATTTATAGATGAGGCAAACTGAGCCTCAAAGCATATAATATTTGATAGTCCCCAAGGTCAAATAGCTAGTGATAGTCTTTAGTTCAAATCCATATATGTGTATATATGTACATATCTATATCCAAATATATCCTTCTTCACCTCCACTTAATACCTACATTTATATAAATAACACTTCTGCAAAACCATAAAATAATCTCTCTCCCTCAGAAACCATAAATAAATAAGAAAAAGAATCTGAATCAATGAAAATATTTCCTTTTCTAAGTTAACTAAGGGTGTAAGGAAAGAGATGAATATGTTCTCAATAGCAAGCCAAGAATGAGTATTTAAAGACTGTGATGACAAAGTCCACGCAGAAACCTGAAGTGTATAGTAAAAGCTAGCTATTTTAGGAAAGTGTGAGCAACCTGAAAGTCATAATCTTTTGATATTCAACCTTCCACAAAACAAAGTGAGCTCAAGATTTTCTGAAAGAACCTTAAACTTGAATCTAGGAAGCAGTTCTAATCCTTGGTATGCCACAAATTAATCGTATGGCCTTAAGAAAATAACTTCTCCAGTTTCCTCATGTAAGTAATGAGACATTAAACTAAACCATCTCAAGAATAACTTTTGAGTCTACAATTTTATGTTAATATTATACTAAAACAAAACCCAGAGGAGTAAAGTTGACTTTCAGTCTGTAAAACATATCATACTGCCAAAGGTGTTTGTATTTTTATTTTCAGATCCAACTTTCTCATCCTTTTAAGTATGCTGTATAATTAGTATATGTTCCATAACACATAGCCTGGTGTAGTGGTGTGAGCTTGTAGCACTGGCCGCTCAGGAGGCTGAGGCAGGAGAGTCACTCGAGCCTAGGCGTTTTAGGCTGCAGTGAGCCATGATTGTGCCAGTGCACTCCAGCATTAGTGACAGAGTGAGATCCTGTCTCTAAAAAATATTTAAATAAATAAAAAATAAACATAATACATACTATGTCTATAACTATATTCTGTGATTAGTTAAATAATATATGCAGTTTTAAAAAGAGTATAAATTTGTCATCAAATCAGGACTTAGAACAAAGCATCATTCAATTAATGGAGCTGGGAGAATTAATTATCTAGAAAAAATTAGTCTTTCCTTATACCTAAATAGATTTGAGTTATTGCAGTTTCCATATTTACTGATTCTTCAACATCCATTGCATTCTCTTCCAGATTCATCTAATTCACCTTGATTTGATTAAGGAATTAGAATGGGGCCCAGTTCTTACCAATGAGACACAGAGGAAGTCTGCAGCAAACTTCTAGGAAATCATTTCTTTCTTTAAAGAAAAAAGACAAAAGAAAACATGATCCCCTTTCTGCTCTGGAGATTCTTTGCAGGCTGTGATGCCCGGAATTGTGACAACCATATCACAATTATGGGAAGAACTTAGGTTCCTGAAAATCTTATTGCAACATGTTTACAGCCAGCCCTACACCTGGACTTCATGTTTATTATTTATATCAGTCCAAGTTCTTGAAATGATGCTGCTTTCATCTGAAATACACAAACAAATAAAATTATATTTATATACACATAAACATGTATATACATACATGTATATATTTTTATAGAGTATTAGAATGCTACTCTTTCTCAAAATATGTTAAATATAAACTAAACTTGACTGTTAATTATGATGTGTCCTAATTTAATTATATGAAAAATTCTGATGTTTAAAAAATAAAAAATGAAGTTATATTGATATTATATTTCATATTTTTTAAATCCTACCTAGTTTTCAATCTATCTCAGGCACATTACCAGAAAATATTTTACCTTTACCACACCAATAAAGATAAAGACAAAGGCCTTCTTTAGAAATTGTCTATCATTCTCCAGTCAGCAATTTCTAGATATTTGAATAAGTTACACTGTCACACCCAATGACTGCTGTTGATATTGATGAGGGAGAGAAAAGAATTAAGATGCTTAAACCTAAAATCTAAAGTGGAATAATATTATGATTCTTTCAAAATCTTCCTGAGATTTTTAACCTTTTCCCTGAGAACAGAAGGAGGAGGAGAAGAAAAATGGTTCTTTCGTTACTAAGAGTGCCATCACAGGCGGCAGTGAAATTTGAAAATATGGTCATGGTTTTCTCTCCAGATGAGTGGGATCATCTGAGCCCTTAACAGAGAAACTCCAAAAGGATTTGATGCTGGATAAATGTGATATTTGTGTCTTTGGGAAACTGGACTTATAAGCCACAAGTGATGTCCCCTTTAAAGCAAGGGAATGAGCCCTGGATGATGGTGAGAGATGATAGGTGCTCCCTGCCCGGGTACATGAAAAGCAAGAATCAGGTGGAAGACCTCAGTTCATGCCCCAACTCACCAGAGTAACCTGCACCCCTATGGTGGCAGGAGAGGAACTTTTCCATGGGTTTCTGTCCATGAGTTTCCAAAGCAATCTAATTTTTACCCCACTTTTATCACTCTCCTTGTACCCTTTTTGTTATACTTCCAGTCTTAAGACAGTAAACGGTGTTCTGGTAAAACTTTTGAGTTTAAATTACCACATGAGGAATATTCAATAGCTAAATTGATCAAATCATTTGTCAAATAATTTGTCAGCGATTAGATTTAATAGGTTAGCTCAGAAAGGTGTCATGAAAAGTCTTCTCAAGACAGAGTTTTGGAGAGAGATTTCTTGCCTCTTTAGATTTTTAGATTAAAGAATAACAAATTAGAAAGACAAATTTAACATTTAGTTGAAAAGAGATGACATGTCCATCTTTAACAGAAGTTAGAAATTGCCAGAAAGTAATATTATCCAGGGATTTCAGAGAAACTTTTTTCCCCAGTTTACATGCTGATAATAGGGAAGGCAGCTCATAAAACAGACTCTGGAAAGTCAAGGGACAAAAAGTTGGGATGCATGATGATGAATTTTTGTTTGGAATACTGTTAGATCTGAAGAGTAGCATTAAATACCAATGCATTTAGGCTGTAGGCATTTCATAAAGTGGGCCTGGAATCCAATAGAAATTCAAAGGTTTTATAAGAATTGTTCACAAGAATTCCAAATAACCTTGGGCCTTTTTATTCCTTAAATACTTAATAACTTGGCCCTAACTCCTCTCCCACAGCCAAGCCAGTTCTTCTTTCCCCCTTGTCCTTTCATTCTTCATTCACCTCTGTACATTTTTTTAATCAAGTTGTAGTCACTTTTATGTTTACTGCAAGATTTTTTCCTACACTTTTCACTGCTGCCTTGTGGTTTTAGAACACAAATCTGTTTGCATTCTCTTTTGTTTTGTGAAATGTATTGTGTGTGTGTATATATATACACACACAAAATAAAAACATGTATATATATATTTGAATAAAACAACTCATACTGTTAAAATAAAAAAATAAAATAAAATGTTAATGGATAGCAAACATTACAGAAGATACAAAGATATCAAACCTTTCCAATAGAAGGAAATTTTAAAGTCAGTAATGGATAGTATCATGTTAAACGGCAACCAAAAAAAGATATTTAACAAAAACAATCAGCAATTATTTATAGAATACCATTGAATTTTTCCAATTTTACAATTATGATATGCATATCTGAAATTTTAAAAAAATATTGTAGATCCCTCGTAATTCTATAACACAAGAATAATGACTTTTAATATTTCAAAACATTTCTTCCTATGTTTATTATTATACTACTTAGTGGGTATCTTGTTTTACACACATGCATTATATCGCATTTTAATTAGTGTTATAAATATGTACTCAAACTGTTTGATGTTCTTTGAAAATAAAAATGAAAAAGGAAATATATCACAGGAGAAAATTAGGTGAAATGAATGAACAGAAAACTTACAGAAGAAGAAATAAAGAAGACAAATTACAATCACGCACAAAATTGTACCTTCTCACTAATAGAAAGAACCATAAATTATTCAAATTACAAAATATTTCCTAATTATCACATTTCACAAATTTTATAATAATTAATAACAGTAATAATTGACATTATGTACATATTTCACTTTAATTTTACAACATTGGTGGTAGTGTAATTTGTACCAATGATTCTGGAAAGCAATACAGTAATATGTGTCAACAGACTTAAGGATGTTAATATTCTTTCAACTATAACTCCTTTGAAAGTTTTTTTGGTTTTTCATATATATATATATACACACATACATATATATACACACGTATATATACACACGTATATACACACATGTATATATACACACACGTACATACACACATATATACACGTATATACACACGCATACACACACGTATATACACACACGTATACACACACGTATATACACACACATATACACACACGTATGCACACACATATATACACACATATATACACACACGTATATACACACACGTATATACACACACGTATATACACACACATATATACACACATATATACACACGTATATATACACACATGTATATACACACATATATACACACATGTATACACATATATACACATATATACATACACACATATAGACACATATATACACATACATATATACACACATATAGACACATAAACACATATATACACATATATACACACATATATACACATATATATACACACATATATATACACACACATCTATACACATCTATACACATATACACACATATATACACATATATACATATATACACACACATACACACACACACACACATATATACACACACACACACACACACACACATATATATATATATATATATATATATATATATATATATATATATATATAAAAGAGAGACAGGATCTTGGTCTATTGCCCAGGCTGTAGTGCAGTGGTGCAATCACAGCTCATTGCAATCTGGACCTCCTAGGCTCAAGCAATTCTCCCAGCCTTCTAAGTAGCTAGGACTACAGGCATGTACCTCCAAGCCCAGCTAATTTTTTTAAATTTTTTGTACAGATGTGGGTCTCACTTTGTTGCCCAGGCTGGTTTTGAATTCCCGGCCTCAAGCAATCCTCCGTCCTTGGCCTTCCAAAGCACCAAGAGATTACAACAAGCATGAACCACTGTGCCTGGCATAAAAGGTGTTTTGTTGTTGTTGTTGTTTGAGACAGAGTCTGACTCTGTTGCCAGGCTGGAGTATAGTGGCGCAATCTCGGCTCACTGCAACCTCTCCTTCCTGGGTTCGAGCGATTATCCTGCCTCAGCCTCCTGAGTGGCTGGGACTACAGGCGCACCCAACTAATTTTTGTATTTTTAGTAGAGACAGGGTTTCACCATGTTGGCCAGGATGGTCTCGATCTCTTGACCTCATGATCCGCCCTCCTCAACCTTCCAAAGTGTTGGGATTACAGGCATAAGCCACTGTGCCTGACCAAAAGTTTTTTATACTAAAGCAATAAGCAGAGTTGAAACAAAATTCATATGCTAAAAAGATTATGGCTTTATTTTCTAAATATCCTAATTTCAGCAATAAGAAATATTTTCATAAATTAAGTTTTTTCCATAGAATAAAATACCATGCTTCTTATAAGATTCATATTTAAAATCTTATTTATAATGGGAAAGTACTCTTGTTTAAAGTGAAATACCTAGAATATAAAACTATGTGATACCAGTTTGGTAAGGCATGGATACCATCTCTTTTAAATAGAAAATAAATTCACAGGAGAAAATAAAAAGAAGCATAAAAATTAGTTAGCATAAAGTTGGTCATTTAAGAATCATATAATTATGGGAGAATTTTGTATTTCTTCTTATATCTTATTTCTACAGCTTTTGCTTAAATAGATACATAGATAATTTGTTTTATCTTATTTAACATGGGTCTTCTCAAATAGATTCATTCATATAGGGCTTATTTGCCCTTCAGTTCTCCTCCATCACTTAGCATACTACAGGGCTCACTGTCAGTGTTCAGTAAAGCTTGTGGATTGAATGATAGTCCTCTTCTAAATGTTATCCTGTGGATGTATGTCAACTTCTAATCTATGAAAAAAATATATTTAAGTAAATGAATAAAATTTATTTCATAACTGAATCACATACAAAAAATAGATACTTTAAAAATATTTAGGAGCATTCTTGGATGACTACTGAAAAATAAATTACTAAGAAAATCTGAGATACTTAGTTATTTAAGAGGAGAAAATATTTTTCCCCAAAAAATATTTTCAATAACTCTACAGACAGAACCAAAATACCATTGTTTACGGGTAGATTTGGTTGTTGGACCCTTAAAATATCATAATATTTCCACCATTAATTACTTTGTAATTTGAGGGAACCTGATTTGATCATCAATTAATAAATATATAAATGTACTACAATTTATTTTTCAATAAATATTCTCTCTTTCACTATGCCAAGTTATAAGGTAAGTCCTATTTTAAGGTCATATATTTTGCCAGCTAGCTAGTTTTTGTTTAGTTTTTTTCTATTTAATATCTGTGTACATATATAACAGGAAAACATATTCGTAAATATAAAACTGGATTTTTTTGATTAAAAATATTATTTTAAAAAACATTCAAATTTTTCCTATTACACCTAAATTCAGGATAGGGAATTTGAGATTTGAATAATTCATCGCCAACCAGGTAAGTAGCATCCTTCGTGGTAAGAAAAAAGAAGTCCAGAGTCATAATGTCTAAAAGAAAATAAATATTCCCCAAACATTTGAGAATTTTTAAAAATCATATTCTACATGGTTAATATATTTGACACGTTCTTATTCTGATCCATTTCTGCCTTTACCTTTAGTGTAACATTAACATTAGATATTAACATAGATCCTAAAGTTAATTATTTCCTGCAACAATTCAAATGTCTCCCAACTTTCTACATAGCTTTTCTATACAAAATTCTACTTTATTCCTCTTTCCTCAACAGCATGACACATAGAGACATGGATTGCACACCCACACTGGCTGATAATACCTGTGTCTATGCCTTGAGATTTCACCAGCTGGAAGACAAACTTGGTCAGGAATACAGTAAGGATGTGCTGACCTGCTGGTTTTCTCTCTCCTTTGAGACCAGGAGGTACTTACTGATATGTATTACTGACCCTCAAAGACACTGTGTCAGAGGAAAGCCGAGGAGGATCATATGACATTCAGTATTTCCCCACAGAAAGTTTCCAGTGGTGTCAGTATCACCTTTCCTACTCACACTCTGTGACAGACAAGTCATAAATAAAATAATAAATTTTATGAACATTTAATGGATTAACTCAAACCTGAGCTTCAGCAGTTGCCATAAAGCTTCTTCTCTCTCTCTCTCTCTCTCTCTCGATTCATTAAATGTTCATAAAATTTATGGCAACTGCTAAACTGGTTACAGCAACTGCCATAAACTTTATGGCAACTGGTTAACCATTTTCTAATCCATATATATATATTTACAAATATGCTTTCCTGTTTTATATCTATATGGCCATCTCAGCAACTCATGAGACTAGAAAATGGTTAACAAAAAGATTTTAAATCTATAAAAATAGAAAAATAAATATCCATATTCTGCCTTGTGTGATTTATACACTTTTTATAAAATGGAGGAAAATCCACAATTGTTATACATATAATAAAAATAGATAGCTGTTAAAATGTGCATAAATTTTGGTCTGTATTTTTAATGAACATCCTAAATATATTGCGATGTCTTGATGAATTATAATAAATGTAACTATATACAGTATGGGTTGACTGATCTGAAATAGTGTTTTTCCACTTCTTGTCTTCTCCTTAAATTATCTGAAGAAAGAGACTGTTTCTCTAAATAATAAAAATTAAGACAGAAGCAGAAATAGAAAGCCTTAAACTGTTGAATAGATTTGAATGAAGCCCTTTTAAAGCATCAAAGTCAAAATAATCTCTTCCAGTAGTTGTAGCCACAGCTGTCAAAGCATTTTTAAAAATTATTTAATTCAATGAGCAGCCCTATGTCCTATTTAACTCTAGAAGTAGGTAGTAGTAACAAAAGCAGGCTTTGGTGTTGTTTTTTTTTTCATATCAACCTCATTAATGTGCACACCTAAAGGGTCAACCACATTAATCTGCACACCCAATGCTCTAGTGCTTAAAAATCCTTCTTAGAAATGTGCAGTAATAACAACTGAAATTCATCTCTATTTCAGCTACACCATTTGAATTCTTTACAAAGGCACTTCTTCATGGTTTGAGAATGCATCTCTCATTACCCTAAAGCAAAACTATCTTATCCCCTTCTAAATAGTGGTAACAAAACTAGATTCTCTAGTTGCTTCTCTTGTAGGTTTGCCTTCGGCTTATTCTGTTTCTCTACTAGGAATCAACTGATTGCTTTCAGGGAGTAGGTTTCTAACTAAATAAAGTTATGACAGACAATGCATCCTGGAAATTCTCCAGACAATTGAACTTTCTTTTAAAGGTAAACAGTTTTTAAGCACGCCCATGAACTATGATATTCCAGGTTCGCAGCCATTAGTTACTCTGCTTGGCTGCTGTACATCTCTATGTATGTTTTTACCTCAAATTCCCCAGTTCCAAATGTATCATTTAACCAGAATGCATTTAATAGCATTTGTATATGTTATGAACCATAACAAGTGTCAAATGGATTCTAAAAATTAGTCCATAACATATTTATAGGAATGTGTTGCTTCCACTCTTTTTAAGAGTTGTATAGGCTTACATTTATCATCATTTAATATTAATAGAGCAACTGATATACACCTGTCCCTAAAAGTATGGGGCAAACCACCAAAGACAGGTAATTATTAACAATTTTAGTTTTTGGCATTTTAATACTAAACTTCAAGGTTTATTAAATAAAATAAATATAAGAGGTTCTTGAAAATCTAGCAAACTATATAGGCTTAGATATTTTATCAACAATATCTATAAAATATTATTGTCAGAGTATAGGTATATCATATCTATTTTCTTTTAAGGATTTTAACTTTGTAACTATTTTGAATAAAGGATGAGGTTATTATTAATTGGTTGATTATAAAGACCATTTTCCCAAAGCTTTCCTCTCTCCTTAAAACACCCACACACTTTTGTACCCAAAAATATCAATGTATTTTTAATGTTTCTTCAATTGTTTCCTATACTTCTTTTCTACCTCAACTTGTGTTTATCTTTTAATGTCCACTGAAATTATATTTATGTTCACCAAGTCTAGCCAGTATTAAATTTTTTAAAAACTGAAATGACATTTAATAAAAGAATAAAGTTAATAGAAATCAAGATACAACCCCAAGATGAAATAAGTGAATAAGCACATAAAATAAGAGAGAGAGATAGAGGCTCATGATAACATGAATAGAACACAGCAGAATGATATCAGGATATAGCTGAATTAATGTGAACTTTATAATATAGCAGGCAGCATGCATAAAATTTTGAAATGATTTTTCAAAAACAAAAACAAAAATCCAAGAGGTAATAGGTTTTTATTTTTTATTTTTAATATTGTGTATTTCCTATATACTGTTATTTTCACCTATCTTTAAAATTTTTAAATTGGTAAAAGTTAGGTGACTGTAGCTTAGCTTCTAAGGCAAAGGGAGAATCTTTAGTTCAGTAAACCTGTCACCAAAAACAAAACATTATATAATAAAAATAGGGATTGTTTTTCTCATATTTTGCATTTTTACATATCTTTAATTGTATTTCCTGTTTTAAACTGACAGTTATGAAATAATGGTCAGTTATGGTTTATATGAAATAATGGATGAGTTTGAATATATGAAATAATGGTTGAGTTATGTTTTATACAGAAAATACCAAAATGACTCTCTTATGTTTTCTAGTGACCAATTTTTAATGTCATTTTGATGGAAGCAATAATGCAAAAAAAACTTTAAAAAATTTTTGGTTTTCCAGAAGTATAGATACTGAGTCTATCATTACTTGAGGTGTTTAATAAAAAATAAGATGGTCATAATTTGGAGATGAAGGAGATGTAATGACCAAATACAATGTGGAGGCCTGGATATGATTCTAGAACAGAAGACAGACATTCATGGGAAAAATGGGTGAAAGCTGAATGACGTTTTCAGCACAGTTAACAGTAACATACCAGTATAGGATGCCTAGTTTTGACAAATGTAAGATGTATCATCTTATGGTAATGTAAGACAATAACATTAGGGGAAAGTGAAACTCACTCAAGGATCTATGGGAACCTTCTACACTATCTCTGCAAGTTTTTTAGAAACCTAAAGTTATCCCTGCAGGATTTAAAAAATACCATGAAAAGGGTAAATCTAAGAGTTATTGGCCTTACAGAGGAAGTAGAGAAACAGAAAGGAGTAGAATGTTTATTCAGAGGGATAATAACAGAACTTCCCAAACCTAGAGAAAGATATCAATATCCAAGTCCACAAAAGTTATAGAAGACCAAGCAGATTTAACCTAAGGAAGACTACGTCAAGCCATCTAATAATCAAACTCTCAAATTTCAAGGATAAAGAAAGGATCTTAAAAGCAGCAAGAGAAAAGAAACAACATACAATGGAGCTCCAATACATCTTCCAGCAGACTTTTCAGTGGAAACATTGCAGACCAGGAGACAGTGGCATGGCATATTTGAAGTGTTGAAGGGGAAAAAAAATAGGCATAAACAGTATAGCTGGTGAAAATATTCTTCAAACATGAAGGAGGAATAAAGACTTTCCAAGACAAAGAAAAGCTGAGTGATTTCATCAATACCAGACATGTCCTATAAGAAATGCTAAAGGGAGTACTTCAATCAGAAAGAAAAGGATGTTAATAAGCAATAAAGCATCTTCTGAAGGTACAAAACTCACTGGTAATAGTAAGTACACAGAACAACACACATATTATAACACTGTTACTGTGGTTTGTAAATTACTCATCTTAAGTAGAAAGAATAAAAGATGAACCAATCAAAATAATAATTACAACAACTTTTCAAGATGTAGTACAATAACACATAAAGAGAAACAACAAAGGTTAAAAAGCATGGAAATGAAGTTAAAACAGAGTTTTTATGAGTTTCCTTTTTCTTGTTAATTCATTTGTATTTGCAAGCAGTATTAAGTTGTAATCAGGTTAAAATAATGTGTTATAAGATAGTATTTGCAATTTTCATGGTAACCTCAACTCAAAAACATGCAACAGATACACACACACACACACACACAAAGCAGGCCAGGTGTTGTGGCTCACACCTGTAATCCCAGCACTTTGGGAGGTCAAGGTGGGCAGATCACCTGAGGTCAGGAGTTTGAGACCAGCCTGGCCAACATGACAAACCCCATCTCTACTGAAAATACAAAAATTAGCCAAGCATGGTGGTGCATACCTGAAATTCCAGCTACTTGGGAGGCTGAGACAGAAGAATTGCTTGAACCTGGTAGGCAGAGGTTGCAGTGAGCTGAGTTCATGCCACTCCACTCCAGCCTGGGTGACAGAGTGAGACTCCAGCTCAAAAAATAAAATAAAATAAATAAAATAAAAAGGAAATTAAATCATAACATTTGAGAAAATCACCTTCGCTAAAAGGAAGACAGGAAGGAAAGAAGGGAGAGAGACTACAAAACAATCAGAAAACAAACAACAAAATGGCAGGGGTAAGTACTTACTTATCAATAATAACATTGAATGTAAATGAACTCTCTAATCAAAAGACACGGAATGGCTAAATGGATTTAAAAAGCAAGACCCAATGATCTGTTGCCTACAAGAAAGACATTTCACCTACAAAGACACACAAAGACTGAAAATAAAGGGATGGAAACAGATATTCTATGACAATGGAAACCAGAAAAGAGCAAGAGTAGCTATACTTACATCAGACAAAATAGATTTCAAGACAAAAACTATAAAAAGAAACAAACGAGATCATTATACAATGATAAAAGGATCGATCCAGCAAGAGGATATAACACCTGTAAACATATATGCATACAATACTGGAGCACCCAGAAATACAAAGCAAATACTATTAGAACTAAAAAAAGAAGTAGAGACCATGGCAAGAATAGCTGGAGACTTCCACACTCCACTTTCAGCATGGAAAGATTATCCAGACACAAAATTAACAAAGAAACATCAGACATAATCTGCACTACAGACCAAATAGACCTAAAAGATATTTACTAACATTTCATCCAATGGCTGCAGAATACACATTCTTTTCCTCAGCGCATGGATCATTCTCAAAGGTAGACCACATGTTAGGTCAAAAAACAAGTCTCAAAACATTTAAAAAAAAACGGAAATAATAGCAAGCATCTTCTCTAACCACAACAGAATAAAATAAGAAATCAATAATGAGGCATTTTGGAAACTAAACAAACACATGGAAATGAAACAATATACTCCTGAATGACCAGTGGGTCAATGAAGAAATTAAAAAGGAAATTGAAAAAATTCTTGAAATAAATGATAATAAAAACATGATATACCAAAACCTATGGGATACAATGAAAGCAGTACAAAGAGAAAAGTTTAGAGCCATAAGTGCCTACATCAAAAAGGAGGGAAAACTTCAAATAAACAACCTAACAATGCATTTTAAAGAACTAGAAAGGTAAGAGCAATCTAAACTCAAAATTAGTGGAAGAAAAGAAATAATAAAGATCAGAGCCAAGATAAATTGAAATGAATAAAACAATACAAAATATCAATAAAACAAAAAGTTGTTTTTTAGAAGATAAAACTGACAAATTTAAGCCAGATTAACCAAGAAAATAAAAGAGAAGACCAAAATCAGAGATGAAAAAGGAGACATTGCAAGTGATACTGCAGAAATTCAAAGACTCATCAGTGGCTATTATGAGCAATTATATGCTAATAAACTAGAAAGTCTAGAAGAAATGCATAAATTCCTAAACATTTACAACCTACCAAGATTGAACCATGAAGAAATTCAAAACCTAAACAGACCAATAACAAGCAATGAGATCAAAGCCATAATAAAAATTCTACCAGCACAAAAGCTCAAGATCCTATGACTTCAGTGCTGAATTTTACCAGACATTTAAAGAAAAATTAATATCAATTCTACTAAAACTATTCTGAAAGATAGAGGAGGGGAACATACTGCCAAACTCATTTTACAAGGCCAGTATTACCCTGATACCAAAACCAAAGACATACATTAAAAAAAAACTACAGATCAATATCACCTATGAATATTGATGCAAAAATCCTCAACAAAATGTGAGCAAATTGAATTCAACAACACATTAAAAAGATTAGCCATCATGACCAAGTGGGATTTATCCCAGGGATTCAAGGATTGTACAACATATGCAAATCAATCAATGTGATAAATCATATCAACAGAATGAAGAAGAAAAACCATGTTCATTTCGATTGATGGTGAAAAATCACCTGATAAAGTTTAACTTCCTTCATGATAAAAACTGTAAAAAACTAGGTATAGCAGGAACATACCTCAACATAGTAAATCCCATGTATAATAGTCTCATAGCTAGTATCTTTATTTTTTATTTTTATTTTTATTTATTTATTTTTTTTTTGAGACAGAGTCTCGTTCTGTCGCCCAGGCTGGAGTGCAGTGGCGTGATCTCAGCTACAGCAATGAGACAAGAGAAAGAAATAGAGGGCATCCAAATTGGAAAGGAAGAAGTAAAATTATCCTTGTCTGCAGATGATATAATCTCATATTTGGAAAAAACAAAGGACTCCAAGCAAAAAAAAACTCTTAGAAGTGATAAACAAATGTAAAGTTACAGGATACAAAATGAGCAAACAAAAATCAGTAGCATTTCTACATGCCAACAGTGAACAATTTGAAATGAAAATCAAGAAAGTAATCCCATTTACAAAAGCTACAAATAAAATAAAGTACCCAGGAATTAAAGAAGTAATAGATCTCTACAATAAAAACTGTTAAAACTATAAAACATAGATGTAAGAAATTGAAGAGGATACCAAAAAATGGAAAGATATTTCATGTGCATGGGATTGGAATATTCAATGTTGTTATAATGTCTATACTCCCCAAAGCAATCTACAGATTCAATGCAATCCCTGTTAAAATATCAATGACATTCTTCACAGAAATAGAAAAAAAATTCTAAAATTTATATCGAGCTACAAAGACCCAAAATAGCCAAAACTATTCTAAGCAAACAAAAACAAAACTGGAAGAATCACATTACCTGACTTCACGTTATACTACAGAGTAACCAAAATGACATAGTACTGACATAAAAAAAAAAGACACATAGGCCAACGGAACAGAATAGAGAACCCAGAAATAAATCCACACACTTACAGTGAACTCATTTTCAACAAAGGTGCCAAGAACATACACTGGAGAAAAGACAGTCTCTTCAATAAGTGGTGCTGGGGAAACTGGATATCCATATACAGAAGAATGAAGTTAGACCCCTATCTCTTGCCATATACAAAAATAAAATCAAAATGAATTAAACACTTAAATCTAAGACCTCAAACTATGAAACTGCTCCAAAAAATTGGGGAAACTCTCCATGACATTAGACTGGGGAAAGATTTATTGAGTAATACCCCAAAAGAACAGGCACCCAAAACTAATAGGATCACATCACATTAAAAAACTTCTGCACAGCAAAGGAAACAATCACCGAAGTGAAAAGGCAACCCACAGAATGGGAGAAAACATTTACAAACTATTCACAATTAATAACCAAAACAACAAAAAGTTAGAAAGATCTGAAATTAACAGTCTAACTTTCAACCTAAAGAAACCAGAGGAAAAAAGAGAACAAACCAATTCCAAAGCAAGCAAAAGAAAAAAGAAAACAAATAACCTAAATTAGTGAAGAACTTTATGAAATTGAGATGCAAAAATCTACACAATGAATCAATGAAACCAAGTTGGGTATTTTTTGAAAAAATAAACAAGATTGATAGATTGCTAGCTAGATTAGCAAAGGAAAAAAAAAGGGAAGATCCACATAAGCGCAATCAGAAATGACAAAGATGACATTATAACTGGTTCCACAGAAATACAGAAGATCCTCAGAGAATACTATAAACAACTTTATGCACACAGATTAGAAAATCTAGAGGAAATGCATAAATTCCTGGAAATATACAATCTCCCAAGATTGAATCAGAAAGAGATTGGAAATCCTAAATAGAGTAGTGTTGAGCTCTGAAATTGAATGCATAATAAAAAAAATACCAACCAATAAAAGCCCTGGAAATAGATGGATTCAGAGTCAAATTCTACCAGATGTACAAAAACAACTGGTATCAATTGTCCTGAAATTACTACAAAAAATCAAGGAGGAGGGGCGTATTATTCCATTTTCACATTGCTGATAAGGACACACCTGAGACAGGGTAATTTATAAAGAAAAGGAGGTTTAATGGACTCAGTTCCATGTGACTGGGGAGGCCTCACAATCATGGCAAAAGGCGAAAGGCATATCTTACATGGTGACATACAAGAGAGAATTTGTGCAGGGAAACTCCCCCTTAATAAAACCATCAGATCTTGTGAGATTCATTCACTATCACGAGAACAGCACAGGAAAGACCCGCCCCCATGATTCAAATACTTCCCACCACCAGGCCCCTCCCACAACTCATGACAATTGTGGGAGCTACAATTCTAGATGAAATTTGGGTAGTGACACAGCCAAAGCATATCATTCCACCCCGGCCCCTCCCAAATCTCATGTACTCACATTTCAAAACCAATCATGCCTTCCCAACAGTCCACCAAAGTCTTAACTCATTTCAGCATTAATGCAAAAGTCCACAGTCCAAAGTCTCATCCAAGAGATGCAAGTTCCTTCCACCTATGAGCCTGTAAAATCAAAAGCAAGTTAGTTACTTTATAGATGCAATGGGGGTACAGGCATTGGGTAAATACAGCTGTTCCAAATAGGGGAAATTAGGCAAAAGAAAGGGGCTACAGTCCCCATACAAGTCTGAAATCCAGTGAGTCAGTCAAATCTTAAAGCTCCAAAATGATCTCCTTTGACTCCGTGTCTCACATCCAGGTCACACTGATGCAAGAGGTGGGTTTCCATGGTCTTGGGTAGCTCCACCCCTGTGGCTTTGCAGGGTATAGCCTCCCTCCTGCTTTCACAGGCTGGCACTGAGTGTCTGCAGCTTTTCCAGGCACACCATGCAAGCCATTGGTGGATCTACCATTCTGAGGTTTGGAGGACGGTGGCCCTTTTCTCACAGCTCCACTAGGTAGTGCCCCAGTGGAGACTCTGTGTGGGGGCTTCAATCCCACATTTCCCTTCCACACTGCCCTAGCAGAGGTTCTCCAGGAAGGTCCCTCCCCTGCAGCAAACTTCTGCTTGGACATCCAGGTGTCTCCATAGAGCCTCTGAAATCCAGGTGGAGATTCCCAAACCTTTATTCTTGACTTCTGTACACCCACAGACTCAACAGCATGTGGAAAGCTGCCAAGGCTTGGAGCTTGCACCATCTAAAGCCACGGCCTGAGCTGTACCTTGGCCCCTTTCAGCCACGGGTGGAGCAGCTGGGACACAGGCACCAAGTCTCTAGGCTGCACACAGCAGGGGGACCCTGGGCCCAGTCCATGAAACCACTTTTTCCTCCTGGGCATCCGGGCCTATGATGGGAGGGGCTGCTGCAAAGGTCTCTGACATGCCCTGGAGACATTTTCCCCTTTGTCTGGGTGATCAACATTTGGCTTCTTGTTACTTGTGTAAATTTCTGCAGCAGGCTTGAATTTCTCCTCAAAAAATGGGTTTTTCTTTTCTATTGTATTGTCAGGTTGCAAATATTCTGAACTTTTATGATCTGTTTCCCTTCTAAAACTGAATGTTTTTAACGGCACCCAAGTCACTTCTTGAATGCTTTGCTGCTTAGAAATTTCTTCTATCTGATACCCTAAATCATCTCCCTCAAGTTTAAAGTTCCACAAATCTCTAGGGCAGAGGCAACATGACACCAGTCTCTTTGTTAAAACATAGCAAGAGTCACCTTTATCTAGTTCCCAACAAGTTCCTCATCTCTATCTGAGACCACCTAAGCCTGGATGTCATTGTCCATATCATTATCAGCATTTTGGTCAAAGCCATTCAACAAGTCTCTAGAAAGTTCTAAACTTTCCTACATTTTCCTGTTTTCTTCTGAGTCCTCCAAACTTAAAAACCTCTGCCTGTTACACAGTTCCAAAGTTGCTTCCACATTTTTGGGTATCTTTACAGCAGCACCTCACTCTACTGGTACCAATTTACTATATTAGTCCATTTTCAGGCTGCTGATAAAGACATGCAGAGATTGGGTAATTTATAAAGAAAAAGAGGTTTAATGAACTCACAGTTCCATGTGGCTGGGGAGGCCTCAAAATCATGGCGAAAGGCAAAAGGCATGTTTTACGTGGCAGCAGACAAGAGATAATTTGTGCAGGGAAACTCTCCCTTATAAAACTATCAGATCTCATGAGACTTATTCACTATCACAAGAACAGCACAGGAAAGATTTGCCCCTATGATTCAATTACCTCCCACGAGGTCCATCCAGTGACACATGGGAATTGTGGGAGCTACAATTCAAGATGAGATTTGGGTGGGAACACAGCCAAACCATATCAAGGGACTTCTCCCTAACTCATTTTATAAAGCCAGAATCACCCTAATACCAAGATCTGGCAGAGACACAATGAAAAAAGAAAGCTTCAGGCCAATATCCCCGAAGGACATAAATGCAAGATCCTCAACAAAATACGAGCAAACCAAATCCAGCAGCATATCAAAAAGTTAATTCGGCACGATCAAGTGGGCTTTATTCCTGGGATGCAAAGTTGGCTCACCATAGGCAAATCAATAAATGTGATTCACCACATAAAAAGAATTAAAAGCAAAAATCACATGATCATCTTAATAGACACAGAAAACTTCAACAACATCCAGCATCCCTTCATGATAAAAACTTTCAGCAGACTAGGCACACAGGAATACATATCAAAACAATATAAGCCATCTATGACAAACCCATAGCCAACTTAATACTGAATGGACAAAACCTAGAAGCTTTTACTTTGAGAAATGGTACAAGACAAGGATGCCCACTCTTACCACTCCTATTAAACATAGTACTGAGAGTCCTAGTCTAGCAATCAGACAAGAGAAACAAATAAAAGGCATCCAAATAGGAAATAAGTCAAACTATCTCCTTTCATTGATAATATGATTCTACATTTTGAAAACCGTAAAGACTCTGCTGAAAGCTACTATAACTGATAAATGATTTTTAGCAAGGCTTCAGGACACAAAATTAATGTACAGAAATCAGCAGACTTCTATACACCAATAACATGTAAGCTAAGAGTCAAATCAAGAATACAATCCCATTTATAATAGCCACAGAGAAAATAAAATACCTAGGAATACAGCTAATTAAGGACATGAAAGATCTTTACAAGGAGAACTACAAAGAACTGCTAAAAAAAAATCAGTCATGACACAAATAGAAAAGCATCCCATGCTCATGGATTGGAAGAATCAATATCATTAAAATGGTCATACTGCCTAAAGTAATTTATAGATTCAACATTATGCCTATGAAACTACAAACATTATTTTCCACAGAATTAGAAAACGCAATTCTATAATTTATGTGAAGCCAAAAAATAGCCTGAATAATTTATAGCCCAAAGTAATTTAAAGTTCCAACATTATGCCTGTCAAACTACCAACATCATTGTCCACCGAATTAGAAAAAACAATTCTATAATTTATGTAGAGCAAAAAAAAAGCCTGAATAGCCAAAGCAATTCTAAGCAAAAAGAACAAATCCACAGACACTATCCAACTACAAACTATACTATAAGGCTACAATAATTAAAGCAGCATGGTACTAGTACAAAAACAAACATATAGACCAATGACAGAATTGAAAATTCAGAAATAAAGCCACACATCTACTACCATCTGATCTTTGATGAGGCTGACAGAACCAAACAATGGGAAAGGACTCCTTATTCAATAAATGGTGCTGGGATAACTGGCTAGCTATATGAAGAAGAATGAAACTAGACTTTATCTTTCACCATATAGAAAAATTAAGTCAAGATGGATTAAAGATTTAAATGTAAGACCTCAAGCTATAAAAATCCTAGAAGAAACCCTAGGAAATACCTTCTCAATATTGGCCTTGGCAAAGAATTTATGGTGAAGTCCCCAAAAGCAGTTCCAAAAAAGCAAAAATTGACAAGTGGGACCTAACTAAACTAATGATCACAGCAAAATAAACCATCAATAGGGTAAACAGATGATCTACAGAGTGGGAGAAAATATTTACAAACTATGCATCCAACATGGATCTAATATCCAGAATCTATAAGGAACTTAAACAAAACAATAAGCAAAAACCATATAACCCCATTAAATAGTGGGCCAAAGACATGAACAGACACTTCTCAAAAGAAGATATATATGTAACCAATGAACATATGAAAACACACTCACATCACTCATCTTCAGAGAGATGCAAATCAAAACCACAGATACCATGTCACATAATTCAGAAAGGCTGTTATTAAAAAGTCAAAAAACAACAGATGCTGCCTAGGCTATGAAGAAAAGGAAGTGCTTACACATTGTTGGTGGGAATGTAAATTAGTTCAGCCTCTGTGGAAAGCAGTTTGGAGATTTCTCAAAGAACTTAAAACAGAACTACCATTTGACTCATCTATCCTATTACTGGGTATACACCCAAAGGAATATGAATCATTGTAACAAAAAGACACACACTCATACATTCATTGCCATATTATTCACAACAGCAAACACATGAAATGAACGTGGGTGCCCATCAACGGTGAAATGAAAAAAAAAAGTGTGGTAAATATACACCATGTAATACTATGCAGCCATAAAAAAAAATTGAAATCATGTCCTTTGCAGTAACATGGTTGGAGCTGGAGGCCATAATCCTAAGCAAGTTAACACAGAAAGAGAAAACCAAATACCGCATGTTCTCACTTACAGGTGGGAGCTAAACATTGAGCACATATAGACGTAAACATAAGAATAATAAACACTGTGGACTACTAGAGGGGGAGTCAGGAAGGGGGGTGGGGGTTAAAAAACATCCTATTAGCTATTATGCAGTCTACCTGGGTTCAATATACTCATGTAATAACCCTATGTATGTACCACATTTATTAAAATAAAAGCTGAATTTTTAAAAAATAATATAAGACAAATTATTTCCTATAATCACAAAAAGGAGAAAAGCAAACAAGTAGAAAAATCATGAATATAGAAAACAGCCAATCACAGAAGAGCGTATGACCAATAAATAACAGAAAAGATACTCTGTCTACCAGTAATACTGAAAGTATTAATTAAAACAATAATAAAAGGACATCTGTACCCATTAAAATCGATAGTATCAAATATTAGGTAGGGTTTGAGGAAACAGGTGTGACTAATAATTGGCAGCATTTATAGAAGGTAAATATTTATTTATATCATCCAGTGTTTTAGAAGTGCATTTTTTGGCATAGGAATTTCTCTTCCAGATTTCTACCTTATAGAAACATTCAAACACATTCACCAAGATAAAAACATAAAAAAGGTTAATGTAGCATTATTTGTAGCAAATGCTGGGGAAAATAATATGGAAAGATACAAACAAAACTATCAACAGTTTACATTGGAGAGAGGAGGGAAATTAGATGGGGTTGTAGAGTCACTTTTTATTCAATATGCATCTATATTATTTTATTTTTCAACTATTAACATTTGTCTTATTTGTGAAAATGTTTAAACTCTGCAAGTGATCAAATAGGAATAACAGAAATTAGGCTCATTCCATCTGCAGGCACTTAATTCACTTCTCAAAGAAAAGCATGTGGAAGTAGTTATGTCATGGGCCATCTTGGTTTCAGAATGCACATCACCTGAATATCACTTTTAAAAACTTAAATGTATTGGCCTTTTCTTCACAAGGTATATAGGAGATGTGATGTGTTGCAAAGAAATCCAGCTACAGTAGAGGAAGAAGGAACACCATTAATAATTCCTGAATTATAACATTTATTTTTCCATCAAAATCAAATTTGTTTGAAACTTGAGTAAAAAATCAAAGAAGCGGCCAGGCACCATGGCTCATGCCTGTAATCCCAGCACTTTGGGAGGCTGAAGCAGGTGGATTGTTTGTGCTCAGGAGTTCATGACCAGCCTGGGCAACATGGTGAAATCCTGTCTCCACAAAAAATACAAAGATTATACAGGTGTGGTGGCACATGCCCGTAGCCCCAGCTACTCAAGAGGCTGAGGTGGGAAGATCTCTTGCACCTGGAGGTCGAGGCTGCAGTGAGCCCAAATCACATCACTCTACTCCAGCCTGGGTGACAGAGTGAGATGCTTTCTAAAAATTAAAAATAAATTAAAATCAAAGTTTTTCATCAATCTCCTTCTCATGCAGTTGAAACCCTAAGACACTAAAAATGTCTACATCAAATTATAAGCTCTCTTACACATGCAATTAGTCTCACAAATGGAGCAAAGCCAAGAAATATTTACCGGCACTAGGCACACCAAGCTGTTCATTATTTCATTTAATGAAATAATGAGATCGGAATTAGTATAATTCCTCTCACAAATAAAGAAAAATTTCTTGGTGCAGAGAGTGGCAGCCACTTTGGTTATTGTGGTATATACACAGTTGCTGTTTTTTATATTTGAGCCCTGTAGCGCCCTGTTAAGAAAGGAGAAAAAACTGAGTCCAATAGGAAAATATAAAAAATAATTTCAATATGTAAACTACTATAGTCAAGAAGAGAGTTACATATTTAGCTATTTCTCTATTTCTTTATTCATTCAACAAACATTTCTAGAGCACCACCGTAACTCCAGGACCTGGGATAGACACACACAAAAAAAGTCTATTCCTGTCCTCAAGGGCTTCACTCTGAAGAAATGCCACATCATGGAGCAAAAAAGAGTGGTTTCTAATTCAGACAAACGAGGAAAGAATTTGCTGGGTTTGATGGTTAATTGTACATGGCAATTTTAGTGGAGTAAGAGATGCCCAGGTAGGTGGTAAAACATTATTTCTGGATGTGTTTGTGAGGGTGTTTCCAGAGGAGATAAGCATTTGGATTAGAACTTGAATATATTAGGCGGAGTACGGAAGATCTGGCCTCACCAATGTGGGTGGCATCATACAAGCCATTGAGGGTCCAGATAGAATGAAACGCAAACTCACGGTAGATTCTCTCTTCTTGAGCTGGGACACATTTCTATTTTCTCTTGCCCTTGAATATCGAAGCTCCTGGTCTCAGGCCTTCAGAATTTGGGACTCATACCAGTAGTCCCCACGCCCACACACCTCCCTGCAGATTCTCAGGCATTCAGACTCTGACTGAGAGTTATACTATCAGTTCACCTGGTTCTCAGGCCTTCAGACTGGTATTGAATTACACCACCCGCTTTCCTGGGTCTCCAGCTTGCAGATGGCACATTGTGGGACTTTTCAGCTTCCATAGTCAAGTAAGCCAATTCCCATAATAAAGAAATAAATATGTAATTATATATATATTTATTTTTATGTGTGTATGTATATACATATATACACACATGTATATATGTATAAACATGTTTGTATATATTTACATGTGTGTACACGTGTGTGTCTTCTATATATGCATAAGTGTGTGTGTAAATTTACTGGTCTATATATACAAATATATATAGAGAGAGATGGGTAGAATTTATATATTTTACATATATAATTATTTGATGTGTATAAAATATATACATTTACACACACGTATACATACATGTAAATAAATGTAAATGTTTTATATATGTTTATATATGTGTGTGTATATATATTTATATAGACACACACACGTGTGTATTTGTGTATTCTCCAGGTCTGTTTCTCTAGAGAACCCTAACACACCAGGGAAAGCTATTTGGACGTGATAACATTTAAGCTGAATTGTAAAGAAGATACACATACTTTGTGAGAAGAAACCACATCCACCTTTTCGTTCATTATGTATCCAGTCACTACACAGAACCTGACACATGGTTTATGAAAGATTAAATCAATGAATGCATGAATAAATGAATGCTGTATCTAAAAATTAATGAGTAGGGTTTAACCAGATGAAGAGTAAAGGGTAATCCAGACAAAAGATATAGCATATGCAAATATAGAGGCATGAAACAGCATATCTCATGTGAGTTAACTGCAAACTTGAAGCATACAGTGCATATCAGAGAGCAAACATTTAATACAGCACAGAAAAAAGCATTCCAAATAGCAGCATAGTATAAAGAGGACCAAATTAGAAATAGAAAACCTAATTCTGAGTTTATCTCTACCATCAACAGGTGCATGAGTTTCTTAATTTATTTAGCATCTGTAAAACAAAATACTTGAACCATCTGATCTGCAACATTCTTTATAGTTCTAAAAACCTATAATTTCACGGATCAGATGCTTTAAAAATGGAAAAAAAAATACTTTACACTGAGTCCAATCCAAATCTTTTTCAAATTATCTCCTTGTAGTGTGTACTTACGTGTGTGTGATTTAGAATGCCCATTGCTGGATAGCAAGGACCTAAAGATAAATAGAATATAGCATGTATTTGATTTAGATCATGGGGCTAGCCATTGAAACTGCAAATGTCTAGGTACCCTCTCTATATTTCCAAGTCTAGAAAATGTCATTAATATCTACATTGATAACTTTTTAAAAATGTATTAAGCAACAGCCAATCATTATGTGCTAGATTGAACAAAAGATGAGAGACACTATACCCTGATTAGTCATGAAATGGTAGAAGGGGAAAAAAGTGATTTAGGAATGTGCAGGAGGAACTAATTCCAGTAGTCAAAGAAAAAATTATATTTTTAGCCAATAAAAAATAAAACGGCAATCTCAAGTATGTTAACATCAAAATGAAGAAACAGCTAAACATTACTTCTATTTAATTGAAGGAGTAAATGTGTCTGACTCTCAAAGAAAATGGAATGTTAGATAGAAATAAAACACAGTTCTCCTTGACTGTTTACTAAAGACTTTCTGCTTTGAATTTGTGGATATTTTTCCCAAATCCAGAGAAAGGCTTGGAAATGAGAATATTTCTCTGATGTCAGACTGTGATCATCTCATTAGATTTTCCCTTCACCCTTGCCTTGGGAAAGAAAAAACAAAACATTTAGAAAACATTAAACATGAGGAATAATGTTTCTGTAGAATACTTACACTTAGTTGCAAATAATCCTGATATTTACAAAAGAATGAAATACATATTTCCTGATATTACTGCAACAATACATCCAGAAGATACTGTTTGCAACTCTGTCCAAAAGCATATATGAATTACAGAGAAAGTGTTAACAATCCTTCAATCAAAGAGCTGTTATCTGAGCTAAGAGTTTTTGACTAAAAAAAAAAAATACACATACAGATTAAATAAAATTACTGAATGAATTAGTACTGTCATTAAATAGATATTATGACCCACTCAGCCCTCATGGGTATTTTGTTTATAGAAAACCTACCAGCTGTTAGAAGTGTTTGCCTCTAATTTTGAAATTATTGGTGCTGCTGCTGTAAAGATTACTTCATGGTGTAGTAAAGTAGTGGGGGCAGGGTGGAATATTCTCATTTATTTTCAAAATAACCATTACTTCTTAACATCAACAATTTTGTCTTTTCCAAAATTGCTTACAATATGCATGGGATTTCCCTTGTTTGGAACTACTAAATTGTATGATTTTTACTGTAGAAAAGAGAGCTACCAATAATAAAAGCTATTGAGTTTAAAAGTAAGAGAGGTGACTATTAGGATCCCTTCCCAGGCCATTATTCAAAGAAAGGATGTAGGAACAGAGAATATCTCTAGGAAAATAAGCAAACAGCTGGAAAATACTATATAGTACAGTCAATTGGGACCTAACCAAGATTCAACTCAAATGCTAAGGGAGAAATACCAGACTATAGCAAAAGGATATCTTTATGAAATACAGAAAGGAAGAAATTGAAAACACATTTCAGGTCCTAGAAAAATCCTCTGAAGAAAACAATCCAGTAGCAATGTGAAGGCACTCCTGATCTTCTGTCTTGACTTCATCATGCTACCCAAGTCACAGCCATAAAAGTCTACTGACTGGTCTTCCTTTAGTACAATGCCTCAAAGTATACATTCAGTAAATATGTTTAATTAACTGGATGACTCCCTCAGGAAAAAACTGAGAAACTGACCAGGCTGCAGTTGTCATGTTGATAAGATCTGCTGCTCCAAACCTCAACAAGAAAAATGTGTACTTTGAAAAAAAAAGTGTTATTTAGAAAATACTTTGTATCTATGGGGACAATTAATAGTAAGCACCCCCCCCCCCCAAATTGAATGCCTACCATATGGTAATGGCCTTACTTATACAATATGATTTAGTCCCAACAATTGAGATTTTTATCTTACTGATAATTAAGGTACTGGTCTAGTATCGCATAGCTAATTATTGCTTGAAAATAACAAAATCCAGTTCCATCTGGCTCCAAAACATACCGTGCTACACTACCTCCAATTTCTAGGGATGACAACTTGAAGTGAAGCACTGTTTCTAAGGGAAACAGGTGCTTTCTAAGAGAAGTAGGATGCCCATATGTTGGATCCGTTAAATTCTGCAAAATCCCTAACTTTTTGCAAGTAGCAAGCCAGTCTCTCTTCCGTGCTGCTCTTAATACCTTAGCACTGAAATAGCTAAGGTAATTCCTTCTTTACTGGGGATTAGAAAAATCTTATTAAGGAGCTTTTGTTTTTCTCTTAAACGACACATTGGGATGCAGTTTCAATTATACTTCTGAAGTTCTCATAGGTTTCTTAAAAGACAATGACAAAATTTCAACATTCTTACATTCAGGACATTAGTTCTCTCAGGACAAGGTGGAAATTCAGAAATATACATATACCCTCATTCCTACTATGTTCAGTAATTCTTTGTATTTGTTGACTTGCTTGGGTCTGAGGCTGAGAATAAGAATGAAAACCTTCATTTCTGTGAGGCTTTCCCACCTGTTCTTTGATGGTTCACAGAAGATAAATGTTCCCAGCACTAATTAACATCTTGAGATAACTACAGGAATGGTCATTACCCCAGAGAGGAAAGTACAGGGGCAAAGGCAAGATATGTATGTATGAGGAAAAATATACAATTTTCCAGATAATTGGGGGCACAAGTAGTACCCCACATCCCTGCCAACCCTCAGGCTTGCTGACCCAGACCTCAGACCCTGGAAACACCTCTATTTGAGGTAAACTTCAACAAGGACTTTAGAGCATGGATTCCAGAACCAAACTGCCTAGGTTTGACCCTTGACTTTGCCACTAAGCTGTGTGACTTAGCTTAGGCAAATAAGTTACTTAAATTCTTTATATCTGTGTTTCTCATTTGTGAAATAATGGCAAAATCTAACTCATAGATTAGTTTCATGAACTAAATAAGCTAATATTTATAAGGTGCTTAGGACCTTGCATATAACAAGAACTTTGTAATTTCGTGTTAAATAATGTTCAGAGGACATTCATTCTACAGATGCATTCACACTGCAGATAACCACAATGATAATTCCAAGACGATTGGAACTATGTTTTGCCCAGAAAATTGCTGAGGCCTAAGCAGAGAGGAGTATCATATACTACTGCAAACAATAGAATCCATAGCTCCAAGCCTTATACTACAGGAAATAGAATCCATAGCTCCAAGCCTTATACTACTGCAAACAATAGAATCCATAGCTCCAAGCCTTATACTACTGCAAACAATAGAATCCATAGCTCCAAGCCTAGGTAGATATGTGACCCTACATTTTTCTAAAATACAATTATTATTATTATTTTTTTTACTATTCTCATGTCTCATTTTCCAAAAACCAGAGCATTTCTCCTATTGACTACTTCAAGAAGACCAAAAGTTATAATTTGTAATTAGTTACTTGAGTTCTTTAAAATTGTTCAAGTGGAAGAATGCTCCAATGCCCACGGTTCTTTTAAAATAACTTGAAATATTGATATATTTAGTTATATCATTTAGGAATACTTTATAATGGTTATATTATGTATATAAACCACTAGTCTCCACACATAGAGTGTAGAGACTCTACATTAATTCAAAAGTAATAATACATAAATTTGTGCAAACAAATCACATTTTAAGTTTAAAAAAGCCAGTCACCAGACTGTACACAGGGTTATTTTTAATATGTTTTAAAATATATAGTTCATTAGAGGAAGGTAAATTCTGTAAGAAATAACTTAGGAATACAGAGTGTGAAGGACTATAATTTAAAATAAAGTATAATTCATTTGAAAACTTAAATTCCAAGAAGTATTTAATTTACCAAAACTTACTCCAGAAGAAACTTTTTAAAATGTTTTATAGATAGCCAGGACACAACCAATGTTTACAGACTGGCATATTTTCAGGTTGGTTGAGCCGGTGCCATACTGGCCATTAATATTTTAAAATCCTGGCCTTGCCTATAACCATCAACAAAAATGAGTCTAAAATATGCTCACAAAGTAAACAACTGCTCTGTACTGTGTTAAAAGCGAGTCATATCAACAGTTGAAAGGACAGAATAGCTTAATATTATCCCAATTCTCATAGAAGGCAAAACACAAAAGCAAGAGAGGGTTAGGTGGGAGACAGTCCATTTCATGAAACTAGAAAAACGTGTATCTGAGTGAAGAGAGAAAGTAATGTTCCTCCCTTACATTCCATCACAACACTCATAGATTTCTCATGTTTTACATTAATTTCCTAATTGGTTTTAGTTGCTATTGTTGTTATTGTTGTTGTTTAATCTTCAAATAATTTTTATCCAGAATCTGTCTTTGGCCCTTTCTCTCTTACTAATTTGTACAATCTCAATGAATGATCTCATCTATTGCCATGGCTTCATAGCATAACGGACACCCAAATTTATATATCCAAACATGATCGCTTTCCTAATCTGCATACTCATCATGTATCTGATGTTTCGAAAAAAAAACTCACAAGAATTCTCCACATGCATTGAAAACTCACTGTTCAAAGCTGAACTCCTTACTTTACTATCCATCTGCTATCAGACCCTCCGCCTTCATTTCGCATCTTGCTGAGCGGGACCATGATTCAAGTTTTCCAATGCAAAAGCCCACAAATCATCATTGATATCTGGCTCTGTATTCCCATCACCCCACAACTGACCAAATCTTTTTTTTCCCCCCTTAGAGACTGGGTCTCACTCTGCCACGCAGGCTGGAGTGCAGTGGCGTGAACTCAGCTCACTGAAGCTCAACCTCTTAGACTCAAGTGAGCCTCCCACCTCAGCCTCCAGAGTAGCTGGGACTACAGGTGCATGTCACCATGCCTGGCTGATTTTTGTATTTTTTGTAGAGATGGGGGTCCCACTATGTTGCCCAGGCTGGTCTTGAACTCCTGGACTCAAGTGATCCTCCCGCCTCAGCCTCCCAAAGTGGTTGGATGACAGGCATGAGCCACCACATCTAGCCCAATTGACCAAATCTTGATGATTCTACCTCCTTAGTGCCTCTCTACTAAAATTCTTTCCTTCCTATACCCATGATCACAATTATATTTTGCATATTTGATTTGTCTCCTGTATTACTTATGAAAGCTTAGATTCTGTAATCATTCACAACCCTGCCGGCCACTGCTGGCCACTCCCCCATGTAGGTGCAATCTCTTCACCTGGAACATTCCTTTATCTTCATCCCCATCAGAGTTATCCTAATCAAAAACAATTTTCTAATTAATCCACTTTCATTTCTGAACCAAGTGTTGAAAGAATACCCTTCTTTGACCTTCCACAACTCCACTTTTATTCCATATAGCATTTATCCAAATCTGTATACTTTCTGTCTTTCTAACTGGACTATGAGACCCTTAAGGGCACTATTTCTCTCTTTTAGCTATGCAACACTAGTATCTATTGTAATGCTTAACATATGGTCTCCTTCAAGAAACATTCATTGAATGAATGAATGAATGATTCATTCAAAAACACTGAGCATCAGTGGCATGACAGACACTATTCTAAGTGATAATGATATTTTAGTGAAGCAAATAGAAAAAAAATGTACCTCATGGAGCTTATTTGGCAATCAGTGTGTGAATAGGTAATAAGGCTGACTGGAAAACAAACTAGTCAGACGAGGAGAGGATTTCAAATGGAGATCAAGTCACATAACACTATTGCTTTCACTCTTACTTTCCTCTTCTCATAATCTTCCAAAAGTAAACTCTGGAGAAAAACATCAGAGGATTTTTCAAATCAAACAAGGAGTCGAATAATACATTATTTTGACAAGAGTTATGTGAATAGAAACCCCAAAATAAAGATCTTACAAAGCCTAAAACATATCCAAATTTATACCTTCTTTAGATCATTCGGGTCTACTGCGTCTCAGTGAATTAGGAGTGATAAGTGCATATTCCACAGGAGATACCTTCTTGTCATTCTCTTCTGAGAAATAAAGTGAAACAAAGATTGAGCCTCGGCCGGGCGCGGTGGCTCACGCCTGTAATCCCAGCACTTTGGGAGGCCGAGGCGGGTGGATCATGAGGTCAGGAGATCGAGACCATCCTGGCTAACAAGGTGAAACCCCGTCTCTACTAAAAATACAAAAAATTAGCCGGGCGCGGTGGCGGGCGCCTGTAGTCCCAGCTACTCGGGAGGCTGAGGCAGGAGAATGGCGTGAACCCGGGAGGCGGAGCTTGCAGTGAGCCGAGATCGCGCCACTGCAGTCCGCAGTCCGGCCTGGGCGACAGAGCGAGACTCCGTCTCAAAAAAAAAAAAAAAAAAAAAAAAAAAAGATTGAGCCTCATCACAATAGTGCGTAGAGATCAGAGGTCAGGGCTCTGTCACACAGGACGGCCTGGAGTTTGTCGTAAGCCAGTGAAGTAGACGGTGGTGGCTGGCAGGTTCATCACCCAGTTATCCTAGCGCCTCACAATCTTCACAAAGGCACCCATGCTGCCAGTGAAGCGCGTCCTGGCGGCACAGCGGATACCATTTGGAGACAGGTGCAGGGGCTCCAGGACACCACTGCGGCACAGGAGGCCCTGCCCCGTGGCTCGGAGGGAGGAGGGCGATTCGGCTTAGGAGAGGTCCAGAGTCTGGAGTGAGGCTTCAGTCCCAGCAGGGCGCTGAGAGCGCAGGCGGACCTTCACCACGTCCAGGGGTGTCCTGGAGATGGAGGTGACGGCTGCCCGAGGCCACCACTTGTTGGAGGAGGCTAACGCCCTCAGGTCCTGCTCAACCGCCTCCTGGCTTCAATCCTGCCTCTAGGCCTGGCTGGCGCGGCGGCGCGCTCGGGCTCACTGCAGGGTCTGCGCATGCTCGCCTCCTGACAAAGCCCACTCTGAGAGCATTGCTGAATTTGATTTGCTGATATTTTGTTTAAAAAGATTATTTCTATTCAGGGAGGATATTCGTCTGCAGTTTTCTTTCCTCAACATGCCTAATTTTTATATTAGAGTAATTCTGGTCTCATCAAATGAGTTGGGAAATGCTCCTTCCTCATCTAATTTCTGGAAGGGTTTAAGTGGGATAGGTGTTACATTGTCCTTATATGTTTGGTAGAATTTACCACGAAAGTGTGGGTTTTCTTTGTGGAAAGGTTTTTTAACTGCAAATTGAATTAGTTTAATAGATATAGAGCTAGTTAGGTTAACTATTCCCTCTTAAGTGGACTGTGGAATTGTGTCTTTCAAGAAATTTGTACACTTTACATGTTATTGAATTAATGAGCAGAAAAATACTTAATATTCACTTATCCTTTAAATATCTGTAGCATCTGTATTACTTTTCCTACTTTTATTCCTGATATTGGTAATTGGTGTCTTCTTACAGTTTTGGGGAATAATCCATTTTGTTGACATGTTAAAAGAATCAGCTTTTGGTTTATTTTTCTCTATTGCCTTTCTATTTTCTATTTCATGGATTTCTGCCCTTATCTTTATTATTTCCTTTCTTCTGTTGGATTTGGAATTAATTTTCCTTATTTTTTAAATTCCAAAGTTGGAATCTTGGATAACTGATTTTAGACCTCTCTTTTCTAAATAGCATTTTATAACTTCCCTCCAAGCAGTACTCCAATAGTAGCAGAAATTTTGCTATGTTGCACGTTTATTTTCATTCAGTTCAAAATATTTGCTAATTTCGACTACAATTCTTCTTTCACCTATGTGTTATTTATAAGTGCATTTTAAAATTTTACCATATTTGGGAATGTTCCAAATATCTTTCTGCTATTGAATTTTTAGATTTATTTGTGGTCAGAGAACATGCTATGTATAATTCATTTTAAACATATGGGCTCTTTTGGCCCAAAATATGGTGTATCCTGGTGACAGTTCTGTGTGCAGTTGAGTATTTTTTTCTATTGTTGAGTGGGGTATTCTATATATGCCAGTTATTTCAATTTGGTTGATGGTGCTCTTCCAGACTTTTTATGTCCTTACTGATTTTTTTCTAAATATTCCAGTAACCACTGAGAGAGGTGTGTTGACATGTTTGACTATAACTGAGGATTTGCCTATTTCTTCTTTCAGTCTTGGCAGTTTTGATGCAGGAGAACATGGTCAGGAGACAGGGAACCTAAGATTGATTCACGCTGACTTCCTAGAACTGAATCAAAAGGAAAACCCCACCTCTCTATACCCAAGTAACAAAAAGATCAGGGGCTACTCCCTTTGCAACATCCCCCACCCCTTTTCTGCATTGAAGACGAAAAATGAAAGTATCTTTCATTGGTTCCCTCCTGAAACCAATCAGACTGATCACAGGCCAAGTCTTCATGTGTAACCTTGTAACTTTACTTCAGCCTCCTATTGGTCACCTTCTGCAACCAATTAGACTGATCACAGGCCACTACTTCATTTACATAAGGTGTAAACCAAGTAACCAATTGGAAACCTCTAGACGGTATTTAAACTCCAGAAAATTCTATAACCAGCCTCTTGAGCTGCTTGCTTGGCCCACTCTCACTCTGTGGAGTGTACATTTGTTTCCATAAATCTGTGCTTTTTTTTTCATTGTTTTGTTTGTGCATTTCATCCAATTGTTTGTTCAAAATGCCAAGAATCTGGACACCCTCCACCAGTAACAGGTAACAGTTTTGGTTCTATGTATCTTCAGATCTGTTATTAGGTATATATACATTTAGAGTTGTATGTCAGCTTATTGCTTTTGATCTCATCAACATTATGTAATATTCTTTATCTCTGTTGTAGTGATTGACAGAATTTTCTTTCAGTATAACAAAAATGCCACTTTATCATCTGATCTGCAAAGTTTCAGATGTGAAATTATAATTCGTATTGTCTCTAAACTCTTGGATGACCTGTTATGTTATTTTTTTACTCTTTTCTTATTTTTGGTAGTTTAGTTGGGATAATTTCTGTTCATCTATCTTCAAGTTCACTTGATTTTTCTTTCCCTATCCTGTGTTCAGTTTTCTAAGAAGTGCATGGAAGGAATTCTTTATTTCTGATATCATAGTTTTATCCTTGGCATTTCCACTTGACTCTTTTTAAAAATATAGTTTTCATCTCTGAAAAATTTCATCATATATCAATGCATGTTTTTAAAATTTCCACTGTTTCTTTGACATATTAAAAAATTATTTTAAGTTTCTCACCAATAATTTCAACATCTTGAACACACATATCTTGAGTTTTATCAGCTAGTATTTTTTTTTGGCAATGGGTCCTTTTCTCACTTTTTGTGTGTTTGTCGCTTATAATTCTATTGAATGGCAAACACTGTATGTCAGGCCAGCATGGCGATACCTCTTCTGTAAATCTGTAAAGTTGAAGTGTTGAGCTAGTTTATGTTTCATTGTTCCTGTGGTCACCTTTAGTACACCACAGACTTCAAATGCTCCCAGTGATGTACTGCCACTACCTTACACTTCGTGCAGGGTCTGGGGAGCGGGAGGTTTTTCTTAGTGTTCTGTTCTGATTTCAGCACGCCCTGCACACCTGCAGTGTGAAGAGGTTCTCTCTCTAAACTGTTGCCCCTCCTCTCTTGTGGCTTGTTACGTGAAAATAACGACAGTGTTGGGAGAAATAGAAATTCTAGTTTATCTTGGCCTATTCTCAGTCTTGGGCAAGGCCCTATGTACCTTGGCCTCAGGAGTGTGGTTTCCTCAGCATTCCTCATCGTCCTCCTCAGCAACCAAGCTCTTCTTGTATCTATGGGGAGTCTTGGGCAGGAAAGAATTTCTCCTCTGCTGGCATAGCAGATCTCTGCCTTGTGTCACTGTGGGATCCTTGACCCCAGAGGGTTTCCTGCTCCTCTCTGTTTGAACATCTTTTTTCTTCTCCCCTTCCTTCAACAGCAGAATGTTTTTGACTAGGATCAGTAATGGGGGAGTTTTCTGCCCCTCTTCAAGCAGTAGACTGTTGTTGTGTGTTGCTTGGTGCAAGGCTTGTGGTGGGAGGTATGGTGGTTTCCTTCTCTTTTCTCTGCTACAAAGAAATTTTGCTTTTAGCTTTCTTTTTGCATCACGTTACGTTCTGTAAGACCAGGAGAAAGAGAGAGGTTTATCCTACCCCTCCCCCAAGGGCAGAGAACTTTTGCTTATACTGCTTCTCTAAAAGCACTCAAACTTTGCCTGATTCCTGGGAGCAGGAGGGTTTGTTGGCCCTCCCTAAGTATCTTAAAGGTTTTGCTTCAAGTGAGAAAAGGCACTGGGAAATGCTGAGGTTTCATGCCTAGACGTCGCCATGGCTAAGGGGCTTTCTCTGGCTCTGCCCTGCCCCAGGCCTTCTAATGAGCTCCCACTTGAGGCCTGTGGAAAAGACCTGGAGACTCCCCTTGCAGCTAGGACTCTCAGTGACACATGAAAGCCCAACTGAGCTTAAGACTTTGTTCAAAATTTAGTGTTTTTATTTTACTTTTATGGCTGCCATCTTTTCCTCTTATGCTCTGCCAAAAATGAAACCGTCTATGAGTCCCATCTCTCCTTAGCGGTGCATGTCCCGCTTGGAGTTCAATTTAAGTGGTTGCCTTGTGACCTCAGCACTCTGATGTCCTCAGATAAAGTTATACTTTTATACATTATCTGAATTTTTCTTGTTGTCAGGTGAGAGCGATTATCTCTGTGGCTTTTTGTTTTCTAAGCACAAGTCCGTACAAGATGTTTTTTTTTTTAACTCAACTGGTTCAGTTTCTGTTAATACATTATTTTTGAGTTAGCATTATAATATTGCTTTGCTGGAATAAAGTCCTTTGTAAAAATATATTTCTGGATGATTTTCAATGAGGGCACTCTACTAAGTGAATTGTAGGCTATACTTTATATAATTTTATTTCATATGCTTATAAAATAAGAAGAATCCATGACACCTTTTAACTTAAAAATTGAATCAAAATAAAATCAGGCATAGAAAATTAATAGTGATGATCTTAAATTGATTTAAATACAATTGATACTATTAATCTGAAAATGACTAATTTTATATGAATATCCACATAAAGACAATAAAAATAATGATAAAATTAATAAATTTGGACATTGAGGAAAGAGACATGAAAATATCGAAGTCTTCACATTTTCATACCAGAGAAACAATCTTTACTACAAGTAAAACATATTTTTAAAAGAATAAAAGTCTAGTGACTTCAAAATCTTTATAAAAATAGTATTTCTCTTAATCTTAAAAGGGAAAACTTAGGAAATAGTGTCTTATGTTAAAGAAACATTAATTCTAAATATTAATTCATTTAGTTTAATTTTCTGCCTTATTTTCTACTAGATCCTGCTAATGTAAAATTTAATAGTTTTTTTACAATTAAAGCACAATATGTATAGTATAATCCTATTTTACTAAATGCTTTTCTGTCCTAATATTCTACTTATTCATCTGTATATATATCCAACTATAATACATTAATAGATTGTATAATCACAATGACTATTTCTTGGTTACATATAACATTTTGGATTAAAAAAAAACTTTTTCCTGTATAATTACCTGCAATTTTTCGTATAGAATCTATAATGTATTTTAAGAAGCAATTGTTTGTTTAATTAAACAAACTTTTTTAAATTTAAAAATGACTGGAAGGGTATTTAAAAGTATTTTAAGTACTCTTTAAAAGAATTTTTAAGTAATTACAAATGGTGTAATTTGTCTTCTTTGTGCTTTTATGTAACAATTTCTAAAAATATTTCATTTTGGCTTCCAGATATTTAATCTGCATGTTGTCATGCCTTTGAGAATATTGGACAAACACATTTGTAAAATTTCATGTGTCATATGTATTATCAGGTAGACACATAAAGAAGAGCACACAATAACTGGAGAACATTGTAGAGAAACTCCAGAAATGTGTTCAATAAAATATAGCACCTTAAAGCAAAAAAAAAAAAAAGATATTTTAACTCTTGGTGATTCTGAGATAAAAACAAACAAAAACACCTGTATATTTGTATCATAGATCAATTCTACATCATCTTTGATTGGAGATTACAAGTAAAATCTAAAACACATACACGCTAAACACACTCCTTACATATAAATTGTACTAGTGCACATTTAAATATATGTTTAATATGCATATATATGTTTAATATATAATGTATACCATTTGAACTTAATTAGAAAATAGTATATGTAGAGGGAAATCGATCTCTTAAAAAGTGGTGGTTAGTGTTAGCAAAAGGCATGCAGGGCTCAATAAATATTTGTGGAAAGAATGAAGGTATGAATGAACAAATGTATGTATGAATTAATATCCAAATCTAGAGAGACAGAGTTAGAGGGATAACAGCCCAGTGGTTTTCTTATTCTCAGGGTTTTTCCCTCCCTCTCTTTCATGCCCTAGCCAGGCACTCTTTTTCGATAATTTGCAAAGAAAATACTATGAAGAGTCTGAAGTAAAAGTTCACTTGTTGAACCCGATGTTTTCTTTCCCCCAGGCATTGGGAAGGGGAAGGCAGAAAAGCGGAGTGCAAAATGAAGTGGTAGTGGGTGCTAACTAACAAGAGAACCTTTGAACACGATGGGACAGAAATAAGGTCATGCATTTTCTACTATCTGTCACCTGTGGACAACTTGCCACTTCAACAGTTCTGGACACTTTTAAGCTCCCCCGAGGAGAAGATAGGAAACTTGGACACCCTGTGTGGGATTGAGAATCACAAAGGGGCAGTCTCGCACCTGGTCAAGATAAAGCTGAACTGAACTCTTCATTCACAAGTGGGATTCTCGTAAGAGGCAGGAAAGCAGGGACCGTCTGTCACTACAGACAGCAAGAAGAGGTGAACCTTAATGAGGGAAGAAAACAGATTCTATTAGGGGAAAAAAACATTTAATCAGAAAATAAGGCTCTGGAAAGAAAAGGCCAATTGGGGCTTTGTCTGAAGAAATAACAGAGTATTTTTCTGCCAGAGAAAGCAAGTCCAAGGGAGGAATTTTCAGATTGACCAAAGAGTATTGGTCTACATCATTAGTACTTTCAGTGAGAAATAACTGAAAATAAACTAGAGCAAAAGTTCCCCAGGTGTGGTTCCAGGACCAGCAACTGAAACATCACCTGGGAACTGTTAAAAATGCAAATTCTTGGGCTCTCCGCCAGAATCACTGAATCAGAAACTCTGAAATGGGACCCAATAATCAGCAGCTTAACAAGCTCTCCAGGTGATTCTTATGCCAAATAAAGTTTGAAATTCCCTGGTGCTGGCGCTGGAAGCAAATGAGTCACAGCTGTGAAGAATCCCTACCATTAATACCCTGGGTGGGATAAATAAAAATGGGAAACTAAAAAGTTAAATGATCAGAGGTTGGCTGTAGTTCAAAAGTAAGGATATACCTGAATATAAAATTCTTTCTTAACCTAAATGCAAAATGGGAATATGTTTAATCATTTATATAGCATCTCACTGGTTTTTTCCAGCTTGAGACATGATTCACAAAAATTGTATATATTTAAAATGTACATGATGTTTTGATATACATATACATTGTGAAACAATTACCACAATGAAGTTAACATAACCATGACCTCACCTAGCCACCATTTTGTGTGTGTGGGGTTAAAAACCCTTAAGACCTGCTCTTAGCAAATGTCAAGTATACAGTACCTTATTATTAACTATAGTCACCATGCTGTACGTTAGGTCTCCAGAACTTACTCATCTTCTAACTAAAAGTTTGACTAACTTCTCCCCCAGCCCCCAACCCCTGGTAACTACCACTCTACCCTTTGTTACTGTGTCTTCAACTTTTTTAGATTCCACATACAAGTGAGATCACGCAATATTTGTGTTTTGGCGTCTGGCTTATTTCACTTAGAATAGTGTCCTCTAAGTTTATCCATGTTGTCACAAATAGCAGGATTTCCTTATATATTTATAGAATAAAAACTAGACCGAATTATGCATTATGTTTCTTTCCTCTTCCCAATTTTTGATACCTGAAAATGATAATCTCCAGGTCAAGCCTAACAGAGCATTGCCTGTTGCCCGATGGTAATAACACCAAGAGCAGGCGCAATGCCTATATGGGGTCAATTTATAGCCTAGACACATAGCTCTAAACACATTCTCAGTGATTCATTCCAATTACTCCTCCACCTGGTGGATTTACACTGGCATTTTTCATGCCCATCTAGGTTCTTCCTAGTACCTCACCTTTTCGGCCAACTTTCACTGGTCATCCATTGGTTAAAACTCAGTCAATGTCATATCATCTTGTCAAAGCATGTTCAAACCAACAGTAAATAATATATAAATAATATCTAATAGTAAATAATAATGGAAATAATTATAGTAAATAATAAATAGTATATAAAATATATAACTAAATGACACATAAGTGAGTTCTAGATCACTATGCCAACTCAATCCTCCAACCTCATAAGAACTGAAAATCCATTATCAAAGACACTATGAAAATACAGCATAAAATAGACCCAGATACTTCCTGAGAGGTTAACAACATGTAGCCCACCAGAGGAAGAGCTGCAGCTGGAGCTAGCTGGGCTCTGTGAGCTAAAACCACACAGGAAGCCTCAAGCACAGGGGCTCACTGTGTACCAGGAGGCCCAGGGGGACCCTGACAAGACCTCCTCTCTTCTCCCGCTTTCATCCAAGGTCTAGGAACAAGGCAAAAAGCTAATTCTTAAAATAACAGGGATTTAAGATGTACCTTTAAATCCTTGGCTTGCTTTAAATTTGGCTGCTTGAGTATGGATTCTCCCCATAGGTTTACCGTAAGAAACATTCACATGATAATGTGATATTGTACTAAAGAGTCTGATGATTGAAAATAGAATGTTTGGACCCAGATTGGTAGTTTTTTTTTTTTTTTTTTTTTTTTTTTTGTCTTTTTGGGAGTTTTCCTTCATTTTTTTTTTTACGATTTCTAATAGTCATACTTTACCTTAGATTCCATGTTTTTGAAAAGTATTTTGTTGGATTTATTGAAAGTGAGAAAATTAATAATTCCTTTTATTATTATTGACTCTCTTCAAAAATAAGCATTGGCTAATTCTTTGTGCTGTCACTCACATTCCATAGTTTACTAGCTGAATCAAACCAATATATAGAAAAGACATGTGTCAAATACAGTTTTTGGGGGGTTAGGATTTTTTTGTTGTTGTTATTGTTGCTGTTTGACATATATCATCTAATTCTCCAAAATGATATCCGTGTTTTAGAGATGAAAAATTAGGGGCATTAGATGACTCACGAAAGGACATTCAATTGACAAATGTACATCTATATTTTATGTAGTCTACTTTAATCCTCGCTTATACTTACATAGGTAGGAAGGAGAGGATAAATTATGTGATCATTCTCACCCTACTTTTCTGTAATTAATTATAGAAAATGTTTGTCAAATTTTTTTTTAAAAAGCCTTTTCCATACAAATCACTTTGTTTTTTACATTCAAGGGATATGACACACAAATGTTGGTTTTTTTTTTTTTTCTTTTTTTTTGAGATGAAGTCTCACTCTGTCGCCCAGGCTGGAGTCAGTGGTGCCATCTCGGCTCACTGCAATCTCCACCTCCCTGGTTCAAGTGATTCTCCTGCCTCAGCCTCCCGCGTAGCTGGGCCTAAAGGCATACGCCACCACGCGTGGCTAATTTTTGTATTTTAGTACAGATGGTGTTGAGGAAAACCATCTTTAAAAGGCTGCTTTCCAAAGATAACTCCTCCTCTCCAAAAAGAGTTGCCTATACATGTTCTCCCTCTTCACATATGAATTCTGCTGTGTTAAAATGCTGAGTTCTAGAGAAGAGGGGGAATCTTGTGGAAACCCATATTATTAAAAATCATCTCAGCCTCACAGTTCAAATGTTGGAAAAATCAAACCACCAAGATATTTTATTAACAGTATTTCCTACCATAATCTACCTTAATAACAGCACCAATAATCCTTTTCTCACAGGTAGAGAATATCTTTTCCAACAGAGAAATACCCGTAACCAATGCAAATATTTTTTACTCATGTGCCATATTTGCTGTTGGAAATCATTATACAATGAAAAATATGTACAAAGTTCAGTATGTCACATAAACCAAATATTGTAGAATAATTCAAATTGGAAGAGTTGCAACTATTAAATGGGATGAAGAAAGTTTATTGTACCATCATTAGTCTTTAGCATTGTACTTGTTATTTTACAAAATATCTGTTTATATAGCTTTCAATCCAAGTTGATCATACATTCAGGGAAGGCAGAAATTGTGTTACTCACTTTTGAACCATCAACATACAGTGCAATTTATAAAAACCACTAATAAATAATTGCTGAATGAATGCTTTTTCTTTGATTTTTGTTTTTTGTTTGGGACAGGGTTTCACTCTGTTGCCCAGGGCGCAGTGTAGTGGCCTGATCATAGATCACTGCAGCCTCTACTTTGAATTGTCTCTCGGGCTCAGGCAATCCTCCCATCTCGGCTCCCTGAGTAGCAAGAACTATGGGCATGTGCCACCATGCCCAGCTAATTTTTAAAATTTTTCCCTTTTTGTAGAGACAGGGTCTTGCTTTGTTGCCCAGGCTGGACTCAAACTCCTAGCCTCAAACAATCTTCCCACATTGGCCTCTCAAAGTGCTGAGATTATAGGCATGAACCACCATGCCTGGCTGAATGAATGCATATTTTTATGGTTTAACATAGTAGAAGACAAACAATTTTAAATTATAAGTACTAAAAAGCTTTTAATTTATTTGACACAGAGTCTTGCTCTGTGGCCCAGGCTGGAGTGCAATGGTGCCTTCTTAGCTCACTGCAATCTCAGCCTCCCAAATTGAAGGGATTCTGCTGCCTCAGCCTCCTGAGTAAGCTGGGACTACAGGTGTGAGCCACCACACACAGCTAACTTTAGTATTTTTTGGTAGAGATGGGGTTTCATCATGTTGGCCAGGCTAGTCTCAAACTCCTGATATCAGGTGATCCACCTGCCTCAGCCTCCCAAAGGGCTGGGATTACAGGAGTGAGCCACCATGCCCAGCCCTAAAAAACTAATGTTATGTTATTGTTAACTTGATTTTTTCTTATTAACATATGATGTTCCAAGGAGTCATTGTTAAAAATTGGAGTAACAAGGAGAAATATGAAGAGAGAAAAACACTTCCTTATAAAATTACATTAATATGTTTCCTTTCTATAATTTCTATGCAACATACTGGGAATCACACATTAGTTTACAACCCAATTCATAAATTAGCATTATGCCAGAAGCATTTCTCATGTCATTGAATACTTCATAAGTCATTTGAAAGTGTGTATGTTTTTTAATTGTATGATTGTATCATATATACTAACCCTTTCATTATTGTTGGACCCAAGATTTTACCTGGTATTTGACAATTCCAATAATGCTAAGGTAAAATCTTGAGTGTGTACCATTTTGTCCACATTATTTTCTGAAGATAGATTTCTAGTAGACTCATTGGCTCAAAAAGTACTACCATTTTTTAAGGTTATCAATATATTTTGCTAAATTTGTGTGCAGTAGTTATCTACTAACATTTGCTACAGCAGTTTATGAGAATATAGTTATTACTTCATTCTGACCAGCAAGACTAATTTTCAAATAAGCCTTGATTTTAGAGCTTGGTTTATGTGGTGATGCCATCTGGTGGCCTAGTACAAAATTACAGAATCAGAAGTGAAAAACCTTTTGAAAACTGTAATGAGCAAAATTAAATTTATAAGGTGATGGCAAATAGCACAAGTCTTATACGTTGTCAGAAAGCATTCTTGCTGTTTGGATTTCTAAAAATTATCAGGAGCCATGTAAAATGAAGATTACAAACTCAAACAATGCTCATTCATTCATCTCTTCAACCTGAGTTTTTGGAGTACCTACCACATGGTAGTACTATTCCCTGCTGATGAAAAAGATGAAGTCTCCATGCATGATTTCCAGGAATGTGTAGTTTAATGGGGATACATAATGCAAATTTACCACTATAAATTTTACCAAAGGCTTTCACAAGTGGTGACTAATATTTACTAATATTTGTCATTTGAATCATTTTTATCAAATGTATGATATGTAATTGTGGTTGACTTTCTCTAAAATAACTCCAGTCATCATTCCACTTCTTGGTATTCATGCCATTGTATAATCTTCTTCCCAGAGTGTGTGCTCAAGTTGGCATCTCTGTTTCTCTTTCTCTCCCTCTTTCTCTCCCACTCCCCTCTCCCACATACACGTCCCCAGCAGAAAACAGAATAACAAACTGCCATGAAGTGAGTAGCTCTATGGAGAGGTCTATGAGGCAAGGCATTGACATTTCTCCTGTTAACAGTGAGTGAGGACCTCACACCAGCCAACAGCATGTGCATGAGGCTGCATATGAGTCTGCCCCAACTGAGCCTTCAGATGACTGTAGCCCTCACCCACACCCCAAAGGCATCCTTGTGAGAAACTCTAAGTCAGAGTCACCCATGGCTGGATTCCTGACCCAAAAAAAGCATAAGTTGTGGGATAATTTAGTAATTTGTTACACACAAATAGTTAACTAATTAACTAATAAAAAGAATTTGAGCCTGGCCTGGTGGCTCATGCCTGTAATCCCAGCATTTTGGGAGGCTGAGGTGGACGGATCACTTGAGGACAGGAGTTCAAAGATCAGCCTAGCCAACATGGTGAAACCCCATCTCTACTAAAAATACAGAAATTAGCCAGGCATGGTGGCCCATGCCTGTAATCCCAGCTACTCAGGAGACTGAGGCAGGAGAATCACTTGAAGTCGGGAGGTGGAGGCTGCAGTGAACCAAGATCGCCCATTGCACTCCAGCCTGGGTGACAGAGCAAGAAACCCTGTCTTAAAAAAATAAAAAAAAGAAAGAAAGCTATTCAAACATTTGAATAGTGATTTCAACATAATTACTCAAGTCCTATACAAAATTACTTAAGTCCTATACAAATTTAAACTACAATTACAGATTTAGTTAAGCTAAGTCTTTTGAGCACCTCAAACACCTTAAGTAGCAAATATACCCAAAGAAAATTATTACAAAACCTATTGCTTACTCTTAAACCTATCCTAAAATATAACAATAGTTTTTAAACTTCATTTCTTTTGTTATTCCTATAATTTTTATTCTTCTCTAAGGCTATAATTCCACTTGATAACTTCCATTAGTTGTATTAATGCATCCTTTTACATCTTTCTGGGCTTGTAGTGATCTCCCTAGACCAATAAGCAAAATATTTCAGTAAATGGCTGGTCAAGCAACTGATTTTTAGTCAGTTTGGGACCCGTTTGTTTTTGCCACGATAATTAACTCCAGCTGCAGGCCATGAAGTCATCTCCTATTTTAGAGTTAAACTTCTTTTGTTATAAAAATAAGACATTTCAAATTCTCATCTTTCACATGTTTTTGGATTTTTATAACCTAATATCTCCATCATAAATGATACGTTTCAAGTCTCAACCAACATTTCATTATGTATTATCCTATCTCTATTATATACTGATATTTTATGTTAGGATTATTACAAATTATGTATGCTTTATTGTATTATTTAAGGGCCACTTAGAAATTCTATATCCTAGGAAAAGAGAAATGAAAGTTTTGTAGTAAGCTTCCTTTTCATTATTATTATTATTTTTGAATTATACTTTAAGTTCTGGGATACATGTGCAGAACGTGCAGGTTTGTTACATAGGTATACACGTGCCATGGTGGTTTGCTGCACCCATCGACCCGTCATCTACATTAGGTATTTCTCCTAATGCTATCCCTCCCCTAGCCCCCCACCCTCTGACAGGCCCTGGTGTGTGATGTTTGCCTCCCTGTGTCCATGTATTCTCATTGTTCAACTCCCACTTATGAGTGAGAACATGTGGTGGTTGACTTTCTGTTCCTGTGTTGCTTTGCTGAGAATGATGGTTTCCAGCTTCATCCATGTCCCTGCAAAGGACGGGAACTCATCCTTTTTTATGGCTGCTTAGTATTTTATGGTGTATATGTGCCACATTTTCTTTATCCAGTCTATTATTGATGGACATTTGGGTTGGTTCCAAGTTTTTGCTATTGTGAACAGTGCTGCCATAAACATACATGTACATGTGTCTTTATAGTAGAATGATTTATAATCCTTTGGGTATATACCCAGTAATGGGATTGCTAAGTCCAATGGTATTTCTGGTTCTAGATCCTTGAGGAATCGCCACACTGTCTTCCACAATGGTTGAACTAATTTACACTCCCACCAACAGTGTAAAAGCGTTTCTATTTCTCCACAGTCTCTCCAGCATCTGTTATTTCCTGACTGTTTAATGATTGCCATTCTAAGTGGCATGAGATGGTATCTCATTGTGGTTTTGATTTGCATTTTTCTAATGACCAGTGATGATGAGCTTTTTCTCCTATGTCTGTTGGCAGCATAAATGTGTTCTTTGGGGGAGTATCTGTTCATATCCTTCACCCACTTTTTGATGGGGTTGTTTTTTTTTTCTTGTAAATTTAAGTTCCTCGTAGATTCTGGATATAGCCCTTTGTCAGATGGATAGATTGCAAAAATTTTCTCCCATTTTGTAGGTTGCCTGTTCACTCTGATAATAGTTTTTTGTTTTTTTTTTCTGTGCAGAAGCTCTTTTGTTTGGTTAGATCCCATTTGTCAATTTTGGCTTTTATTGCCAGTTTTTGGTGTTTTAGTCATGAAGTCCTTGCCCATGCCTATGTCCTGAATGGTATTGCCTAAGTTTTCTTCTAGGGTTTTTATGGTTTTAGGTCTTATGCTTAAGTCTTTAATCGATCTTGAGTTAACTTTTCTATAAGGTATAAGGAAGGTGTCCAGTTTCAGTCTTCTGCATTTGGCTGGACAGTTTTCCCAACAGCATTTGTTAAATAGGGAATCCTTTCTCCATTGCTTGTTTTTGTCAGGTTTGTCAAAGATCAGATGGTTGCAGATGTGTAGCACTGCTTATGAGGCCTCTGTTCTGTTTCATTGGTCTATATATCTGTTTTGGTACCAGTACTGTGCTGTTTTGGTTACTGCAGCCTTGTAGTATAGTTTGAAGTGAGGTAGCGTGATGCCTGTAGCTTTTTTCTTTTTGCTTAGGATTGTATTGGCTATATAGGCTCTTTTTCGGTTCCATATGAAATTCAAAGTGTTTTTTTTTTTTTTTTCTAATTCTGTAAAGAAAATCAGTGGTAGACTGATGGGGATAGCATTGAATCTATAAATTACTTTGGGCAGTATGGCCATTTTCACGATATTGATTCTTCCTATCCATGAGCATGGAATGTTTTTCCATTTGTTTGTGTCCTCTCTTATTTCCTTGAGCAGTGGTTTGTAGTTCTCCTTGAAGAGGTCCTTCAAATCCCTTGTAAGTTGTATTCCTAGGTATTTAATTTTCTTTGTAGCAACTGTGAATGGGAGTTCACTCAGGATTTGGCTGTTTGCCTATTATTGGTGTATAGGAATGCTTGTGATTTTTGCACATTGATTTTGTATCCTGAGACTTTGCTGAAGTTGCTTATCAGCTTAAGGAGATTTTGGGCTGAGATGATGGGGTTTTCTAAATATACAATCATGTCATCTGCAAAGAGAGACAATTTGACTTCCTGTCTTCCTATTTGAATACCCTTTCTTTCTTTCTCTTGCCTGATTGCTCTGGCCAGAACTTCCAATATTATGTTGAATAGGAGTGGTGAGAGAGGGCATCCTTGTCTTGTGCCAGTTTTCAAAGGGAATGCTTCCAGCTTTTGCCCATTCAGTATGATATTGGCTGTGGGTTTGTCATAAATAGCTCTTATTATTTTGAGATACGTTCCATCAATACCTAGATGCAGAAAAGGCCTTTGATAAAATTCAACACCTCTTCATGCTAAAAACTCTCAATAAAGTAAGCTCCCTTTTTAAGACATTTGGCTAAGTCATCATTTTATAACACAATATTCAACTCCCCTTTCTCTCTCCTTTCTTACTGTACATGAGCATCCTGTGTCTAGTTCTGCTTTTTCTAAACTGTTTGACTCACAATTCCCAATATTTTTATCCTTTACTTATACAGTTTTAAAAAATACTGCTGTATAAACACACATATATTTAAAAAGAGGAAATAGAATGATTTAGATATATTAAAATACAACTTACTAAAATTTTTATCAGTTTATTGAAATACATTTTTTAAATCTAATCTATTATATTCCTCCTCTTAGATTACAGCTACCAATAGTAAAACACAGCATCTTAGTATCACTGGCAGCTAGCACAGCCCTTGGACGGGTGACCTACAAGTAAACAATTCATGATTATATTGCGACACAAACATATTGGCGTGATAAATCAGATGAAAGAAATTAGCATATAAATTAAAAGTGTAATTGCAACAGTGTTTGAAACAAAACAATATTAATAACTACCAATAGTTGTAATCTAGAGAACTTTTGTCTTTTAAGTATCATTAGAAACTCATTGCCTTATAAAATATTAGTGTATTTCAATTAATTTATTATTATTAATGCTCAACTTGTCACAACTTGATCAAAATAAGCTGCTTCCTCCTGACTCCTGTGTTCTTTGTCTTATATGTTTCCTTATTTGCTGAAACAGTAGTGTCCAACAGTAGTGGCACTAGGGTTTATAAGGTAGGAGTGGGCAAAAGTACTGTCACTGCTATTTGTCCTTTTTGTAAAAATTTGAAGTGAGAGTCACAGGTGATGGAACGATTTTACAGTCACAGATTTATTTGTGTTTGATTTAAATTTATTTAAACACTCCTTACTTTTCCTATACTATGAGACTCATAAACTGCAAAGACTTTTCACAACAAGGAAATTTTAGATTGTATCCACTCATCTTCAGCTAATAAATCCTCCACACTGCAGGCAGCCTATTCTCCTAAAATGCAATCTTTACCCTTTCTCTCCTCCATTGAAAATGACTTCCCTTCGAATGTAAGATAAGCATCAAAAATTAACTCATTCTCTGGCCTCTACTTCTTCATCTTCTGTGACTCTCCCTACTCCCAGTCTCCTCCTACATTGGCTTTCTTTTAGATTTCAAATGCACCAACATAGGTATTTGGAAATAAGTGTCATTCTTGAGGATTTTTAAATCTAGTGCAAGAAAGCATTGCAGTAAACCACAACAAAACACAGTGTCTTCTTAGTATCACTGGCAGCTCGCACAGCACTTGGAACACGGGTGTCCTGCAAGTAAACGATTCATGATTATATTGCAGCAAGAACATATTGGCATGATAAATCAGATGAAAGAAATTAACATATAAATCAAAAGTATTATTGCAACAGTGTTTGAAACAAAACAAATATTAATTATCTAGATCAAAACAAAATTACAGAAGCATAAAATTATTGAGGATGGCAACAGCATAATGTGGAACAGTGCCCAATAAAAGCCAGCAAAAAAGATGAATGTAAGAAAATCTTTTTTTTTTTTTTTAAACGGAGTCTCGCTCTGTCGCCCAGGCTGGACTGCAGTGGCACGATCAAGGCTCACTGCAAGCTCCGCCTCCCAGGTTCACGCCATTCTCCTGCCTCAGCCTTCTGAGTACAGTAGCTGGGACTACAGGCGCCCGCCACTGCGCCTGGCTAATTTTTTGTCCTTTTTTTAGTAGAGACGGGGTTTCACCGTGGTCTCGAGCTCCTGACCTCGTGATCCGCCCGCCTCGGCCTCCCAAAGTGTTGGGATTACAGGCGTGAGCCACCGCGCCCGGCATCAAAACATGCTATGCACGTGCTGCAGTCTCTGCCTCAAGTTGCTTAATGGGTGTGTCTGTGTGCATGCAAACACACACACATTTACACATACAAATAATGACTTTCTACATTGAGAATAAAAGGTTAATGTTCAGAATTTTAACATTTAATAAATCACTAGAGTGGATTGATAGGACTCACATTTGTCCTAAACCCACCTTCCTAAGGTCACTCACAACAAATTATAGCATGTGTTTTTATTTTCTTTGATTTTTTTTTTACAACTGCTATAACTACAAGAGCAAGGATAATTATAAATCAGACTTTTATATGCCAGGCATGTCCTGAAAGCCTTTCCAAGCCATAAAAGACAAGATAGTTTCCTTCAGTTCTTCCGCTGGCATGGCTATCTGTTGATGGAGGAAGCAAGGCTCAGCATTAAATATTCACTTGGATTACTGAGAAGGATAGTCAAAAAAGAACTAAAAGAGAATTAGAAGAATGGTGAGAAGGGCCTAAACATTACCGTGTAATGCATTATACACAATTGCCTGACATTCATGTTATTTCCTTAAATAACAAGAGAGTCTTACATTGCAAACATACATTGACTCTATTAGAAATAAAACAAAACAATCTCTCCTGCATTTTCTGCACTGTAATTAATTCACAGATCCAGGAAGAGATGACGAAGTATTGCTCTGAGCTCTTGGGCTCAGCCTCAGAAGTCATTAGGGATGTTATTTCAAAGAGATTACGTCTTCTTTGCTATTAAAAGGCTTATAAATAAGTCTTTTATTATTTATATACAAGTTTATAAATAAAAGGCTTGTAAACTTGTGTATATCAAATGCAGAAAGAAATATTTTGATTTACAATAAAGAAAAATAGTCTAGGAGTAGGTAAAGTCCATGACTGCTACCTTGGGAAGAAATGAGTTACATTTCCTTGGAGGTATTCAACCAGAAAGTCAAGCACTTGGCAGGGAAGTTGTAAAAAGAAATTCACAAACTCATTGAATTGTTGGATATAAGATCCTACTCAAAATTTAAGATTATGTGAGAATAGGTGTTTACCATAAGTATATTGACTGCCAGTAGTTCTGGATCGTATTTTTTCTTTTGTCATGAGATTTCACCTCTGTGTAAATATTCTCCTCAGTCATTTCTGGAGAGTAGAGAAACATAACGAGATAAAATATGGGGAAAGAAGAACTTTCTCCATAATCATTCAAGATGTAAACCAAAAATAAAATTCTAAGTCCCCCAACCATCTGAATAGACTCCGCCTCTCAGCCAAGAGCATTTCAAAGTCAACCTGAAAAACTAGTTGAGGCCATGATGGGAAGGAGGAGACAGACATGCCTAATTATACCCTCCTACCTTTTGGAATTACTGATGGAACAGACCCTTTCAGTCCCCTAAGAAACATTTACAGCCTATTCTCTCTGAGGCCTGCTACCTGGAGACTTCATCTGCATAATGAAACGTTGGTCTCTACAACCTCTTATCATAACCCAAGCATTTCTTTTTATTCACTCCAGGTCTTTAGAAAATAACTCTTTCAACCAATTGCCAATGAGAAAATCTCTGAATCAGCCTATGACCTGCAAGCCCCTGCTTCCAGTTGTCCCACCTTTCTGGACCAAACTAATGTACATCTTTCATGTATTGATTGATGTCTTATGTCTCCCTGAAATGTATAAAACCAAGTTGTAGCCCAACGACCTTGGGCACATGTTCTCAGGTTCTCCTGAGGGCTGTGTCGTGGACCATCAGTCACTCAAATTTTGCTCAAAATAAATATCTTCAAATATTTTACAGAGTTTGACTCTTTGTCAACAAAGAAAACAATCATTATAATTCATACATCTCATACATATTGGAAGTAGTTGCTAATAAAAATTATAATTGAGTAGGTTTTCTTCATTTACAAGAATTTCTTTACAGGCCTTCCTGAGTGAAGTGTATACTGGAGTTCCATCTGTGGTCTTCCATAGGGTTGAGGATGCTGTTGCATCAGTGATGGGTGGAAAAAGAGTTGATTGGAAAGAGACAAAACTGTAAGATGTTATCATTTCAAAGAGGCTCTCCTCCTACTATGATCAGAAGAAAATTAAAATAACAGGTCAGAATACATAAAAGCAGAGCTGTCAGCAAAAGGGCAAGCTGAGAAGCTGCAGTTTTGGCTTCCTGAGAGATTTAAGACCCTGTTAATTTTTAAACCACAAATCATAAGGGTTTCTTGTTTTGTTTGGTCTTGTTTTGTTTGTGTTTCATCTTAAACCACCTTGTTTTGTAGTATGGAACCATTTGTATACTGTAATGCCAAATTGTAAGAACATAATTTATAGCTACAGCAATAATAAATACAGAATTATTCTGATTTATTCATTCTGGTTATCCTACAAGTCCATTTCTACTTGTCAGATAATCTGCATCTGCATGGACTTCTAATTCAGTGTGAGAGCTCTTTTTTGTGTGTGATAAGGAGCCCATTGAAATCTATAAGTCACGGGTAGGTAGATCTTATAAATTTGGACATGTGTAATAAAAAGTCTAGAGGTCAAGAGACTGAGGGCTGTCGGCAGCTCAACAGCATCATCAATGCCATTCGCTGTCTAAATCCTTCTAATCTTCTGCGTTTGGACATGTGGACAACCTTGTGGCCACACATAGCTGCCATAGCCCCAGATCAGTATTCATGGCAATGAAGGGGTGGCCTGCCCCTCCACACCTGTGGGCATTTCTCGTCGGGTGGGACAAGAGACTTGAGAAAAGAAGAGACACAGAGACAAAGTATAGATAAAGAAAAGTGGGCCCAGGGGACTGGCGCTCAGCATAGGGAGGACCAGCGCCGGCACCGGTCTCTGAGTTCCCTCAGTATTTATTGGTCATTATCTCTACCATCTCGGAGAGAGGGATGTGGCAGGACAATCGGGTAATAGTGGGGAGAGGGTAAGCAGGAAAACCTGTGAACAAATGTCTCTGTATCATAAACAAGGTTAAGAAAAAGGTGCTGTGCTTTGATGTGCACATACATAAACATCTCAGTGCATTAAAGAGCAGTATTGCTGCCAGCATGTCTCAACTCCAGCCTTAAGGTAGTTTTCTCCTATCTCAGTAGATGGAATATACAATCAGGTTTTACACCGAGACATTCCATTGCCCAGGGACAAGCAGGAGACAGATGCCTTCCTCCTATCTCAACTGCAAAGAGGCCTTCCTCTTTTTCTAATCCTCCTCAGCACAGACCATTTATGGGTGTCGGGCTGGGGGATGGTCAGGTCTTTCCCTTCCCACGAGGCCATATTTCAGACTATCACATGGGGAGAAACTTTGGACAATACCTGGCTTTCCTAGGCAGAGGTCCCTGCGGCCTTCCACAGTGTTTTGTGTCCCTGGGTACTTGAGATTAGGGAGTGGTGATGACTTTTAACAAGCATGCTGCCTTCAAGCATCTGTTTAACAAAGCACATCCTGCATAGCCCTAAATCCATTAAACCTTGAGTCGACACAGCACATATTTCTGCGAGCACAGAGTTGGGGGTAGGGTTACAGATTAACAGCATCTCAAGGCAGAAGAATTTTTCTTAGTACAGAACAAAATGGAGTCTCTTATGTCTACTTCTTTCTACATAGACACAGTAACAGTCTGATCTCTCTTTCTTTTCCCCACAGGCAAGAAGAGAATAGAGGCAAAGCAAGCCACTCCAGAAGTCCTCTAGCCAGCTTTGTCTTTAGTTTGATGGCCAGAGGTGGGCCATATGGACACTCTGTAGCTGCAAGGGTGCTGGGAAAGCGAGTAACTTCTGAGAATGGCAGGAGATTTGGAATGATTCATGGATTGGCCAACAGTCTCTGCTACTTGAGGCTAATGGTTACACAAGATTTAACCTTTAACCAGACATCAACAAATTTTTGAGGGCCTATTATTCATACTCCAAAATAAATACGAAAGTCAGGGATCCAAGAAGGCTCTTTCAATTCCCAGAAAGGGGATAATATATATGCTATATTCCATAGTACATAGTGGATAAAGAAAAACAATATACTATATTTTTTGTGGTATTTTGATCCTCTGCTCGTTTACCTGCAGCAATTATCAGTAAAAAAAAAATAAAAATAAAAATATAAAAATACTTTTAAGAAAAGGAACTTGAGCAAATGCCTTTGAGGAAATAAAAACAGTAGAGTTAGAAAAAGTTCACCTGAGGTGTGTGTCAGGGTTAATGGTGATTCCAAAGAGTACCATAGGCAGTAACGACTTTAAATGAAAAAGGAAAGAGGGGTGAGTTTCTGGAATCTACACCAAAGAAGAAAAGAAGAATAGTTTGGCCCTGAGCAGAAATATTTGGATATTTTCAAATTGTTATACAGTATTCATTCTTACATCTATTATTGAAACTTTTTTTTTTTTTTTTTTTTTTTTTTGCCTACTCCAGCTAAACACTGTGCTGGTTATCCCCATCCATAACTCCTCCCAAAGGGCCCAATAGCCTGCCTTCCAGCAGAGCTAATAATCCATGGTTTAAGTTATGCATTCGGACTGTAAGAAATCTGAATAAAACGTCATTCTCCCTTTTATCCAACTGGCAAAATGCATACTCTTCCTCTAAACTCAATTGAATGGAGTTCTTTGAGAAGACTTCCTGATAACATGCTGTGAGTTCTTTGAACACCTTAATTATGGTCCAATGACTTATGTCTTGACATTGCATTTCAATTATCTGTCTGTATTTCTGTTCTCTGAAGTTTGAGCTTCCTGAGGGAAAGATCTGTAATTTATTTATCTTTATAATTTCAGTTCTAAGTATAATACCTTACACATAGAAAGAGTTGAATAAACAACTGTTGGACAAATGAGTAAAGGAACAAATAAATGTTCTGTTAAGGGAAACAATTATAAACAAAGGAGTCTAAAAAAAGGAGCAATTAATTCTGTATCAAGGCATCTAAAAAGACCAATTTGATTTACTTGAATGGCTTTGTTTCTAAACTAAAATACAAAGTTTATGTTTTGAAAGTTTTCAACTTATAAAGAAAAAAGTCATATAATAGTTTGTCTGTATAACTCCAGATAATAAAAAATCCCTGTCTAGATTACTATAGTTTATAAGCTAAGAATAAAGGCTAACTAAAATGGGTCATACAAAATGTTCAACAAAAAATATTACTATTTCTAAAGAAAGGGAAACATAAACTTACATCTTCTCTACTTTCTTAATCTGTGTAATTCACTTTATTCAGTTCCAAAAGAAAGAAGTCTTGGAAGACCCAGAATTATTCCATTATCAGAACAGAAATTCTTTCACTCAATTACCTGCTTTTTTTTTTTTGAGACAGAGTCTTGCTCTGTTGCTCAGGCTGGAGTGCAGTGGCATGATCTTGGCTCACTGCAACCTCTGCCTTCCAAGTTCAAGCGATTCTCCTGCCTCAGCTTCCTGAGTAGCTAGGATTACAGGCTTATGCCACCATGCCTGGCTAATTTTTGTATTTTTAGTAGAGATAGGGTTCACCACGTGTTGTCCAGGCTGGTCTCGAACTTCTGACCGGGTGATCCAGCTGCCTGGGCCTCCCAAAGTCCTGGGATTACAGGTGTGAGCCATCAATTAACTGCTTTTAACTCACTTCAACTTGGCAATAATCTAATCTAGGGAATTCACTCCCCTTTCCTAATGTTTTCATGTTCTGAATTCACTCTCTCTGAATTTCAAATATCAATCACCATCAGATAGAATTAAAGGTATCAACAAAATCTTTAGAAACAATAGCTGATGACACCTTTGTCCTTTACCTGAAAGCTCCACAAACAATTTGGTCAGAAATAGAATTGAGAGTCGCTCACTTTCCGTGATAAATGCTGAACAGGAAGAAAATATCCAATGTCCAGAACAACTGCAAATGTTGTCAGCAGCACAATAGGAGATCCTGACATTTCAGTGGCATTCTGACAGTTTCTATTCTGGTCAGAATTCTCATAGATGTTTACAGTGACACTTTTCACTTAGGGAAGAGAGCTAAAAACAAGTACATATGAAATAAATATATTTAACTGGTAAATGGAGAGAAAAAAATAATGCCACAGATAACTAGACAAGGAAGGATGGAAAAAACAGAGAAGAAAAAAGGGAAAATAGGAAAAAGGGAGTGAAATGAGAAATAATCCAGTCAAAACTGTAAATGAATTAGATAAGAATCTCTGTAATCACTTTATATGTGGTTTCCATATTGAGATCTTGTCTTTCCTTGATGTTTGTATGACAGAGGAAATCCAAGCCAAAAGCTCCTTTTGGAGACAAGAATATTCTGACAGCACCTCCTACGATGTGACAGAGTCAAAGAAGAAAATATACAAGAGAACTCTGCTATAGAAAATTACAAATTCAAACCATGGGAAAATGGGGAATAGAAAAATTATCTCTTTAGACAGAGAAAAGATTATAAATACTGAAAATTGTCATTTCTATAAATGTCATTGCTCTTCTGTTTTACATTGTGTAAATATTTGGAAGAAAATGGCACAATTTTCTTTCAAAAAAAGGGAAACATTCAAAATATTTAAATTATATATATTATATATGTAACATGATCAGCAAGTCTGGAAACATAACGAAGTTTTATAGTATTGATTTATTCCTATCACTCTGAGATATGGTGACATTACATGATATGTTCAACGTGTTGTTCCTCATTAGCAATGTGTTATGCATAATGGGGACCAACATGGGACATTAATACAACATTTCTATCAGTGCCTGCACATGCTTCTGTGATACGTTGCCTCCAATGATTTTTGTCTCTAATTTTCAGAATATAAACCTGCTCCATTAGCATTTTCTGGAAGAAGCAATCAAATGGGTTAATCTGTGAAAGTAAATGTTATCTATATTTCCCAACATTATGGCCATCCTGTATTAACGTATATTATGTATATTCTGAACTGCTCCATAATTGGAATAGTCATTCCTTATCAATAATTTACTTGATATCATGGATATGTGTCTTTTAGTTAATGATCCCTTTGCCAACTAGCCTAGTTTATAGGCAGTGACTATATCATACTCATTTTGAATTCCCAATACTTACCACAGCTTCCTATACATGGTAGTTGTTTAATAAATAATTCTTGAATAAAAATAAACTTTAAATATTTCCTTATTATTTAGCTTTCGAGTACATCTTGGATATTTGACACTTAAGCACATACCACCCAGATCCTTATTTCCTCTGATGGTTTTATCATAATAATTGCTCTGAGAGATTTTTCCAGTGAAGTCTTAGAGTTACCACATCTCTGCTTATGCTTTCCACCACTGAAAGATAGCTTTCTCCAGATTCTTCTTCTTTTTTTAAATGCTCACTTCTCTTCTAAGATATCTGGACCGAATGGGTTTCATTTTGTATTGCTTTCACGACAAAAGCCAAACTACTAAGTGAGGAAATAAACTGTTCAAAGTTTATACAAATTGTGAACGAGTGTATGAAAAAAATATTTTTCAGTGGAATTCAAATGACAAACATTTACTTAATGTAATCCAAAGTGACATAATAAAAGACAAAGAGTTTCATACAGCAGGAGAATGGGCAGTTAATTCTGGCTGGGATGAAACGTGAGAAACTAATTGTACAAGCATATGCCACTTCAGCTGATTCTTGATAGAAAAATTTTAGCTGTAGAAATGGGCGGGATAAAGCATATCAGGTCAAATGAAACACAGCTGGAACACATAATAGGTGAAACAAGCAGCATCTAGCATAGAGAATTCGAAGCACACAACAATCACTTCTAAAACAGAATTATCTTAGGGAATTTCGGTAAAAAAACTGGATTCTACTTTGAGATTTTGACAAAGATAGGCAGATAAAATCAAAGAAAAAAAAAAACGGAAAACAACCCTATTGCACATTATTGATTCCCAATATTCTTCTCTTTGCATCATGAGTCAGAATCTACCATTAAGGATAAACTCAGTTTCAGGCTCAACCTTTTTTCTTTTATTCAGTTTAATTTGTATCTGCATTTGGTCTTATGACTGCTGTAACAAACTGAAAGACCTCTTTTATGTAACTGCCATAATAACTTGCATGAACGCATGGCACCTGCCATTTTCAAATGCCTATGATAACATACATATCTGCCTTTGTACCTAGGAAAATATCCATTATTCTCTGTCTAGAAAGATAATGGAAGATATCATAAAAAAGTCTCAGATGGATTTGAATATTCCCAACATCATGGCAGAAAAATATGATGTGAAATTTAATATGATTTTAATGTCCAAATAAGGAAAATCCCAATTTGTATACATTAGGTAAATTATAAGAAATTTTATTTTCCAAGTAGAAGAAAGATTATGGCAAAAATTCTAAACAAATTAACAGAATGTAAAAGACAGGCCACAGATTGGGAGACAATATTTGCAAAACAAACCATATTTTTAATCGGCAAAAGATTACCTATTGAGGAATATTTTGGTTTTCTCTGGATTTTTTTCTCTTATAAAGCTAGTATAAACAGGTATAGAGAGACACCTCACAGATAGCAAATAAGCATATGAAAAGACATTAAACATCATATACCATTGCAAATTAAAAGAATGAGATACCACTACAAACCCATTAGCATGGTAAAAACTTAAAATACTGACAACCCAAATGCTGGAAAGGATGTAGAGCAACAGCTCCATTCTCATTCGTGACTGGTGGGAATGCAAAATAGTACAACCTCTGAAAGATAGTTTGGCAGGTGCTAAAAGAAAAATAAACATACAATATGAGCCAGCAATCATACTCTTCGGTATTTATTTAAATGAGGTGATAGTTTAAATCCACAAAAAACCTGCACATGAATGTTTATAGAAGCTTTATTCATAATTGCCAAAACTTGGAAGCAACCAACAGTCCTTCTCCAGGTGTGATCACCTGTCGTGGTACTTCCTGACAATGAAATATTATTCAGTAAAAAAACAAATGAGGTATCAAGTTATAGAGTCATGGAGGAAACTTAAATGCATGCTGCTAAGTAAAATAAGCCAATCTGAAAATTCTGTATAAGATATGATTCCAACTATATGACATTCTGTAAAAGGCAAAACTATGGAGATGGTTAAAAAAAAAAATCAGTGTTTGCCAGGGCCTCAGAGAGAGGAAGGAGGAGAGGAATAGATGAAGCATAGGAGATTTTTAGGGCAATGAACCTATTCTTTACAGCACTGTAATGGTAGATATATGTCATGCATTTGTCAAAACCCATAGAATGTAAAATACAAAGAGTGAAACTAATATAAACCATGAACTTTACTTAGTAATAACATATCAATATTAGCTCATCAATTATAACAAATACACCACACTAATGCTAGATATTAATAGGAGAAACTGGGAGGAGGGTGAGTGAGTATATGGAAACTCTCTGTACTTTCCACTCAATTTTTCTGTAAAACTAAAACTGCTCAAAATTGTAATCTATTTAAAAAAAAATTCTAATGACATCACTATATACATATCAGGAGGGATAAAATTTAAAAATAACGACAACACCAAATGATGGCCAGTATGCAAAGAAAATGAATCACTCATGGGTATACAAAATGTTACAGCCTCTTTGGAAAACAGTTTGGAAGTGTTTTATAAATCTAAACACGAACTACCATAGGACTCAGTAATTGCATTCTTGGGCATTTATCTCAGATAAATTAAACATGTTATGTTCACACAAAAATGTCTATTCCTGTTCATAGCAGCTTTATTTGCAATAGCAAAAAAACAAAACAAAACAAAAAACCCTGAAAACAACAAAATATTCCTCAATAGGTAAATGTAATCAAACTGTGATACATCCATACCTACTTGGCAATAAAAGGAACAAATTATTGATACCTACAAAAACTTGTATAGATTTTCAGGAAATTACGTTGAGGTCACAGACCGTATGATTTCATTTACTTAACAGTCTTGAAATGATAAAATTATAGAAACAGAGAAGGAGTCAGGAACAAGGAATGGAGAAAAGGAAGCAGGTGTGGCTCTAAAAGGGCAATAATAGGGAGCCTTGTGATAGAATCTCTCTGCATTTGTATCAATGTCAATAACTAAGTTGTGATATTATACCATGATTTTACAAGATGTTACCATTAGAGGTGCTTTGGTTTGAATGCTCCTTCCAAAACTCAGTGTTGGAATTTAATAGCCACTGTGACATTATTGGGAGGTAAGACCTTGAAGAGTTGATTAAAGTCATGAGGACCTCAATCTTAAGAATAGATTAATTCCCTCATGAGAGTGAGATCGTTATCTCAGGAGTGGTTCTGTTGTAAAAAAAGCTCTCTCTCTCTCTCTCTCTCTCTCTCTCTCTCGCTGTCTCTCCATGTAATGCCTTCACCATGGGATGACCCTTGCCAGATGCCAGTGCCATGCTCTTGGACTTCCTTGGTTTATAGATGCATAACTACAATATTTTCCTCTGTCTTCACCCGGCATTCCCCTCTGTGTCTCTGTGTCTTTTCCTATCTCTTAAAAGAACATCCATCATTAGATTAAGGACCCCTTAAGGCCCACCATAATCTAGCATGATCTCATGATCTTTACCTTAATTACATATGCAAATACCCTTTTCCCAAATAAGGTCATAAATAAGGTCATGTTCACATTCTTCAGGGTGAGAACTGGAGCCTACCTTTTGGGGGACACAGTTTAACATGCTATACTACTGAATTAGAAACTCTGGAAGTGAGACTCATCAGGCTGTGTTTTCCAGGTGAATCCGATCTTGATTCATGATAAATGTTTGAGGATATGGATAAGCTAATTACCCTGATTCCTGATTTGATCATTACACAGTGTATACATGTATTGAAACATCACACTGTACCCCATAAATATGTACAATTATTATGTGTCAATAAAAAATAAAATAAAACAAAAAAAAACCTATACAATAGTGTGAAATGCTGTTGGGATGCTGGCCTGTGGCCAAAGCTGGTTCTGGTAGTGTAACCAGGCAAGCCAGTGAAGAGTTCAAGGGTATGTACTGGTCAATATCAGTGGATCTTACTACTAGTTTCCAGTTTCTCAAAATTAGAAACTCTGGAAGTGAGACTCATCAGGCTGTGTTTTCCAGGTGAATCTGATGCTTGGAATAATAGAATGCTAATGCATGGTGGGCTTAATACCTAGGTCATGGGTAGATAGGTGCAGTAAACCACCATGGCACATGTTTACCTATGTAACAAACCTGCACATCCTGCACATGAATCCCAGAACTTAGAAAATAAAAATAATAGAATGTCAGGACTAAATCCTCATCTATCAATAATAACCCTGAATGTAAATGTATTAAGTTCTCCAATTAAAAGATATAGAGTGCTAAATTGATTTTTTAAAGAATGACCTAACTTTATGCTTCCTGCAAGAGAAGTACTTCACCTGTAAGAGAAGCACTTCACCTGTAAGGACACAATAGACTGGAAGTAAAAGGATGAAAATGATATCCCAAGTGGAGACCAAATGAAGACAGGAGCAGCTGTATTTGTATCAGTTAACTAGGCTATAATTGAAAAACTATAAAAAGAGACAAAAATGGTCATTATGTAATTATAAAGAGGTCAATTCAGCAAGAGGATATAACAATTATATAAATACAGCTGGCCCTCTGCATTCACGAGTTCTACATCCACAGACTCAACCAACTACAGAACGAAAATATTTTTAAAAAAATATCCAATCTGTACTGAATATATATAGTTTTTATTATTGTCATTATTCCCTAAACAATAAAGTATACCAAATATTTTACATTGTATTATGTTTATAAGTAATCTAGAGATGATTTAATGCATACAGAAGGATGTACATAAGTTTATACAAATTCTATGCCATTTTATATCAGGTACTTGAGCATCAATGAATTTTGGTAGATGCAAGTAAGAGGTGAAGCCAGCTGGACTTCCTGGGTGGAGTGGGGACTTGGAGAACTTTTCTGTCTGCCTAAAGGTTTGTAAATGCACCAATCAGTGCTCTGTGTCTAGCTAAAGGTTTGTAAACGCACCAATCAGCACTCTGTAAAAACACACCAATCAGTGCTCTGTGTCTACCTAAATAGTTGTAAACACACCAATCAGCACTCTGTAAAAACGCATCAATCAGTGCTCTGTCTGGCTAAAGGTTTGTAAACGCACCAATCGGCACTCTGTAAAAATGCACCAATCAGCTCTCTGTGTCTAGCTAAAGGTTTGTAAATGCACCAATCAGTACTCTGTAAAAATGCACCAATCAGCACTCTGTGTCTAGCTAAAGGTTTGGAAACGCACCAATCAGTACTGTGTAAAAATGCACCAATCAGCTCTCTGTGTCTAGCTAAAGGTTTGTAAATGCACCAATCAGCACTCTGTAAAAATGCACCAATCAGCTCTCTGTGTCTAGCTAAAGGTTTGTAAATGCACCAATCAGCACTCTGTAAAAATGCACCAATCAGCACTCTGTGTCTAGCTAAAGGTTTGTAAACACACCAATCAGCACTCTGTAAAAACGGACCAATCAGCACTCTGTAAAATGGAGCAATCAGTGCTCTGTAAAATGGACCAATTAGCAGGACATGGGCAGGGCCAAATAGGGAATAAAAGCTTGCCATCATAGCCAGCAGCAGCAACCAGCTCAGGTACCCTTCCATGCTGTGGAAGATTTGTTCTTTCGCTCTTCACAATAAATCTTGCTGCTGCTCACTCTTTGGCTCCACATTACCTTTATGAGCTGCGAAGGTCTACGGCTTGACTCCTGAAGTCAGCAAGACCACGAACCCACCGGGAGCAACAAACACTGGATGGGCCACCTTTAAGAGCTATAACACTAACTGCGAAGTTCTGTGGTTTCAATCCTGAAGTCAAGCGAGACCACGAACCCACCGGAAGGAAGAAACTCCAGACACATCTGAACATCTGAAGGAACAAACTCCGGACAGACCATCTTTAAGAACTGTTACACTCACCACGAGGGTCCATGGCTTCATTCTTGAAGTCAGCGAGACCAAGAACCCACTGGAAGGTACCAATTCTGGACACACAAGGATTTCTGGAAACAATTCCCCAGTGATACTGAGAAACAACTATATATATGCACTAAACAGTGGAACACCTAAATATATAAAGCAAATATTATTAGATCCAAAGGGAGAGATAGACTGTAATACAATAATAGTAGCAGACTTCAACATCCCACTTCCTAAAATGGACAGATCATCCACGCAGAAAATCAACCAAAATAAACCCATCAGGTTTAAACTGTACTCTAGATCAAATGGACCTAACAGATATTTACAAAACAGTCCAACCAACAGCTGCAGAATACACATTCTTCTCATTAGCACTTGGAACTTTCTCCAGGATGTATTATATGTTAGAACACAAAACAGGTCTCAACAATTTCTTTTAAATATCAAAATCATATCAAGTGTCTTTTCTGACCATAATATAATAAAAGTAGAAATTAGTAACAGGAGGAACTTGAAGAACAAATGGGTCAATAAATATATTTAAAAGGAAATTAAAAATATAGTGGGACAAACAAAAATGGAAACACAATATATCAAAACCTATGGGATACAATAAAAGGAGTTCTAAGAAGGAAATTTATAGCCTACATCAAAAAATTAGATCTCAAATAAACCAAACATTGCACCTCAAGGAATCAGAATAAACAAGAACTAAATCCAAAATTAAAAGGAACGACATATAAAGATAAAAAAAATGTGGCACATACACACCATGGAATACTATGCAGCCATAAAAAAGAATAGTTCGTGTCCTTTGCAGGGGCATGGATGAAGCTGGAAACCATCATTCTCAGCAAACTAACACAGGAACAGAAAACCAAATATTCCATGTTCTCACTCATAAGTGGGAGCTGAACAATGAGAATACATGGACCTAGGGAGGGGAACATCACACACTGGGGCCTGTTGCGGGGTAGAGGGCAAGGGGAGGGAGAGCTTTAGGACAAATACCTAATGCACACAGGGCTTAAAACCTAGATGATGGGCTGATGGGTGCAGGAAAGCACCATGGCACATGTATACCTATGTAACAAACCTGCATGTTCTGCACATGTATCCCAGAACTTAATACTTTTTTTAAAAAAAGAAACATAAACATTAAAGCAGAAATGAAAAAATAGAGACTAAAAAATACAGAAGATCAACAAAACAAAGTGTTAGTTTTCTGAAAAGATAAAATGAACAAACCTTTTGCTAGACTAAGAAAACAGAGAAGATCGAAATGAATAAAATCAAAGATGAAAATGAAACATTACCACTGCGTATTTTTTAATCCATTTTTGACGCTTCAACCTTTCCTGTTTCATGCTGAGATGAGATCATCACCACATCCTACTCTAGTCAAATAAGAAAATCTAATCTTGAGTTACAAATTTATTAAAATTCTTTAATGATAGAATTTCTTTTCTATGGACACTGAAAAACTCTTCTCTACTGCTATATACCAAATATTTATGTCCCCCAAAAATTCATTTGTTGAAACCTTATCCCCAGTGTGATGCTATTTGGAGATAGAGACTTTGGGAGGTGATTAGGTCATGGGGCTCGTGCCCTCATGAATGGGATTAGTGTCCTTATAAAAGAGATTCTAGAGAGCTCCCTTGCCTCTTCCTCCACTAGAGAACACAGCAAAGATGGGCATATGTGAAGCACAAAGCAGGCCCTCACCAGGTACTGAATTTGTTAGCACTTTGATCTTGGACTTCCCAGCCTCCAGAATTGTAAGAAATAAATTTCTGTTGTTCATAAGCTACCCAGTTTATGGTATTTTGTTATAGCATCCCAAACAGACTAAAACAACTATGTACCAAGAAACTGATATTTTAGTTCCCAGGACTATGCCATGGGTATAATTCATTCATTCATCAAATATTTATTTAGTGACTACTGAGGAAAAGACCCTTTAATGCACTGTGGATACAACATATAAAAAACAAAGATCAATTTTAAGGTCTAGTAGAACACATAGATTAGTGGATGAGACAGAACAAAACTTTAAAATACGTGAAGCAAAAAAAAAAAAAAAATAACAGATAAGTAGACAAGTAAAAATAATATTTAAACATTTAAAAACCATTCTTTCAATAATTGATAATTAGACCAAAAAATCATTAGGACAATAGAAGATCTGAACAAAGCTACAATCACCTTCACCCAATTGACATTTATAGAACACTCCATTCCAATAGAGCAAAACGCACATTGTTTTCAAGTATATATGGAACATTTATCATGATGGGACCATATACTAGGACATATAACAAGTATTACATATTTTAAAGTACTAAAATAATATAGTATATTTTCTGGACACACAGAAATTAAATTAGAAATCAGTAACAAAATTGTATCTGGAAAATCCTGAAATATTTGGAAATTAAGCAACTTTTTTTTTTTTTTTTTTTTGAGACAGAGTCTTGCTCTGTTGTCCAGCTATTTTTTTGTATTTTAGTAGAGACGGGGTTTCACCATGTTGGCCAGGCTGGTCTCCAACTCCTGGCCTCAAGTGTTCCACCAACCCTGGCCTCCCAAAGTGCTGGGATTACAGGTGTGAGCCACTGCACCCCGCCTAAACAACATACTTTTAAGACATGAGCCAAAAACAATTACCTAACAAAATTTGTGGTATGCAGGAAAATAGCACTTGAAGGGAAATTTATAGCTTCAAATAGTTATATGTGAAAAGAGGCTTTCACTTATGAAGTCAAGATAATAAAAGCAGTTAAACTCAAAATAAGTAGAAAAGGTTAATAAAATGGATATAAATCTCTAGCTAGACTGATCAAGGAAGACAAATAAATACAACAATATCAGAAAAGAAAGAATATAACTACAGGTCTTGCAGACAGTAAATACATAGATAATAAAGGAGTATTATTGTTATGGGTTGAACTATGTCCTCCAAAAATGTATGTTTAAATCATAACCCCCATACTTGTGAACGTGACCTTATTTGGTAACAGGGTTGTTTTGCAGATGTAATCATGTTAACATGAGATCATTAGGGTGGGCCCTAATCCAATATGACTAGTGTCCTTATTAAAAGAGAAAACCACATGTGAAGGCAGAGATATGCAGGGAGAAATTCATGTGATGACAGAGTCAGAAATTGAGGAAGAAGCTGAAAGTGCAGTAACACCAGGTACTGACAGCCACCACTGGATGCTAGGAAGAGGCAAGGAAAACTCCATCCAGAGCCTCAGAAAGAGAGTGGTCCTGTTAACACCTTAATTTTGGACTCCTGGCCTCCAGAACAGTGAGAGAATAAATCTCTGTTGTTTTAAGCCACCAAATTTCTGGTACCTTGTTACAGTAGCCCTAGGAAACTAATATGACTATGAAGAACAATATGCCAATAAATTTGACAATGTAGACAAATGAAACAAGTTTCTTAAAAGACAAAGATTAACAAAATTGACAGAAGAGACAGAACGTCTAAATGGCCCTGTCTGTTAAAGAAATAGTATTCCTAATTAAATACATTCTCCCAGAGAAAAGCTCAGGCCTAGATTATTTCACTGGTAAATTAGATCAAACATATAAGGAAAGAAAAATACAAATTCTGAAAAAAAAAACTTTCAAAAATAGAAGCATATTAAAAAATATCCCAAATGAATATATAAGACCAGTGTCTTCCCTATACTGTAAACATTAAAAATTTTTAAAAAATAGACCAATATCTGGGGCCGGGCGCAGTGGCTCACGCCTGTAATCCCAGCATTTTGGGAGGCCGAGGCGGGCAGATCACCTGAGGTCGGGAGTTCGAGACCAGCCTGACCAACATGGAGAAACCTTGTCTCTACGAAAAATACAAAAAACTTAGCTGGGCATGGTGGCACATGCCTGTAATCCCAGCTACTCGGGAGGCTGGGCAGGAGAATTGCTTGAACCCAGGAGGTGGAGGTTGTGGTGAGCCAAGATTGCGCCATTGCACTCCAGCCTGGGCAACAAGAGTGAAACTAGGTCTCAAAAAAAAAAAAAAAATTGACCAATATCTTTTATGAATATAAACACAAAAGTCCTTTAAAAATTACCCAATTAAGTTCAGCAACATATAAGGAATATAATATACTGCAACCACATGAGATTTATCTAAGAAGTGCAAGTTTTGTTTAACATGCAGAAATCAATCAATGCAATTCACCATATTAAGTGACAAAATGAGAAAGGCTATGTAATTATCTCGATATAGAAAAAATGTATAAAAAATCAACTCCCATTCATGATAAAACTGTTAATATATTAAGAATAGAAGAAAACTGCCTCAAAATGATCTAGAGAATCTGTGAAAAACCAACAGCTGACCTCACACATCACAGTGAAAAACTAAATGCTTTTCTCTGTAAGACTGGGAACAAGGAACGAATGCCTACTAGAATCAGTTCTCTTTAACATGGTCCTGGAGGTCCTAGCCAGTACAATGAAACAAGAGAAAGAAAAGAACGAAAGGAAAAGTAAAACTTTCCATATTCTTATAGGACATGATTGTGAACATAGAAAGAAAACTCTTAAGGAATCTACAAAAAAAAATTGCTAGAAATAAGAAGTACACTTAGCAAAGTGATAAGATATGAGGTTAATTTACAAACTCAATTTTATTTCTATAAACTAACAACAAATACTTTGAAAAATATTTTAAATTCCATTTAAAATATGATCAAAAAATAAATTTTACAAAATATGTGTAATATATTCTAGCCAGGTGCGGTGGCTAACACCTGTAATCCCAGCACTTTGGGAGGCCAAGGCAAGTGGATCACAGGAGGTCAGGAGTTCGAGACCACCCTGGCCAACATGGTGAAACTCCATCTCTACTAAAAATACAAAAAAAAATTTAGCTGGGCATGGTGGTGTGTGCCTGTAGTCCCAACTACTCGGGAGGCTGAGGCAGGAGAATCACTTGAACCTGAGAGGTGGAGGTTGCAGTGAGACGAGATGGTGCCACTCTACTCCAGCCTGGGTGACAAAGTAAGACTCCATCTCAAAAAGACAAAAAATAACTGGGTAATATATTCCAAAAAAGTACCACAATGCTCAGAGAAATTAAAGAAATGAGAACTAAATGAGAGATAAATCATGTTCATTAATTCTAGCACTCAATATTATTAAGACGTCAATTCTCTCAGATTAATCTATAGAGTCAACGCAATCCCGGCCAAAATCCCATTAGGCATTTTTGAAGAAATTTTGAGAAAATGGAAGAACCTGGAATAGCCAGTATACTTTTAAAAGAGAATGGATTTGGAGAATTGGAACATTTGATTTCAAGGGCTACTATGAAGCTATAGTCATTGAGACATTATGGTACTATTACAAGAATAGGCATACAGAATGCTGAGACTGAATAGAGAATCCAGAAATTGACCCACACAGGTAGGTCAATTAATTTTCTACAAAGGCACCAAAGTAGTTCAATGAAGAAAAGGAAAGTCTTTTTAACAGCTTGTGCAAAAACACCTGGATATCCATATGGAATAATAATGAACCTCAACTTTTTCTCACTTATATAGGAAAATTAACTTGAAATGGATAGAAGCTAAAGATAAAACTATCAAGCTTCTAGAAGCAATTATAGGCAAAGATTTCTTAGCTCTGTGCTCTTAATAAAGGCAAAGATTTCTTAGCTAGAAATTAAGAAGCATGAATAAGGAAAAAATGATGTTAGGCTTCATTAAATTTTTATGTATTTATTTTTCCATAGGTTATTGGGGAACAGGTGGTGTTTGGTTACATGAGTAAGTTCTTTAGTGATGATTTGTGAGGTTTTGGTGCAACCATCTCCTGAGCTAAAATTTTAACACTTCTGCTTCTTGAAAGACACCATTAAGAAAATGAAAAGGCAAGACATAGCCTGGGAGAAAATATTCACATTATCTACATCTAACAAAGGATTTGTATCCAAATTATATAAGGAACTCTTACAACTGTATTATCAGAAGACAGATGAACCCAAATTTTTTAAGTGGGCATATGAATGTTTTACAAATATACATATGGCCAATAAACCCATAAAAAGATGCTCAGTATCATTAGTCTTCAAGGAAATGCAAATTAAAAATGACAATGAGATACCACTAGACAGCTACTACAATGGCTACAATTAAGAAGACACAATATCAAGTGTTGAAAATGATGAGGAGCAAATGTAATCTTCATATGTTGCAACTGAGAGAGTAAAATGATGCAACCACATTGGAAAATAGTTTCGAAGTTTAGAAGTTTTTTTATAAAAGTAGGCCAGGTAAGGTGTCTTATGCCTGTAATGACAACACTTTGGGAGGCCAAGGTTAGAGTATTGCTTGAGGCCAGGAGTTTGAGACCAGCCTGGGCAACATAGAGAAACCCCATTTATAAATAAATAAATAAATAAAAGTAAACATACACTTACCAGAGGGCCCAGCAATCAGACTCCCAGGTATTTACTAAAAAGAAATTAAAACCTGTCCACACAGATACTTGCACACAAATGTTCATGGCACCTTTATTCACAATAGCCAAAAACTGGAAACACATCAAATGTCCACAGGTGAATGAAGAAATAAATTGTGGTATATCTGTACAATAGAATACTACCTAGTAGGAAAAAGAACGAAATGCTGATACACAAAACCATAGATATAATTCAAAAACATGCTGCGTAAAAATAAGCCAGATACAGAAGAGTACATGATGCATTAAATTCTAGAGTAGGGTAAACTAATTTGCAGATAGAAAGCACATCCCTGGTTGCCTGGGGCAAAGTGGGTGGCGAAGGGCAGAAAGGAACTTTTAGAGATGATGAAAATATTCTATATCTTGATTTCATACTGTGTAAGATATATATGTGTGGGTGTGTGTGTATATATATATGTTAAAACCCATATTCCTCATGACTTAAAGTGAGTGCATTTTATTGCATGAAAAGTATAACTCAATAAAGTTAATTTTTAAAATGTCAAGGTCAAGAAAAAGCCTAAAGAACTGTTTCAGATTAAAGAAGACTAAAGAGACATTACAATCAAATGCATTGAATTATCCTGAACATGGATTTTTAAGAAATACACATAAATGGCATTATTGGGACAATTGACAAAATTTGAACATGGATTACAGATTAGATCATAGTACTGTACTAATGCTAAATTTCCTGAGTTTGATAATTGCACTGTGATTATATAAAACAAAGCCCTTGATCTTGGAAAATATTTAGACAAAGGGACATGAAGTCCTCAATTTATTATTAAGTGGAAGATAGAAAGAGAGAAATATAAAGCAGAGCAAAATATAAACAACTAGTAAGTATGAGTAAAGGTTATATAGAAGTTCCTTGTACTATGCTTGCAACTTTCAGTAAGTTTGAAGTTATATTTTGTAGCAAAACAAATGTTTTAAAAGATGAGGTAACTTCTAGATGGGAAGAAAAAAATAACTACATTCTAGTTCACAACTGCTTTCAAAACCAGAAGATGCTGGAATGATTTATCCTATTGATAAGAAAAAAGACCCAGGATATAATATCAGAGTTCTCTAACTGGTTGTATAGGTAGTTCTGAGAATTAGAAAGAATGAATAATTCCTCAGGGACATTAAAGGAAGGAACAACCACTCTCAAAAGAGAAAATCTCCTCTTCTCCAGGAAGAAAGATGGCATCTGATCTTTAAAGTCATAGTCCAAAATAATTTTCTTTTTCTTCCTGTTCATCTTTATCTTTTGAAGAATTAACTAAGTCCCACAGTTAAAAGCAATGATTTATAATCAGAAATTATTATGGGAAACAAAAAAAGAAAACATTCCATTTTCACCTTTTCTTCTTGGCGCACACCGAATCAGAGAAAATAGAGTCTATTCTCTTCCCACAGATACAATTGTACGTTTGAATGCAATCAATAGTTGCCATTCTTGTTGAGGTCAAAAATGCACATTCTCCTCTCCCAGAAGAAAAACGCATTATTGTAGAATTACTGTAGAACAGAAAACATATGTAGTCAACTGTTTAATTCCAAAGCTTACAACTGCATAAACCATGATTTTAAAAAATTCTGCTGCCTAAATGTCTAGAATATGGAAATGCTTATCATAACTTCATCACTAAAATATTTTCTTTTGCTCTTAGTCCATTAAATAGAATCATGACCTCTTAATCACACCCACAATCTCCCATTTTATTCCACACCGACAATTTTTGGTCAGAAGGCAAAAGTACCTTGCAATATTGCAATGAAATTATGATATATTGCTTTCTTGTGCTAATTTTTTTTCAATAAAAGTGAGAGATTAAAAAAGAAAGATGGTGGCCAGGTACAGTGGCTCACACCTGTAGCCCCAGTACTTTGGAAGGCTGAAGAGGGCTGATCACTGGAGCCCAGGAGTTCAAGACTAGCCTGGGCAACATAGTGAGATCCTATCTCTACCAAAAAATACAAAAATTACCAGATTATCAGGGTGTGGTGGCACACGCCTGTAGTCCCAGCTACTCAGGAGACTGAGGCAGGAGGATCACTTGAGCCCGGGAGGTTGGGGCTACAGTGAGCTGAGATCATGCCACTGCACTCCAACCTGGTGACAAAGTGAAATCCTGCCTCTAAAACAATTTAAAAAAGAGAGAGAGAGAGGAATTGAATATCTGTAACATAGATAACCAGGGCTCATGTATATATATTGTAAGAAGAAAAGGGAAGAATTGGAATATAGTCAGAGATGAGATTGTTCGATCGTGTTTTCTCTCCGGGAAGAATTGGAATATAGTCAGAGATGAGATTGTTCGATCGTGTTTTCTCTCCTTTCCTCCCCCACCCTATAGCTAAGAGTTATTAGCTAATGACAATTCTTTGAAAAATATCTAAAGCATGACTTCTATTTTAGCAAAATGGTTAAGTGCCAGAACTACCTTCCTATTAAAAACAATTTAAAATACTGAATAAAAAATATGTTAAGCCTTCTTGACTAACTTCATAAACTGTTAAGAAGCAGATTCATACTCAGGCTGAATATTAAGTAAAGGTGGGACTGCAGAAGGGCAAGTGAAGCACTGAAGATCGTTTTTCCCTTAATGGATGTAGTAGGCTGAAATGAATTCCACTCAAGATGGAGATTCTAAGTAGAAGATAAGCTACGTAGGACTGAGAACCCAAAGGGATATACATTCAGTATAAACCACCTAGAATTGTCTTGAACCTTGGATCTAAGCAGAAAAGCCCCCACTTAAGAACTCAAAATCAAAAAGCATCCGTATATGTTTGCATTTGCTGTATTACTTAAGAAAGTTCAAATCTGCTACAGGAAAATAAAGAAACAGGTAAGGAAGATAAATGAAACCAAGTAGTTTGTGAGGCATAGGTAGAACTCACAAGATGTGTTAGGTGTGAACAGGTAAAATTAGTAACATATGAGATGTTAGATATAGATACGTAAGTAAAGTATGTGAGCACCGAACATAGACAAAAAAAGAAGGGACCAAATAGACACTAAACATACACAAAATAAACATGAGGCTCATACAAACTCAACATTCTTGAGGTCTTAAATTCACCACCCATTGGTGATACCCATTCTGGCCTCTGCCCAAGAAACACAAATTAAATCCACAGCTGCTCATCAGGGTAACTGGAAACTTACAGCTGTGGCCAGGCTTACACATTCCTGTAAGAGAGAATCTTCCCTGTAGACAAACATGTGTGTGCTGGCCACAAAAACTTTGTGTCTGTTGGGACCCCTTACTCACACGACAAGATGTCCCCATATCATCATCAGGAGAGGATTATGCAGCAGAGAGAGTCAGGTCGTATGAAGACTGCATAACCCAAGATTCACGGTTATGCACAACCCAAGATTCAGGGTGATCCCTTCACCCTGCACCTTATCCCAAGTGCATCAACTTATCCCATCTCTTTCCCTTTGAACTGTGCTATGGGTTTTACATTGGTTTAGCCAACTGTGATTTGATCATCTTAATTTGGCCTGTGAGCCTTTCTGTTCTCTGACCTCTGGAATAGTTTGCCTGGGAGTGTGCTTGAAGGATATGATTACATCAAGGTAATTCCCTCTGTGTGACATCTTTTGCAGGTTTGCAGCCCAGAACTACAATACTTGCAGAACCCACACTTAAAATTATAATAATTAGGATTTTTTAAAAGTCAATGAATAGTTTAACCATAACTAAATGTAAACCCAAGAGTTTACTAATAATGTACTTCAAAATAGAAGGTCTATAGTGAAGGTGTGTGTGTGTGTGTGTGTGTGTGTGTGTATGTATATATAAAATACATATGTTTTATGTGCTATGTATGTATAAACTAATTACATAAAGTAACTCAAAATAAATTTTTTGCATACTCAGAATACTCATTTGTGGTTGTGGGAGGGATCATTATGGCTGACTTAGGATGGTCCAATCACTTCATACCACCCACCTTCCTTTATGATTTTATTTCATTTTATGTACCTCATAATACATATTTCTGAGCACGTATTTAGCGTGATACTTTTAAAATTATTATTAACTCTTTGTGGCTCATCTCTTCCTTTTCTACCTATACTTCCTAAAACACTCTTACCCATTGTTCTAATTGTTACTAAAGACTCCTGCTTAAAAATGAGTTAAACTGTGTGAAATGAGAAAAGATTCTCTTTAGACACAATCATTTCACCCCCGCCCCCCCACCAATGTTACAGTTTGAATGCTTTCCAGACACTTACATTCCAGGAGATGTGCCATTATCAATCCATTTCCACTTACTTTCCCTTTCATCATATGATAATCCAATCCAGTAATTATTTTCATAAATCTGAGATTGAATGAAGGCCTATAATAGAAACAAAACATATCAGGTGACTAAATTCCCATCTGTTCGATGAGTGAGAACAAGGACAGGTCAAGGGGCCGACTGTTTCTATGGCCAGTACTCTGCTACTCTCCACATCATCCTTCACCCCTTTTCCCTAGAAAAACCTCTCTTCCCTAGATCCCTGCCTTTCCATTTCCCAAAGTAATTTTCCCCTCATATTAATATAGTATTCATTTATGTTAAAAAATGGCTGTCAGTATCACTGACTATTTAAAACATGGAAAAGTTTAATATCCAAATATCTACCAATAGGAAAGTTGTTAAATATTTTATAATGCTTTATGAAACTATCCAAAATCATGCTCCAGAAGAATATTTAGGATGTAGAAAATTGATCAACACTTAATCTTAAGTGAAAAAAGGAATCCTCAAAACAAATCTATTAAAATAAAAAGGTGTGTGTATGATAGGGGCGCAGTAAAATCTTAAGCCCCATAAGAGGAAGCCTTGCTATAGTTCCATAGTTGGAATGGGTGAAGTATTTGGAAGTATTTACTATGTCTAAAATGTAATATATCAAAGTGACATATTACATAATGTCTGATTAAGTGACTAAATATATTTTAAAATACAGGTTTAAATGTAACTTTTACTGTATCATATGAAATTATTTCATAACTTGATATCATGAATTCTTTTATGCTATGATTTTTTAAACATTCATTAGATTTGCATATACATTTTGTGTTGTTTTCCTAAACAATAAATAAAAGTTTCAGGCTAATCTTTGCAAACATACCTCTATAAAAACATATTTTGAGTATTTGGATAACTTTCATTAGTAACAGTTTTTAAAAATTTTAAACATAATTGTTTTAAAATTCAATATTGTTATATTCAATATTGTTATCACTATTATTCCGTATTGTTACACTATATCACTATATTTTCTCTTTTTACAATTCTGTTTTAAAGATACACATCTTGAGATAATATATAAGAATGTTAAAAAAAAGAAAAAGATCTCAAAAAAAAAAGAATGTTAAGTGGATGTTACCTATGAATGCAATGAAAATCACTATTGAGGCTAATTTGTAAAGCTGTTATCACTTTTACGTTCCTCATTATTATCTCCATTTTGAAGATAGGCTCGGAGAGGTTAAATAAATACTAGAGGTCATCCATCTCCCTTTCTAAGGAGTCTGCAGTATAACCACTGACAGGGAGATGATTTGCAAAGACCCAAACAGCATCCTTAATAATAATGGTCATCATAATAGATAACGTATTGAATATTTAGTAAGTAGTAGAATTATATGACCATTAGCAGGCATTGTTTCCTGGGAGCCTCTTAACTACATCATTTTTGCTCACACGACAGACACACACAAAGAATAGTTGAAGTCTCTCACTCTGGGCTCCAGCCTGTCTTCAATATCTTAGGTCCAACATTGAGAAACAGAGTCCAAGAGAATAAAAGTGAATGTAAAATACGAGTTCATCTTTGTCATCTATCTTCAAAAGGGATGATCTACAATGTTGACAAGTCTGTTTACATCCCTTCCAGTCTTTCTTCTGCATGGTAAAATAATAACAGTTTACTCCACAACAGGACCCGTGGTCTTCAGAGAATTTGCCTACAATATATAAGGTGAATCATCAAACTTCTTGTCATCTGGTATTCTGTTAACCAGAGGAATATGTTTATCAGCCCATCATAACTAAATAAAATCCCAATAGCAATCAATAATTATAATACAAGGTTCATCAAGATTCTGGAATACAAGAGATACCTTCACTCCAGTGTCCAATGCAGCATTATTCACAATAGCCAAGCTATGGAAACAACCTAAATGTCCACTGATGGACGAATGGCTAAAGAAAATGTGTTATATACACAGAACGGAATATTATTCAGCTTCCAAAAGAAGTAAATCCTGCTATATATGACAACATGGATGAACCTTGAGGACATAATGCTCAGTGAAATAAGCCAGTCACAGAAGAACAAATACTTTATTATTCCAATTATAGGAGGGATCTAAAATAGTTAAACTCACAGAAGCATAGAATGGTGGTTGCCCAGGATTGGAGGGAAGTTCAATGGTATAAAGTTTCAGTCATGCAAGATAACTAGGTTCTAGAGATCTGCTGTACAGCGTAGTGCCAATAGTTAATGATACTGTATTGTACACTTAAAAACCTATTAAGAGGGTAGATCTCGTGTTGTTACCGCAAATACATAAATAAATGAAAGGACATGAGGAAACTTTTGGAGATGATGGATATATCTATTACTCTGATCGTGGTGATGGTTTCATTTCTGTCCAAATTCGTCAAATTGAAAACATTAAAAATATGCATTTTTGTATATCAATAATACCTCAATAAAATTGTCTAAAAACAATAAAATTGAATTAAGTTTTTAAAAAAGATTCTAGAATGTTTTCTAAATAAAAGAAAAATTTTAAAACTTTTTCTTTTCCTCCTATATTTTATACTATATTAAACTTTTAAAATACTACTCAGCCTTTACAAATAGAGATGGTAAATTTCTACTAATTATCATACCTAAATGAGATTAAATATACAAAAATTCTTTGTAAACTCTAAATCCTAAACAAGTATTTAGTAGTTGTTGATTAACCGGGTCAATTAATTCCATCATTATGCAAGATAATAGAGTTTACTGTATGAGATTTAATATTTTTATATCTTAAGTGCTTTCAACGGTATCATCGCACAGAGTCGCACAAACATTAACACTGTGGCAAATCTTGCAGATGTGCTACAGGGAGTACATACTGGTCACAAATAGACCAAATATGTGAAACCAAGGCAGAATGGAAACACACACGTGTGCACGACACACACAATTATCTTTATAACAGCATCCAAATAAAAGCCCTTGTGCCCATTTTAGCACAAATATATTTTTACTGAAAACCTCCATATTCTATGTCAGCAAAAAGTGCAAGTCTTTAATTTGCTCACAGGACCAAAATGATCAGAATTTTCAGGGGAGTTTACATACGAATTCATCTTTTGGGAGCATTAATAATGTAAGATGTGCCAATGAATTTTGGGAACTGTAGGCTTTTACTAATCTAAACATGGATCCTGGGGTCCCAATCCCACATTTGAAACAAGCAAAACCTCCAAGATACCCACACTACATCTAAGAGGCACAGATTAAAAGTTGCCCAGTAGACCTCAGAGGTCGCTAATACTATCATAAGCCTGTTTATTAGGCTTCAAGGATTATGGAGGGGAAGAAATAATGCAAAATCATGCAATCTTTCATTCAAGATTTCCTTTGTACCTGTATTTTGCAAAACTTTAAAAACGATCTCATTTTCTCTATGACATCTGTTCTTTTGTATAAGGCGTGAATCCAGTTCCTTTTTCTGCTGAAAGCTATTTTTGAGAACGTCAAATTTTAAAGTCTTATTTGTCAAAATCTGCTCTTTTAAGTAGTTGTCATTTTGCATGATGTACTTTTCACTACAGTTTCTTAGAATTTCCTGCCGTTGATGTTTTTCTTGAATACACTGAAAGACTAAAATTAATGGCATAGATATAATACAAATAAGTACTCATAATAATTAAATATTGAAATTTAAGACAAAAGAAAAAATTTCACTCTGACAACCATTAATCATTACTTTAATTAGTCATTACTTTGATTAGTAATTTGACATTTAGAAAGTAACACCTCAACGAACTGGCCATAAAAAGGGAAACATAAATTTCTCACCATTAGCAACTTAAGTGTAGGATAAATAACATATCTGAATAAAATTATGAAGGTGACACCTTACTTCTCAGTTTAGTTTATTTTTAATAACTCATCATTTACAAATAAGCACTAAAGTAAAAGTCAGTTTGCCAACATTTAACCACATATCTTCTGCATATGAAAATCTGAACTAAGAAAGAAACATGAAGTGATAGCACAATTATTATTGGGGCAGATAGACTATCCGCAGCAGAAAAGAGAGTAAGATCCAGATACGTAATTTTATCTGAATATAAAATATCAGTGATTTTTTTCAAAAGATATGAAGGAATTCAAACAAAAGGTAAAGCTTGAATTTAATATTATATAACTGCATGTGTAGATTCTTTCTTTTACTAAACCATTTCGTCATTACATACTTTGAGAAATGTCAAGAGAAAGCCATAATTTCTTTTGAACAGTTGTCTCTCAAAGAATGTTTATCTCAGATTCACAATAATCAAACCCAAATGGCAGAATACATGTATTACTAAATCCTCTATGAGAAGGAATATTACCATGTATTATACACAGTGAGACAGCTCATCACAGATTCAGAGTCAAGGTTAAGTAAATTAAAAATGACACTGTCATATGCCCAGAAAAAAATTACCAACAAAGGCCAGAGCCACCTGGGACATTCTCTGATTACAGACGGGGAACAATGGACGGAGCATGGTTAATATCTGCACAATCAGTGGTTACTGCTGCTACTCGGACGAGAAAGCTGTATTTTATTACTCACTATTTGTCACCAACACTGTGACTATCATCAGAAGAAGTAAACAGAGGATCCCAAGAGTCACTGCAATGAGGTGCCAGGGCACTGAAAATTCTTTAAATACAAAAATAAGGAAAATAATCACCAGGGGAAGAGCTTGGCTCACTACTAATCTTGACCTGAGAAACCATTTGAAACAAAGAGACAATATCCTCTAAAACTCTGACAAAAATATATCACACAAGTATATTTAAATTTGTAATCTGGAAATTACATGCATGCATTGTAGAAATCCCGCACACAGGAATAGTTCTATAGGATTTAAAAAGTCCATCCCACATAAAAGCACCAATAGCAGTAGACACAAAACATGTAGCAAAATCTAAGCTAACGTGTGTGTTCCTTCCTGTGATCACAACTAATCATGAAGAGAAAGGAAAAAGCACTCAATAATGCTAAGAAATTAGTAGTCAATAGTGGATATTCTGAAGCTGCAAATGTGGATGGGTCCATCTTTGAGGGAGTTTCTAGAAATCAACTTTTCTTTCTTTTTCATCAATTCTATTTTTCTCTAAACAATGCTATATTTATCCTTTAGCTTTTGAGATCCTCAGTGTCTGAAAGTTGTATCTCTGATTATCTCTATATTAAAGCAGCAAAAGTTATTCTCAATGCATAGTTTAACAATGACCACATTTGAAGGGAGAGAGAGAGAGCATAGAAAAATTAGAATGCCCCTTTTGATTCAAACATTGTTACTGCATCATTGCCATTAAGATTTGGTAAATACTTAAGGCACATAAAATATCTGCTATCTGCATAAAAATGTTGTTTTTAACATTGATTTTTCATTTCTTACACTTCCTCTCATACTTTTATTTCTCTAGGAAATGTCATGTTTTCTTCAGATCTAGTCTGTCCTTTGTTATCAAGGCCTCACAAATTCTTCTTGACCACATTTAAATAAAAACATTCTACTAGTTTCTCAAATTTAAAAGAATTCACTCATTTCTCCATTCTCACAACTTAAAACAAAAATACTTCTACTACTCTGCCCCATTATAGTTTCTTATCACCAGCCAAGAACAAGAAGTACAGATAGGAATCTTTTTTCAAATGTCAAAAGTTTGACAATCCATAAGAAACAGGTGAATGTAAATGCTTAAAACGCATACCTTTGTCATCAGTTTTCCCAGGCCTTTGAGTATCATCAGGCCTTAATCTATTCTGTGACTCTGAAGGAGACTGCAAAAATCTCAGGGTTGAATAAATCTCTCCCTGATCATTCATCTTTAGAGTAAGAAGGTAAGTTTTGCATTCAAATCCTGAAATAGGATGGTTTCTGTTGAAAGAAAAATTAAAATGTCAGCCAATAAGAACACACCAGGATTTGATGCTGAGAGATGTATGTGTGCCTGTCTGTGTGTCTATTGGCGTGTGTTTATTAACTAAGTGCCTAAAGCATTTAGAGTGAGCCTCATTTATAGAAGAAATGAAAAATCTTTCAATACTTTTGTTAAAGTCATTTATACTTCTAGTGATCACAGCCATGATAATGAGAAAATACAGAAATGATGAGAAAAAAATCTACCAATAGATTATTGTTCTATTCACCCAGCCAATTTTGCTCAAAATATTCAACATACATATACAAATGTTAGGTAAAATTGATACCACTGCAAATCACTGAAACACTTTATGAGTTCAACAAACAAAAAATCTAATAAATTCTGGAAAAATAAAAATATCTTGGCTTTTAAAAACTTACATGTATTCTAATATACATGTAAATATAACAAAGTTCTTGCATTCTTTCCAACTATACTTGACTCTATCAGAGTGCTTTCCAAAATGTATCGCATATACCTTCTACAAAAGAATTATTTGAGGGTTAATATTGCAAATTGGTTAACATGCCAGACTCAGTGCCTTTTGCAAGATGTACTAAATAAAAATCACTTCGGTTGGAGCCCAGATAAATGTATTTTAAATCTCAAATGATTCCATGTACGTTAAAATTTTAGAAATAATCTTCCGGTATATTGCCAGAGAAGCCTATGTGAAAATAACAGTTGTCAACAGGCAGTCATTAATGTCCATAAAAGATTCTATTGATTAATGAATGTCAATATAGAAAAGAATAATTAAATAGTAAATACCTAAAATTTACTTCTTATGTTAGTCAGTATAAAAAGATGATATCCAAGAAATGAGAAATATGAAAAAACAAATTGCACATGTAACCATATTCTTTTCTAATTTTTTTAATTTACAAAATTTTCTAACCTAGTCACATTTTCCCTAATTTCCTAAGAAAAAGAAGTATTTTCTATTATAGAGTCATTCAAGATGGATAAAATATGTAAATCATTAGACTTAAGTAAAAAGTAATTAACCCCTCAAATCTCTATTCTTTATTTTGATAACACAAAGCAAAAATCACAGCATATTGAGAAAGAGAAAATAACTTTTTGTTAATACTGGACTACAATTTCCTTCAAAGTAGTGCAGCATTAATACAATCAGTAGCGAATGCTTTCCTATCATTTCTGTTATAATGCTAAGTCATTTGTAGTTAAATGCCGTATTTCTAGAATTAGTAAGACTAAGGATAATCTGGTAGAAAGATCTGAGAAAATAAAAGTGGATATTACCTGTATCTGTGCTATGCAGTGGTGCAGGTGGAGAAAACTGATTTCAAAATGAGGGAGAAGCTGGCCTTTCGGGTCCTGGATCCCTTAGGGGCTATAACATGAAAGGCAGAAATAAATTCTCTTCGAATGATACTGTAACTCAAAATTTTCTGCCCCACCTCTTGACCAAAGTGATAAGAGGAAATTGTATCATGAAAGCTGGTACTGACGGGAAAGGAAAGATAGTCAAAAGCTGCATATTCCTCTATCTCAACTAACCAACCACTTAGTACTCTTTGCAAAATAATGTTCAAAATCAATATTTGAGGGCTGAAAAGATAAAATTTTGTACACATCTTTGGAGAAAATAAAACTAATATCATTAACAAAAAACTAACGTACTTTAGAGAAACTGCTGGTAAAAGACATTACTGAAATGTCTATGTATAAAAATATAGACATATAAAAGAAGTGTAATGATTGAACTACTTAGCTCTTAGTTTAAATAACAGTCTCTCTGTTGGAAATGTTCTCCTATATGTCATTATTTTTTAAAAGTTCCTTTTTCTATCTGTTTATTTCAAGTAAATGTATTTTTTAAATTACTTTAAAAGATCCGTAATTCCTCTATAAAATTGTGGCATATATTCTTCCAGTTTTTTTTCTCTGTATGTTGTGCTTACTATCAAGGTTGGTATCATTCCTTACACAGTATTTTTTATTTATTATTTTCTAATAAATAATATGTATTCCATTATTTCAAAGAAATTCATCTGAAATGTTATTTTAAAAATATTACTCACAGGGATAAACCATCATTTATTTAGGCAATCCCCTACTATTGGATACTTAAATTGTTTTCAATTTTTTCTATTGTAAAATATATTTGGTCTGTACTTTTTTTTTTTAGGGAAACTTTTTAAGCATAAAATTGTATGTCAAAGGGTATATGTATTTAAAGAACTCTAATATATATCACCAAATGCCCTCCAGAAGAGATGTTCCCTTTGATGTTCCATCAGTTGTGTGTGAAAATGTGCACATTTGATTTTTTAAGAAAAAGATACTGGCAAATTATTTCTCTACTTGAGTTTTCCCACGAAATCTCACTTCATAAAATCTATCCCTAAAACCTTCCAGCAAGGCCTCACATTTTCACCTATATCGAAGACTTGAAAAAATTCATTTTTGTCACTCCACCATGAGGCAGACCCTGCCAGAATGTACTCAGATCTCTCATTGACTTCCACTTTTATTGGATTCAGTCTTTTTCAATCTTCTGATTACAGTTCTAGGAAACCAACTTAAATTGTTCAAATCAGGTGATAGTGGTTAATAAGGAGTGTGGGATAGAGAGGCACAGAACAGCAGGCGAAATTGCTGATACAGGGACATGTAGTCCCTGAAGTCGGCCACATCATCATGTGCAGGCCATCAGATGAAACATCTCCCAGAGGCTAATTTTACTCAATAATGTAGGCAAAGTTTCATGCATGGAGTTTGGACGCTTCAGGAATACTTGCTGCTGGGCATTTTCTTCTTTCCCTCCATCCTGGATTGGCTTCGTCAATCCCAAATCAGAGTAAAGACGGTCCATATCCCTTTATCTCAATGCCAAAATAATAAATAAAGGAAGTTAGTTCTGTGAGAGATGATAGGAAGTGGGTGACAGGGTCAGGGGCTGGGGTGTAGTAATAGCGGATGTTGAAAAGGTGACAGAGATACTGTCACGTATTGGAGTACCTCTTGTGCATATAACCATATTAAAACCTCCCAACATTGACAAGTATTTTCGTCCCCATTTTACAAATGAGGAAACTAAAGTGAAGAAGTTCATTGACTTGCATAAGGAAACATTATTGCTAATTCTTCATTCCTGTTTAAAATCTGGCCTGACTGAAGACAGAGCACAATGGACCGTGAATTCAGAAGGACCCGGGCTTCCAACAAGGCTCTTGCCACAAAGCATGAATCCTGGAACCAGGCAAATCTGGCTTGAAATGCTAGCCCCTAGCTCCCATGTGTGACTTCAGGCAAGTTACTTCATTTCTCTAAGTCTTGTATTCACCATAGTAAAATAGTGATATTTTTTGCCATCCAAGGTTGCTATGAGGGTTAAATGAGGTAAGATCCATCTCAAAGTGTCTAACTACAACCTGGCATATATATGGTGGGCTCTCATAAAATGTTAAAAATTGTTACTTGAAGTCCAAGATTCAAATTGTTCTTATCTATAAAAATTTGAACAAGTCAACCAAATCCTCAAGCCTCACTTTTCTCATAGGTTCAATAAAAGTATCACACGCTTCATAGGCTAGGACTAATTAAATTTAGCACTACAGACAGGATTTCTTACACTTCAAAATAAGTAACTGTTTTCTTGTTTGTTTTTCTTCCCCTAAGGTTCTAATAGGGGAAACACCAGGACTGCAGTGCAGAAATCCTGACATGTTATACTGAGCCAGGTTCTCTATCCTGCCATGAGGCTTGGCGTGCTAGTGCCACCATCACTCTAGAGAAACCATTCCGTGGCTGCATATCTTACTGCCCCATTCAGATAGATACTGGTTATGTTGAGGCATGTTTCTGTTTTGATTTACATCCACATAGCTGGGGAGAAGGTGAATAGTTCTCAGGATGGAGACTAGACAAGTGCAGAGCACAATTTTTTATACTTTTTACATATTGTCTCCTCTATCATAATATAAAGTCCACAAGTCTGTCTTATTCATTATTGAAACTGCAGCACATGTAAGAGGCATGATGCCTACAAGTGCACCTCATGAACCAAGTGGATCAAGTTAAAAGGAACTGACTATAAAATCTAGATTTCTTCATAGTTTTGAAAAGAGGCAGAATGAAACTGACGACGGGAAAGCCAAATTTTCTAGCTGCTCCCCTGTTTTCTCTTTATTACCAAGCTCTGAATTGCTGGAAAAGGCAAATTTCTCCTTTAAAGGAAAACACAATCAGCACCAGAAGATAACAGTAACTTCAAATGAGATTGAAACTCCCTACCTGGCCTTTTGATTAAAGAGGCACAAAGTTGGAAGTATTAAACTTTATCACATCCAGTTAATAAAACAGAAGAGAAATATACAGAGTTTTGAATGTTCTGGTACTTTGCCTTCCAAATTCACTTTTGTGCAAAACATGCACATAACACACAAATATGAATATATGAAGTATTAATTTGCTCATCTTCTGGCTCCTTTCCTGCAAAAGCCCTTTTTATTTAGGAAACCACATATTTTACTCATTCCTTTCTGACCATACCGTTAGCTAGAAGCTTAGAACAGCTTCTAGTCACACCTTCAAACCTTCGGGTCACACTGTCAAACCTCAGTGGTTTATCATTTCACAGCAGCACACTGCTCTTCCTGCCCCAGACTAAAATGAAGGATGTCTGGAAAAACCCCTAGCATGCAGGGAAGATGGTCTGAATCACTTCACTGGGAGGACTAACCTCACCCAGACAAGTTGCCATCTCCTTTTTTATTTGTTCTAATGCCTAACTTTTATCCCACTGCATGACACTGAACTTCCTGGCTCTTATAGTAAAGAAAAAGATAAAACGAGGCCGAAGCAGGCACAAGGTCAGGAGATAGAGACCATTCTGGCTAACACGGTGAAACTCCATCTCTACTAAAAAAAATACAAAAAATTAGCCAGGCGTGGTGGCGGGCGCCTGTAGTCCCAGCTACTCCGGAGGCTGAGGCAGGGAAATGGCATGAACCCCGGAGGCGGAGCTTGCAGTGAGCCGAGATCGCGCCGCTGCACTCCAGCCTGGGTGACAGAGGGAGACTCCGTCTCAAAAAAAAAAAAAAAAAAAAAAATCTCTAGCTTGAGATTTTCTGTTTCCCTAATCACCCTGTTTGTCTTTCTTGTCTTTACAGTAAAATACATTCAAATGCTCTAAGTTTAACATACATTGTCCCAACTGAACCTCTAGTAATTGATCAAACAGCAACCATCCTTCCTCTTATTTCTGAGAAACCAAACAAGAGGGCCACCTCAGGAACTAAGTTAACTATGATGACATAATGGCAAAAAAAAAAAAGGATTCCCGATGGCAATTTAAGAGAAAATAGTTAAGCTGATCTGTAATTAAGACTTCTGATTCTTAAATTAGTATTCTCTCCACCACATCACACAGTTCAAATTAGGACAAGGTAGATGCCAGAGATTTTGAGTGGTAGTTATCCAACTTTACTGATCATCATACGGAAGTCAGCCAAGGCAGATTCTGAACTCACCCTCAAATCCTTCATTTACCTTTGTTGTTTATTAAATTTTTAAAATTTTCTATTCGACTTCATTATCCATTCATGCTAGGAATCCAGTTATTAATTAAAGGGGTCAGTGGTTAAACTTACAGCACAGTCCATGCTCATAGGTTCACACATTTCAAATCAAAACGAAGTAGTCTAACAATAGAATATATAAATCATCTCAGTTACATTAATATTTACATTAAAAATATCCATACAAATAGACTCAGCCTGATACCAATGAAATACCAAAGATAAATAATCTAAAGGCAAATAATCTAAGGACAGAGCAAGACAGCAACCAATTCAACAAACTTAAAAAACACCTACTATATGGAAAAGACTGTGCTAGGGTTCTGCACTATCTCATGAATGGGGAAGAGGTGGGATGAGGTGCAGACAGTACTTGGAAAAAGTCTGATTATTTCAAGTGGTCTCTTTATTAAGGAAGGAGGTAAAAGGAACATAACCTGAGCGCAATAAAAATCTAGTTTCATATAAAACTAGTATTATACAAAATTCAGTTTCTAATGATCACTGTCCATCAGCAACTTACAATCAAATAAAAGACAGATCAAAGTATAAGAAAATTGTAGACGGTAATATTTTCCTAATGACCTAGTCTCCCATCTTGGTTTAAATATGAGAAATTCTAGTAGATAGTGGGGATAGAGCTAAATAAACGAAAACGTAAGGAAGTTAGAGAACGGGGACAAAGACTTAAAGATTTTTCAACGTAAGCACTATTTCTCCTCAACCTTGTTCAGTTTTTAATGGATCATCTTATTCAACAGGAGCCACAACCTGTTTTGAGGAACAACCAACAACTGTGGGCCTACTGGAAGTTCAAAAGACGATTGTTCCTGTTTCTGAGGTTGACATCTAAATGCAAGAAAATTACAATACGATTTCATACTGCACAATCATCAAGGTCTACAACTGGAACAGAAACATTTTACATACAAAAGACCTGAAGATGATAGCGTACTTGCATAATGAAGTGGAAATCATTTGACTTTCCATGGCAAACCTGAAGACAATGGGCATGCATTTTGAGGAGTGAAAAGGACCATCTAGTGCTCCATGGCAAACAGGTTACCAAGCCATGCTCTAGAGCTATACTGTCCAAACGGTAGCCGCTAGACACGTGGCTACCTAAATTTAATCAAAATTAAATAGCACTACAAAAAAAGTAGTTTATTGGCACCAATTACACCAGTTAAGTGAAAAACCAAGATTTATTATAATAGAGATATTACAGTAAAAAAGATGTTAAGTATAGAATCTAGGTAGGGGTAGGCATATAGGTGTTCACTTTATAGTTCTCAAGAGTTTTTAATGTTTTATCCTTTTCACGTTAGAAAAAAATTGTTTAAATAGCACCATAAATTCAGTTATACAAGGCACACCTCAAGTAATCAGTAGGCCTCATTTGGCCAGTTGCTACCCTATTGGACTGCACATAGAACGTTTCCATTATTGCAAAAAAGTTATTGGACTGCCCGACTCTAGAGCCTACCTGCTCAGGAGTCCTGGCAAGCCTTCAGAAACTAATTATTCCACCCAAAATTCAGTGCTAACTTGTTCCTAGGGCAAGTGGATTATAACTACTGGAACAGTGCAACTTTTTAAGAGTGGGGCTTCAGATGGAAGAATAAAAGGAAACAAGGAACATGGTTACTAAAAGTAATGAAAGAGGAAATCTATCAGAAAGAGGTTGAAAGGAACTGGGAAACTGAAGTGAGACTCGTGGTCAATAGGAGTTAAAAATATTTATGTACATTCATACATACATATATGTTTGTCTAAATGTTTAACAATTTATAAAGCTGAAAACTCATTTAGTTCTCCCCCCTCCCCTACACACCAAATACATTGTGAAATAAGGAATAAAGACATAATCAAAGATATGCCTAACATGGGGTAGACTGTACTCTTGTAACACTTTAGGACCTCACTGCTTATAACTGAAAATATTTAAATGTGAATAATCCCTGAGGGGTTTGTCATAACTGTAAAAAAAAACTAGACCTTGTATAAGCCCCCCAAAATTAAATCCAATCATGTATGAAGGAAATAAGGGACAATCTACACTTGCCTTTCATGGATGGGAATCTGGCTACATAGTTCCACCTAAAGTATCTTCTGTCACAGGATATATCTACCAGAACAATTTCTTATTATCTCTAAAGTGAATTAGAGACATAGCCTCCTGGAAAAAACAAAAAACTACTCTGCAACCAGGATTTGGTATGTTTTATTAGAGCAAATTTTTAACAAAAGGTGGCTTTCATTTACAGAATTTAATGTGTGTGGGGACTGTCCAACCCATATGGACTCAAGTAAGGATAACCATTAAGCTTGCTAATGTATTTTCTTATTTTCAGTTTACATACAAATTTTTTTTGTTTGCTTCACATTCATAAAAACCCCAATACTGTAAATGACAAATAACCCCTCCCATCCCTTAATTAAATATACAAACAGCCTGAAAACATACAATTTAAATTGGTTTAATCTTGAAGTGTAATCCAATAAGACTGAAAACTAAACATTTCAAGTCTTGTACCAAATAGTAAAATACTCGAAGGCCTTCAGGATCCCTAAAATTTAAAAAGGTAAAAGTTACTTTTTCTTCCTAGGATAAAACAATTCTTTAAATGCCTAAAACAAAACAAATCAAAATCTCATAACAATTAAGTTAACAAAATTTAGGAGAAAGGAAGGATTTTGCTGACAACTAAAATGAACATACAATTAATATCTTTTCTATACGAAAAAATAGTTTCTTCATCAGTATTCATTTTAGTATTTAAAGAGTTCATATCCTTATGATTGTAATAACCACATCATAAAAATGTCTAATAAAGCAGAAAAAAATAATACTGTAATGCTACCATTTCATAGAATAACTATAAACATTTTGATGTTTCTCTATTTTTTAATAACTAAAATTATTCCTTGTGCCCTTTTTTACATTACTTTCCCCACAGCATTAAAAAAAAAAAATTCCCTAGTAATTTTTAATTAATTTAATAATTCTCTCCTTGTTAGACACTGGGGTTAATTTCCTATTATAAATAATACTTCAATGAGCATCTTCATGCATAATAAAGCTTTTCCAATATTTAGGAATAGTTCCATAGAAGAGATGCTCAGAAATGAAATTACTAGGCCAAAGGTGAATGAAAAATGTCAACAGTTTTTGATGCATATTACCAAACTGCTTTCCAAAAACCATTACCAATTTATAATCCCAGTAGGGTATCAATGCCACACCCTTACCAAATGTAGGAAAAGAAATTTGATAGTTTAAAAGCATTTGGATGGTCTTTGTGAACACAGATTTTGCGTCCAATAGTTATCATGCATTCATTCCTTTCTCCTTTCCACTAACAAATATTTATTGAAAGCATCTATTATGTGCAGGGCACTATGCTAACTCTGTGGATACAGCAAGGTTCTCAAGGAGCTTACATTCAAACCAGTAAAGCAGACAAATAGGTTATTACAATTCAGGGTGACAGAAAAAAGTAAGAGCACTATGGGGACACTTTGAGGGGAATGGGCACAAATAAAAATAAGTGGCTAGGATCAGACCAAGAAAATGGGATGTGCTACAAAACCCTGGGGCAGAGGAGAGACAGATCTTGGGAAGACATCGATAGCTAAAGCATACTTAGGCCATAATGGATTTTTTCCATCTTTTTCCCAAGTATTGAGCCCAAGAAGGACAGTGAGATGATATAGGCCTAATGAGGCTGACATAATCCAATAAGGATTTCTTTCCTTTGGATTTGCTGATACTGTATCCACATTTTTATACAAAGTAGCTAATACAACTTGGGCATTATTATATACAGCTGTTGGATTAAAAGTTTTTGGACAATCAATGAAATACTCTGCTAACTTCTACTGAGAGACAAGATAATAAGCCTTTAATGACATAAAAATCAGGATTACATCTGCATAATAAACTGATAGGATGCCACTGAAATTATCTTGGCTAGCAAACTGACTATAGTTCTAAAATGAGCCTCTGTAATAATGAAAACTTCGCCAAAATGCTTTAACATACTTACTTTGACTGATTTACATCAATAAGAGAACCTATTTTTGATGTGGTAAAAGATATGTGCTCATCTCCAATTACAATTTCAAGCTCCTAAAAAATATAGCAGAAAAATGTAGTTAATATAAAAATCTATCCCAGAGGTATCTGTATTCTTGCTACAAGCAGATCCCAATTTTAGTTGCAAGTTTTCTAGCAGCCAACAGAGGGAGTGGGGGGCGAGGGGGAAAGAAACATGGTTTCTTAGATATAAACTATATCCTTAAAATAAAGACTGCTCACGCGCACTACCCCCAAGTTTAGGACCAACAAAGAATTGCTTTCCAGAGACATAAAGAAGACACTATGAAACAAAATGACAAAGAAATATTTCTTACAATGTCAGTAAAAACTAAAGACATCACTTTGAAGCACATGTTGTAAAAATGATTGGAGTATAAGACCATTTTTAATATGATAAATACACATTTTTTCTTTCTGGAAGATTCTACAAATAAAATGTGTAATATTAATAACCACCACCACTTTAGCACCTACTGTATGTCAGGCCCTAGTGGTAGGGACTTTGTACTCTCTGTAATCTTGAAAATAACCTTACTAACCTATTTTACAAATGTGTAATCCAAAACTCATAGAGCAGAAGAAAATACTTGTTGATATTTATAACCACTAATAATGATGGTACTTATATTTGATCCCAAGATGGTAAGACTTCAAAACTAATACTCCACAAAATAACTAAAATTAAGAACTAGTAAAAAAAAAAAAAAAAAACCAACCTAATGTAGATGTTCCTAGTGTGCTGTAATTACTGTATAGATTTTTCCCTATATTGTTTATCTGCAGGCCTAAAACCAATAATTAAAAAGCTATATCTGTAATGAATCTTCAAGTTAACAGACACTATTGAAGACAATCCTAGCTATTTATTTAATCAGAGGCCTAATTATGCAGTTTATGACACACACAGAATGGAGAATTAGCTAAGATGCTCTAACAGCCATAAAACCTTTGACTTGATACAAAAGGCAATTTCTGAAGCATGCCTACTCCTCCCCACTAACCAAAACCCATGAACACATCCTTAAGTGAATAGATAAAATACTAGGCTCTCCCTGAGTCTAAATGATATAAAAGGTTAGCTGCTGTGGTTTGCTTTTTAGTACATATGTGTATCTGCATAAAACAAACTGAGGCCTAAATTTACTTTTTAAAAGTGATACGATGCTTAAAATAAATACTGTTAACTATTACCTTTGCTTTTCTAAATAATGCTTCTTTAAGCAGAAGACTTAAGTTACTCCTACAGAGTGTCAGCATGTGTTAGATTTCTCCACATTTTCTTCTATTCAAAGAAGGTGATACAAAGTACAATCCTCAGGGATATACAAAAGTGAAATTAAATGTTTCTTCCTTCCAGGGGTTGTTGAAGGAATTTCTCCAAGAGTTGAAAAGACCCAATTCAGAAACCAAACTTTCTTTTTACAGAGTGAAATTAGGCCTTCAGAGTTCTTCAGAAGCCTGAGAAACATCATTTATTCTGAAGGAATATGAGAGGGAAATGCAATCATCAGTTTTAACAAAGAAACCACCAATCAAGTTTCTCTCTGGGGTATAGGGATGCAAGTAAGAATTTTAGAAGTTATGATTTGGCAAAAATAAATTTTACATAGTCATATTCTTAATAAAAGTGATTAACACACAACAGAAATTATTCATAACACTGCATTGTGAAAACATCCTAACGTTGGCTGGGGTGACTACAGAGAAAGATGTCTAAATTTAGAGCTATGCACTGACTCCTTCACTACTAGGAGGTAGCACAGAAAAACAGAACTAAGAGATAAAATTAAAGAGAATTTACCAGGTGCCTATTAAATAGAAAGCCAAAGAATCAACTTAGACTCATTCCAAATAAATAACGGGAAACAAAATAGTATTATCAATTTTTAATATTTATACACTTAAAGAATCACTAAATACAAACCTGTCGGCCAACCCTATCAGGGGGAGGCCACAAAGCATCATCTTCTTTTGTAATTTCACTGTCATCAATAATTCTCTTCAGTTCTTCCATTACACTCTTGTGCACATAAGCCTAAAAATTAATCATAATAAAATGAGATAATGCCCACCTATGTCACCCCTCAACTCAGAAAGAAATGAGTTACAAACCCTGAATATCCAAATAGAGGAATATAGAAAAATTTAATTGATTCCAAAAGTAGAGGAGACAGAATCACTTATCCTTGTTACACTGCTTTTCTTCATCTCTTGCCCTTTCCTTTCACATACATTTTTTCCCTCTTCTCATCATTACCTGTCTTTCAAACACTGTATTCTGCCTTTGCAACACTGAGATCCAAATACCCACAAGTGGTTAACTTGTGTCATCACAAGATCTATAAGGTGAACTGTAATAAATGCAAGTATACTGAGGCAGGAGAATCGCTTGAGCCTGGGAGGCAGAGGTTGCAGTGAGCTGAGATCAAGCCACTGCACTCCAGCTTGGGTAACAGAGCGAGACTCTGTCCCTAAATCAATAAATCAATAAATGCAAGTGTAGTTCACGTCAAGGTTAGTTCTCTGAACTTTCTCATTCCTATGGATGCAAACACTGTATCTAATTTAAATGGAAACTCTTTCAATCTATAAATTGCCTTCTTCTTTACAATATAGCCTTAGATGTACTTTTTTAAATTCAACACAGACTTGAAGAAAATGGGCTAAATGCAAAAAAAAAAAAAAAAAAAAAAAAGACATTCACATAGAACTTACCTCTTTTCTGATCATGACATCATTTTTGTAATTGCTGTTGTTGGCATATCTAAGCTTTCCTGTGGGAAGTGGAAAAAAATCAATTTATAATAGCAAAAACTGCTAAAAAAATTAACATCATATACAATTTTGAAGGTAAAGACCATTTTATACTACTATTTTTATTAATATTTCCTCCCTCCTTGTGTAAGATCATTGCTAGACATGTAGACAATAAATGTTTGCTGGTTAAGTTTGCTGAAGTTGAAGCTAGCCAAATATTTAAACAGCCCATGCCTACAATATATATTGGGTCATTTTTAAGGCCTATTTTCTTAAGCTACATCATGAACTAGAAAGAGAATCTGCAAAAGGCACTAAGATTCCTTTAAAGTTTGTTATATGTCTGTATCGGTGCTAAGTGCCTCACCCAGAGCATTTAATCTAATCTGTAAAACAATCCCAAAAATCGGGTTTTATTCTCTCACCTATTCATAGGAGAGAAAACAAAGTTAAGTAACTTAACCAGGGTCACACAAGATTCAGATCTAGATCTACTTTCTTTCAATACTCAGGCTTTCCCCACTACACCAAAATGTTCTCTTTTAAAAATTTTTTTCCTTCAAATGTATGCATGCAATTATAATGCAGACATTTTAGAATTATGACTAGGAAGCATACAAACGATGCTTCTGGATCAAAGTTGATGAGTTTGTTAGCTAGTTTATATTTAATTTTAATCCATCATGATTGCTGTATTATCTGATGTATGCTTCCCCTTATGGCTAGTCAGTTGCCCAGACACAGCTATAATGTGCAACAGGTACTCTAAAATGATAGAAATGACAGTCTTTGATGGCTTGGCACCAGGCACAGTGGCTCATGCCTGTAATCCCAGCAATTTGGGAGGCTGAGATGGGTGGATCACCTGAGGTCAGCAGTTAGAGACCAGCCTGGCCAACATGGAGAAACCCCGTCTCTACTAAAAATACGAAAAAATAGCCAGGCATGGTGGCCCATGCCTGCAATCCCAGCTACTCGGGAGGATGAGGCAGGAGAATCGCTTCAATCCACGAGGCGGAGGTTGCAGTGAGCCGAGATCGCACCACTGCACTGCAGCCTGGACGACAGAGCAAGACTCTGTCTCAAAAAAAAAAAAAAAAAAAAAAAAAAAAGAAAAGAAACGCGTCTTCGGGAGGCTCAATATCACCAATGGAAGTATGTGTAACAGTGTAGTGGCAGATACATTGATTAGAACCACTGTTCTAGCATAAAACTTCCCTGATAATATTCAGGTACTTAATTCATGTGACCTGCTAAAAGTGATAGGGACAAGCTTGATGGTGTTCGCAGGCAGAGGAACTGAAAATAATACTACATAAAGAATAGATGAATTCAGGTAAATTTAGCTGAATTTATGGGGACGGTAAGGTTAAATACAGTGATTAAGGTTTCTAAATAATTGCAGGGCTGGCCCGGTGGCTCATGCTTGTAATCCCAGGACTGTGGGTGGCTGACGCTGGTGGATCCCTTGACCTCAGGGGTTTGAAGCCAGCCTGGGCAACATGGGGAAACCCATCTCTACAAAAAATAACATAACATAACATAACATAACATAACATAACATAACATAACATAACATAACATAATTAGCTGGGTGAGGTGGCGTGGGCCTGTATTCCCAGCACCTCGGCAGGCTGAGGTGAGGGATCACTTGCACTAGGGAGGGGGAGGTTGCAGTGAGCTGAGATCGTGCCACTGCACTCAGATCTGGGTGACAGAGTGAGACCTTGTTTCAAAATAATAATAATAATAATAATTGCAGGACTGTAGTTAACGTGAGTTCTGCCTGAAATGCTTGATACTCTTCTCCTTTCCTAATATACGTTCCTTCTCTAATTTTTTATTCTTGCTCTCACAGAACATTGTCCAAAGCCTGCTTATAGGACTTAATATGCATACTGCTTTATAGTTAAATGTCTGTGCCTCCCACCAAGACAAATCTGCTTTAGTTAAATTTGTCTTACTCATTACTGTACCTTAAAATTTTGTATTTGCTTGTTGTCCAGCACAAAACGTGCATTCAAAAAAACCCAAAAAATATATATCCAAATGAACTTTCTTGTTGCAGGTAGGCAAGATCAATGTAACATTCTCTAAGGATAGCGCTGTCAGAAAACACACTGTTGCACACTACTTGGGTAGCAGTTTCACCTCATCCTCTGCTCATACTGCTCTGGAAGTCTGTTTTTTTCTCTCAAAGGCCAAGTCTCTCATTTCGAGACTCATCTCAAGAGTGCCGTCCTCTAAGAAGATCTTCCTGACTCCCTCCTGTGGAACTTTACCTCTCCCCTCTTGCTTGGTACTCTTCATGCGTCCTATGGTGAACAATTACACGTAAACACCTAAAACATATTATTATTCTCATTTGTTAACACGTTGGGCTCCTCCCCTTCAAAGAAAACACACAGCCTAAATGAAAAAAAGGTACTGGTCACCACAAGATTTTATTCATCCACTGGACCACCCGCTGGTGGGGGTGTTTTCAAAAAAGTGCTAGCATTTTCAATCAGGGCGACGATCTAGAGTCCCTTCTGGTGCACTGTTACAGAATTCTGATTACTGTAGGTTCAACTTTTCAGTTTGTGACAGGATTAGCTTTAATTTATTGCAATTAATTCTCTTTCATTTATAAAACCAACTTATGCCTCCTCTATTCTTAAGCTCCTATTTCCTTCGAGGGAAGCAGTGGCCTCCGCCGCCTGTACCCTCCACACCACCCGGCCTCTCGGTCTCGCTCCCCTTTCCCAGCACCGCGTGCCGTGGGCCTCTTCTCACCGTCCGGCCGAAATTCGAACTCCAGAAACTCGTGCCCAAACTTGCCCTTGTGCCCTACGTAGTAGCGCAGGTAGAAATCGCTAGCCACAGCCATTTTTGTACCCGGGAAGCCCGCCGAAAACGCAGCCAACGTGTCCCCCGGCGCCTTGCAGTGACGTCATCGCGCGGAATAAGTGCGTCACCACAGGCGCTTCTCTTCCTCCTGCAGTGCAGCCCTAGACTAAAGCGTGAAAGCCGAGTATCGCGTGAGAGTCCGGAGGCGCTGAAGGGAGGGTCGCAGCGCCGTGACTTTCGCTTTACTAGGAATGGAGGCACATTGTTTTCAAAATAAAGATTACATTATACTAGCAAAGATTAGAAATGTGAGCATATGATAGTCTTTTTTATGGACTTAGAGCTAAAGGTTTGCAAGTCACTTTTACTTTTCTGGTCTCCCAATCCTTGCGGCGTTTGTGAGGTGGGTGTGGCTCTATGCCCCCTTTAACTGTGAGCTAAATAAAGATAAAGCTTAGAATCGAAATGGCAGACCGGGAATATAAACTATTTTTCTTACTTAATTTCTAACAGGGTGCTTTCCCTTTGGATAGCGATTGGTAGTTACCCGGGACCTCTAAGCCTATAATAATAGAGACAAAGTCAAAGGAATCCAACTCTTAAAACCCTCACACCCCCCACACCTGAAAAACCCTGACAGTCACCGTGCTTTTTTTAACAGCAGAACTTCTAAGGTTCTTAATTCATTCAATAAGGGTTAACTTTTAGTAGCCTGTGAAGTTTTGGCAATTTGACTTACGATACAATAATGGTTTAGCCCATTATTGTTTCTCGCCAGATAGAATTAAATTGGGGGAATGAAAGAATGCTCCAGTGTGGCGTAGTTTTTAAGGTAAGGGAAAGACTTTTACACAAAGTTTCCTTTTCAGATATTATTGATCACCCTTTTGTTATCAACACACAGAGTAATCCTATCTGTCGGTTGACAACCTTCAGTGATTTTTAGTAGAAAGTGGTGGAGAGAAGACCTGGGATTCAATCCCAACACTTAACAGCTAACTAACCTCGGGCAAGTGACTATCTCTAAGCCTGTTTGTTCATCAGCCTAATGCATATACAGCAATCTACATTGCCAAGCTCACAGAATTCTTGAGAGATCTAATGAGATAATATGTAAAATAAGCTTTAAATTTTATAAAACATTAGTTTTAACAAACATTTCCTATGTGACAGTTTGAAACTAGAAATAAGCCATTTGATCTGGTAGTCTAGAAAAGAAAGCAAACACGTAAGGCGAATACCAGCACAAGGGAGCAATTGCTATAATTAAGAATATATGTGCCATCCTGGCCAGCATGGTGAAACCCCGTCTCTATTAAAAATACAAAAAAATTAGCTGGGCGTGGTGGCGCGTGCCTGTAATACCAGATACGCGGGAGGCTGAGGCAGGAGAATTGCTTGAACCCTGGAGGCAGAGGTTTCAGTGAGCTGAGATCGTGCCACTGCATTCCAGCCTGGGCAACAAGAGCGAAACTCTGTCTCAAAAAAAAAAAAAAAAAAAAAAGAAAAAGAAAAGAAAGCCTATATGTGGCCGGGCGCAGTGGCTCATGCCTGTAATCCCAGCACTTTGGGAGGCCAAAGGGGGCAAATCACCCGAGGTCAGGAGTTCAAGACCAGCCTGGCCAACATGGCAAAACCTTGTCTTTACTAAAAATACAAAAATTAGCCAGGTTTGGTGGCACGTGCCTGTAATCCTAGCTACTCAGGAGGCTGAGGCAGGAGAATCGCTTGAACCCGAGAGGCGGAGATCGCGCAGTTGCACTCCAGCCTGGGTGACAAGAGCGAAACTTCGTCTAAAAAAAAAAAAGTGTGTAAAACATGCCGGTAGTACAGCAGAGGAAGCAAGAGCATTCTATTGCAGAGTAGGGAAATTTGAAAAAAGAGTATTGGAAAAGGCTTGTCAACGGAAGTGTTTGAATTGGACCTTGAGAAGTAAGTTCTGTGTATGTTCAGTGGGATGAAAAAGCATTCCAGGCAGAAAATGACCCGAGCAAAGACAGTGGTGTGAAAATTCATGTTTGGGGAACACTAAGAAATTCGGTATAGCTAGAGCATAAGGTTCAAGTAGAATGACTAAAAAGGCAAATTGGGCCACGTTTCCTTGAGTCCATATTAGTAGTTATATAACTATTAATATAGAAAAATGAATCAGTCCCTACAATGGGCCACCATTTTGGAAAGTACGTAAGAAACAGGAAGCACCATGTTTTACCACTAGGGTGACTAGCCGTTCCAGTTTGACCAGGACTGTGGAGTTTCCTGGGAAATGGGACTTTCCATACCTGGAAACACCCAGGCAAACTGAGATGGGTTGGTCACCACACTTACCACAAGAATAATTCACAGAAATTTGAACACTCTATTCCGTAGTATCTCTGGAAATATCAGCTGTAATCCATTTTGTTGAATTATATGGAAAGCCTCATTCAATATCTTAGATTCCCTAATGTCTCTCCTTCAGGTTTTTGGCACATGTGCCAATGTTCATCTTCATGTTTACCTAAATAGAACTATGGATACCAGAATGTGTAACTATATAAATAGAGGTTACAGAATGCACAAAGTATTAACATCTTTGTTAAGTGGGCCAGTTACTGTCTTGATCTCCAAAAATGACATAGGGGTTCAAGACTATAATCCTACCTGTTTGTAAGATAAAATATGAAACTATATTTACTTAACTCTCTATATTTTAAGCCAAAATTTGAACCTTTTGTATTGAAGCAAGAATTACAAAGTGATAAAGCATTTGCGTTGTGTTGTATTCTTGGATGGTACACAACAGTGATGTGGAAATGTTCTTCTGTATGGCTGCTGAGCCCTTGAAATGTGACTACTGTGACTTCGAACTGAATTCTTAATTGTGATTAATTTAGATTAACATTTAAATAAACACATGTGGCTAGAAGCTACTGTGTTGGTCAGCACAGTTAGAATCTTTTCATACACTTTTAGTTGGGCTAGAAATAGCAAAAAAAAAATTGTGAACATTTTCAAATTGCTTGTTGTAGGCTCCAAATTAGGACGTACTTACTGATATCAACACAGTTTACTTATGAAAATAAATATTTGAGCTGCTTAAGTGAAGCCAAAATACTGTTTCCACCTTTGCTAACACAGCGGTAAATTTCAAAGCACAAAGTGAAGTAGGTAAGAAATAAACGTTTTATTTCCATCTGAAATTAGGGCTTAATGATCAAATCATTCTGACTTCCAATTTTCAGAAACATGTTCCATGTTTATTGTGATAAGCACTAGGTATTATAGTCTCATGTTTTTAATTTATGAATAACGTCTGATTCATTTGATTTTGTATTTACAGAAGAAAAGATGTCAGGGCTATCTCATTCAGTTATTAATAAATGGATCAGAGTAGTAAGTCAAGAATAAGTGCATAATGTGGTTTAAATTTTAAAAAATACTCAGAATGAGGTAGTATTTTAATTTTTAATTCATCCACCCACCTTGCTCTTCTCTTTTCCATAATAGACTTCCCTGTGGACGTTAGCCTTATCTGTCTTTTTACCACTTAGTGGTATTAACTTTTTAAGTAAGAGAATCATGATCATGCAGAAACACCAAACTTTCCACACCATTCGTTATCACATATGTTCATATATGGCGAGAACTTGGAGCTACTTCTAGATTACCATGACATGATATATTTAATTCGATTGTTCAATCTAAAATTTTTTTCCAGCAAATGACAATATTATATGCTTCAAACACATAGCATAATCTCTAACTCTTTTCCCCAAAACGGGTAAACACAGTATGCTAAATTAAGGGTAATAGGATATCTTCCAGTCTTCCACTGTATTTGCTACTTATTTATTTCAGTAAGAGTGTTAAAGCAAAATTTAAAAAAATTATTGCAACAGAGTTAAGATTAAGAAATCTTAATTAACTGACTTTTTTTGTTTTAAAATGCTAAAAAAAAACCCACTACTATTATTTGATTTTAATAACAGAATACCTAAATCTGGCATAAAAAAACATAGTGTGCTCCATAAGCATAATTTAAGAACTACTGGTTCAGACTATTCTATTTTAAACGACGTTACCAAGTTTCCCTTAGACACTGTATCTAGGTGGGTGTTTGCGTTGTTCCTAAGTGTTGGAATTTTTTTTTAACAATAAAGCATAGATTGGAAAAACAAGACTGGAAGAGAAGGCAATCAAAACAATACAACAAAATCTATCTAGAGTCAACCCGATTAAATGATAAATATTTTGATTCTTTTTTTCATTCATTAGCTTGGAAACACCTAGTTTGGCTGAAAGGTCAATGATGCCAGAAATATCATCCTCCTTCTGGAAGAAGCCTGGCCAAGTGAGAGAAAGACCCAGTTTTCTTAGAGTAAAAATTACTGTATCCAGTTTTCCGGGCCGGAAAAACAAATAAAATTGGGGGTAAAAAACTTAAATATCAATTGTCTGCTTCTTTCCCTCCTACTAAAAGAAATATGACAGTACAACAAAGCAACCTTCCATTTCACTGTGTTCCACTTTCCCTTAGCTCACCGTGCTGCAACCCATATGCTTTCTTGCAGTTCCTTGCCTCAGAATTTTCACGCACACATGTCCTCCTCCTGGGAGACTCTTCTTATTCGGCCTGGGTTACTTACCCATCCCTAAGGTCTCAGTTTATAGCCCATTTCTGTTCAGGGAAGTGTTCCTTTTAAACTCCCTTCTACTACCCTATGCTTTTTCTTTATAGCACTTAACACTTCGCACTTAACAGATACCCACACAAATAAATGTATAATGTGTCTCACCTTCTAGACTGTAATCAAAAGCTCCCTATTTCTTTTATCCTACACCTAGCCAAGTGTCTGGCACAGCAAGCCTTAACACTCAATATTTTTCAGTGATCAGATAAATAAGTAAATATTTGTAATTTTGACTTAACTGAACAGCTGAGAGGCAACAATGGGATTCCATAGGACTTTGTAATTTTGTGTGAAGCCACTCTTCTGCCCTTCTCCCTACTGCAACTTGCTACCCATTTAAATCCTGACTAGTCATTGTGGTATTCTTACAGCGGCAAGAATCATTATTCCTTTAGCTGACTCATTATGATTCCATCAGGATTCCAACTTCTACAACATTTTTAGCTGCCAGTCATTTTTCTTATGGCAGCCTTAGATGTCCCTTCCAGGGTACCCAAAGTGTTTTTTAAAATTGCAGACTACCATGTTCAACAGAATTGCCCTCATGATGATGTTTTCAATATTTTGTAATAGTAGGAGTCCACTATCATCATCCAAAAGCGTACAAAAATGATGACTTCATCATTGCACATGTATAATATCACTACTTGTGCCATATCATCATCTTTAGGCATGTCCTGCCTTGCAGTGTTAGCGACTGAGTTTCTCTTCTTGGTCACAGTAGATTTTAAATGAAAAATATATGAAAGGTCCTGGGTTAGGAAGGGCAAAAGAAAAGGAGAAACACGTTTATTGAGCGCATATGTGCCAGATAGTGTACAAATACATACTCAAAACGTATCAATCCTCAGAACAACCTTGTGAAATAGGTATTATCCCCATTTACACATAAAGAATCCCTTTTCTGACATTGTACATTATCTCTTGAATTTTTCTATTGGCATTAACTTTCACTTATTTACTTTTATCCTCCCTATGATATTTTTAGTAGTTATAAACCAGAAAAGCATATTTCCATTTAATAAATATTAATTTAATAAAATAAGTTTCACAGTATATCAACAGATGATTGAAAATTAGAAGCTGCTATCCTTCCATATCAGATTACATTCTTTTCTAGCCCTTGTTAAAGACTGAGCTACTAAGCCTTCTTGCTTGGTTTCTACATTTCCTATTTATTGTGCACACACACACACACACACACAGAATTCTTTTCACTGTTCTAACATTGACTCTCTAGGCTTAGTCTCCTTAGTCTAATCGGAACTAGGAAGCTAGCTTAATGAACAATACATGTTGAATGTTCTTAATCATGAAATGACTCCTCCACCTTCTAATTAAACGTAGTAACAAACAGAATTTACCTGTCTCAGAATCAGATAAAAGGGGACCATCTTTCTTTTATCTATACCTAAGGTGAAACTCAGAGGTTTTTCCGTTATAGTTCTCCTCCAACCCCACATGTAGGGCTCAGGACTGAAGAACTTTGTGTCCTACCACCTTTTCTTGAAGGAGGTGTTGGTCCATATCTGTAATCCTGAGCAAGAAGAACCTTAAATTTTCTTTCCCTTCAACTCTTTTATTGGATTTCTATTCCTTCATTTCATTCCAAATTTTCATCTAGATAAAAATGTGGTTCCAGAGGAAACTAGCCTCGGACGGGAGGGATGAGCTTATTTGTGCCATGCCCCAACAAATACTGCAGAGTTCTAAAACCTCCTTTGCACAGGTCCACCACTTCTACCCAGGATTTCTAGGACTGGGACAGCAGAAGTGAGACTGACAGTATGTCTTAGCTCAGGATGTGTAGAGTCCCATCCAGCATCATTTCAGATTTCCCGAGAAATGTGTAAAGGAAGATCAAGAATCCATGTCCCATTTCTCCCTTTGTGTCCCTGGGAAAGACCATTCTCTGTTCTTAGAGGAATTGATTCCAAGAACATATACTCATGCATGAATGTTTCTTGCCCGAGACTCTTCAAAGCATGCTATAGTTGTAGAAGAGGCTCTCCACTCTGATGCCGGCCACAGCTGCATACAGTTCAGGTACCACCAACTCTGGTACTTGTAACACAGCCTCGTCATCTGCAGTTTTAATGGCAGCTTCTAGGCGCAAGCGCAGCTCTCTAGGTGAGGGGCGGTCAGCCTCACGCCAGCGCCAGCAGGACTTCATGATACTGTACCTGAGAGGGAAACAAGAGAAACTGACTTCCTTGACAAGGCAAATGTATGGGGAGCATGTCTCCTCTCCTCACAAACTTTAACAAACAACTCTGCAATTCTTTAATTGTCTTCTGTTTGCCCTGTTACTCATATTCTTCCCAGAGAGTGATATTCCTTCTCAATCTTTTTATATCAAGTCTCTTAATAGCACTTTCTCAACAAGTGCTCTTGTATAATAGGAATGACTTAACATTTTCCAAACTAGGGTATGACAGGACAGTTTTATCACTACATATTGTTTGCTGTAACGTTGTAAGCATTGTGCAGTAAAGTAACAGGGCTGGGTAGAAATGAACACATGTCATTTTTACTCTGATATGAGACGGAGCTTTTAATCATGTATACTGCTGCATACTTTAGGTTGATTTTCATGTTTCAGATATCTCCTCATCAAAATGTTATGTTCTTTAATACTTGTGCCTAGAAGCTGCTGCTAGAATTGCAGATGACAAGGCTGTGTTACAAGTACCAGAGGTTGTGGTACCAGGTCAGGTATTTTGTCAGTTAGGTGTCTTTCCCAGTATTAAGACCAGCCTTTAACACATAGAAATGTTTGTCATCAATTTTTTTCTATTGTACCTAGCTCCATCACTATATTCTGTGCGTGTGTGTGTATGTGTATACTCATATATAATTAAGATACTTAAATTTAATCTGCTTGATGCAGTAATTATTTATCATAAGGAAAACCAAGTGCTGTAAATTTACCCATTCAATGATAAAAAACTTACAAAATAGCAACAATTCTAATAAAAACATTAATATATTCTCTGCTGCCTCCGTATACACAATTTAACCTTTTCTTACATTCTACAGCAGTTCCTTTTTGAACTTCATTGGTAATAACAGTCTATGTAATTTTTTATTTTTCCATTTCCTGCCTCTAGGTTGGTTCACTAACTGTCCCAATCTGCTGACAATATTGGATCCTCCTTCTGCCTTTCTAATTTCTTCTTATCTCCCCTTCCTCTGGTTGGCTTCTATCACACTGAGAGTTGGAAAAACAGGGAGACAGTCATTTAAAAGTTAAATACTAAATAAGAACTGGTATACTCTGAATGAGTAACTCTAGTGCAATGGCTTTTATGACAGCTGTCTGAACTGTGGCTGGCAGAAGACTGACATTTAGACTAAACACAACTATACTTGCATTGGGTTTAGTTTACTTGTTACCTATTTTAGAAGCTTCCCATGGAACTAAACTATAATAAAATTAGATTCCTGATATAGTTCTCAGCGTGTGGTGGGGGTATGTGTGTGTATGTGTGTGAGTATGTGTGAGTGTGTGTATGTATATGTATATATAATATATATGCATATATAATATATGAGATAGGTATATTTTACTGCATGGGTTTGGTTAAAAGCTGTACATGGGTACATATACACAGGTGAGGATCATCTGAGCCCTTTGAAAAGGGCACGATTGATAGAGGGCTAAACAACATTTGGAATGAAAGAGGAGCAGGCCTTTAAAAACCACTTACATGGTATGTGTGCAGCTACTGGGTCTCTTCATGATTTTCCTTCTTTGGAGATGCTCTAGGATGCTGGTAGGAGGGACTTCAGGATACGGTGGTGCTCCTGTCATTACGAAAATAATGAGAACTTTAAGGTCCTCTAAAATATGAACTGTAACTAACACTATTCTTCATCCACTTGGGTTGGTTGCTTGCAAAAGATATAGCCATAGGAAAAATACTACATACAATTCAGTTGCTCCCTGGTGATCAAATATGGATATAATTTAGTGAATTGGGGGGAAAGGTGTTTTGGAGAAAAAAACCTGATAAGTTAGGAGAATCTTGAATCTCTAAGAAAGTGATCAAATAAGACAAAGTAAGACATAAGACCTGTCCTCCACTCTCCATACATGGGAAAGTGTGCAGTTTCTCAGTCAAATGAATTAATAAGTCTGGAGTAAACATTTTTATGTTTATGCAAGACCACTCTGGGAATTATCCTTGGGATTTGAAAACATCCCTTGGATTTGGTAATATTTTGGGGAAAATAAAGAGGAAGAGAGCAAAAGAAAGGTAAAAAAGGACAGGGAAGAAGGGACTGGGGCAAGGAGAAAATAATCACTTTATATGACTATCACGGGAATCAGGCTTAGATAACATGTCAGTCCATTTCAAGCTTCAGCACTGTACTGAAACCCTTTCAGAAAGCATACATCATCCACCCCTTAAATAAACACGCTTGCATATTTGCATACAGGTACACACTATTTTGGGGCTCATCCTTACCTAGAGTCACCATCTCATAGAGCAGGATCCCAAAAGACCAGCTGTAAAAGAAACAAAGCCATCTATTTAATTTCTATTTCTGTTTTTCTAAAGAGAGCTCATTTAAGTGTCAGAAGCCTTTAATAAGAGCCCCATGAAAAAGGCAATGAAGGAGAATCAAGGATGAGTGTCTGAAAAACAAAATAACAGCCATTAGAAAGCATTTCTGCTCAATTTCCATAGGTTCGAATCTCTTTTAAGATTGAAATTATATCTCTATTTACTCTCCTGTGTTTTAAATTAATAGATGTTTGTTATTATTTGCAAATGTGTGTGCATGTAACCACACAAACACATTTACCTCAATCACAAAAGCACATTTACCTAAAAATATTCCCTCTGTGTCTCTTTCTTCCTTTCCATCCCTCTCTGCTGAAATTCTTGCCTTTATTCTTAGCACAAATTCAACCAAGTTTTATCATTTAGTCACTATTTTCTCAGTAGATTTAATTGCCCAAACCTAGGAAAAATATTAACAGGGCAAGCTTTATATATAGTTGAAATAGGTATTTGCCTAAGCAATATGACTTGAGAGGTGTATAGTTCACTATTCTGTAATATCATTATTGAATGATTAATATTTTACAGTTAAGTTTATTACCCCCAGATGTCTATTGAAAAGCAGATGTCAGTGAAGCAACAATGGAAATCTCATAACTGACTCATCATATTAACTGATATTCTAAATTTCCTCTGCTGCTCATGGCATTCATGGCTAGCAGGATATTCTACATTACATCAATGCACTTCTCCAAGCAATTGAGTTATATGGCTACCAAAAGTCAATTGTGATTCTTTATGATCCTGTTAATGCCAATTTTACATGTAATTGCAATTATATGTAGTTATATAATCAATTAGGTATTTTATATATGGATTAAATGCAAAAAAGTGTTATCTTCCTTCAAACAAAGTTTGAAGGAAGTTGAATGTTTTGAAAACTAAGTTGAATGTTTTGAAAATGATTTATAAAAATAAACTGCTGAAAAAGAAAGTCTTGTCAAATTGTGTGAGGGAGACAACTTAGAAAATTGGGAAAAGTAACATCAAAAGTCTGCAGTCAAACAATTTCACAATTATTTTCAGGTTTCTCATGCTACCTAAAATCATTCTGAACTGGAACTCAAAAATAAATCATTTTTATTTACACTAAAAGATACTATTTACACTAAAAGAACAACGTGTAACTTCATTTGGGAAACTCATCCTTATAAAAAGAAGCCTTGCCCCTCCTTGAAAAAAACAGATAATGTACATTTATAAGTTTTATGTTAAAATAAGTTATTGAAGGTATGTATATTTCTTTTTATTTTAACAATGTATGGGTTAACTGGCCTTTTGGTTATTCCTTCAGATAAAACAGACTTTACTAGATTAAGTCCTCAGATATTGATGTGAATAATCTTTTCACTTTTTTTTTTTCTAATTAAGGCTGCTAATCTAATACAGAAGAAATACTTGAGGCTGGGCATGGTTGCTCATGCCTGTAATCCCAGCACTTTGGGAGGCGAAGGTGAGAGGATCACTTGAGCCCAGAACTTCTAGACCAGCCTAGGCAACATGGTGAACCTTGTCTCTAAAAAAAAAAGAAAAAAAAAATAGCCAAGCAGGGTGGTGCATGCCTGTAGTCCTAGCTTCTAGGGAGGCTGAGGTGGGAGGATCGCTTGAGCCTGGGTGGTGGAGGCTGCAGTGAGCTGTGATCATGCCACTTCACTTCAGCCTGGGCAACACAGTGAGATCCTGTCTTAGAAAAGAAAAGAAGAAAAGAAAAGAAAAAGTTGAAAAAGTACCAAAAAGGATTGCAGACAGATGACAAACATGAACTCTGTCACATAACATTTCTGCTTGAGAGTATGTCTGATTTCTAAGTAGAGATTATATTCGTATACAGAATTGGCAACAGATCAAATCATATTCAGGGACAACACCCAAGTCATGAAGAAAGTAAACTCAGAGTCCAGGAATAAACCGTACACATCTGCTCTGATGCTAGCAGGTCTCAGGAGAAGCCGTTCTGGGGCAAGCCACTTGAGAGGTATGGTTTGAGTAGAGGAGATGGCCCCTCGGGTGTAAACTTCATAAGCCAGGCCTAATCCACAGAGCTTAGCAGTGAGATCACTTTGCATCAGAATATTCCTGGCTGCCACATCCCCATGGAACAAATGCTTCTCCTGCAGGAATTCCTGTCAAGATAAAATCAAATATGATCAGCTGTCTGAGATCACAGCTTGGGTCACAGACAAGGAGAGGCAGTCCTAGGAATCTTCAAAAACACAAGGACATTTTCTACTCTGAACAAGTCTCACTAATAATGATATGTCACTTCCAAAGCATGCTAATGAACTGCACATTTCTGCATTGTGTTTAGGATTACCAAATTGAGCAAATAATTCAAATGACATTAATACTGGATTTTGAAAATATAATCACCTCTGTTTCAAACACTGACCCCTGCCTGATTTTCGTTTCCCGTGAGAAAGGACCCAGCTAGACACTGGAAAAGGGAGTAGATTCCAAGTTTCTTTCTTTTTTTGTTTGTTTGTTTGTTTGTTTGTTTGTTTGAGACAGTCTCGCTCTGTCACCCAGGCTGGAGTGCAGTGGCGGGATCTCAGCTCACTGCAAGCTCCGCCTCCTGGGTTCATGCCATTCTTCTGCCTCAGCCTCCCAAGTAGCTGGGACTACAGGCACCCGCCACCACGCCTGGCTAATTTTTTGTATTTTTAGTAGAGACGGGGTTTCACCATGTTAGCCAGGATGGTCTCGATTTCCTGACCTTGTGATCTGCCCTCCTCGGCCTCCCAAAGTGCTGGGATTACAGGCATGAGCCACTGCACCCGGCCTGATTCCAAGTTTCTAGCAGTAGTCCTCAAAACAATGTAATACGTACCAAAATTGAGTATCATAATGAAAAATGTATATACATATCTCACTTTTTCCCCTAAAATAACTGCATGGGTTGAATTCAGAAATTTTCTTTTAGATAAATCTAAATGATTACAAAAGGCCACAGAGTTATTAAGCAGTAGTGACCAGAACCAGGTATTATAATTCATAGGATGTACTATATAAACTCTACTAAAAATTTTCAAGTCAGTCTGCATATTGGAATTGCCTGAGAGCTTTTTAAACATAAGATTTTCACCCCAGATTTAATAAACCAAAATGTAGGAAGAAAGACCTGGTAACCGACATTTTTAAGATGTATCAAATTCTAGTACAGCCAACAGAGCATCGGAGAGCCATGGCACCCTATGATAATTGATTTTTGGAGTAATTTCCAATGGCATCAACCTATTCAAGGCATAAGAAGAAAGTTGCAAAACTATACATGACTGAAGATCTAGATATTGAGGGCTGTGATTACTAAAAAAGGATGGTATAGAAAATTAGAAGGTAAAGGTGATAATTTCCAATCACTGATGACAAAGAAAACTAGCAGTTTTCTGTGCCTGGTGAAGCTTTAAAATAAGAAATTATAGTGCCATGATAAGAATTAAAGAATGTAACTGACTTTGAGCTTGTTAAAAGTAAGAAAAAAATAGCATGATATTGCCTTGTAACAGGTAGCATAGGGTCCTGATGAATGCACCAATTTGACCAATTCATCCCTGGACGGCGCCTCTGCAATTGCGGTTCTGAATACAGGGTAGGCTGTATCCTGACACTCTTTATCAAGGGAACATATCAACGAGGCCATTCAAACACCATAGACAATATTCACGTATATGATGTGTACTCTCCCTTGTCCCATGGGAGCTTCAACCATAACTATTACTCTTTACCCACCTTAATCCTTTTTTTCTAACCTTTTCCTGATTCCACTTACATCCCTATATTTCACACCTCAAAGTAGCAAGATATATCAAATACTTAAAACAGTAGCTTCACAGAACCCCGATTTTCCATAGCAAATGTTAATTTTAAACACAACCATTTAAATAATTTCATAGAAATAGACATATAAACTTCCTGGGTAATTCTGGTAAAGGTAAATTTTTTATCTTAAACCCTGAGTTCTTTCTCTTATCTCGTTATTTAAGTTGTTTTAGGCCGGGCACGGTGGCTCATGCCTGTAATCCCAGCACTTTGGGAGGCCGAGGCGCGCGGATCACGAGGTCGGGAGATCGAGACCATCCTGGCTAACACAGTGAAACCCCGTCTCTACTAAAAATACAAAAAAATTAGCCGGGCGTGGTGGTGGGCGCCTGTGGTCCCAGCTACTCGGGAGGCTAAGGCAGGAGAATGGCGTGAACCTGGGAGGCGGAGCTTCCAGTGAGCCGAGATCGTGCCACTGCACTCCAGCCTGGGCAACTGAGCAAGACTCCATCTCAAAAAATAAATAAATAAATAAACAAATATTTAAGTTGTTTTAAAATAAAGGAATTATCCAACTGTGCTCTTCTCATTCATCCTTTTCCACTTGTTCCTTAATCTTTTATAATTATATGTACTCCCTGTCACATTCAGTATCAAAGCAAGTCTCCAACCAAACATGTTCTGAACTAGTTTTCTTGTTTCTCAGGTATAAAATTGCATACTTCCTTCTGGTTCTGTCGCCTTTCACCCATTCAGTTTCTCTTTCCATATCTTCTCCCTACTTGCTTCCCTATCTGTCTCTTTTAATTCTATTATTAGTACAAATGGGGATGTAAAATTATCAAGTAAATGGGTGTATACCTCTTGGCCCTGAAAAATCTGAAAAATCCTTCCTGTTCCTTGTATAAACCCTAAGTTGACTACTTTCTCCCTGAAATTACCAATAGTGTGGTAAATTATCTAGATAAATCCCTAAGGAAGGGACTAAAAACAATTTATCCATGCTTGAGTTTCTGCCCCCTAACTTCTATCTAATTTTCTTTAAAACATACACACCACTTGAGAATATTAATATGAGAAATATGGCATCAAAAACAAGGCTAACAAGGAAACGTCACACCATCAGTTGTCATGTTGCCTCATCTTACCAGCGCCAAAAGGACCTGCTTTCCGATGTGATATACTTGTTTTTCTGTGAGATCATAGAGAAGACCATCCATAGTCATCACATCCTAAAGAGACAGGGAAAAAAAGCCATTATATCAAAATAGCACTCACAGATTTGGAAAAGAAATAAAGTTGGGCAGAGATACTCTGAAATGCAGTTATCAAAGCTTTGAAAAATATAAGGACTAGTGTTCAAAGTGAGGCTGTGGGAGATTTTCAGATAGGCAGAGACATAAAATGATCCATTGGACTGGAAAAACAATGACAGACATAGATGAATAGCAGGTAAGACAAGTATAAATAAGACTATCCACTGAATAAAGCAGCAATTTTTCTAGGGCTCTGTGTGTGTGCTTGTGTGTGTATGCACATGTGAGCACACATGTGTTCATGATTAATTTAGCACATAAACTGAATGCATCTTTATTGAATGCCTGAAATGTCCCTTATTCCATGTTAGGAACTTGGAATACAAGCATGAGTAAAATAGCATGGCTGCTGCCTTCTGGAGCTTATTGGGTGACAGGCACATGTGAATCAGAATCAAATAATCATACATAAATCAATGGTTACATATCTGTAAGTGCCATAAAGGAAATGTACAAAGTGCTAAGAGAGCATATGATGGTGGGCAGAAGAGAGTTGATTGAGTTGCAGGGACAGGGAAATTGATGAGATCTGAAGGATGAGTGGACATTAACTATGAAAAGAAGAGAAGAGAGAAGTTTGGTGGAACAAGAAAAACATATAAAGATAATCTGAAATAGAGATGCGTGGTATTTTTTAAAAATGGAAAGAAGCTAGTGCAGTTAGAGGACAAAACAAGTTTTAGATGAGTGACCTCTTTAAAAAGTTTAAAATGCCTAAATACTTGCAATCGTCCTATTGACAATACAGGATGGAAGACAATAACAGGGTCCCTTTCTCATACACATTCAGTTGTACAATAATCAGCATATGAAGGAGGCTCAAAGAATATTGAACTTGCTCACTAGCAAGTGAGAAACTAGGGAAACAGGTAGCACTTCTGAAAGAGGAATATAGAACAAGGGAAATTTTAAGGAAAAGGACATCCATTTGAGGCTAAAAATTTCTGAATGCTTTAATTTTAAAAAACGTGAGTTTGAGCTACAAAAGCTTTACAAGCTAAATTTCTCCCTGAGTTTGCCCACCATATTATAGTGATGTTACAGAATGGAAAACACACTTAATAACTGCAACAAAATTATAATCATTACCAAAAATACTCATATAAAGATAATTGTTATATATAAACAATATAAAGATAATTGTTATATAATTATCTTTATAACAGCTACCATTTTGAGTGCTTACTCTGTACCAACCATGGCCATGTTTTCACATACATAATTTCTTGTATTTTTTGTAATAATTATTACTCCCATTTTACAGATTCAGAAAACTCAGGATCAGAAAGGTGACTTGCTCACAGTCACATAACTAGTAGGAGGTGAAGCCTAAAGTCCATGCTCTAAACTTGTACTGTCCACTCTCTGCTCATTAGCCACCTGTGGCTATTTAAACTTATATTACTTAAAATTAAATAAAATTTAAAATTTAGTTTCTCCATCACATCAGCCACACTTCAAGTGTCTAGAAGCCATCTGTGATTAGTGGCTTATCATACTGGATGGAGCAGTTATAGAATATTTCTATAATTACAAAAAGTTCTATTATATGGTCATACTCCCTTATTCTGTCATGCTATTATAGTGTCTCTGCATTTTGTCATTTGTCACACTAACTGACATGTAAAAAGCTAGTCAACAAGGTCAAGCCTTAACCTCCTAATACCTCTGCCCTACTGCTCACCCGCCGACAGGTCCAGAGAAAGCTGAGCAGGTCCCCCTGGGCCACATCCTCCAACACCATATAGAGTGGCAGCTTTTCAGTGCAGCAGCCTTCCAGCTGCACCAGGTTTTTGTGTTTCCCCAGGTATTGATGGAATTGGATTCGCCCTAAGAAATCTTGTACCTCATGGAGCCCAGCTGGTTCTGTAGAGGACGAAAGATCCAGGCAGTGAGCAGTCAGAGCATCCTCGATGAGTGGGAGGCAGGGAGCAGGAGGCAACTTAAGATGTTAATTCTCAAGGCCCCACATGGGAGTGAATGAAGGCAAAAATAAACACAAAGGGGACTAATTAGATGAAGATGATGCTTAATGTCACTGATCTTTTATCAAAGGTAACACAGAATCATAATTATTAGAACTGGATAGGCTTTCATCTGCCTAAATAGAGAGATAGTCTGTTTGCATTAAAAAGTTATCACTGTCTAGTCCTTTGGATTAATATCCTTGCTTGTCTTATCCTTGTTCTATGTATCCACCATTACTGGCCCATATCATGAAGAGGAGAGAGAGAGAGAGAGAGAGAGAGAGAGAGAGAGAGAGAGAGAGAGAGAGAGAGAGAGAAATATAATGTAAGCTGGGCATGATGGCTCACACCTGTAATCCCAGCACTTTGGGAGGTTGAGGCTGGTGGATCACCTGAGGTCAGGAGTTCGAGACTGGCCTGGCCAATATGGTGAAACCCCATTTCTACTAATAATACAAAAATTAGCTGGCCATAGTGGCACACGGCTGTAATCCCAGCTACTTGGGAGGCTGAGGCAGGAGAATCACTTAAACCTGGGAGGCGGAGGTTGCAGGGAGCCCAGATGGCACCATTGCACTCTAGCCTGGTGACAAGAGCAACACTCTGTCTCAAAAAAAAAAAAAAAGAAAAAAGAAATATAATATCAGGAAGGGGTATCAAAGAATAAAGTAAAATGAGGAAACAACCTCAGAATCCTAGTACAAGTAACATCCATTGTGAAAAAATCTGTTTTAACAGCCTCAATAGGCAAAGATGAGCTAGGGAACCTAGGATGCAAAGAAGAGCTAGGGAATCTAGGATGCAAAGATGTTTTAACATATGCAAATCAATTCTGTGACATACCGCATTAACAGAATAAAGGATAAACATCATATGATCATTTCAATCAATGCAGAAAAGGCATTTGATAAAATCCAATATCCTTTCATGATAAAAACACTACACAAAGTACAGAAGGAATGTACCTCAACACAATAAAGACTGTGTAAAAACCCACAGCTAACATCTTACTCATCATAACATTATGCTTATTTGTAGTAGTCATTTTAGTTATTATTTGGAGATTGGGTAAGGATTCACAAATAAACAATTTGTGTAATTAAAAAAAAAGACACCAAGAAAAACATTTCTGCCTCAAGTTTCCACTCTATTACCTTCTTCTGTACACAGTTATGATCACAACTATCTGTTAGTTAACATCTCAATGTTCGCAAAGCCTGTTAATATTTACTGTTAGGGGAAGGGGGAGTCAAACACTTCTTGTTTTACCTTTTAAAGCCTTGAGAATAACACTCTTGGGCTTAGAAGGGTCCCCAGTGTTCATATTGGCTCGAAAGATGGGCCCACAGCTACCACTGCAAATCTGCTCCAGAACTTCAGAGAGTTGCTCCCGCGGCACCTGCAGCTTAGCCAGGGCAGGTGTGGTAGCTCCCAGAAAGTTTTCCACGGATGTCTCCTTAAGTGGCAAAGCCACATTTCCTCCATGTCCTGCTTCCCAGCTTAGGTCCCTAGGTGGAGGAACAGGGGCAATGCCTAGAACAGAGAGATGATGTCAACCAGTTTTTCCCCGCCCTGGGGATCCCGGAAAGCAGACCCTGAAACAAATTGGCAAGGAGGTTCCTTCAGCAGTTTTCTCTTTGGCCAATGGGGAGTTGTCTTCTGATGCTTCTCTATAAACCAGCATCAATGTCAAGTTTGTAGAACCTTTATAATAATCCCCATTAGTTCTTAGGACAACTCAAGAAGGACCCCAGGAAATCGGTCATGACACTTCCTTTCTGCCTTCCTTCCTCTGGGTTACAATTGAGTACTTCCCATGAGTGTGGTATGGAGACAATTAGGGAAGTTACTGAATAGGTATCCAAACCACAGATGCCTAAAGGTGGAGGTAACTGCCAGTGAGAACTGTCATTTAAATCAGACAAATGGCTTTCAACGTTGGAGGAAAGGTATGGATAATTAATCAGCTTTAAGCTATGGTTATTCTTCCTCCTTTGAGTTACCCCAAAAGTCAAGTTATTTCATATTTCCTTGAGTCTTGGTCAAAAAAGTCTTCTGGTACTCTCTCCTTCCCTTGGCCAGCAAAAAAGAGAGGTTCATCCTTCTTATTAAATCTACATTTATTCATTTATTCAACAAATATCACCTATTACATGCCAGGTACTGTTCTAAGTGCTGGGAACAGGAAAAGTCCAGATTCACCTGAAGATTACTTTCTACTGGTAGGGGAGAGGAAGCAGGTAATAATATATCAAGCAATTAATGTTGTGGAGGAAAATAAAAGATGGAGAAAAAGCTGAGTGTGATGCCATGAGCCTATAATCCCAGCTATTGGGGAGGCCAAAGCAGGAGGATCTCCTGAGCCCAGGAGATCCTGGGCTGAATTAACATTCAGCCTAAGCAACATAGCGAGACTCCATCTCTTTAAAAAAAAAACAAAAAAAGGTGGTGGGGAGAAGAAGCATCAGTGAATCAGTCACCTGTGTTATATATGAAGGTCAAGAAAGGCCTTTCTGATGAGATAACATTTGAGAAAGGCCTGGAAGCAACTAGGGAGCAAACCATGCTGGTGTCAGGGAGAGTATTGTAGGCAAAGAAAGCAAAAATTGCAAAAGCATTAAGCAGGGAGCATAGCTGCAATAGTTGAGAAATAGCCAGGAAGCCAGTGTAGCTGGAGCCAAGTGGGATCATTGGAGAGTAGTAGGAGACAAGGCCAGGGAGGCCCAGATCACATAAGGCCATGGAAAAAATTTTGTCATTTTTCATTCTGAGCAAGGTGGGAGGCTACTGCATGTGTGTGTGTGGAAGAGAGATTTCAAGCAGATAACTAACAGGACTGACTGTATTAAAAGACTCATTCTGGCATTTCTATAAAGGAGTAGGGGCAGAAGCAGGGAATGTTAAGAGTGTGTTGCAGTGATCAGTGAGATGTGAGAGTAACTTGGGTTTATTTTGAAAATAGGGTAACAGTGTTTGCTTATGGATTAGATACAGACTGTGAGAGAAAGAAAGGAGTTATCTTCAAGGTTTGAGACTGAAAACACAGTCTCAAACTGTGTTTCAAGGTTTGAGACTGATATCTTCAAGGTTTGAGACTGAAAACACAGAAGACAGGACTTGCCATTTACTAAGATAGGCAAGACTATTTGCGGAGGACATTTATGAGAGAATTTCAGGACCTTTGTTTTGGTCATATTACATATGAGATTTGTATTCCATTGAAACTGTGCAGTAGGTGGTTTAATATGAGAATTGAGTTCAAGGGACTATCATTGGAATAGAAAATGTATTTGAATCCATAAGACTAAAAATTATAGCATTTAGGAAGTGGCTTTAGTTTTTTCAGTATTTCAAGAAAGAGAAAGTTTAAAATTGTTTCAAATGCTTTTGACAGATCAAGTAAGACGAAGACTAAGAATTGATCATTGGACTTTTCAATGCAGCTGTCATTGATGACCTTGGAAAGACTTGTTTTGGCGAAGTGGTAGAGATGAAAACCTTATTTTAGTGTGTTCAAAAGAGAATGTGATGAGTAGAAGTAGTAGGAGTGAGTTTAGACAACTTGTTTGAGAAGTTTTCTATAAAAGTGAAGTATAAGACTATTGGGATAAAATTTAAAGAAAAACTAAGGATTAGCCACTATAGAGTTTCATATCATTATGAGAGTTTTCTTTTTCCTTCTTTTTACCCTGAGTTTCATCTGTGAATTGATTCCCTTTTATTATATGCTCAGTGGAACTCCAGAACAGACTGTTATCATCTACTTAGCACTTCAAAGACTGTTATAATATAAAGGCCCCTCCTTTCCATCATATATCCTGGAGGCAAAGATTAGGAATGGAACGTATCATAGGGTGATATGTCATCCTCCTAGGATGTTCATAAAGCCTTGGACTTTACCCCCTTAGGTCTTTCTCCTAGGTCCTTAGGCACTCATATAGTCAAAGTTTTGATAGTCCAACAGGAATAGAAACAGGTTATATGAGGTTTTTCTTGCACACTCTTTTTTCAGTCAGTAAGCACGTGTTGAATTCCAACTCGGGAATTCCTAGAAAAGAGATCATCCCCCTCTCAACTCCATGGGAGGGAACCCATGCCTCTCTCATTGCAGGTACCTAGACTTCTAGACATGGGCTCATTGAAACTTAGACCATACTTTTTCCTAATCTCCATCTTCTTTAAGCCCCTGCCCAGCCCCAAAGTTTGAGCTTTACCTTGAGGTCCAGAACGCTGCTGTTGAGTTCTTTGTTCTCTGATAAAAAGCCACAGGATGACCCCAAGAAGGATGAGGAAGATAGTAACCAACAAAGTTGGGACGATAATCACTTCATACTGCTTCTCCTGGATGACTGGGTAGGCGATCACACAGGAAGAGAAGAGAATGAAGAAGCCTAACCTGGTGTTCATGCAATTTCCCCTACCCGCCAGCTCTCAGCTCATCATACATGAAAAGGTCATCTCTTCTACCATCTCCTCTACTTCCATTCAACAGAAACACTGCTGGGAGCAACTCTCTAACCAGAAACCCCAGTGACTCTGTTTCTTAGCCCATCAAATGTGCATGACGTTGCTTCTGGCAGTTTCTTACCAAGATTGAAGATGCAGCATCTGGATCACTGATTAGCACTTACCCTCTCCCCAAAAAGACAATGGCCTCTAGTCCCCATCCTTTTATCACCACTGTCTTCATTTCTACTGGAAATCAAATCATCCTCCTTCTAGAATCTACCGAGACCTTAGCCTTCATAATTCTAAAATCAGAGGATAGACATCTGTGGAATCCGTACTTACCACACAACTTGTCACTGAGACTGCATTCCAGGAGCATCCGTGTCATGCCCATTGCCACAGGGCTGTCCCCTTCCCTGCTAGGCCCACAGAGAATGCACACAGCACAGCTGTGAGTAATTCCTAAGGATTGAGTGGTTTTTGAAAAAAATAAAATGAATGAAAAAAAATAAATGAAGTACACACAGAATTTTAAACCGCCTCTACAGATCACTAGTTAAGTAAATGGCTACCTCTCTGAGTCATCCGTTTATCTCTATCTACCTAGCTGATATTCAGGTTGGAAGAACCCTCCCAACCTTCTCTTCCTCTCAGCGTTTCTCTTTTCTCTATTATACAGCAAAGAGCTCTGATCTGCTCTTGTCCTTTCATTCAACTGTTACTGAAATTATTTTAAAGTCTCCCCTCCCACCCGAGACTTCTGCTCCCATGATCAAGTACAGATTCAAAACATCCATCTGAACTGTGATCCATGGGTTATGTGGGCATGATCTACCTCCCCTACAGTATTAAGCATGTCTAATATATTTTTTTTAGCTGTGCATCATATTTTTTAAGCAAAACATTTTTTGAAGTTGGGATCTTGCTCTGTAGCCAGGCTTGAGTGCAGTGGTGTGATCATGCATGGCTCATTTAAATCTCAAACTCTTGGGCTCAATTAATCCTCCTGCCTCAATCCCCTGAGTCTCTGGAATTACAGGCATGAGCTACCATTTCTAGCTCTAAAGAAAACATTTAATTTCATTTTTACACACAGTTAATTCAGATAACAAATAAAAAATTGACAGATGTCGAAGGATATGAGTTACACATTTGCTTTGTTTCTCTGAAATATCCACACCCTCACAAGCAGTGAACAGACAGCATTTATCAATAAAAACTATTTAATTCCTCATCCCTCAGAGCTTCAAGGTGCTTCCTCTGCTCATATCAGATATAGACACGGACACTCATTGCTACAAGGATATAAAGGAAGTATCAGTACCAAGCCACCTTCTCTTTCTCTTTTAAATAAAAAGAAAATACATTCATATGATTCAAAAAATAGTAGTGTAAAATTGTATAGCATAAAAATATTTCTCCCCCCCATTCTTCTCCATTTATCCAGTTCTTAACTCTCCTCCAGTCTCCTCCAAGTAGACTCTAGTTATTAGTTTCTTGTTTGTCTGGCAAGGGATTCTTTATGTGTATCACTGTTAAGTCTATATAATATAATCAGTACATATTTCAAATAACAGCCCTAGAAACTTGGTTCTTTCTTTCCAAAGAGAACTCATGTTTACCACTGTCCCATACCTCTCCTAAATTTATATTTTGCCTTTGCTTGACAAGACACTCCCATGGTTCTATAGTCAACAAAGCCTACTTCTTTAATTCTGATTAACTTGAAAGAAAATATGATTTTCTGCTAAATAAGTCTAAATATGTGATCCAGTTTTGTAGTGACTTGATAAAAACATAAAACAAAAATCAGAAGTATAGCTTATATAATATGCTACTATGTTGTACAGGTGTTACATTAGCCATATTATGCTGTCCTCTATCATTACATTATGCATTGTTTTTAATACTGATACTAATAACCACAGTGTTACTTACTGAGGCAGAATCTCTCAGTGCCTGAAAGACCTATGTAAAGAAGCCTCCCAGATTCTGCCTTACTTGTGTTCCACTCTTCCTGGAGCACCATGAACTTGTATATGGGTTTAATAGTTAAACAATTCCCTTACGACTCAAGAGAAACAAAACTGTGCAGTTGGTTGACAGAAGCTCAGGTAAACAGCCAAGTAGCCAGCGGGCGGAAAATTGGCACAGAAGAGGGAACTTCTTATCCTTATTCTTATTCTTAGAATGGGATCTAAGAAGTTGATGAATAGTTAGATAGCAAAGTCCACTGTATCCAGTGTGTAAACCAAAATGGCAAGGAGAAATGTGGCTGAGAAAGCTTCCACAATTCATGAGGCCACATGGAAGGACTAGCACTAGTGATGAAACTTTCAAAAAACAGACCTTAAGAGAGTGGCACAAAGGAGAAGTTCTGAAAAATAAAACGTTGGATCAGCACGGTGAATTCAGGAAGGCTATTAGAAAAGTGATCACTGCTATTATCATTCTTATTTTCCTTTCCTTTGCCTCCTTTTTAGTGGATTATCAGAAGTAATTGTTTTCATTCAGGGAGCAGCCAGTTTAACCAGTTTGGCTTTCTGAGGAGGAGGTTCTCAGCACACTCTCTCTTACCACAGCACAGGTGGAAAAAAGGGTCAGTCAGCAGCTAGCTCAGACTCATGAGCTCGGCCCAGAAAACAAACTACACACCCACTAATACATACTGAAGGGAGTCGTTTAAAGCCATGTGTACGTGTACCCCCACATGGGCACAGTGAACTGCTCACGGAGGGCCATCCATACTCAACTATAGGCACCTGGCCAAACACACAAATCCCTGATAACTCAAACTCATGCTTATATCCTTACACTAACTATCACACCTATTACAGAGCACTCACCTTTGGATGCAATATGGCCTGCTACTGCATTTCCTGAGCCAGGTTCTCACCATCACTTTTATTTGTACATAAGTAGTTTAAAGAGGCAAGGCTTATTGATATCTTGCAGCCCAGTGAAATTGGATGCTAGAGCAAGGAGATAAATGTATAGAATGATGAGGTCCACCCAATGAAATTGCTTTCCATATGTGTATACAATAAACCCTTTCTAATGGTTACAGTTTATTTAGGTAGAGGCATATGGAGTGTACCAGATGAGTCTAGGATTTTTTTTTTTTTTTTTTTGAGACGGGGTCTCACTCTGTCGCCCAGGCTGGAGTGCAGTGGCGTGATCTCTGCTCACTGCAAGCTCCACCTCCCAGGTTCATGCCATTCTCCTGCCTCAGCCTCCCAAGTAGCTGGGACTACAGGCACCCACCACCACGCACGCCCGGCTAATTTTCTGTATTTTTAGTAGAGAGGGGGTTTCACTGTGTTAGCCAGGATGGTCTCGATCTCCTGACCTCGTGATCCACCTGCCTTGGCCTCCCAAAGTGCTGGGATTACAGGCATGAGCCACTGCGCCTGGCCGAGTCTAGGATTTTTAAGGCATACACACTGGGCATACCCACATATCCATGAAAGCTAATGTGGGAAACCTCACCACACAGAGGCCACCAAAGCTCATACATCAGAGGATGCTTATATTTACTTGTAACAGCAATATTCCTCTCTAGATCACTTTTTAGCTTGAAATTCATACTCAGAAACCACATGGCTTTGCCTGTCCACTCTGTCAAGCTGAGAAAAGGCATGCCTTAATGCCAAAAACCTCTAGGATGACTCTTCGATGGGTTCAACTCTGGCCCACCTGACTACTAGAAGGACACTTCTGGCCAAGATTCCTGTTCAATCTGACCAATACTCCACTCCCTTTCATTATCTCTAAATACTTTTCCCACTATGTCAAAAAATATATGTAGGCTACTGCTTCTTCTCTTAGCTGAACTGTAAAGCATTATCCACAGTTCTCTATTTAATGTTATGAATAATGAAATCCATGGCATTGGAATCAAGGGTCTAGTGAAATTGTAATATATTTCATTCTGATAAATATGTTTGATAGTTGTAAAATATGTTTGTATATACTTTGCCTCTAGTTTACATAATCCTATATCTACAGAGCCAAATCTCTTCAGGCAGGGTTCTAGTTAGAACCATAATATTGCCTCACTTGTAGTTATCATTCCTTAATTTCTCTTATCAGTTGCTTCAGACTTTCTCTTAGCATGTTAAAGGTTTAACTCCCCTCTTTCATTGAGAATCCTGAGAAGAAACAGTGCAATGAAGGAGATACAAAAGGGAGGAGAATGAAAGTGAAATGAGGAGTAAAGTCCATGCTAAATCTTTACAAGACTATAGTCTGAAGACCATAAAAGCTCATGAATATAACTATAACGAAATTGAACTAAATAGTAATATTAATTCTAAACTTTTACACATACAATACAAGCATAGTGTCACACTGCATTTAGGCATCTATTTTAATTCACACTATATTCTATTTGCAACCATAACACAACTCTTAATAAGTGGCATTTCTTTTCAGTTAGCACAATACAGTCTCCCGGACACAATCTGCAATTTACCCATGACTTTCCAGAGTAAACTTTTCTTACCAAAATATACCTAGATATAAGACTTCTAAAATCAGATTTCCTGCACTCTGCCTGCTTATGTGTGATGAAAAATTCCATGATTGAACTCAGTATAACATCTGGCCCTGTTCCAGTAAGGTACAGTTAAATCTGTTGTGCCAGCCTCACCTTCAACCTTACTGCTTGCTTATCAACACATGTGGATCTTCCAGCCATGTTCTTTTTAGATAGACAAGTGATCCACCCTCCCAGGTGGCTGCCACATGGATCAAGGAAGTTATTAATGGCTTTGGGCTATGGGGCAGAGGACTCAAAGACTAAAAGTGAGGAGGGTAAAATATATGGAGGTAGCAGCCCCTAGCCTGAAACAGTCTGCCTTCTTGTATAGTTAGCGTTTCATTCTTACCCTTGAGCTATCTGGAAAAAAAACAAAAACAAAAAACAAAACCAAAACAAACAAAAAACATGTTTAATGGGCTGAATATATTAATTTGGAAGTGAGATAGAGAACAATGCTCAGATCTAGAGAATCTGAGAATTACTTGTTACCAACATCCTATGAAACAAGCTTCCGGTTTTCAGATCTAATAAACCTGTGTTTAGCAACTACAGTGTGCCAGGTATTGTGCTAGGCACTTTCATACAAAGAAGGCAAGGCAGAAACTGAGGGATTAAGTTATGAATTAGTGATTAAGTTATAAATTGGCCACTTTTTTTTTTTTTCTGATGGAGTCTCGCTGTTGTGGGCCCAGGCTGGAGTGCAATGGCGTGATCTCAGCTCACTGCAACCTCCGTCTCCCAGGTTCCAGCAATTCTCCTGCCTCAGCCTCCCAAATAGCTGGGATTACAGGTGCATGCCACCACACCCAGCTAATTTTTGTATTTTTAGTAGAGATGGGTTTTATCATGTTGGCCAGGCTGGTCTCGAACTCCTGACCTCAGGTTATCCACCTGACTTGGCCTCCCAAAGTACTGGGATTACAGGCGTGAGCCACTGTACCCCACCAAATTAGCCACTTTTTAAAAAAAAATGGCAGAGCAAGGTTGCACACCCAGGTCTTTTACTTACAAACCCAATGTTCTTTATACTACTTTGTTGTGCATATATACTTGTCTTTCAAATGAGAAAGACCAACAAGGTCAAGAAGGAATTACATTGGAATCCAAAAGAATCATGGAAACCACAAGGCTGAAACCAAATTTTACTAACATACACTCAATTTGGAAAGAATGGATGAATTGAATCTGCCTGTAAGGGTGTCCATATAGGAACCTCATAGGGACATAGATGACATCTGCATGTCTGTCTTTAAAGTATATTCTGAAAATAGAAGTAGAATCAGAATTTTTTTCCTAGTATTCACCAGATTATGTCATCTTGGGTTGTTTCCTTTGTTCATTTTCCTGGGTCTGATCCCCAATCCTATTTCTATCTTCTGCTTTTTGAGTAAAAAGTCCCGGTTCTTAGGACTAGCCATCTTTCACTGTGAGCATGAGGGTCAGAAAGAGGCCAGAAATTGCAGGGGACAGGGCACTGGCTTAGGAATTAGGGTCTTCATGCTGTCTCTCTCAGTGCCCCAGGCTCTACCGTTCTAGGGAAACAAACCAGTGAGAGGACACAGAGTGCATGGAAGGGCACACTGGAGAGGTGATTCTTTTTAAATCCAGAGAAGCGTATTTGTGTAGATAACTTGCCTTATGCCCTGTGATATCTCCTAGTGTGGGTGAGGCAGGGAGGAGGTTATCTAAGAGAGGTTATCTCGTCCTCTCACTCTTCTCAGATATTGAGAAATTGTGCTTATTTCTGATCTTTGCCCTCCCCCATTTCCTAGAGACCCAGGGATCGAAATGAACACTAGAGAAAGTGTTTCAAATGGGTTCTCAAAGGGGAACCCCTTTCCACCATGGTGCCTAGGAGTCCTGCGCCTGTTTCAACAGATCTTTTGACTCACTGGTACTCACCAAATTATGAAATCTGAGGGCTATCAGTTTTTCTTGCTTCTATTTTTACCTGTCTCCAGAGATTCCTGAAACATATGTGATATACAGTTGAGATGAGGAAGCTTAGTCTATATCCTGGTACCTCACAAAAGTTTACTTTGTAGAGGAGAAAAGTGATTGCAAGACAGGCCCCATAACATCTAGGTAAGAAATGCAGTGCTCACAGATGCTTACAAACAGCATCAGATTTTAAATATGGTTTCGCAGATAAACACATTTTATTTCCTTTGAGGTATTATACAAATTCAAAACAGTTTATTTTTATTATAATTATCTTGCTATTTTGTATGTACCCAATTCCATAATCCTTCATCTACCAGTTTCAAAGAAAAGCCCAGAAATAGCATATCTTAAATTAAATATTCTCCTGCTGATTACGTTCTCTTCCTGAGATTCCTAATCAATAACAATTTTCCCAGCTCCTCAGTTTCCCCAGCTCAGAATAAGGGCTATCAGTGAGAGGGAAAAGCTGAGAACTCACAACGCCACCCCCACTCAGCACAGGATTATCTCTAATCCATCCGTGTCTCCTTTTCCTACCTGATTAATGCACCAGAAGATGGGTTGGGGCTGCTTTCAAATACCTTGTTCCTACTGTTGTCAGTGACCTTGCATTTCCAAGGATCAGTCCTCTTCTTTGGTATTCAGCCTGCTGGGTTTTTCCTTCTAAGAAAGATTTTGGGTTCTCTAAAACTCTCTTGGAAGTCTCCCCCCATAAGTGAGGAGATCTGTTTTGTTTTCTGGCCACTCTTCCAGCCTGTCTAACACACTGCCCTCTGGCAGAGAGGAGGGCCCAAGCTGAGGAGGACTGAAGGAAGACAGGCTACAACAGGCTGTAGGGGCACATATATACATACACACACTTTCTCATTCTCTGATAAATGAGTCCCAGGCCCAGGCAGAGAGATGTGGACATGAGGTTTCACCATCAGAAAGCTAACTCAGCTCCTGTTTACCTCAGTGCTGTGCCATACAGTGTGTCACTATAAAATTTCTATATGTAGAATGTAATTCCAGGTAAACAATAACAAACTCCTGGCGAGAGGAAAAAGACACTTCTGGGAACACATAACCTCCTGCCTCATTCTGTACAGCCAGGATCCAAGGGCAGTTTCCCCTCCCTAGGGAGTGGGTCAGCATGGTTCAGAGCTGAGCAGTCCAGGAATTAAGGGAAGTGGAGTCAGCCCTGACTTAGTGCTGTAATAACAGAGTGAGAGATTGGAAGTTCTAGTTCTGGTTTGGTGGGTGATTCATTCAGCATCCGGAAGCATGTCACCTGACCTTGCCATTCCTTGCCTTCCTAGTTTAGTGAGCAGGAAACGTGCATGTCTCCTAAGGGTAATAAAGAACTGCAGAGAGCAGTAGGAAGTTTATCAACTGGAAAACGGGCATGCCAATCAATAAGTACCCTCAGCCAGTTATGCTACCTCTCCTTGTCCCTGCAAGAGCTCCCAAATTTTGGAGGCTTCCTTTCATCCACATCTTCCTACCCATATCATGGCAGCCCTGGAATCTGATGGATATCTATTCCTACACTTACCCTGCATAGAATTTCCTGTGCTATAATGGTAAGACTTTGGAGTTTGGCTTCCATTTGAATCTCATTCCTATCATTCATGATGACTTTGTATAACGTATTTTAACTTTGTGAAGGTGTTTTCCCATATGTAAAGTGCTGCTGATGATAACTACCTACCAGGGTTGTTGAGAGCTATGCAGCATAATTTCTGTAAAATGCCTAGAACATTACCAGAGCCATTGCGATCATCAATATGTGTTAGTCTCCCTCTTCCTCCCTTCCTTCTTCATCTGCCTTTCCAGTTGGGAAATAGTCACATAGCTGTATCAATCAGGTAAACATGTATAACCAAAAATAACAAAATGAAACAAAAAATCTTTTATCTAAATATTTATAATATTTGTGCATGTAAGTATACTCTATGCACAGAGAGGGAGTTAAAGTAATCAAAAAGTTAATGCAGGATTTAAAACTTTTTATACTTCAACTAGGTGTCATTTGATAGCAGAAATAGTACAGCTGCCAGTAGATATCTGAATTTAACAATCATGTTGAGAAAGAGAGATTTAAACCAGATAAATCAAATAGCATAATGCTGTAAAGTAAGGTACAGAAATGGAAAGAATGCTAGATAGTGGTATGGTATTCATCAGGGAAAATATATCAGCACCTGCCTGATTTCTTCTGTCTCTAAATTTTTCAGCTCCTTGTACTGGTTCCGCTGATATCACTTATATGCTGGCTAATTTCCACCCAGATCCTGAACCAATTCTGACGGGGGCATTACGGAGATCAGCAGTCTCAGTCCTCTTCATCCTATTTATCTTACATACTCTCCAATTTGGGGAAGATGTAGCCTTTATCCACTTCCCCAAATCTGCCCACTTACTCATGCCTATTAACAAAACCCTCTCAAATCTGGAGCCCTCACCTGAATGCCACACAAGTCGATGGGGCCGTGTTGTCCTCTCTTTGCCTAAATCAATCCTAAGTGAGATTGAAATTTTACTTTATACTCTGATTACTGAGCTCTTGCTACTAATATAAAAGCCTCCCAGATAAATGCAACCACAATGGTTGAATGCCTCTTTACTGACCATCATCCTGCTCCACTCTACTTCATTCCTATTTCATTCACACCCCTGAACCCATTACCTTTATGTTCTGCTGGCCACACTGAAAACCTGAGTTGCTAATTCTTGCCTGAATTTTGCTCTGTAACTGAACTGTCCATTCAAGACAGCTCTACTTCTTCCACTTCTACAATCTAGTTAGTTTATCTCACATCATTCCTTGGGGGGCCAGCCTTATACCAAGTCATTCACTCAGATGTTAAATAATTAATCATAAAAATTATTAAATATGTTTTGCTATGAAGGAGAAGTTTAGGGTGCTATAAAAACGGGGCAATAGGAAGGAAGTCAAAAAAAGTTTCTTTAAGTAAACAGTATTTAAGCAAATGATAAGTAGGAGCTGACTAGATAAAGGTGGGCACAGCCACAAGGCAAGAGAGGAGGAATATCCAGGCCTTGGATGGGAACAGAGCTTGATACATTCTCATAACTGGAAGGTCAGTGGGCCTGGACAGTAACAAGAGAGGAGAAAACACGAAGAGATGGCACTGTGCAGGTAGGCGAGAGGCAGATCATAATGAGCCTTTAGGCCATGCTAAACATTGCTTGTTTTATTCTAAGTATCACTGAAGTGCTTTAAATAGAGTGACATGGTCCATTTTGTATTTTAGAAAAAAAAAATTATTTGGAATACTACTTAGCAATAAGAAGGAACAAATTATTCCTACATGCAACACTTAGATGGAACTTAAGGACTTTATGCTGAGTGGAAAAAGCCAGTCTCAAAAGGTTACATGCTGTATGGTTCCATCCGTATAATATTTCCAAAATGGCAAAATTAGAGAGACAGAAAATAGATCAGTGTTTACCAGTAGGAACAGGGAGAAGGTGTGACTTTGAAGGGGTAGCATGAGGGAGTTTCTTTATGGTGACAGACAATTCTGTATCTTGACTGTGGTGAAAATTACATGAGTCTATACATGTGATAAAATATCAAAGAACTATGCACAGAGAGGAAAAAGATAATGTGTGAATGCAAAAACTGAAATCCCAGGAAACTCTACATTCTAGTTCATTATACTGTGCCATTGTCAGTTTCATAATTTGGATAATTTACTACAGTTATTTAGATGTTCCCATTGGGAAAATTGGTAATTGTTACATTGGATTCTATACTATTTTTGCAACTACTTGTGAACCTTTAATCATTTCAAATTGAAAAGTAAAAATGAGTATTAGTTTTGCAGCAATTGAGTAATAAATTGCAGGTGATAATAAATACATACGAGAATATCAATTGTGAAACTAATAATTTCATAATCATTTTTTGGATTACAGTAGTGACAGTAAAAAAAAGAAAAATAATGGATTGGAAACCTTGAGGAGATTGAACCAACAGGACACAGTGGTTGTAGAAGGTAAGAAGGAGAAGGAGAAATCAAAGAAGAGGAGATGATGAGTTGTTCTGGACATTTTGATTTAAGATGCCAGTGTGACTTTTAAGTAGAATATTAGAAAAAAGCATTTGGTTGTACAGTTCTTAGGATTCATAAGGGAAGTCTGGACCAGAGATAAATATTTGGGAGTCATTAGATAATATTGAAAGCTTGAAAGTGAATAAGAGAGAAAGAGGAAAAAATGAACAAAAAGGAAAAAGAGAAGAGAGGAAAAGAGGGCCTAGGAAAGAATCCATGGAGTTCCAACGGATAAGGGCTACATGAAGGAAGAGGAATTGGGGTCCAGGGGGAAACTCAAAGAGGGCCTAAGAAGGAAAAACTAGAGAAGTAAAAGGGGAACCAAGAGTTTGTGCTGTTGTGGAAGCAAAGGAGAGGGGCATGGACAACAGCTGGGCTAAAATCTGATGACAGGTCAGGAAAACAATAAGTAGCAGATACAGGCAACATGGAGGTCACCCATCATAGAAAGAATAGCTATAGTGCAGTGGCCAGAGAGCAGGGTGGTTCTGGGAATGAATAGGTGGTGAGGATGTGGAGAAAATGTGTTTAGGGGGCTCTTCTATGATCTTTGCGACCTATATGAATGAGAGGACTGAAAAGAGGAGTTCAGAGAGAGATTTCACAGTTGATTTCTTTGGAAACTTAGGGCTCCAGCAAGATAAGAAAGGGAACTGGTAATACCCCAACATGCAGTAATCTCTCATTCTAAAAAAAACAAAGCAAAGTTTGGTATGGAGAGGCCTGTATCAGGCATAAATGTTTTACAAAGCCTAAACACACACACCCACACACACTGAAAAACAGAGAGATAGATTAATAGAACACATAAGTATCCCAGAAAAAGAGACACATATTTAGGACTTTAATATAAAGAAGTCAGCAAGAATCAAAATAAGCAGATGAGTGGTTCTCAAACCAGAGAGCACATTAGAATCTCCTAGGAGGCATTTTTAAAAAATATCAATCCTGATGTTCATTTCCCACTTGATATGGTTTGGCTGTGTCTCTACCCAAATCTCATCTTGAATTCCCATATGTTGTGGGAGGGACTCAGTGGGAGGTAATTGAATCATAGGGCCAGGTCTTTCCCATGCTGTTCTCATGATAATGAATAAGTCTCACAAGATCTGATGGCTTTATAAGGGGGAGTTTCCTTGCACAAGTTCTCTCTCTTTGCCTGCCACCATCCACGTAAGATGTGACTTGTTGCTCCTTGCCTTCCACCATGATTGGGAGGCCTCCCTAGTCACTTGGAACCGTAAGTCCATTAAACCTCTTTCTTTTGTAAATTGCCCAGTTTCATGTATGTCTTTATCAGCAGCGTGAAAATGGATTAATACAGTAAATTGGTACCAGGAGTAGGGTGCTACTGAAAAGACAGCCAAAAATGTGGAAGTGATTTTGGAACTGGGTAACAGGGAGAAGTTGGAACAGTTTGGAGGGCTCAGAAGAAGACAGGAAACTGTGGGAAAGTTTGAAATTCCCTAGAGACTTGTTGAATGACTTTGACCAAAAGGCCGATAATGATATGAACAATGAAATCCAGGCTGAAGTGGTCTCAGATGGAGATGAGAAACTTGTTGGGAACCAGAGCAAAAGTGACTCTTGTTATGTTTTAGCAAACAGACTGGTGGCATTTGCCCCTGCCCTAGAGATCTGTAGAACTTTGAACTTGAGGGAGATGATTTAGGGTATCTGACAAAGAAATTTCTCAGAAGCAAAGCATTCAAGAGGTGACTTGGGTGCTGTTAAAGGCATTCAGTTTTATAAGGGAAACAGAGCACAAAAGTTTGGAAAATTTGCAGCCTGACAATGTGATAGAATAGAAAATCCCATTTTCTGAGGAGAAATTCAAGCCAGCTGCAGAAATTTGCATAAGTAACAAGGAGCCAAATGTTAATCACCAAGACAATGAGGAAAATGTCTCCAGGGCATGTCAGAGACCTTTGAGGCAGCCCCTCTGATCACAGGCCCAGAGGTTTAGGAGGATAAAATGGTTTCATGGGCTGGGCCCAGGGTCCCTCTGCTATGTGCAATCTAGGGACTTGGTGCCCTGTGTCCCAGCTGCTCCAGCTGTGACTAAAAGGGCCAAGGTACAGCTTGGGCTGTTGCTTCAGAGAGTGAAAGCCCCAAGCCTTGGCAGCTTCCATGTGGTGTTGAGCCTGTGGGTACACAGAAGTCAAGAATTAAGGCTTGGGAACCTCTGCCTAGATTTCAGAGGCTGTATGGAAATGCCCAGATGCCTATGCAAAAGTTTCCTGCAGGGGCGGGGCCCTCATGGAGAACCTTTGCTAGGGCAGTGCAGAAGGGAAATGTGGGGTCGAGCCCCCACACAATGTCCCTATTGGGGCACCACCTAGTGGAGCTACGAGAAGAGGGTTACCATCCTCCAAAACCCAGAATGGTAGATCCACCAACAGCTTGCACCATGTGCCTGGGAAAGCTGCAGACACTCAACACCAGCCCATGAAAGCAGCCAGGAGTGGGGCTATACCCTGTCAAGCCTCAGCAGCAGAGCTGCCCAAGACCATGGGAACCCCCCTCTGGAATCACCATGACCTGGATGTGAGACATAGAGTCAAAGATCATTTTGGAGCTTTAAGATTTGACTGGTCTGCTGGATTTCAGACTTGTATGGGGCCTGTATCCCCTTTGTTTTGGCCAATTTCTCCCTGTGGAACAGCTGTATTTACACAATGTCTATATCCCCATTGTATCTAAGAAATAACTAACTTGCTTTTGATTTTACAGGCTTACAGGTGGAAGTGACTTGCTTTGTCTCAGATGAGATGTTGAACTGTGGACTTTTGAGTTAATGCTGAAATGAGTTAAGATTTTGGGGGACGGTTGGGAAGGCAATATTGGTTTTGAAATGTGAAGACATGAGATTCGGGAAGGGCCAGGAGTAAAATGATATGTTTTGGCTGTGTCCCCACCCAAATCTTATCTTGAATTCCCATGTGTTGTGGGAGGGACAAAGTGGGAGGTAATTGAAACATGGGGGCAGGTCTTTCCTGTGCTTGTGAGAGTGAATAAGTCTCACGAGATCTGATGGTTTTATAAAGGGGAGTTTCCCTGCACAAGACAGTTCTCTCTCTTTGCCTGCCATCATTCACATAAGATGTGACTTGCTCTGCCTTGTCTTCTGCCATGATTGTAAGGCCTCCCCAGCCACTCAGAACTGTAAGTCCATTAAACCTCTTTCTTTTGTAAATTGCCCAGTCTCAGGTATGTCTTTATCAGCAGCATAAAAACGGACTAATACACCACTCCTCTTAGAGATTATGATGATTATAAACCCCATAGATTATGACTTCAGATATCAGCTTCAATCAAGGAAATGCTTCCCAGGAGATACTAACATACAGCTGGGGTTGAGAAGTACTAAGATAGATTATTCATCAAATGGAATTTAGGCAATGGACTACTTGTTTGATAACAAAAATTATATTTTTGATTCACCTGTACACAAAATAAATTTTGGGAAAAAAGCTAGATGCTTTAAGAGACATAAAAAACTTAACATTATAAATTATATTGGGTTTGTGATAACTTCCTAAGCTTAAACAAAAAACTTTCTTCCAACAGAAAAAAAAATCACAATGGAAACATCAATCAATAAACAAATAAAAACATAGTACTTTTATAGTAATGAGAAAACCACTAATATGCCAATAAATAAATAGTCAAAAACGTGAAAAACAAAAGTAAATGAGTTCACTGAAACAAAATGTTTAACAAATATGGAAGCATGTTGAACTAAGATGAAAGATTTTTATCTTAACTAGTAATTTTAAAAATACTTTAAAATAAAACAAGATACATTTTTTGCCAATCCATTTAAGACAAAATATTATTTATTTATTTATTTATTTATTTTTAAATTTTTTGAGCTGGGGTCTCACTCTGTTGTCCAGGCTAGAGTGCAGTGATGTGATCTTGGCTCACTGCAGACTTGATCTCCCGGGTGGCTAATTTTTAATTTTTTTGTAAAGATGGGGCCTTGCCATGTTGCCCAGGCTGATGTAAAATTCCTGGCTTTGAGTGATCCTCCCACCCTCAGCCTCCCAAAGTGCTGAGGTTATAAGTGTGAGCCACCACACCCAGCAGAAAAGAAGATTTGAAAACTAATGTTTATTCCCTAAATAGTTTTATTTAAAAATGACTCTTGTAAGACTGACAAGGAATCTGAATGTCTACATTTATGAAAAATAACTTGGCACTATGAAAATTGAGAGCCTGAATGGCATTCATAATTTTGACTCTGTAATTTCTCTCCCAAATGTCAATTATATGTATGTTTTTTAAAAATGGAAGATGTTTCTGAACACACAAGAAAATCTGTGACCCTTATTTAATTTTTTTGAAAATATAAATAGGGATTTGCTTCAAAATATAATTCATGGACTTGAAGGAGGAGAAATAGGTGGAGATGTAAATAAAAAAAAATCAACCATGTGTTCAAAATTGCCAAATTCAGGGGATATACATGGGAAGTCATTGTACTATTTTTGCTGCTTTTGTACATATTTGAAATTTTCTGGAAAAAAATTAAAAATAGAAAAAATAACTAATTTTCATCAAAAGGAGGGATGTTTCAAATTATTTTTATACAGTTGGACCATGGAATACTACACATTTATTAAATTTACGTTCACAAAAATGTTTAATAAACAGCAATTTGTAATGTTAGTGGGTTAAGTAAAAAGGCACATTTTAATGAGGTATATATGGCAAGAGTACAATGAAATTGACTGGGAAAAACACCTGTGTAGGGGAAGCCCAAAGAAAAATATATTAGAATGTTACAGCAACAGTGATGATGGTTACTATTAATAATTTTTTCCTCTATTTTCTATTTTCCAAATGGAATGAATTAAGCCTTAGTTATTTTATAATAAGAACATGCAAAGGAAGAAAGGCTACAAGGCAGAAAAGTTTGATAGCAGAAATACAAAAGAAAATTGGCTGATGGTAACAAAAAAAGACCAAGAGGGAAAACAATCTTCCTAAAGAACTAGTGTTTAGAATTAAAGACAAAGTACAACCGTTAAATCAAGATTAATGGCTTCAGGCCGGGAGCAGTGGTTCACGCCGGTAATCCCAGCACTTTGGGAGGTTGAGGCGGGCGGATCGCGAGGTCAGGAGATCGAGACCATCCTGGCTAACATGGTGAAACCCCGTCTCTACTAAAAAATACAAAAAAATTAGCCAGGCGTGGTGGCGGGCCCCTGTAGTCCCAGCTACTCGGGAGGCGGAGGCAGGAGAATGGCATCAACCCAAGGCGGAGCTTGCAGTGAGCCGAGATCGCACCACTGCACTCCAGCCTGGGCAACTGAGGGAGAGAGAGAGACTCTGTCTCAAAAAAAAAAAAAAAAAAAAAAAAAAAAATCTTGAGTTTAACAAGCTTCATTGTTGCTTGCTAAAGGCATTATCTTGCCGACCTGGGAGAAAGCCAAGTTGGGACTCCCAGGAACAAAGTTAATGTATCATCTCCATCCAACTGTAGTAAAGGAGAAAGAATAAAAGAACCAGTGTCAGAGTTAGGGGTGGATTTATCTTAATCTATTGAAGCCTTGGTTTACTAACCTATACAGCTGAGATAATTCTGCCTGCTTACATCAGAGGATTCTAGTGAGAATTAATAAGAAAGTAAAATTGTTCTTCAGTGATAGTAGCTAAAAGTGCCTCTTCTAGCAAGAATTTATTTGTATAACATAATTACTTTTCAAATCAGTGGTTCCAACTTTGTGCTCCTGATCAAGCTTCCCTTTTTGATTACTACTGCCCCACCCCAGTGGTCTGAAGAGAGTGTGGCTTTCCTTCAACGCATTAGCATAAATGTAGCTAAAATTTCTTTCTTCTTAGCACAGACACAATAAAATGAGAGTTGCCCAAAGACTTGCTAAATGTTAAGTAAATTTGGGAAACCAATTCAGTGAACTGAAAGTGCAGGAGCAGGGCCGGGCGCAGTGGCTCACCCCTGTAATTCCAGTACTTTGGGAGGCGGAGGCAGGCGGATGACCTGAGGTTAGGAGTTCGAGACCAGCCTGGCCAACATGGCAGAACCCCGTCTCTACTAAAAAAAAATACAAGAATTAGCCGGGCGTGGTGGCACACACCTGTAGTCTCAGCTACTCAGGAGGCTGAGGCAGGAGAATCACTTGAACCCGGGAGGCGGAGGTTGCAGTGAGCCAAGATCGTGCCACTGCACTCCAGCCTGGGTGACAGAGCGAGACTCCTTCTCAAAAAAAAAAAAAAAAAAGTGTGGGAGCAGTGTGTGTGCAAGTGTGGTTTTGGGTGTGTGAGGTGTGTATGCAGGGGTGTGTATTTTCCTAAGTTGAAGTTTGCAATTCTACTGCAGCTAGCTTGTTATCTTAAGAGGACCACGCTGGAGCCCAACAGCCTCCTGCCTTGGTCCTGCACTTTTCCTGCTCTAAACTTGTATGCATGAGCGAAATGCTGGGCTCACTCACTTCTTTCCTTATGGTCTTTTATATCTGCCATGATAAAGGCATATTTATTATTCAGACTCCTAGGTTTCAGCTCAGTTTCCAGTTTTCTTACAAGTCTCAGAAGCATAGCCCAGCCCGTTTCTGAAATCCAGTATACCCACCTCTCCTACTGTTATAATTAGTTTTGTACTCTTAAGCAAATTACTTAATCTCTCCTAATGCTCAGTTTTCTCATCTGTAAATTGGGTTTGCAATATTATCTAACACAAAGAGCCATTGTAATAATTAAACAATTTTACATGATAATGCACTTAGAACAACACCTAGTACATAGTAAGCAGTAGCTGTTACTAATTATTCCTATGATAGCTATAATAATAAGAATATTCCTATAATAATTACTATATCATTATTATAATTCCTCAAATTATGACATTGTTGAACGACCTCACCTTGTGGGTAAGAACTTCATTCTATGTAACATCAATATGATAACATAATACCACTCGCATTTCTGTATATTCCACAGGAATAAGATAATTATTTCCTGACACCTGACTTTACAGAAAATCTTACTTATGCTTCAGTACAGTTTTCTTACCATCCTTCTGCAATGTATCTACTTTTTTAAGTCTTAAATTGTCAATTGTTCTATTCTTTTTTTTTGTAAATTGCTTCATAGTTTTCAAATTTAAAAGGTCATAGGCATATTAAAGTGGATGCAGCAGATTTTGTACTATTCTTTTCCTAGGCTCTAACAACGAAGACTTAAGCCAGTGGTTCTACTTGAGGAGCTTTTTAAAAATCCCATTGTCTGAGATGTATCTCAAACCAATTAAATCAGAATCAGACTCTGGGAATAGGAACCAGGTATTGAGATTTATGTAAAACTCCTAAGATAATTCCAATATGCAGCCAAGTTTGGGAACCCCGCCTTAAACTCTTGTTATCTCCTTTTCTTAATTAATCCGGAGAAAATTCACCAGACTCTAATTTATTAGATAAGATTCTACATTGGCAGCCACTATTCTAGTTCTCTCTCTCTCTCACACACATTCTTTCTCTCCCCCTCCTCCCTTCATTCATTTCTCCCTCATTTGTATGTAATCTTCAGCAAGTTAGATCACTTCCCTGGGTTTTAATTCCTAATCTGTAAAATAACGGGTCATAGAATTGCGCAATGTAATCAGAGATGTTTTGACAGCACAAATGAGATAAAACATATGAAAGTACTTTAAAGTTTTAGAATACAAGTATTTCAGAAATCCAAGGAAGAATTATCATATTCCCCACATCCTTCCCTCTCCTGTCATGTAGACAGGCGCAAGGCCATCTCTTCTGAAGTACCCTTGCTTCCTGAAGTAAAGCTTTTCTATGCTGAATAACTTGAGGATCTGTTAAATCCTTCAGGCTTTGGTATTTCTTTCACAGACTTTCAAGCCAACTTTACTCAAGGCCGTATCATTTGTTGACCACACTTTTTATCTTGTCTTAGATCACTACTTATAGTTCTTAGAAAGAAAAAGGTTAACGAGTCTAAGGAGAGGTAATATGAGATGCACTCTGGAAAAAATCTAAGATAAATGAACTTTAGAATAATGCTATATTTGCACCAATATAGTCTCCAGTACGATGAGGTCCTGACAGTAATCTTCACTTTGGCTTCAACTTCCCTCCGCTCTGAAATTCATCTTGTTTTCCTCACCTAAATTATTTCTCAATGGAAAGTTCTAGGAGAAATGCTTGGTGAAAAGGAAGAAACTTCTCCTGAAATAGGGAAAGGAGTCAGGAGATCTCAATTATGACACTGGGTCAATGACTTCCTGTGTGACCTTTGGCAAGTCAATTAACATATCTTTTCTTTCTTTTTTTTTTTGTGAGACGGAGTCTCACTCTGTTGCCCAGGCTGGAGTGCAGTGGCGTGATATCGGCTTACTGCAAGCTCCGCCTCCTGGGTTCACGCAATTCTCCTGCCTCAGCCTCCCGAGTAGCTGGGACTACAGGTGCCCACCACCATGCCCAGCTAATTTTTTTTTGTATTTTTTAGTAGGGACGGGGTTTCACCATGTTAGCCAGGATGGTCTCGACCTTGGCCTCCCAAAGTGCTGGGATTACAGGCATGATCCACCATGCCTGGCCCAATTAACATACCTTTTCTAGAGAGTTGCATGTAAAGTATTTGAGATGTATAACAATCAGTACAAATACAAGATCTTATGATTATTTATTGATACCTCATGAGGAGTACCCAAGAAAGTAGAACTATAATGAAACTAAGATATATAAAATATATTTACATATGAGAATTCAGAAGTGTAAAACCTGAGAAAAGGTGGATAAGAGTTTTTCTCTATCATTTTAAGCAAGAAATTTAATACCTTATATCATTTCCTCAAAATCCAGTCCTTCCAGTCCCTTTAGTACAATCTGTACATCCTGTATGTTGACAGAAAGAGTCAGAGCTACAGGAACATCAAGAAGTGTAGATGTGCTCCGACTGATACAGAAAGCAGTTTAAAGCAAAGGTATATGAATATTGCTAGCAATACCTGCTACCCTCATGGATTCTTGACTTGTCCTGGGAACAAAAACGTGGCACTGCATTAATGTTTAAAGACTGGCCTTGTTGGAGGCATTTGAACCAGAGCAGCTCCATCTTGAACAGGGGCTTGGTAAAACAAGGTTGAGATCTACTAGGTTGCATTCCCAGGAGGTTAGGCATTCTTAGTTATAGGATGAAACAGGAGGTCAACACAAGATACAGGTCACAATGGCCTTGTTGATAAAACAGAATGAAGTAAAGAAGCCAGCCAAAACCCACCTAAACCAAGATGGCCATGAAAGTGACCTCTGGTCATCCTCACTGCTCATTATACACTAATTATAATGCATTAGCATGCTAAGAGACACTCCCACCAGTGTCCTGACAGTTTACAAATGCCACAGAAACATCTGTAAGTTACCCTATGTGGTCTAAAAAAGGGTGGAACCTTCACTTCCCAACCCTTTCCCAGAAAACTCATGAATAATCTACCCCTTGTTTAGCATATAATCAAGAAATAACTAAGTATACTCAGTCAAGTAGCCCACACTGCTGCTCTGCCTGTGGAGTAGCCATTCCTTTTTTCCTTTACTTTCTTAGTAAATGTGCTTTCACTTTACTCTATGGAGTCACCCTGAATTATTTCTTTAGCAATATCCAAGAACCCTCTCTTGGGGTCTGGATTGGGACCCCTTTCCAATAACATCTTCCTGGAAACCATGAAGGGACTATACTGAGGAGAATCCTATGGACCCAAAGGAAATAGACCACAGCACTGCCAATTGGCAGACTTTAGGTAAGGGGCGGGGTATGTTTTGCCCAGGTAAAGGATCAGATTGGGTTAGAGGTCCAACTTAGGAGAGTCTCTCCTAAGACAGAGAGGGTTAAGGCCCCTCCTAATAAAAGGCAAGGATGCTTAATGAAACTTGAGTTTGAGGCCCAATTTAGAAAGGTTAGAGTCCTTCCTAAGATTTAGGGATTAGAGGCCCCTCTCAGTAAAGTCCTTCTTGGTTAAAAGTGGATTTGACACTATGGGATGTTAACTGCTATTCTCTTTGGATTAATCTGCCTTGCACTCTTTGCTGACAGATATGGATGACAGGAATAGGCATGTACAGGATCACCAGACACGGGGAGCTTTTTTCTCCCCAAAGTGGGAAACTTGAGAGCTGACTGGACTGCTAGAAAAGATCCTTCACTACCTAGTCTCTCTGAGCTCCTTGCCTTCCCCACCCCACTGTAGGCAACACTTTTATCCCTTCCCTTTCCTCCCTCTCTGTACAAACCAGTTGTAGGAATGGTAGAAATCACTCTCTTGCAACGTTTTAATTAATGAATAAAAGGATTCATGAGGCTAGTCTTAATGCTGTAGTGAATCTGGTGTATTTTGTGCTTTGAATTTGTCTTTCTGTGTTATTCTGTCATAAAGGGGAGGTACCTTGGGATAGAACACAGGCTTGGGACTCCATAAGCTAGATAGGGTTTCTCTCTCATCTTGTTTTATATCCTTGGGAGCTTGACCTTGTAACCATGTGGCAGTACTTTCTCTTAGTTTCTGCCATCCAGAGGACAGCAATTTTGGAGTTTATGACAAAGTTAGCTCTAAAAATTGTTTTGAGCAGTTAAAAGCCTTCATTGGCTCAAAATTGTCTGCTCCAGGCTCTTTCTGAGAAGGCAATGGAAACTTCCCAATGCTGTAGCTTAGTAGCTAAGGCTTTGCCTTTTCACAATGGCATCCCTGGTTCAGCGTTCAATTTCTGGTTTAGGGAATGAGTACTTTCAGGTTGATATTGGTGTGATCTTTGCCATTTGTTGATTTTATCCCCTCCCCCCATGAACAACTTCTATCTTCCCTTCTTGAATCTTCCTTTCTCTGAGGCACCTTGTAGACTCTAAATCTTGTAAAAACTGCTAATCATCTCTTTTAAAATACTGGTACACTTGTGATTAAGTCATAACCTTAGTGAAAGCTTACTGGTTTCATCTGGGAGGTTACCTTTGGTAAAGCTTAAAAGCCAGAAAAATGGATTGTGTGGCCTGGCTGAAGTCAGGTAATAAGAGATTTAAAAGCATTTTTGAAGTGCTATGGTTAAAAGTCAGCTTTAATTAAAAGAAGATATATGAGCTATACGTATATTTAAAAGGTTTTTATGTTTTTTCTCTTCTTGGATCTTATTTCTCTGAGGAAAAAGTTTTTTTCTTCTCAGTTGACTAAATTGTTGATAGGGTTTGGCTATGTCCCCACCCAAATCTCATCTTGTAGCTCCCATAATTCCCATGTGTTGTGGAAGGGACACAGTGGGAAATAACTGAATTATGGGGGCAGATCTTCACCATGCTGTTCTTGTGATACTGAATAAGTCTCGTGAGACCTGATAGTTTTAAAAGTGGGAGTTTCCCTGCACAAGCTCTCTCTCTTTGCCTGTCGCCCACAGGCAAAAGACATGGCTTTCTCCTCCTTTTTGCCTCCCACAATGATTGTGAGGCCTCCCCAGCCACGTGGAATTGTAAGTCCATTAAAGCTTTTCTTTTGTAAATTGTCCAGTCTCAGGTATGTCTTTATCAGCAGCATGAAAATGGATGAATACAGGGCTGAGTGCGGTGGCTCACACCTGTAATCCCAGCACTTTGGGAGGCTGAGGCAGGTGGATCACGAGGTCAGGAGATAGAGACCATCCTGGCTAATATGGTGAAACCCTGTCTCCACTAAAATACAAAAAATTAGCTGGGCATGGTGGTGGGCACCTGTAGTCCCAGCTACTTGGGAGGCTGAGGCAGGAGAATGGCATGAACCTGGGAGGCGGAGCTTGCAGTGAGCCGAGATCACGTCACTGCACTCCAGCCTGGGCGATAGAGTGAGACTCCATCTCAAAAAAAACAAAAAACAAAAAACAAAAAAACAAGGGATTAATACAATTGTTTTTCTCCGTTTTATCTTCTTGCCACTCTTGATACACATGAGGGGATCTAAGATAATTTCTAACAGCTTGAGACTCCTTGGGAAAAACAGAGGAGTTGCCACAGATCCTGTTTTGGAAAAAAGCCTCTGTTTTCCTTATGAAACCACTAGAATTGAAAGGGGATAAATAAATCCCTCTCAAAATCTAATGCTTTGTTTCATTTTGTATTGTGTTATCTGACAGTTTTGACTTTTGTGGGTATCAGAAATTACTTCTTATTATGAGAGAGCTTTGGTTTGTAATAACTAGGTAGGAAACATACTTTTAGGGATGGCTAATGGAAGTTATGGGGGATACTTAACTCTTTGCATGTTTGGATCAGAGAAGCATACTCTTGACCACCTGGAAGATACTGGAAGTGTCCCCATTGCCACACTGAGAGATAAGAGTTCCATAGGAGGTGGGCTGATTTCCTCTTTTTTGGGATCCAAGATCTGGTATAAAAATGGGACCCTTAAATTTTTGAAATCTGTTTTGCCTTCCAGCTGTGCCTGCCTATTAGGCTCTAGAAATTGCATGCTTTCCTGGCCCTGTTCCTCAAAGGGCTCCTCCCTGAAGCCAGTAATTCAATTAAGAAACTTAAAAATTGGCAAATGAAAAATCTTACAACTACTGGATCTTCTGTCTGTTGTGTAGTCATATGTGTTGTATGTGTAACATTTATATATGAAAGAGCTCTGATTAATTGGTTTAAAAATAATAAGCACTTAAATATTTTGTCAGAAAAATAAAAACTGTAATGCTTTTTAGTTCATGTGACTTTAGGAAGCTTTGGGAAATAAAGACAGTTTTAAAGATTATTGGTAAAATAAAAATGTCTTCCAAATTTAGACATTTGGTCTAAATTAGGCAGATCAGATAATTAGATTTGCTAAATACTTTAAGGTCATAAACTGCTTATTTGACTTTTGAAAATTGTTTGGTATACCTGCTTTAGAGCCATTAGATTCTAGATAAGTCCTGGGGATATGTAGAATTAGACATGCCCCCTGGCAATGCTGGAAAGAATCAGACCTTATCTTGTACTTCTCTCTGGTGTCCTAGGCTTCACACCTAGTACCTAATTAAAATCACTTACTTACCAGGTTTTGCACCAAAAATAAAAGTTGCTAAGAGTTAACATTGTAACATATAATTGAGACTACTGGAAAAACAGTTTTAACATGCAAGGTGTGTAAGGAAAGTGAAATGTGTTTTTGGTAAAAGATTATAAGAAGGCATGGGAATGTGAATTTTTTTTAGCCTAGTTTAGAAGGCTAAGGGGTTCTAAGTTAAGTTATCCTCACTTAAAAGTTAGGATGAAGCTGAAAATTTGAGCAAATTGTGGAAGATTTGTGAAAAATTAATCTTGTGAAGGAAATTCTGTGTGAACATATCGGCTAAAGTTAAAGGGGTCTTATTCAGTTTTTCTGTAAATTGAACATTGGAATAAAAGCACAACAGGGTGTTCTTAGAGCAGTGATCTGCTCCTTAACAAAAATTTGTAAAGAGTTTAAAAAGGTTTATGGGAATCTTACCTCTTGGTCTAACTGCTTACGATTGAATAGATTTGTCTATAATGTTTTATTAAGAATTGGGATTGACATTAACAGTACACTGTAAAATCTGGCTTTCTCTCTTGAATAAGATTTTTGTGTAATATTTTTAAAAACGAAATTTTGTTTGCCTTTTGAATAAACTATAAGAAAAAGAAAGGAAGGAAAAGAGACATTGTGTGGAAAGCTGTCTTCCCTCTATTAATGAGTAAAGTTTTTTGTCTTTTTAAAATTTTTGAGTTATCGTTTTGGCTAAATGAATGACTTACGGTGACCTGAGATTCTATGTTTCTAATAATCAAGTGGTTAAACCTTCAATATTTGACAAACTTTCCAAAATCAAATGGTAAATTATGTCTTTTTCTGACCTAATTAATCTTTTCGTATTAGGTCCCCTAAAGTCCAGAAGAGACATATTTGGCTTAATGTGGTATAAAAATCTGTAGAAATCATACAGGAAGCATTATAAAATATAAAATTGTGTTTGGCTTTCTTTGGGCTGTATTTGAATAAATATGTTCTTGGTTATGTGTCCCAAAATTATGGGAAACTCCTATAATTCTAATATGACTTAGTATGTTATTAGTAATTATAATTGTTACATAATATTATTGTGTGCCACAGAGGTAACCATATTTCCTTGTTAATCATGTCTGACTGTGGCTGCCCTAAGACTTTCTGTCATTCACAGACAACTGTTGTCTTGTTTTGATCCTCTTTTAAAGGTGCCTTATAGTCAGTAACAGGATTTGACAGGTGCTCTTGAATGCAGGTTTCTGATAACTTTGGAGATTGTGACATTAGGATAGAGGCGAAAACTTTCATGATTCTCACGGAGAGCTGAAATGTTCATGAATATCAAACAGAACAGGAGTTAACTGCATGGACTGAACTAATGAAAGACTGAAATAATCCTTTTATGACTTTTTGCTTAAAACATTGCTAATTCTTTGCTTTGTTTTTCAGAGTCAAGAACATTTTTGAGTTATCTGTAGCTTGTGGCAATACTCCTGTAAACAAAATTTTAGAGCATATTTCTCTCTATCTGATTTCTCCAGAATTTGGAAACTATTTGTGAGTATGCTTAACTTACGGAATATAGTTATTTGCATAATTGCAAAAAGAATGCTTTCTTTTGCAACAGGACACAACTGGATAAACTGTTTTTATTACCAAGTCTTTGACTGAAATAGAGTGCTTTCCTTTGAGGAATCAAACTTGACTTACAGAGTCAATAAAAGCTCCTTAGGAAAACTGGCCTCATACCTTGTCTATGTAGTCCCTGTACAGGGTTCCTGTAAGTGAAGAATGTCATTTTCTGATGGGCCCAGGAGGCAAGTTATCTTGTGACCTCAAGAGGAGGAGAATTTATCCAACTCCTAGGTATTTTATGGTACAAAACCATGGCTGAGCTCAAGGAGTTTTTTAAAAGTCTTATCTGAAATTACTTATGGAATAAAGTTTCATCAGAGCTAATTTAAAAAGAACCTATGTGAAAAATAATTATTCTTGCTGAACTTCATATAAATAATCAGGCCAAGTATAATAGTAAAGCTTATTTTTGCAAACAAATCAGTTCTATTATGATTTGTCTTTAGTAAAAATGAGGAGATAGAAAAATTGTGTTTCAAGAACTATGGTACACCTGTTGTTAGATTCTAGTCCCATCAGTTTTTAGTTTTTTTCTGCAATTTAGACTGACCCTGCTTATTCCTGTAAATCAACCAGTGATCTCTGACTGCAGCTCAGAAGAAACAAGATGGATGGGTAATATAAAGATCTGGATCAGTATTCTAATTCTGGGCAAGTACTGGAATCAGTTAGTGACCACATATCATCTTGGTTCTAACAGTTGCCCACTTCACAAAAAGCCTTGTTAGTTTACTTAGGATAGTTTTGCTTATTTTGCTCTACTCTTGCAGAATATATTGCTTTGTACCCTTTGTGTAGGAATGCAGTATAAGCTTACTGAATGTTTTCTTAAATTGAACACTTATTAATCTTCCAGATATTACCTTTTGTGGGAAATCAAGAGTTATGAATGGCCCTCTCCATACTGATACTTTCTGACCAAGCTTCTCTCTACCCTGAATACAAAAAACACTAATAGTTAGGTATCAATATCATTGCCACTATTCAGCTAGAAGAAGTTACAGAAGATGGATCGTCATCCCTCTACAACCCTTAGGATTAAGGGTCCCCTTGTAAAGGGGAGGAGGGAAATATGTTAGAGGCATTTGAACCAAGGCAGCTCCATCTTGAATAGCAACTGGGTAAAATGAGGCTGAGACCTACTGGGCTGCATTCCCAGGAGGTTAGGCATTCTTAGTTACAGAGTGAGATGGGAGGTCAGCCCAAGATACAGGTCACAGTGACATTTCTGATAAAACAGAATGTGGCAAAGAAGCAAGCCAAAACCCACCTAAACCAAGATGGCCACAAAAGTGACCTCTGGTCATCCTCATTGCTCATTATACACTAATTATAATGTATTAGCGTGCTAAGAGACACTGCCACCAGTGTCATGACAGTTTACAAATGCCATGGCAACATCAGGAAGTTACCCTATATGGTCTAAAAAGAGGAGAAACCCTCCGTTCTGGGATTTGCCCATCCCTTTCCCTGAAAACTCATGAACAGTCCACTGCTTGTTTAGCATATAATCAATAAATAACTATAAATATACTCAGTCAAGTAACCCACACCGCTGCTCTGCCTATTCCTTTCTTAGTAAGCTTACTTTCACTCTACTCTATGGACTAGCCCTGAATTCTTTCTTGAGTGAAGTCCAAGAACCTTCTGCTGGGGGTCTGAATTGGGACCCCTTTCTGGTAACAGTCTGACCTTTACTTTTTGAAATGAAATAATAAAAACGTCTCAAGAAAAAAGTAATCTTCAAATCAGAACAGGAGGAGAAACATCATGAGTTTACGATCAAAATTCCAGAGGAAAATCCTGAAAAGTTTTTGCCTAATTTTTATTTACATTAAACAACAAATATATATTAAGTGCTGTTAACCATTCCTTGCTACTCCTCCATATGTCCCCTCTAACATAATTTTGGGCCTTTTCCCAGGACCCAAGTAAGATGGCAAAATTTAGATGTTATATTCTTGATCCGTGTCATCTCTTCCTCCTCTTGCACAAAACCCAGACTCTTCACACATCTGCATGGAGCACAGTCCAGCCAATAAACCAAGTGAAGCAATCTGCTTTGGAATCCACCCTGCTCTGCTATTCCTTAACTGATATTTGTCTTTAACACAAACTTCCTTGATACTGGTTTTGATTCCCACTATTACCTAGTACAGTTTATGGCACCGGTTATAACAGCAAACATTTATATAGTGGTAGTCATGTGTTAGGCACTCTTCCAAGCACTTCACAAATATTTAGTCATTTAATTCTACCAGATGACGAAACTGGGGCACAGAGAGAGGTTAAGTAAGTTGCTCCAGATCACACAGCTAGTAAGCAGTGAAGATGGATTCCAACCCAGATCATTTGGCTTAAAAATCTGTCCTATACTGTTTGTCCAGTAAATTCTCAAAAACTAGTATTTTTTTGCAAAATTAGAATTACCTTTAATATTACTTGTGTTTTATAAATTGAGATATAATTCATATACCATAAAATTTACCTTTTTAAAGTGTGCAATTTAGTGGTTTTATTATAGTCACAAAAGTATGCAACCATCACCACTACCTTATTTTAGAATATTTCCGTTACCCCAGAAAGAAACCCCTACCCAATAGCAATCATTCCCTACTCTGCTCCCTTCCCTAGCCCCTGGCAATCATGAATTATTTTCTGTCTTTATGGATTCACCTATTCAGGACATTTCATATAAATTGACTCATACAGTATGTGGACTTTTGTATCTGGCTGGCTTCTTTTACTTGCAAATGTTTTCAAGGATTATCCATGTTGTAGCATGAATGAGAACTTCGTTCCTTTTTGAGGCTAAATAATATTGCATTGTATGGATATACACAGATTCTGTTTTAGCCATTTATCAGTGGGTGGGCATTTGGATAGTTTTCACTTTTTCACATTTATAAAAAATGCTGCTGTGGATACTCACATACAAGTTTCTGTGTGGACATGTTTACTTTTTCCTTGGTATATATGTAGGAGTGAAATTGCTGATATGGTAACTCTATGTTTAAATTTTGAGGAACTGACAACTGTGTTTTAAAGTGAGTGCATCACTTTATACTCCCACCAGTAATTTATAAGGAATCCAGTGTCTCCACATCCTTGACAAACACTTCTTGCTTTTTGTCTTTTTTACTGTAGCCCAACTAGTTGGTATGAAATGATATCTCACTGTGGTTTTGATTTGCATTTCCCTGATGATAAATAATGCTGAACATCTTTTCATGTGCTCATTGGCCACTTGTATATCTTCTTTGAAGAAATGTACATTCAAATCCTTTACCATTTTTTTTTGATTGGGCAATTTGTCTTTTTATTGTGTAAGTACCCAGTATATAGTCCAGAAACTAAACCCTTATTAGATATATCATATGCAATATTTTCTTCCATTCTGTATGTTGTCTTTTCACTTTTGATAATGTCCTTTGAAGCATAATAGTTTCTAATTTTGACAGTTTTGTGTTTGATTGCTAGTGCTTTTGACGTGTGTCTAAGAAACCATTGCCCAACCAATATCACAAAGATTTACACTTAGGTTTTTCCTAAGAATTTCATAGTTTTAGTTCTTATATTCAGGACTTTGGTTCATTTTGAATTAGAGGTAAATGTCCAACTTCATTCTTTTGCACGTGAATATCCAATTGTCCCAGCATAATTTGTTAAAGACAATCTTTTTCTGCTCTTTATTATGATTAAAGATAGTCTTTTCAGCCTTATTATTACTAGAGATAATGTCTCACTTTGTGACCCAGGCTGGAGTGCAATGGTGTGATCAGAGCTCATTGCAGCCTCAAGCTCTGGACTCAAGGGATCCCCCTGCCTCAGCCTCCCAAGTAGCTGGGATTATAGACACGTGCCACAGCACCCAGCCCACACAATCTTGACTACTGTAGATTTGTAGTAAGTTTTAAAATCATTAAAACTTACAGGCGCGGTGGCTCACGCCTGTTATCCCAGCACTTTGGGAGGCTGAGGCGGGAGGATCATGAGGTCGGGAGATCGAGACCACAGTGAAACCCGTCTCTACTAAAAATACAAAAAATTAGCCAGGCGCGGTGACAGGCGCCTGTAGTCCCAGCTACTCGGGAGGCTGAGGAAGGAGAATGGCGTGAACCTGGGAGGCGGAGCTTGCAGTGAGCCGAGATGGCGCCACTGCACTCCAGCCTGGGCGACAGAACGAGACTCTGTCTCAAAAAAAAAAAAAAAAAAAAAAAAAAAAAAAAAAAAAAATCATTAAGTGTGATTCCTCCAACTTTGTTCTTTTTCAAGACTGTTTTGGCTATTCTGACTCCCTTGCGTTCTCATAAATTTTAGAATCACTTTGACCATTTCGGAAAAAAAAAAAGGCTGGAATTTTGATAGGGATTATGTTAAGGATGTAGATCAATTTGGGGCGTACCACTATCTTAACAATATTAAGTCATCCCAGTTAAGAAAACTATATGTCTTTCCATTCATTTAGGTCTTCTTTAGCTTCTTTCAAGGATACTTGGGATGTTTTGTAGTTTTTGGTGTACAAGTAACATTTGTTGATAATAAACTTTATAGTTCCATGGCCTTTAAAGGTTAAACCAGAATTTGTGTGTGATTTGGTGAGACCACAGAATGTTCTGTCTCCGAAAGAATCTGTCCTAGAACAGGTCGGGCAACAAATGCCTCCCAGTCCCAGAGACTAGCCAGAAATGCATTCTATGTGAAGCAGCATGGTGTAATATAAGGCCACTGTTGATCCTTCTCATACCTGGATAAGTAGACAGAATATAGGGCACTACGTTCTGTAGTTGTCTTGGTGTCAGAACCCAGCTCATTTTCCCCTGACAGACCACAAGGGATGATCTAAATTTCTCAGGTTGTCATGAATTGCAGGGACAAGAGAGTGTGTCCAAAGAATTCACATCCCTAACTTCCTATTAATATAAATACTTCTATTTATCCATCCTCCTACAGAGACCACTGCTCCCTAGGCACCCAAAATATGTCTGACTGAGATTCTAGTAAAAGTCCACAAAGATGCAGCCCCCAATATCACCTCTAAACCCTAAACTCAGGTGTAAAGATGCTAGTACATCTAGCACAGAACAGAGAGTTCTATGCCAAGGATCAATGAACTTCTTTTTGTGAGCAATCGATCTCACACACTATCTGAATATTTATAAACCCACAACCTGTCACTAGTTATGTCTTGCTGATACTGCCAAATCTTTATTGTCCGTCTGTTTGTAGATATCCTAAGGTCATACTTTTATGACCTTAGTTCAAGTGAGCCTGTCTCTATTTCCTAGTAAATGTTAACTCAGCAAATTAAGAATAATTTGTTTTAATGTTAGCCCCCAAAAAAGCAGACTTAGAAAAATGATTTTGGTGTGGGAGGGGAGATTATAATTGTAGTTATAAATCACATTAGGTTTACCTACACTCCTTTTTTTCTAATGCTGCAAAACTGGAATATTTTTCCAAATTATCCCCATTTTTGTAATAGGAAATCATTTCATAATAATTCATGGCTATTTTACCAACTTCATATTGCATGTGGAAACCAAGTTTAAGTGAAAAGGTGACATGCATAAGTCAGAAAATGAATCAGAGATCTAATCAGATGTGGGACCTTCCAATCATGAATCCATTAATTAGACTGTCCCTAAGTATGAAATATGGGTGAGGAAAAGAGACAGAGAGTGAAATCAAGGTCACTTGGGGTTATGGGAGCTGCTTGGGCTTCAAGAAAGAACGCAAACACAGCAGGTTCAACTCTCAGTGTCAGAAAGCCATGCCGTTCACACGCTGTAAATGAGGTAACCATCCCATGCCTTCTGTACCACTATGATCACACCTCCCTGTTACAGAAACAAAAAATGTAAGAACAGCAACCCTGCTGTCTATTTCTTGATCTCTTTGACAAATACACTATGAAATGCAGAGCATGCTTCACAAATGCCGTAGAATGCCCTATGTGTACAAGGGTGCTTTGAAAGCAACAACAAAAACCTAACTTCCAAATTTACTGGTGGGGGAATTAAGGCACAGAGTTCAGACACCTCCCAGCAGTTAATTAGCAGCTAAGCATTGTGTGTTGAATCTCCATCTGATGCTCTTCCCACTACACTTTCCCACCCTTCATAAGGCTGACTGGATATTCCATCTATTTTTTTCAGTTGAGTTTTGTAGGGATGAGAACCAGGAAGAAGATCCTGGCCCTTGCAATTCACAATGTGCATACACTGTCACAGTTTCTTCTGGAACTTTGGGATGCACATGTGTCCAGACTAGCCTCTGCCAATCTCTACCAGATACATGAAGGCTACAATATTTATATCCCAGCTGTGTTTTCATTGATGGAGCTTTAAGAATATTCTAATTAATACTCTGCTTCTTTTTTCTTCCTCAGCCAGAACTCACTCTGACTTATACTAAGATATCAGCCCCAAGGTAAGTTAAAGGAGCCAGGCCTTGAGCCCTGTGAGGAAAGACCACAGAAGTAGGAGTCAGGGAAGCCATGTGGTTTCACATCAGATGGGCTGGATTTGTGGAATCTGCGAATAAGTCTTATAGAATAAATCTCACCACAGGGAAGTCAGGATCAATTTTCAGCATTCCGTTTGCCTCTCTCCTCCTTCCTTAAGCCAAACCTGTTAATTCTACCACTAAACAAGTCCTTTCTTGCTGTTATAGCTTCTTACTGGCCAGAAGTGGTACTAAATTTGGGCCCAGGCTGAAGAGGTGTCAAAGAGCATGTAGGTGAGGGTCAACCAGGAGCTTTTCCTGTCTAAGTGAAGCCAGCCTGATCTGACTTAACAGAGACTTTGGAGAAGTTGATTTTAAGCCTTTTTTCACTGACACAAACTAGGGGTGACTTGACATACAATTGGTCCTGATAGCTGACTATTGTCAGAAAAAATAAGCACTTGAGATCAACTTCTCTAAACACCAAATTAGCACCTTTGGCAAATATTTTTCACCACTTATTTGGTAGCATAATATGAATATAACATAATACTGTCTCCTAAAGTTGTCCAACACAAACCCTGCATTCATCTCCCACAACACAGTACATCTGGTTAAATCATTCAATGTCTGAGTGTACAACTAAAACCAATCATTTCAAGGCTTTTTCCAGAAAGGCACCTGACTTCATATGTGGATATTACATGTTGATATGATTTGGCTCTGTGTTCCCACCCAGATCTCATCTCAAATTGTAATCCCCGTAATCCCCCCATGTCGAGGGAGGGACCGGGTGGGAGGTGATTGGATCATGGGGGCGGTTTCCACCATGCTGTTCTCGTGATAGGAATAAGTTCTCACGAGATCTGATGGTTTTATAAGGGGCTCTTCCCCCTTTGCTTCCTTCACATGCTTTCTCTCACCTCCACCATGTAAGACGTGCCTGCTTCCTCTTCTGCCATGGTTATAAGTTTCTTGAGGAAACTTATAAGGCAGAGGAACTATAAGTCAATTAAACCTCTTTTCCTTATAAATTACCCAGTCTTGGGCAGTTCTTTATAGCAGTGTGAGAAAGGACTAGTACACATGTGTATTACTGAGATTTTTCTATAACCACAATGCATAGTTTGAAACATGTTTTTTCCCTTAAACCTTTGGCATTTACTACTGTGTCTTACTAGAATTCTAACTTAGCCTAGAATTATATACATAATTTTAATTTAGATCAATATTCTAAAAATACCATATTCCTATATACTGTTATCTAACAATTTTTAAAAATACCCTTAAATGTATAAAGATGGAGCTAGTTATTGAGGTTATAAAGGTTAACAGCTACAGAGGAAAAAACTAAAACAGGTTTCCTTTTCATTTTTTATTTTAGCCAGTAATTTAAAGCATAAAAATATAAATTTGGGGTCATAAAAGTTAAAACACTACCTTCGATTTGCTCTGACCATGTCAATTGTTAAGAATTAGCTGTCAGCTGACCTCCGTGGCTGACTTCTGTAATCCCAGCACTTTGGAAGATGAAGGCATGAGGATCACTTGAGGCCAGGAGTTCCAGGCCAGCCTGGTTAGCCAGGGTCTTCAGCAAGACCCTGTCTCTTAAAAAAAAAAAAAATACAAAAATTAGCTGGACGTGGTGGTGCATGCCTCTAGTCCCAGCTACTGGGGAGGTTGAGATGGGAGGATCACTTGAGCCTGAGAGGTCAAGGCTGCAGCAAGCTGTGATCATCCCACTGTACTCCAGCCTGAGCAACAGAGTAAGACTCCATCTCAAAAAACAAAACAAAACAAATTAACTGTTGATATTCCTTGTTGTCACTATGCCAAGAAGGGTTATTATGAATGAGAAATATGAGAAAACTGATTGAGATGGCTTTCAGGGAAGCACATAATGCTCAGAAGCTTGGATACGACTTAGACTGCTGGGGGCTAAGGAAAGAGTGAGCATCAGGAAATGTTTATGTTTCCTGAAGACTCACCCTTAGGAGGTAGTATTCACAATATGATAGGGCTGAACTCTAACTGCCCAATTCAGCAGAAGGTATAGGGAAGAAAAGCTAGTGAAGAAGGACACCTGGGCTGAGGAGGTGAGAACAACTGCAGGAAATGAGGCTTTAAGCCAACGGATGGATAGAAACCCCTTACTCCATCCCCATTATCCTTTCTGTATCCAGAGGTGACTGTCTCTTCTAAACTCTAAACTATCTTATTATTATTCTGGTTAGAAATCTCAAAGAAATTCTGAGAAGTTCAACAATAAAATACTTTTTTTTTTAACCTGGAAGAATCTCCAGCAATTTCCCAGTCAAACTCTACCCTCCATTTTTCAAAAGGAATAAAAATAATAATAAAACAACTAAGGACCCCTGAGGTAGGTGCCTTGCTGTTTGCTCACAAAGAGAGAACCAGAGCTTAAAACGGATTTCAGGTCCCCCGGACTGAGAGAGGACTCTGTCCACTCTACACTGTCTGTCTGTGTAATTTGCTGCTGCTGCTGCTGCTGTTTTTTCTTCTACTTCTTCTTCTTTTTTTTTTTAGACAGAGTTTCACTCTTGTTGCCTAGGCTGGAGTGCAGTGGTACGATCTTGGCTCACTGCAACCTCCGCCTCCCAGGTTCAAGCTAATCTCCTGCCTCAGCCTCCCGAGTAGCTGGGATTATAGGCACCTGTCACCACACCTGGCTTTTTTTTTTTTTTTTTTTTTTTTTTTGTATATTTACTAGAGATGGGGTTTCACCATGTTGGCAAAGCTGCTCTCGAACTCCTGACCTCAGGTGATCCGCCCGCCTCAGCCTCCCAAAGTGTTGGGATTACAGGTGTGAGCCACTGCACCCAGCCGTAATTAGCTTCTTTACCTTTGTGCACATTCGTTCCCTTCTACTTTCACTTTCTCCAGTTAGACACTATGCCAAGACATGATATCTAATACCCAACCTACTTATTCAGTACTTAACCAGTTTGCCTATTATTATCTGTTTCTTCCCAACAAGACTTTAATTTCCTGGAGAGCACAGTCAGCTTCTTTAGGTCCCTCATTAGCCCAGCCCAGAAGTAGGCACAGAACAGTAGCCACATCTAAATTCAGAAAGCATGTTGGAGAACTAGAGACTGGCTGAGCCTGGGCTGGTGGGGAGGACAAAAATGAACTGGCAAAGGAAGAAGAAAAAGCATGAAACCTTCATGGGAATAAAAGTTTAGGGACCAGCTATTTTGTTCATTGCTGTATCCCTAGCACCAAGAGCAGTGTCTGGCATATATCAGAATTCATATGATTGTTGAATAAATAAGTAGCTAATTCATCTATGAAAATAGCATTGGATCTGCAAGAAATTTTTATAGAAAAATAACCTATAGAAACTAATGGGGCATAAAGGATTAAGCTATAATACTAAAAGTACAAGGGGGAATGGGGAGTAGTTTTTAACAGTATATATAGCAAGTACATGGTACCCAGGTTTCTGTTCGATAGGGACACATTTTTTGTTCCATCATTAAGCAGGTTGTTTTTCTTCAGAAAAAAGATTTAAAGTTCTTTGCTTTCTATACACAGCAGGCAAAACATTGAGCCTTCAGAATAAAAATAGATAATATACTCAATAAAGAACACCATGTACAAAAATCAACTCAAAATGGATTAAAGACTTAAATGTAAGATCTGACACTGTGAAAGTACTAGAAGAGAACACAGAGAAAAGGTCCATCATATTAGGCTAGGCAATGTTTTTTTGGACATAAACCCAAAAGCACAGGCAACAAAAGCAAAAATAGACAAATGGGGTTACATCAAACTAAAAAATTTCTGCACAACCAAGGAAAAAATCAACAGAGTGAAGAGATAACCCATGGAATGGTAGAAATATCTGAGAAGTGATTAATATCCGGTAAGTGATTAATATCCAAAATACATAGGGAACTAAAACAATAGGGGGAAAACAAATAACTGTACTAAAAATGAACAAAGGACCTGAATAGACATTTCTCAAAAGAAGACACACAAATGACCAACACATATGTGAAAAAATATTCAACATCACTGATCATCAGGGAAAATGCAAGTTAAAACCAAAATGAGCTATTACCTCATACCTGTTAGAATAGCTATTATCGAAAAGATGAAAAATAAGTGTTGGAGAGGATATAGAGAAAGGGGAATGCTTGCACACTGTTGGTGGGAATGTAAATTAGTACAACCGTTAGGGAAACAGTATGAAAGTTCCTCAAAAAATTAAAAGTAAACTACTATATGATCCAGCAATCCCACTATTCGGTATACATCCAATAGTGATCTGACTTTTGTATATAATGTTCTTTATTCAGTATATTATCTTACTTTTATTCTGAAGGCTCAATGTTTTGCCTTCTGTGTATAGATAGCAAGAAAATGAAATCAGTGTGTCTGATTTCACATACTGCTGTCTGCACGCCATGTTTATTGCAGCATTGTTCACAATATCCAAGAGATGGAATCAATGTAAATGTCCATCAATGGATAAATGAATAAAGTATAAATACATACAGTATAAACACAATGAACTATTATTCAGCCTTTTGAAAAATGGAAATTGACAACATGGATGAACCCAGGAGATATTATGTTAAGTGAAATAAGCTAGGCACGAAAAGAAAAATATCATAGGAACTCACTTATATGTAGAATCTGAAAAAGTTGAACTCATAAAAGTAGAGAATAGAAAGATGGTTACCAGAGGTTGGGGGAATTCGAGGGGTTAGAAAGACGTCAAAGGATATGAAAGGGTATGACCTTATTCCTCCTTGTTAGGAGGAATAAGGTCAAGAGATCTATTGTACAACATGGTGGCTACAGTTAATAACTATGTATTGTATTCTTGAAAATTGCTAAGACAGTAGATGTTAAGTGTTCTCATCACAAAAATATGTGAAATAATACTATGTTAATTAGCTTAATTTAACTATTCCACAATATATACATATTTCAAAACAACATGTATATGATAAATATATATATAATTTTTAATTTTTTTAATTAAACATAAATTTTAAATATACATATAATAAAAATAAAGAATACCCAGTTGGGAAAGCTCAGGTACAGTAGGCAGAATAATGGCTTCCCAAAGATGTCCATGTCCTAATCTCCAGAACCTATGAATATATTGATTTTTTTTTTTTTTTTTTTTTTGACAGTCTGGCTCTGTCGCCCAGGCTGGAGTGCAGTGGCGCGACCTCAGCTCACTGCAAGCTCCGCCTCCTGGATTCACGCCATTCTCCTGCCTCAGCCTCTGATTAGCTGGGACTACAGGCGCCCGCCACCACGCCCAGCTAATTTTTTGTATTTTTAGTAGAGATGGGGTTTCACTTTGTTAGCCAGGATGGTCTCGATCTCCTGACCTCGTGATCCGCCCACCTCAGCCTCCCAAAGTGCTGGGATTAACAGGCGTGAGCCACCACGCCTGGCCATGTTGATTTTTAATAGCGTTGAAATAGCGAAGGGGAATTAAGGTTACAGATGGAATGAATCAACTGACCTTAAAATAGAAAGATTACCCTGGAATACTCAGTGAGTCCAGTGCAATTACAAGAATCCTTAAGTGTGAGAAAGGCAAAAGTGAGCGTCAGCATAAGACATGAGAAACACTTTACCGGCCATTCCTGGCTTTGAAGATGGAGGAAGGGTCCATGAGCCAAGGACTGTAGCAGCCTCTAGAGACTGAAGGAGGCAAGGAAATTGATTCTCCCTTAGAGCCTCCAAAAAGAACCATCCATTTGGAAACCTGCCCATCCATTTTTACTTCTGACCCCCAGAACTGTAAGATAAAACTTTATGTTGTTTAAAGCCACCACCATTGTGGTAATTTGTTACAGTGGCAACAGGAAATGTACACACTCAGGTTAAAAGAAAACAGAGCTGCAGAATCACATAACTCCTGGCAGATCTTCGGAGCACATGTTGGTTGGGACTGGTTGTGAGGGTTTGGGACAGGTGGGAAATAGTTTCTGCCAGAGAAAACTGAAATACATGCAATGCTCAACTAACTTGTGCATAATTAAAGACATTAGTTGTTAAAGGGTTGAACTGTACACCCTCTCAAAATTAATATGCTGACATTCTAACCCCCAGTAACTCATAATGTAACTTTATTGGGAGATGATAGTGCAGAGATAATCAATTAAAATGAGGTAATTAGGATGGACCCTAATCCAATAAGACTAGTGTCCTTATAAAAAGGGGAAATTCAGAGACATATATACAGGGAGAACACCATATAAACATCAAGACAGCCATCTACAAGCCAAAGAAAGAGGCCTGGAATAGATGCAGGCTTCATAACATGTTAGTTTTGGATAGCCAGCCTACTGAACTGTGAGAAAATCATTTCGTTGTTTAAGCCAGAGGTCACCAACACCCGGGGCGCCGACAGGTACGGGGTGCACAGCAGGAAATCAGAGGCAGGTGAGCCAGCAAAGCTTCATCTGCATTTACAGCCACTCCCCATCGCTGTCATTGCCTCCTGAGCTCCTCCTCCTGTCAGATAAGCCACGACATTAGATTTTCTTTCTTTTTCTTCCTCTTGTATTTTTGGTAGAGATGGGTTTCGCCAAGTTGCCCAGGCTGGTCTCAAACTCCTGAACTCAGGGCGATCCACCCACCAACTCCTCCTAAAGTGGTGTGATTACAGGTGTGAGCCACCGTGCCCACTAGCATTAGATTGTCATAGGAGCGTGAACCCTATTGTGAACTGCTCATGTGAGGGATATAGGTTGCGAACTCCTTATGAGACTCTAATGCCTGATGACGTAAGGTGGAACAGTTTCATTCTGAAACCATCTCCCGCCAACCTCATCGGCATCTGTGAAAAAAATTGTCTTCCACAAAATCAGTCCCTGGTGCCTGGTGCCAAAAGCCATGCAGTTTGTGGTACCTTGTTACAGCAGCCCTAGCAAACTCACACAGTAATGGAGGCACTGAACGAAAAAGTATATGATTTTCATTGAAGCAAATACTTCATGATGTCTCATTGAAAGACCTAGCTGCCCCCTAGCTAGCTGTCAGTGGAGATTCCGGTGCATTGAGGGGGAAAAACCAGGTAGACAGCACAGAGTTCTGTTTCCAGGTGTATTTCAGTTGAGCTGTGCTGCACATTACAGTAACTCGACTCCTTTATTGCCACTACTTCCCACCGAGTGGGAAGGAAGTGTGGTCTCATAGGTATAAGAAACTCCAATGTGGAGAGGACCCATTACAGAAGGAAGCAACAATCGCATAAATGAAAGAAAGAAAGGGGGGATGAAGGGTTGATAGAGAAAAATGAAAGAGGAAAAAAGACATTGAAAAGAAAACAGAGGCTAAAATGGTGAAACCCCGTCTCTACTAAAAATACAAAAAAATAAATAGCCGGCCGTGGTGGTGGGAGCCTGTAATCCCAGCTACTTGGGAGGCTGAGGCAGGAGAATCGCTTGAACCTGGGAGGCGGAGGTTGCAGTGAACCGAGATCGCGCCATTGCACTCCAGCCTGAGTGACAGAGCAAGACTCCCTCCCCCACTCCCCACCCCAAATAAAAAGAAGGAAAGAAAACAGAGATTCAGTCAACAAGGGATAGCACATCAGGCTGTACACTTTTAAAGCATGGTTATTGATATCTCATTTAAATATCGCAACAACCCTGGAAAGTAATTACCGTATTTATGCTTTGCAGATGAGGAAGCCGAAGCTGAAAGCAACGATTCCATGGTCTGAAAGGCTATGCAGTCCTCTGACAAGTAATTCCTGTAACCTCATTCTTTCCCTTCCCCCTCTCCTGATGGCCCCCTCTCCAGGAATAAACAGAGGTCCCCCATTCCTGGGTTTTCTCATGTTTCTCTCTGCACCAAATCTGCTGAGTCAGGTTTACTCCCTTATCATATAGAAACACAGAAGCCAAACCCCACAAGATGCTGGTTCCGAAGAAACACAGGTTAATTCACTTGGTGATTTCTGTTTGTTCACATAAACACCCGTTCCGCTCCCAGCCTCTTCCCTTTTTCTCCCTCCCCAACTGCAAAGTCCTCCCCCAGCTGCCTCGCTGCCATTCCCTTCCCACCTTCTTTACCCTCCCCGCCGCGCCCGCCCCCCATACCCCGTTCACTACCGTGTCCCTCCTCTGGTCACTCCGGTTTCCGATGGCACCGGCCCAGTCGGAGGGGAAATAATGACAGGGTTGGGTAGGGCAAGGTGTGCCAGCCTCAAGGAAATGCTTTTCAGTCCCTCCTTCCCACTGCGGGGCGTGGCTGCCGGCAAAGGATGGAGTTCGGGCGGGCTCCCGCGAAGGGAAGTCTGCGGGCTCCGAGGTTTCCGGGACTCGCCACACTCGAGCCACAGGAAACCTCTGCTGCAACTGTAAAGGCTGGACTTGTTGCTGATCTATACTCATTTCCTACTCTAGTGATTGCTAGATGTCAGGTATCACGGTGACTCCAGTCCAGGTGAAAACGGAGTCACGATACAGGGCAACAGCGCCACCTCACGGCCGGCCCCGTAGCAGCGGCCTCCATTGGCGCCTAAAAATGGTCAGGATTCACATTCAGGTGGATTATTCCGCGCCAGGAACATTCTCCACCTGAAGGCTTTGCCGGGGTGTTACAAGATAATACTGAAGGGACGGGAGTGGTGGCTTACGCCTGTAATCCCAGAACTTTGAGAGGCCAAGGCGGGTGGATCACCTGAGGTCAGCAGTTCGAGACCAGCCTGGCCAACGTGGCGAAACCCCGTCTCTACTAAAAATACAAAAATTAGGCGTGATGGCGGGCGCCTATAATCCCAGCTACTCAGGAGGCTGAAGCAGGAGAATCTCTTGAACCCAGGAGGCAGAGATCGCATAGAGCCGAGATTGTGCCACTGCATTGCAGCTTGGGCGACAGAGCAAGACTCCGTCTCAGAAAAAAAAAAAAAAAAAAGAAAAAAAAAAGTACTGACCACTGCGGAGACGTGGGGGAACCTATAAGGAATTAATGAGAATTAAAACCCCAAGATTACGTAATAGATCATTCATTTAGAGCCCGCGCGCGCGCGCGCGCGCACACACACACACACACACACACACACACATATATCCCATTATGTCCTGGGTTCTCCTCTGGGGAAACAGTGAACAAGGTAGTTATGTTACCCGTCCACATGGAAACTAAAATAATAGAAAATACTTAAGACAATAGATAGCTGAAGGAATTCTGTTAGATATTAACACCTAATACAAATTCAATTAAAGAAATAAGAGTCATAGGTAACTTGAATATGTGACCAATTTATTCAGCATTGAACGCATACCAAACACAAACTGACAGTCATTAGAGCAAAAAGAACTTGAGTCAATGTAATGTGGCATATTTAGAGATTGAGGTATGTCAGTTCTCTAGAGCTTTCTCTATTGGCATTTTCACTTCCTTCAGGGCTTTTTAAAAACAGGATGAATTGTACTTAATGCCACTGAACTGTTCATTTTTAAATGGCTAATGGTTGATTTTATGTTATGTGAATTTTACCTCAAAAGGGGAAAGGAAGACATCTCATCAGTTAGTTGTTCTTTAGATTCTTTATGTCATAAGTGATACATCAAATCCAAATGAACTGATTGGAACTTCATATTATGTAATTTTCTACTCTACCTCCCCAAGCATGCTCCTCCATGACAGATAAAGTGGTTTACTCATTTTTAAAATTTCTGCAATGTATTGCTAGATACTCATTCTGATGCACAGAATTTTGTCTAAAATCTAGTTACTATTATAGAAATAGAAGTTAAAAAAGAAACCAAAATACAATCCAGAAAGGGGAGGCAAAATTTTTCTCTCCAATTTTTTTGAGCAAATCACATAAATTATACATTAAAAACATTTTGAGTTAGAGAAAACACTGGAAATGATAATGCCCACACACAGAAACAACTAAGTACCAAATAGTCTGAGTTACACAGCAGACATTCACCAGGAGTTATATATGTATAGCTAGTCCCACACATTATACTCATTAATAAGATGGTTAGAATATCCATTATTTCTCTTTTTTCTTCAAGTTTTCATTCCCTTGTAATTTCAATTATTACCTCCATCTCAAATTTATAAGCCTCCAACTCATTGTCAACAATGCTTTGGCCCCAGTGTTTCTACCAGATCGTTATTTCTGCCTCATTATTAATTCCATAGGAATTTGTTGAATGCCCATTATCTCTCTGTCCAGATTAAGTACTGAACGGTAGTGGGAAGTCACACTGAAATATACACTGGAGATCTCTTCCTTCTCCAGTTTAGCCTACATGAATCCTAACTGCCAGATCCTGCGCTCCTCTAAACTGTTAAAGCCATCCATCCATGTGTTACTTAGTATATTCCCTCTTGTATGATTCTGCAGTTGTGAGGAAGGAATCTACTGGTTTAGTGGGGTGGAATCTATTTACGGAAGGCATGGAGGAATTCCTGGAAAGTCACTCATTATAAGAAAAAAGAAAATCAAAGCACAAAGGTATTTTCCACTAACAAGAATAGCTTGGGGTTCAGCGCTGGGTCTGCATCTCAATGTCCTTTGGCCAAGCCCGTATGCAATAACAGAGTCCTAGTGAGAGGGGACTCTCAAGTACAACTGGTAGAGTTATTTCACAGAAAAATACAACAGCAACAACAAAACCGTATGAGACCTTGTGTACACAAGGTAGCTTTGCTTTGGAACTGTTTTCAAGGGAATATAACACAAAAGCGGGGCAGGTGAATTCTTCCAACTTTATCTGGAAATGCAGTTCAACTTTCACAAAAGGGCAAGCAGTGGCTACCAGTAGGAGATAGCTCCACATGGGCCTGAGGCTTACCTGAAAGGCTTGCACTGGCACAGAGGATCAGAGTCACTCTGATGAAAATTATAAACAAAGTCAGCAGTAGAGTCACTGCTGCAGCAATGCCTGGCATGTAAATGGAGTTCCCAGGCATTTAGAGAACAATAGACATCACCAGAAGAAATCTAAGACAAGGAAAAGAGTGGATTCTATGTAGCCGCTAGGGTTTGGGATTGTGAAAATTTATGAGGTCCTCTACTATCTTGAGGATCTTCAGGGACAGTTGGGGAAAAGATCTTTTAAGAAACAACAGAGGTTCTGCAACCAACTAAAGGCGGCGACAGAGTATGGGAAATTACTATTCATATGACCTCATGTTTAACCCTGGTTGGTATACCCTAGAGAATATTGATCATTGGTAAGCTTCCATGTATATGTTGTTTCTTTTTACCTTATATATTAGTTTTCCATTGCTAACATAACACATTACCACACACTTAGTGGTCTAAACAACATAAATGTTTTATTTTACAGTTCTGTAAGTCAGAAGTCAACAAAATTCTATGTGGATTAAAATCAAGGTATTAGCAGGCCTGTATTCTTTTCTAGAGGTTCCTGGGAAGAATTTGTTTTCTTGCCTTTCCCAGCTTATAAAGGTCTCCCATATTCTTTGGTTGATAGCCTTTTTGATCCCCCCGTCTTCAGAGCCAACAGTGGCTGGTTGAGTCCTCTCACATCAGGTGTGTGTTTCTGTGACCCTTCTGTCATTGCTGTGTGTCCTGCTCTCTCTGACCACAGATCGGAAAGTTTCTCCACCTTTAAGGACTCACATGATGAGTAGATTGGGCCCACAGGATAATCTTCTTCTGTGAAGCTCCATTCACGTCTACAATGTCACTGTCGCCATTAAAGGTAGCATAATTGTTACCGGTGGAGGGTGTCCAGGTTCTTGGCGTTTTGAACCAAGAATTGGATGGACAAAAGGCACAAACAAGCAATGAAAGAAAATCACAGATTTATTAAAATAAAAGTACACTCCACAGACTGAGCAGGTTCGAGCAAGTGGCTCAAGAGCCTGGTTACAGAATTTTCTGGGGTTCAAATACTCTCTAGAGGTTTCCTGTTTGTTACTTGGTTTAAACCCTATGTAAATAAAGTAGTGGCCAGCAACCAGTCTGACTGGTGGTGCAAAATGACCAATTGGAGGCTGAAGTGAAGTTACAAATTTACACATGAAGACTTGGCCTGCAACCAGTCTGATTGGTTGCAGGAGGAGACCAATTGGAGGTCCTTTCATTTTTCATCTGCAACGGCAGAAAAGGGTGGAGGGGGGAGTTGCAAAGGAAGTAGCCTCTGATCGTTTTGTTACTTGGATGTGGAGAGGTGGGGTTTTCCTTTTGATTCAGTTCTAGGAAGTCAGAGCCAATCGGTCTTAGGTTTCCTGCCTTCAGACCCTGTTCTCCTGCCTCATAATCACAGGTTCTGAGGATTAGGGTGTGGACATATTTGGGGGCCATTATTCTGCCTACCACATATTGCTTGGAAGAGCTTGCGGTGTAAGGTCCATGTCTTACACCTCTTTGTAGTCTCTGTTTCCTGTAAATACTAAAAGATCAATAAATAAATAAAATAAAATAAAATAAAATAAAATAAAAAATAAATTTTAAAAAATGTTGTTGACCATAAAAACATATACCACTTGCCAACTACTTTTATTCTCCTCAAGAACATTCGTTCTCCCTATGGATTAAAAAAATGTGATAATTAAGGATATTATGTCAACCATTTGGGGCCACTCATTTTTTTCTTCTCGTTTTCCTTCTTTCCTCAGGATTCTCAAAGAATCATTCAGTTTAGCATGACTGTTAGCGATCACTGACCTACAGCTAGATTCCAGAGCTTGCATCAGCTTGAGCAAGTTGACCTTTCTGGGCCTCAGTTTTCTCGCTTGTAAAATGAAAAGGTTAGACTACATTAGCCTCAGGTTCTTGTCAGGGTTCATACTCTATGATCCTCTCATCATTGAATGCAAAATCTCATCTCCCCCTAACTCCCTCCTGCTAGAGCTATTGCACACTGTGGAACATCTCTAGCAGGTAGACATCCAGCTTTGTCTACAGTTCTTCAGTGCTGAGGACCGGCCAACAAGCAGCTTATTCCATTCATAACGCCTGGTTATCAGAAAGTTTGTTCTCACACTTAACCTCTCTAACCCTCAATTTGTTTACGTGTAAAATGAAACAAAAAAGGCCCAACTCAGAGAGTTGTTGAAAGTTCAAATAAAAAAAAATACTTGAAAAATATTTCTTGAAAATCAAAAGCAGTACATAAGTGTTAATTGCCATATTATTACCTAATATTGCTAATAATAAATTAGGTTTCTATTAATCTATACTTATGCAACCTATAGTGGATTGTACATCTATCTTTTAAACACTTTATCTTGTTCATCTCAGTCCCCTTCAGGTAAAACATTAAAAATAATTCTGAATCAAAATTCTGACATTATCCCTTTCTAGCTATATTACTGAGATATCTTCAACTATATACTTGATTTTTTTAAAAAAGCACCCTTTTTATATTATTTCTACCTACTTCATTGATAAAGGTAAAAAGAACAGAGTTTTTACAATACCACTAAATAATTATCTAAAGGTTGGTACTAATTATTCAATAAGCAGTCTTTAAATATGATTTTCCAAATAGCTACTGCCCTCCCTAATGGACTATAAGCTTCAAGTTAAGAATACTGTATCCACTGGGCTGCTCAAATCAGGAAGCTGGGAAATGCCACATGGATGCTCTTCAATCTTTTTGCCTCCATTTCACATAATCAAATATCAATAACAGTCATACCTTCTAAATCTCTCTTTATCTTGTCTCTTTTCTCTCTTCTGTTATCTGAATTCACCCCTCTTCTTTTCCTGCCTGAATTTCTGTAAGATTCTTCCAACTGGCCTTCACTCCTCAGTATCACCTTCTAATTTTTCGTTTTATTGCCAGCATATTTTTTCCAATGAGTATGTCTTACCATGCAATACCTATCCCCATTTAAAATCTTTACAAAATAAAATTTCTTAATGAAGATTTCTTACACCACTACAAAATAAAATTTCTTGATGGTGAATCTCCCTTAACCCTCACCTTATCTATACTTCCTAATATCCACCAATCATACTACATATTCATTTTTCCCACAAAAACCAAAGAAACAAGTACTAAATCCTCTCAACTGACAAGCATTTGCACAGTCTGTTCCCTATGCTTGTAATGCCCTTCCCCTCCTAACTTACCTAATAATTCCTCCTAGTTCTTTAGGATGCAGCTCACCTCTGAGAAGTAAATGGTCCCTCAACTTTACTCTGAATCCTCTCCTATGCAGACTATCCTTCTTTCTTCTCGGTACCAGAGCGTTTCTCATTTGTAGTTTCCTTGTCTGTTTCTTCTAATAGGCTATATTCTCCCTAAGGACAGAGACCCCAATTTGTCAGTATTTATAGACCCTTGCAAAGTGCCAGGGCGTGTTTGTCAAACATGGGAAGATCAGAAAAAGTGATGGTCTTACAATGAAGTCTCAAACTACTTTCAGATTTATCATTTTGTTAGAGCTCTATAAAACCTTAGTGAGGCAGAGAGGACAGCTATTGTAAAAAAACATGTAATTTTTATTGAGATTCAGTGATTGTGTCTCATCTGTAGTCACACAGAAAGTCAGCTGCAAAGTCAATATTTGCCAAATTAAATGCTTTATTAAATACATATTTGTACCCAAATACATAAAAATTGCTAGTAAAATCAACTTAAAAAATATAACCATATGCTAAAGCCTCTAAGAGGTAATTAAGAAATGTATTGAGATCAGGAAGCCCAAATCTCATCAAGGATTCGTTTTCTTCATAATAATGCCGTGGTCTGAATAGAGTCCAGAAAAAAAAAAAAAAAACCCAGAGCGAAATTTGTTACATATTCAACATTACCAAGCAGAAATATGCTTTTATCACATGATGTGAACACTTTGTGTAGCATAAGGTTGCTATTACTACATAAGGCAAGATCCCCAGTATTTCCTTCCCTAGGTCTCCCCAAGGACACTGTGTCTCCTTGGCTTCCCAATATCTTTCAAAAACTCTAAACATATTCCCGGAGCAATGCACTTGTGATTTATTGTTCCTAGAACACTCTGGATTTCTCCTCAGCTACCCACCACCATCACTTCCTTCAGGTATCTGATCAAATGTAATCTTATCAGTAAGGCCTTTCCTGACCACCCAACCCCACTCCATCTTGGCACATATAGTCATCCTTGCCATTATTTTCCCTTCAGTGCTTACCATCGCCAAACATACTATACAATTACTTCTTTATTTATCGTCTTTCTTCCTTAACTTTGTAAAGACAGGGTCTTGTTTGGTCCACAGAAGTATCTCCAAAACCTAAAACAGTATCTGGTACATGATAGCCCCTTAATAAATGTTTATTAAATGGATGAGTGAATGAGTCAATGATCCATGGGATATATTTCCTTTTGGGTTAAGTAAGAGGTGTAGTTGCACGTTTTGGAAGCAAATTATTTGACTCTTTTTGTAGATGCATTTCACCTTATAGCTACTTGTATTTCTTAGAAGTAAATTTGTTACAAAATATCAGAACCAAATTTATGACCCACTCTATTATGTATAGGATTCATGGCTAACATATTGTGCTCTACCTCAGTTTTAACTTCAACCTATTTGCGCTTTACTTCATTATCTTACCAATTTACTTATTTTATCTTTTGGTGTCATATATATGTATATATATTATATATATAATAAAAACTTCAGATGCTTTACTATATGTAGTATATAGTAAATATTGTATATATTAAATATAAATATAGCATACAGTAAATATATAGTATATAGTATAGTAAATATAGTCTATAGTATATACTATATATAGTATACTATATTATAAATGCTATAGTAAATTTAATTATATATACTATGTAAATACAGTAAATATATTTACCATATATACTGTAATAAATTTCAGTATACTATGTATAAAGTATATATAGTATATCGTATACTATATAGAGTAAAGCATCTTAAGTTGTTCTAGAATAGGAAGGAGAAAAATTCAATAAACCCAAGAAGTTTTTTAAAGTTATTAAAATGTCATTTCTTATAAATGATTTTTGCAAACATAGTATTAAACAATCCTTGGGGAACTAAAAATTAGTAAAGTTTATGAACGGGCAAAGCTAAAGACAGATCTCATTTTCATCAAGCTGTGCCCCTACGAAGTGCAGCATGAAGAGGCAGTTAGTCTTTTCGTGGGTTCTTCCTTTTGCCTTGCACTGACAATGTAGCATGAAGAGAAAAGCATGGATATTGTAATCAGAAAGACCATGGTTGAAACCTAAATCCACCTCCAAACAGTTCATGCTTTGGAACTGTGGCAGAGACTGTGGTAGGTTCTGCCCACCTCACCTATTTCTTCCCTCTAGGTGCACCTTCCCAGCACCCTTTCATCTGGATAGGACCATGTAACTAGCTCTTGTCCAAAGACCATAAGCATTAGTGATGTGTCACTTCCAGTCTGAAGCCCAGGGACTCCCTCATTTCCCTACCTACTGGCTGGATGACCGCAGAACAGGCTGAAACCACATGTTAAAGGTGATAGAGCCACAGTGTAAAGGAGACTTTATTCTTAAGTAGCTACTGGAAGGAGAAATGCCCGGAGAGAGCCACCAAACCAAACAAACAAGAAAAAAATATATTAAGCCCCTGGAATTGAAGATTGTTGATTACAGCAGCTAGCATTAATTATCTTGAGGAATGCAAACGTATTAGGATGCAAGAGCCACTGTTTTCCACATCAGTAAAAGGGAAATAGTATGTCTTTCAGTAAAGGTAAAAGATAGTATATTTACAATGCTTGATATTGTGGTTACTTTCGTGGGTAATATGTAAACCAGAGGAAAAAATAAATATTTGCTTGTATTTTTGTCTTGAAATATATGAAAATAAGCTTTTACTAAAATTTACTAATATTTTATATCATGAAATGACAGTGGCACCCTCACTGGGTCTGTATGTCAGAGGGTTGTGTATCATGTATGGAAGATGAGATATTCATCTAGTATCCTGGTGAGTAGGACAGCAATACGTGAATGAAGGGGTTGCTAATGTGCAAGATGCATTTCTTCGTACCTGTTTAACATAATGTAGCCTATGATGATATCAGTGTGGTTTAGTTTATAAAATAAAAACCAATAAATAGTATGATCTTAGCAATACCAAAAAATGACAGGAGAAATAATTATAATTACTTGTTTTTACTGCTGTCATCTGTCAAAATACTCAAGAGTTATCACATTCAAAATACTATTCATTTTTCCCTTTACACAAAGTCAAGTTTCCCACTTTGCTGTTTATTCTTTGATAAACAGCAAACAATTTTGCAAACAATTTTGTAAAAATAAACACCTTCAAGGTAAACATGATGTTTTCACAATGGGTAAAAAGAAACTTTTTTGGAAAGAACACCTGTTATGGGGTTTTAAGATGGGTTTTTGAACATATTACCATTTATTTATTTATTTATTTATTTATTTATTTATTTATGTATGTATGTATGTATTTTGAGACGGAGTCTTGCTCTGTTGCCAGGCTGGAGTGCAGTGGTGCAAACTTGGCTCACTGCAACCTCTGCCTCCCGGGTTCAAGCAATTCTCCTGCCTCAGCCTCCCGAGTAGCTGGGACTACAGGTGCGCGCCACCACACCCAGCTAATTTTGCTTTTGCTGAGGCGGATGGATCACGATGTCAGCCACCGTGCCCGGCCATTACCATTAATTTTAAATGTTTTGGTTGCTGAAATAAATTAGTCATTTATGAATTCTCTCATATTTACATACTTATAAAATTTAAAAGAAATTTCTAACCTCTTTAAATATTATACTTAAAATGACTACTTCCCATTTATTCTGAAAGCAATTTTTATGTAAAAATTTCTAGTTTACAGAAACTGATTTATACCAGGGTAGATGGAAATGTTCTATGGACATTTTAACAAAAACATTTAAATAATTGGGCAATGGGATGTGCGTATATGTGTATGTGTATTTATATATGTGTATATATATATAATAATAAATGATTTTTGCATATGTGTATACAAAAAATACGTGTAAGTGTACATAATAGTATGTACACACATACACATATATACACACATATATATACACGTATGTATGTATATATGGATATTACACACATATATGTAACTAGCTCTTATATGTGTGTATATATTACATGTGTGTATATATACACATATATACATGTAATATGTATATACACACATACGTGTATATATGTATGTGTGTGTATCTGTGTGTGTATGTATATATTTTATACATGTATAAGTGCTTTTTTTTCTATTTGGACCAGAATTTTTTTTTCAGCTGTTACAGTCATTGAAATCAAATACCATATCAAACTGAGCAAAGAAACAGATTTTCAAAACACATATCACAAAGTATTAAGACAATACCTTTTTATAAATAATGAAACATTTTAAATCACATTATTATTAAAATATCTGAGTATGAAGAAGTTTGTTACATTAACAAACATCTTCTGAAAATATTTGATCTTTATTTTTTGTGTGCTTTATAACATGTGCTATGAGTGTAGTCATACATATATGGAGATTATATATTAAAATGTCTATTGGGGTGTGTTTCCTTTTTTAAATTTTTTAAAAAATTGGAACAAATAATTAAAAGATCTATCTATCAATCGATCTATCCGTGGAGAGAGAAAGAAGTGGGGGTATTATGAGGAATCGGCTCACATGATTATGGAGGCTGGCAAGTCCCACAATCTGTCATCTGTGAGATGGAGACCTGGGAAAGCCAGGGGTATAATTCAGTCCAAGTTTGGAGGTCTGAGACTCAGAGGACCCTATGGTATAAATTCCAGTCCCAGGCCAGAGAAGATGAGATGAGATGCCCCAGTTCAAACAGTGAGGCAGGGAAAATGGGGCAAATTCCTCCTTCCTCTGCCTTTTGCTCTGTTCAGTCCCTCGGTGAATTAGATGATGCCCACACACACTGAGGAGGGCAATCTACCTTACTGAGTTCACACGATCAAATGCTAACCTCTTCCAAAACACTCTCACAAACACATTCAGAAATAATGTTTAATCTGGGCGCCCTGTCGCCAGTCAAGCTGACATATAAAATTAACCATCTCAAGTCTACACCGTGCCAACTTGGCACCCATACACATCTTCTAAACCATACTTTAATCTCCAAATAAAGAAAACAACAATGTCCTAATTCCACCTAACATGATACAATTACCCTGCATAAAACAAAAATTGGCAATTACCCTTTTCCCAAAAAAGGAGGTAAAGTCCTTGAGCAGTGTGTACTCTTCTCCTTGACATCCCTTGACTTAAATATTATGATATAAAATAAATATCAATCCTCTATATATGTGAGTTTCAAATCCACAGATTCAACCAATTGCAGATTGAAAGTATTCATTAAACAATGGATGATTGCATCTTTACTGAACATGTACAGACCTTTTCCCTGTCATTACTCCCTAAACAATAGGGGATACCAATTGTTTATATAGCATTTACATAGTATTAGGTGTTATAAGTAACCTAGAGATGATTTAAAGTATATGGGATGATGTACATAGGTCATATGCAAATACTATACCACTTTATATAAGGGACTTGAGCATCTGTGAATTTTGGTATCAGCAGGAGGTCCTGGAAGCAATCCTCCATGGATACCAAGGAACAACTGTACTTAAACACTATGGCTATACAATGAATATATCTTATGCTACATGATAAGGGAGTAAGAGAGGAAAGAAAACAAAGATGCACACAAACACAAATGTATTCATGGCAAAATAAGGAGGAAGTACTCATGATGATTACAGTCCTTATTTCTGTAAGCGGTCACGTGGTTGTAGCTGGTATTTGTAATACCGTCTTTCACTGCCTATTCCATGTTCCCTTTGCTTTTAGCAACACCTCAGCTGGTCATGATTCTTTATCAGGCGATGTGACCAAAACCTTCATTTCTGAAGGATCTGCTCCCTTAGTCCTCCTCCCTAGGCTGGGTTGTTATAGTTTCATTGACCTTAAACACAGAGCATGTAATCTAAGAGATGCCCTAAAGGATCTCCTGTATTCCAGACATGTTTTCTTCCTTATTTCCATTGCAAAGCAGTTGTCCCATTTTGCCTTAGGAGTCAGGATTTTCCCCTGCTAAGGTCAGTATTCACATGGGACACAGGAGAGGTCTATACATATAGCTCTTCTACAAACATTTTTTGCCACCAATTTTTCAGTCGTGTTCCTGCCAAATCCCTGAGCATCCAGTGAAACCATTGGCCACAGCCCATAAATCAGTATATAACCACATGTTTAGCCATTTTCTGTTACAAGCAAAGTAAACAATCAGGTGCACTTCTCAAAGTTCAGCCCATTGGGGGATTTCCCTTTACCACTGTCCTTCAGGGATGTTCCATAGTGGGGCTTTAGGGCTGCAGCTGTCTAATTTCAGGTAGTGCCTGCATATAGTGCAGAATCATCTGTAAACCAGACCTAAGTCTTCTCTTCCTCTGACCATTGATCACAGGGAGCTCCCAGTGAGGCTGTAAGTGTAGGCTGGGAGAGAGAAGGCAGTATAGCTGGAGTGGGCATTTGGGCCACTTTTCATGTAACCTACCTGTGCCTTTAGGCCTGCTCAGGCCTGATCATGTATATACCACTTCCATTTGATGATGGAGTAGTGCTGGCATACCCAATTTTATGGTTTGGGGAGCCAGATAACACCCAGTTCATGGTGGGTGGCTCAGGTCCAGTTAAATTAGTGACCCGTAATTAAGTAGTCAGTCTCTACTAGGCCCAGTAGCACACCAAGAGTTGTTTATCATAAGAATAGTAGTTATTTGTGGATGATGGGGCAGGGCCTTGCTCCAAAATCCTAAAGACTTGTCCTATGATTCACCTAAGGGAACCTGCCAAAGGCTCCAAACAGCATCCTTATCTGCCACTGATACTTCAAGCTCCATATGGCCCAAGTACCAGAGCAGCTTGCACAGCAGCCTGGACCTGTTGCAGAGCCTTGCCTTGTTCTGGGCCACACTCAAAACCCGCAACTTTTCAGTTCACTTGTAAATGGGCCAGAGTAACACACCCAAATAAGCAATATGTTCCTTCAAAATCCAAAGAGATCTACTAGGCACTGTGCCTCTGTCAGGGGCCAGATGCAACAACATATCCTTCACCTTAGAAGAGATATCTCAACATGACCCAAATCACTGCATCCTAGAAGTTTCACCAAGGGAGAAGATCCCTGAATTTCCATCAGATGTATTTCCCACCCTCTGACATATAAATTTCTTACCAATAAGTCCAGAATAGTTGCCACTTCATGCTCATGAGGTCCAATCAGCATAAGTCATCAATGTAATGAACCACTGTGATATCTTGAAGAAGAGAAAGTCAGTCAAGATCACTGAGAACTAAATTATAACATAGGTCTGGCAAGTTGACCCACTGATATGGTTTGGCTCTGTGTCCCCACCCAAATCTCATCTCAAATCATAATCCCCACAAGTCAAGGGAGGGACCTGATGGGAGGTGATTGGATCATACGGGCAGTTCCCCCCATGCTATTCTCATTATAGTAAGGTAGTTCTCATGAGATCTGATGGTTTAAAAGTGGTGCACTTTTCCCTGCCCCCTACTGCCATTTTAAGATGTGACTTTCTTCCCCTTTGCCTTCCACCATGATTGCAAGTTTCCTGAGGCCTCCCCAACCATGCAGAACTAATAAAATTTGACTGTGTCTCCTCCCAAATCTCAACTTGAATTTTAGTTCCCATAATCCCCACATGTCATGGGAGGGACCCAGTGGGAGGTAATTGAATCATGGGGTTGGTTACCCCCATGTTACTGTTCTTGTGAGTTTTCATGAGATCTGATGGTTTTATAAGGGGCTTTTTCCCCTTTTGGTTGGCACTTCTCTTTCCTGCCACCATGTGAAGAAGGGCATGTTTGCTTCCCCTTCCTCCATGATTGTTAAGTTTCCTGAGGCCTCCTCAGCTATGCTGAACTGTGAGTCGATTAAACCTCTTTCCTTTATAAATTACTCAGTCTCAGGTATGTCTTTATTGGCAGCATGAGAAAAGACTAATACAGGAACTGAGTCAAGTAAACCTCTTTTCTTTGTAAATTACACACTCTCAGTAGTTCTTTATAGCAGTGTGAAAATTGACTACTACAGAAAATTGATACTGGCAATTTGGGGCACTGCTATAAAGATACTTGAAAATGTGGAAGTGACTTCGGAACTCAGTAACAGGCAGAACTTGGAACACTTTGGAGGGCTCAGAAGATAGAAAGACAGGGGAAAGTTTAGAACTTCCTAGTTAACTTGTTGAATGGCTTTGACCAAAATGCAGACCAAAAACTTCTTTCCTTTATAAGTTACCCAGCCTCAGGTAGTTCTTTATAGCAGTTGAAAATGGATTAATACACCTACCTTTTAGTTAGGACAGTGAAAGTGCATTAATGGCATTGCCAGGTGAAAGCAAACTGCTTCTGGTGAATCTTATGAACAGGTATGGAGAAAAAGGGATTTGATAGATCAATAGATGTATACCAAGTACCAGAAGATGAGTTAATTTGCTTAAGCAATGAAACTATATCTGATACTGCAGCTGCAACTTTAAGCATCACCTGGTGAAGCTTGTGATAATCCTCCGTCATTCTCCAAGATCTATCTGTCTTCTGGACAGGCCAAATACAAGAGTTGAATGGGGATGCTGGGGGAATCAGCATCCCTGCATCCTTCAAGTTCTTGATGGTGGCGTGAATCTTGGCAATCCCTCAGGGAATGCAGTATTGTTTTTATTTACTCTTTTCCTAGGTAGAGGCAGTTCTAATGGCTTCAACTTGGCCTTTCGCACCATAGTAACCCTCATTCCACAGGTCAGGGAACCAATGTGGGATTCTTTCAGCTACTAATGGCATATGTCTATTCCAGTTACGCATCTGGAACTGGGAAGCAGACCACCGGATGGATCTGGGGACCCACTGGACCCACTGTGAGATGACCCTGAGCTAAAACTCCATTGATCACCTGGTTTCCATAAGCCCCTACTCAGACTGGTAGGTCAAAGTGATATTTTGGGACTCCCAGAATCAGTGTAACTTCAAAACCAGTGTCCAGTAATTCCCTAAATGCCTGATTATTTTCCCCAGTGATTTTTACCCCAGTAAAAGGCAGTAGGTTTCTTTGTGGAGGGCTTGGAGAAAGATTAACAGTATACATTTTTGATAGGGTACGCGGCTCCTCCCTCAAAAGGACCTGGACTCCCTTTCATTTAAGGGGCTCTGGGTCTGTAAATTGGCTTAAGTCTGGTAATCGATTGAGGAGCCATGACTCTCTGTTTTTATGATTCAGGTTAGACTTTTGTTCACTTGACCTAGAACTTTTCTGCTTAAACAGGTAAAAAATGTAGTAGACTTTCTATTTGTTTCCCTTCTAAGAGCACTATAAACAATTAGCTAATGCCACAGGTCTACACAAATCAGACTATTCTGATTACTGCTTTGACTCTGATGCCCTCTAATGTAACTACGCCCAACTTGCCTTGGCCTCTGCTACCCCAAGATCCAATTACTCCTACTGCATTTAGGTTTCCCAATTCAGTGACTGCAGTTCCCACTACGAGGTCTGGCCTATGGAGAGTAGAGCCATCAGAGAACTCTTCAAAGATGCCAGAACTTACTTCACAGATTTATTTCTTCCAGTATTGCTGAAAGATATGTCTTCTGGGCTTCTCAGTGTGAGAATGTCTTAAATGACTAATTCACTCTAACATTCTAATATCCCTATGCCTTTGGATCTCTTCCTCTACATTAAACCAAGGCATTTTTGGTATTTCCAATTCACTTATGGTGAACCACCTTTTGATTAATGTTTTAGTCAAACAATCAAATTAATTGTTAGAGCTCATTCTAACTCCTTGAGTTGAGCTGCAACATTAAATGCAGAAACTCTGCTTAGTGAGCCCATGTCAATAAATTCAGCTTGATCCAATTTTATGTTCCTTCCATTATCACCCTATACTCTTAGTATCCATTCCCACACATGTCCCCTGGATTTCTGTGTGTATGAATTAGAAAACTCAAGTAGCTCATTTGGAGTGTAGTGCACCTCCTCATGGGTCATACTTTCTACCTCACCCTTAGGGGCCTGCTGGGACTTGAGTCTAGTTGTAGGTCTAGAAGAAAATAAGGGTGTTGAGGGTGGGTCCTGAGAATCAGTATTGTTTCACTGGGCCACTGTCTCAGGGAAGGCAATTACTATTTTCTCAGGCAATTCAGGGTTAATACCACTGGGGGTGAGGATGCCACTGTATTGAGCATGGGGAGGCTGCTGCTTCTGGAGTTGAGGGGACCACTTCTGTGGGGGCTAGGAAGACCTCTTCTACTTGTAAAGAATGCTATAAGAATGAGGGACTCAATGTCCCCAGCTTCATCAGGGTCTTGCCACACAGCCACATCCCAATGTATAGGATCCCATGCTTTTTCATTTAATGCCCTCACTTCAATACAACATACCATGCAAAGCTGGGAATTCAACTTGCAGTGTACTCGGCCAGTCACAGGATGAGGTTCTGCCTTCGATTTTCAGCAATTTCAGCCGTACAGCTACAGGAGGTAAGAGTCTCCTTCAGGTCAAACATAGAAGCTCTTGAGACAGTTATGTAGTGCTTAAGCTGAGATTTCATATCCCTGAGCTCATCCTTTTCTTTCACTACTCTGTCTAGAAACATAGGAACAACCAACTAACATCATTATTTTCCTTAGTTTTCCAAAAATGATTGAAAGTATCATATACATAGTCACTTAGCTCCTTGCTTCCTTGTAAGTGGTGGACTAGGAGTACCCAGTGGAGAAATTTTGCATATCTCCATAAACAGTTCATGTCATACACTATCAATGCTTTATTTACTACTGGAAGTAGTCATTAGCATCTTTAAATCTAATCAGATTAGAGAGTCAATTCTGGGAACTCCAGAAGGAATTCTGAAAACTCATCCTTAAAATTCTATTCCTCTAGAAGCACTCTCACTACCAAAATCTCTATTAGTCGGGGTTCTCCAGAGAATCAGAACCAGTAGCATATATATATATATATATATATATATATATGAGATATATACACACATATATATATCTCACATATATGATATACGATGTATATATGTGTATATATATGATGTGTGTGTATATGATGTATATATATGATGTATGTAAAAGGTTTATTATAAGGAATTGGCTCATTATAGAGGCTGAGAACTGCTTGCTGTCTGTAAGCTGGAGTTCCAGAGATGCCAGTGGTTTAATTCAGTCTGAGTCCAAAGGCCTGAGAGTCAGAGGAGCCAATGGTGTAAATACCAGTCTCAGGCAAGAGAAGATGAGACGACATGTTCCAGTTCAAGTGGTGAGGCAGGGAAAAAGGGGCAAATTCCTCCTTCATCTGCCTTTTGCTCTATTCATGGCTTCAATGGATTAGGTGATGCCCACACACACTGTGAAGGACAATCAATTTACTGAATCTACAGGTTCAAATGCTAATCTCTTCTGGAAACACTCTCACAGGCACACCTCAAAATAGTGTTTAATCTGGGTACCCTGTGGCCAGTCAAGTTGACACACAAAATTAACCATCAAAACCTTCCCAACTACAACGAACTTCATAAAGGAAGGCCTCAATACCTACCAAATGCTGCTTGTTGGGGATGATGGAAATGATTAACAATTGCACATGCCATCAGCAGTCATTTAACCTTAAAATTTAACCTTAAAAAGAAAAAGGAGAAGCACTAAGCAGAAAAAGTAGGAGGAAAGGGTCTGAAAGTTCTGAGTCTGTCAAGAAAATGACTTCAGGAATAAGAATAATAAGGAAAGTCATTATCAGCACACTTTACTTTCACAACATCATCAGGGTTATCTCAAACTGTACTTGTCAAAAACGATCTAATACCACAGTTTAAATACACTTTTCTAAATAGAAACTAAATGACCAGAACGAGCAACGTATTTGATCTTTGTTTAGCTTCTCTCTTACCTATTCTGGTTGGCTATACTTATGATACAATGTCATTGGCACACACTTGGATTACTCTACATGGGCCGAGACCTCCACTATCCTTTGTCCTACAATTATGTAGAGGTATAGATTACATGTCTCAGGCAGTGAAACATAATCCCTAGATGAGACCAGGACAGAGCCATCCACAAAAAGACAATGGCATATTCTACTTGAGGGAGAGCTGGGATAATCTGAAATGTCTTCCCCTTTACCTTTAGTTGAAAACTACATTTTTCCTTTCAAATATGTTGAAACCACGTTCTGGAGTGAGCAGCCTGAGGTTATAGATGATGAGGGCTTTAGACCTGAACCTAGATATTATAACTCCCGAGCTTGTTCTCCATCCAGCCTACTTTCTGTGAATTTCAGTCTTATAATACATTTGTGTAACCAGCATCCACAATATTCACATTTCCTAAATGGCAACAAAAGTGACTAGCAAGGATTGTTGTGGAGGCCTAAAACAATGTTGAGAACATTGGTATTTAATGTGTTGTTCATTTATGCAAGAGACTTTAAAGGTAACTTCATACCATGCTTCTCAACATTTTTCACAAAATTTTTATAATCTTTCACTTTGCCCCACCCAATTTCTCTGACTTCTGGAGTAGTCAAGACAGGTTTTGGTTAGATCTACTTGAGTCCGCAAGGCAAGTTTCAAAATGGGGGAGGTGCTTTAATTGGCTGGTTCAAACCAGTTCTTTTGGCAACCTCAGTCAGCATATGGCCCCAGGTTCCCTTGTCTCTCCCAAAACTCAGCAGTTATCATGTTCACAGAGCAGAAATTACATGATTAGATGGTCTTTCTATTGGTGCAAGGATAAAGAATAATATCACCAAAACCACTAAACAATAGCAGAATTATTTTTTAGAGCCCATGGAACATTCACTAAGACAGACCATATCCTGGACCGTAAACCAAATAAAACTCAACAAATTAAAATAATCAAAATGATACAGTGTGTGTTCCCTGATTATGATGAAATAAAATTAGAAATTAATACCAGAATAACAGAAAAACCAACAAGCATTTGAAATTAAACACCGTACTTCTTAATGGGTCAATGAAGACGTTTCAAGATAAATTTTAAAATACATTAAACTGTATGAAAATATGAATACAACATTTGAAATCTGTGGGCACAATTAATGCCATGCTGAGAAGGAAATTTATAGCATAAGTGTTTATATTAGAATAGGAAAAAAGTCAAAAATAAATAATCTGAGCTCCAATCTTAAGAATCAGAAAAAGGACAAAATAAACCTAAAACAAGCAGGAAAAAAGAAATAATAAAGAGCAGATGTCAATAAAGTGCAAAACAGAAAACCAGAGAAAAATCAATAAAACAAAAAGCTGGTTCTTTGAAAATTTTGATGAAATTGAAAACCTCTTGTGAGACTGACAAAGAAAAAAATGATGCAAATTACAAATATCAGTAGTGAAACAGAGATTTTACTACCATCCCCAAAGACTTAAAAATAAAATCTAAAAAATCATTATAACTCTTCATACACAAATGTGGTAATAATTTAGAGACAATGAATTCCTTAAAAAGCATAAACTACCAAAACTCACCCAATATAAAATAGATAATTTGAATAGACCTATAATTGTTAAATTTGTAGTTTAAAAATTCTCAAAAAAAATACTCTATGCTCAGATGCTACCAAACATTTAAAGAAAATTTAACATCAATTATACATAATCTCTTCCAAAAAACAGAAGAGGAAGGAACACTTTCCATCTCATTTTATAAGGCTAATGCTAACTGTGATACCAAAACCAGACAAAGACAGTACAGAAAAAAGAAAAACTACACACCAATATCCCTCATGCACAGAGGAGTACAAAACTTCAATAAAATATTAGCAAGTTAAATCCAATAATATATTTAACATTATACAACATGACTAAGTGCATTTATTCAGGGAATGCTAGGCTGGTTCAATATTTAAAAATCAATATAACCCACCATATTAACAAGCTAAAGAGGAAAAATCATACGATCATATCAACTGAGGCAGGAAAAGCATTTGCCAAAATCCAATACTCATCCATGATAAAAACTCTCAGCAAACTAGAAAATAGAGAGGATCTTCCTGAACCTGATAAAGAAGATCTACAAAAATACCTACAGCTAACGTGATACTTAATGGTGAAAGGCTGAATGCTTTCTCCCTAATATTGGGAAAAAGGCAAGAATATCCACTCTACTATTCTCAGTTAATATAACACTGAATGTCCTCACCAGTCAGCACAGTAAGAACAGAAAATAGGCCCGGCGCGGTGGCTCACGCCTGTAATCCCAGCACTTTGGAAGGCCGAGGCGGGCGGATCACAAGGTCAGGAGATTGAGACCATCCTGGCTAACACGGTGAAACCCTGTCTCTACTAAAAATACAAAAAAATTAGCTGGGCGTGGTGGCGGGCGCCGGTAGTCCCAGCTATTCGGGAGGCTGAGGCAGGAGAATGGCGTGAATCCGTGAGGCGGTGCTTGCAGTGAGCCGAGATCGCGCCACTGCACCCCAGCCCGGGTGACAGAGCAAGACTCCGTCTCTAAATAAATAAATAAATAAATAATAAAAATAAAGAACAGAAAATAAATGAATAAATGGCATACAGATTAGAATGGAAAAAATAAAACTGTGCCTACTTGCAGATAACATAATCTACCAAAACATTTCCTAAAACTGTAAGTTCAGTGAATTTGTAGCATAAAAGGTCAACATATACAAATCCATTCTATTTCTATACACTAGTTATGAACAGTGAAAGCTTATAGTACCACTTGCAATCACTGAAAATGAAATACTTGGGTATAAGCCTAATTAAATATGTACAGAACTTATATGCTGAAAAGTAAAATGCAGATGAAAGAAATCAAAGATTTGAATAAATAGAGAGATGTACGTGTTCATGGATTGGAAGACTCAACATCAATTCTCTCCAGACTAATCAAGGGCTTAACACATTCTGTATCAAAATCCAAGCAAGGTTTTTTTTTTAGAAACAGATTAGCTTATTCTAGAATGTACACAGGAAGGCAAAAGAACTAGAATAGCTAAAACAATTGTGAAAAAGAATAAAGTGGGAAGAATCACTGTACCTGATACTAAGATTTATGTAATTATGGCAATGTGTTATTGGCAGAGAGATAACAAACAAGACCAGTGGAACAGATTAGAGACCCTAGAAAAAGACCCACACAAGCAGAGCCAAGTGGACTTTGGCAATGGTATAGAAAAGCTATTCAACTAAGACAGTCTTTTCAACAAATGGTGCTGGGACAACTAGACAGACATAGGTGAAAACAACTTAAACTTCCTATCTTAGACACAAAGATGGAGAAAAACATGGAAGAATATCTTTAAGACCAAGGCTAGGTAAAGAGTTCTTAGACATAAATAACACCAAAAGCACAATCAATAAAGGAAAAAACAAAAACAAAAAACAAAAACAATAAACTGGAGTTCACCAAAATTAAAAAGTTTTGTTCTGCACAAGACACTGTTAAAAGGGTAAAGACGGCCAGGCATGGTTCTCACACCTGTAATCCCCAGCACTTTGGGTGGCCAAGGTGGGTGGATCACAAGTTCAAGAGAGAGAGACAATCCGGGCCAATATGGTGAAACCCAGGCTCTACTAAAAATACAAAAATTAGCCAGGTGTGGTGGCATGTGCCTGTAATCCCAGCTATGGGAGGCTGAGGCAGAAGAATCGCTTGAACCTGGGAGGCGGCAGCTGCAGTGAGCCAAGATTGCACCACTGTACTCCAGCCTGGCAACAAAGTGAGACTCTGTCTCAGAAAGAAAGAAAAAAAAAAAAAAAGTCAAGACAAGCTACAAACTGGGAGAAAAATGTTTACAAACCACATCCTTGACAAAGAACTCATATCTAGATTATACAAAGAACTCCCAAAATTCAAACAGTAACAAAAACCAAACAGCCCAATCAGAAAATTGATGAAAGACATGAAAAGACATTTCACCAATGATACAGAGATGGTAAATAAGCACATGAAAATATATAGCTATTAGGGAAATGCAAATTAAAGCCACAATAAATATCACCTCACCTATAAAAGTTAAACAAATAACGGTAATAATACCAAATGCTGATGAAGATGTTAAGAAATCAGGTCTTATACGCTGCTGCCATGAACGTAAAGTGACATAGCCTCTGTAGTAGTTTGCTAGGGCTGCCGTAAGAAAATACCACAGATTAGTGGCTTACACGACAGAAATTCCTTTTCTCAGGTCTGGAGGTTGGAAGTCCAAGATCAAGGTGCTGGCAGGTTTGGTTCACTGAGGCCTCTCCGTGGCTTGCAGATGGCCTTCCTTCCTCTTGCAACTTCTTCAAATGGCCACCCCCCTGTGCACGCATGTCTCTGGTGTTGCTCCTCACAAGAACACCAGTCATATTGGATTAGACCTCACCCTAAAATGGACTTATTTTAAACTCATCTATCACCCCTTAAAACAACTTATCTCCCAATATGGTTACATTCTGAGGTACTGGAGGTTAGGACTTCAACATTTGAGTTTTAGGGGGACACAATTTGGCCCTTAACAGCCATTCTGGAAAACATCTTAGGAACTTTTTAAAATAACAACACACACACACACACACACACACACACACACACACACACTTCTTCCCACAATTTTTATTACTCGGGAAATTCTGTTCTCAACTGATAAGAGGGAGTTTTCACCAGTGGTGCCAAGTCCATGTGACAGGCACAGGCGTTGCCTGGAACCCCTTATGTGCAAGCCTTCATGAATTTGACAATGAGATCAATGCATAAAAGAACAATACTATGGCAATAACAAAGTGGTGATTTCTAGTCTCTTTTATCAGATGCCTCTATTCTATACCCCTTTTACTAGAATACTGTCCAAACTAGAGGCATAGGGAGGGATCTGCAAACTAAGCTCCCCGTGTTATTTGACCAGTGTGGATCATTCATTAGAGCTTACCATCCCCATTCTGAAAGCCTGGGTGATTCTGGAGCTAGCTCATCAGTTAAAATGAAATGCTTTCACAAAGCATTTTGGGAAAATCACAAAGCTGATGAATTCTTATTTCTGCTACTGCACAAGATCACATTTCCAGAGATTTATATCAGCACCTGTATCCTTTCTAGACTTTTTCTTATTAAACAAAATGCTTATGCCATAATATACAAAATCAATCTTGAGATTCTTTTCCATTTTTTAACTGAAACTAGCTTCAATCTAATTTAGCTCTAAATTTTTTCTTTAAAATCTCAAAACATGTCTTTATAAACACATTTATCCACTCCACTAAGAGCAAAAAGCTTTCAAAACTTGCATCTTTGCAATAAACACAAGAGCCCTTATAACAGTTACAGCTGACTTACTTGTGATCTGAAAGCACCCATCACTCTTGACACATAGTAGGAGGCAAATACTGATTTGCATAGTGCTATTTTCTGATAGGTGCAGTGCCATCAAATATGAACAACCACAGAGTTAAGTTGTGATTGCCGTATGACAGATAGCCTTCTAGTTAATTTCTGGCTGTGGTCTCACCCCGGTAGCCTGTATTTCTTGATAAAGCAATCCAAGGTCCCTCACCAGTAAAATAACATACTTTTGGCCCATCCTCACATCACATCCAATTTGTGTTATTTCTGTACCTACAACCAGTGTGTTTTCCCCAACTCTGCATTCATCATTCCATTTTATTTTATTTTTTCCCAGAAATAGAATAGCTACCATCCTGAAACAGATGACAGTATTTAGAAGTAAGGATGTTGGGATTATATCAAGCAAAATGTTTGCAATGGCAATTAAGATACCCTCAATATCCCATGATAGAAGGCTAGTACAATTATGGATAGCTATGTAATGGAATGTTATATAGTCAGTACAAATGATGAGAGGACTCTATAGGAAAAATATTAGGTGAAAAAGAAAATCAGTGCCAAAAAGTATACGTACATTTTAAAAACATTTTAAAAAGTATGTTTGAAATATTCTATACTAGAATAGCTTTAAAGTGAGCAGGAAGAGAGAAGGGGAAGTTAGGAAAAAGAAGACTGGCTAAATAGTATAGTTGAACTATCCATAGAATTTTAAACATGGATATGTCTAATGATTGTTTTTAAGTTGTTAACATAAGCACAATTTAAGCTCATTTCCTCTTCTCAAATTTGCATTAGTCGGCCAATCACACACACACATACACACACACACACACACACACACAGAGACTCACACACATGAAATATGTGAAATGGGTCTATTTTTAAGATATGCTAACTGGTTGCCTGGAGGAAACTGGAACCAAGATGGGAGCCTTTTTTAATAGAATAAAATAGTTGATTTTTTTTTTGCCTTGGCCTATTACCAATTTTTACCAACCCTTTTAACTTGCAAGATAATACAAGGTTCTTGAACAGTTCACATTCACCTGCTTGCCATTTATTAGGCCAAGAATGCTCCCTCCACCTGCAATGCTCTTCCCTGCAGATACTCAAATGTTTAATGCCCCTTCACCTTAGGACTCCATTTAAATAGGAGACCCTCCCCACTATTTAAAATCAACATATCCCCTATGATTATGCCAGTCCCTGTCCTCCTACCATGTTTTATGTTTCTTAACAGCACTTATTGCCATCTAAATTAAATTCCATACTTGTTTATTTTCTGTATGTACCTGGTCATTGAAACAATGGTATTTTGTTGGTTTGTTCCATCCTAGCCACTAGAATAATGTTTAGCACAAACCTACACTGGATATGTACTGCTGCAGCAGTTCTGAAAAGTAACTATACGGCACTGACAGCTGCGATAGTTTTTCTCAACTTAGGGGCACCATGGCTGGGAGGGGGAGAAATGTAGTTGTAAAGAGCTCCCTTGTATACCTACAACACAGCAGTTACTGGTAAAAACCTCAGGCTGGAAGTTGAAGGATGTTAGAACTATTAACTCCTTCGTTAATCTAAAGGTCATCACGTCACCTCACTGAATGAAGATTACTCAAAAAGAGACAGTACCAAATAATTCATGCCTACTACTGAACTCAGACATGAACTTGTCAATTTCCAGCTGTACATTTCAACAGGAATCCAATTTTTTATCATCTCAAGCTTATATGCCTAAATTTGTGAAACAGCATTAACTTAACTTTACATTTGGCTTTGAATTTACTATTAATCAAGTCAAGTAAATCAAGTGGTGGAGAAGACAAACACACGCTAAGGTCGGCAAAAATACACTCCCATTAAACATTCTGTCCTCTGAAGGGTAAAAATTTTATTTTTGAGGAATTTCTTACTGCACATTTTCAAAGAGAGTCACATAAGAAAGCAAAAATGTTATCCTCCCCTCATCCTAGAAATAAATAAGAAGGACATAAATTTTTTTTTTTTTTAAATCATGACACTTGGAGGTTTAGCACCAGCATCCAAAATGAACAAAAACGGAAAAAAAAGCATTTACTATATATTTCAGATTTCTTTGGTTGGGGTTCTCCCCATGTGGTATTAATATTTCTTGTTTCAATATATATATTACCAAAACAGTAAAAACCAGGAAAAAAAATAGAAACCTAGCGGTTGCTGAAACTGGAGAGGCTACTCTCTTGTCTTCCGTGCAGGAATTCCCAGGTTCTCAGCTTGCTGGAAAAATTTGTTGACATTTTCTTTTTGTAGTTGTTTCTTAAAGAATAACAGTAAACATTCCAATGTCCAAATCTTGGTTAGTCTTCCACTTTATTGCTTGGATGTTTCTTTGGTGTTGGTTAAGGTTGTGGCCTGCTTTTTGCTTTATTTCTGAATGGTCATTAATTCTTTAGGTCACCTGGGAAAAATTAAAATCAAACTTATAAAGAGTGACAAAGTAACCATGAGTTAAAGAATAAAAAGGCAGAAATTATATGCTTTTCATATAATTAGAAAAAGAGTACTTCAAATGCTCTAAATACAATCACATCTTGTATAGATCTGTAAGCTATATGTTAATTAAATGGAAACTCTCACTTTTTAATAAAGTATTTTTATAAACCAGAAAAGTCAGTACATAAGAGCAAAAATTTTATAAAATTGTATAAAAGAAAATTACCATTACTAATGAACAATACTCAAAATCATTTTAGTGGCTGCACCCTATCTCCTAATATGAATATATCACAATTAGCTATTTACCAAATGTCAGACAGACTGTAAATTGTAAAAATATTTTTTCCCAATATTTAAAATTATTTCCTTAGAAACAATACCTAGAAATAATGTTACGCCATAAAAGGGTATGGCCATTTTTATATTATTAATATGTTACTCTGAATCAGCTAATTCCAAGTTTGAATAGGGAACTTATTTCTGTGACAAACTGTCCATGCTACCCAAGATAAAACAGAATATTGTCCTCAAAGTGAATGCTTACCTAATTAATGGCTGATTAAAATCCCACATCACTGGATATAAAAGCAGATGGCCTTAAGACACAAGAACTTATAATAATCCCAAAACTTCATTGATGAAATTTTAACAATTTTTGAAAAATAGCATTGACACTGAGTTTACAACCTCTCTCTTAACTAAAAGCTAATGGAAAGGGTGATAACCAAGAAGTATAAGAACTAAAGTCTCAGTTAAAAGGGTTATAGGTTAAAAAAAAACAAACCCAGAATTTATAATTGAGTTGATCTTTCTGGCTATAATTCTATGTAAATAAAATGTCCAAGACCTTTAAAAGACAGAAAAAAGTAGAAAATGACAAGAAAATAACAAGCTATCCTTTTACGAGAGGTTATTCTTTACCATACCCTATTGTAAACACTCCCTGTTATTTCACTTAATAATCCTTGCAACGACCCTAGTAAATATAATTAGTATCCTAATTTTTACCAGTAGCAGATAGTACTGAGACAGAGGATAAACTGCTCAAGATCACCCAGCAAATGAGAGGTACAGTAGAGCCTGCAATGGGTAGATAAACCTTGGCTCTTATACACTATGCTGCACCGCCTCAAAATAAATAAAGTTGATTATCAAAGAAAAAGGGAAGGAAAAAAAATCCTTTAGTTTATTCTACTGTTTCTGATTACTAAACAGGTTCTGAAACTGTTTCTGATTACTAAAACCAGGCCTTTGTTAGGGACTTTTAGCATCAGTTTTCCTAAGTGGTACTAGTAGTTAAAAAACTGCCTGTCTAGAAAAAAGAAGTTGAGTATCATCAACTCTGTCTGAATGCTTATACCCTCACCAAAGCTTATCAAAATGAGGTCAATCCCAGAAATATTTAACCACCAAATCACTTTTTCCACAGAGTCCCAATAGAGACAAGGGGTTGGCACAGATGAACTGCAGAACTAGTTTAGACTAATTTGTACTCTTGTTGAGAAACCAGTGATACTAAAAAGAAAATACCAACTCAAGACTGGGCTGCCCCAGCTCTTACCTGCCGATGGTGAAGGTGCCTGAGGAGCCTGGTGTTACTCAGCACTGCTCTGCTGGGTGGGTGGAGCAGGGTTCTCAGTTGGTGCTTCACCTGCCTTGGCCTAAAATGCAAAACAAAGCCATAAATCAGATAAAGTCAGATGACAGTGGAAAGTTCAAGACTGAAAGTTCTTAAAAGTTTGAATTTTCCTGTGAAGGAAAATTAGCATGCAAAAATTTAACTACTCTTAAGTATGAGTCACAAATTAGTACCATATTCAGTCCCTGGCATCTCTACCAAAACAAAACGAAACCAAAACCTCACAAAAACAAAAAACAAAACAAAACAAAATTAGTACCATATAAGAACAGCTTACAAAACGGCAACTAAATACCACTACTCTCCATAAAGTCTGATATACAACTGCTTTCAACTCATGCTTAGAGGCAGCTTCCTCTTGATAAATGCCTCTCTTCTTTGAAGAACCCCAAATGTTTTAGCTCTGAATCCCCATTAATATGGGTCATTCTTTCAGAGAATGTTAACTGGATTCAAATATGTGGTCTGTGTTATGTACAAGGCATACCCTATATATATGGATCTTGAGCAAAATGTTTTTATATTTGTTAAGTGTCAGGTTTCATGTGATAAAACCACTTTTAGAATGCTAAAGTCTGACATGATTAAAGACTATCTGGCAACATCCGCCCTGACTGGTTGGATTTACCTCTTTGCCATCTTGTGAAGGAGCGTTAGGAGGACGCGGGCGACGCCGGTAATTGTAGGGACGCCGGTATCCACGGCGAACAGACGGCTGGTTTGGACCACTGGTGGCTTGCTGATTTTCTTTATCTTCAGCCTCTCCAACTGCTGGGGCAGGTCGTGGGCGAGGAGGTCCCCTGCTGTAGGGAACACAGAAGAAAATAGAACAGGTGCCAACAGGACAGGGCTTCTCCAGAAAATAAGGTTTTATTTATTTTTAAAAATTAAAAAGTCAAGTGATCAGGGCCAGGCATGATGGCTCACCCCTGTAATCCCAGCACTTCAGGAGGCTGAGGCAGGCGGATCACTTGAGGTCAGGAGTTTGAGACCAGCCTGGCCAACATGGTGAAACTCCATCTCTACTAAAAATACAAAAATTAGCCGGGCGTGGTGGCACATGCCTGTAATCCCAGCTACCTGGGAGGCTGAGGCATAAGAATTGCTTGAATCCATGAGGCAGAGGTTGCAGCAACCCGAGATTGGCACACTCCAGCCTGGGTGACAGAGGGAGACTCCATCTCAAAATTAAAAAAAAAAAAAAGTCAAGTGATGAGTACTTATTGCTAGAATTATTCGCAGGTCAATGCAACAAATGGAATAGAGGTTTCACGAAAAAAAAATCTTAATTTTCCATCATTTTCCCCTTTCATTTGAATACATATTTGTAAGGAACATACATATACTGAACACATACTCTGTTCCTATCAGGCCCTTTGATAAGCACTAAGAATAGGAAAATTAAAAAAGAAAAGAAGAGTAGTCTGGTATCTGCCTTCCATGAACAGAATTTAGCAGAGACTAAGGGAATTAAACATGAGAAGAAACATTATTATGTGCCAGAGCCTGTGCTAGTCGGTTTTAAAATTAAATATTTAATTTGAATGGTAATTCTGTGGATGAGATTTATAACAAGAAAACCAAGAGGTTTACATGATAAAGTATACGGCTGAGCTATATAAAAGTGCTGCTTTTATAGGTTAAAAAAGGTCAAATATGACTTTCCAAGATCACATATCCAGGGACTGACAAAGCTGAGCCTCACACGCTACTGAATCCTTTTTGTTCCAGTAAGACATTTCTATGCCGTCTCTTTTATTTTCAAAGTCCCTAGTACTTAATCATTAGTGATTATGCCTAAAGCTGGAGGGAACCTTGTGAAGAAAAAGGATACGATCCTTTTACAATTATATTGGTGGAATCCTTTCCCAATATAATATACTTTTTATCCTTCAATAAAGCCATACTGACAAATTTCAAGGTAGCATAAACATCATTCAGGAAGAAGTTGTAGCTTTTCCACTTACCACAAAGGGTAAGATAAAAGAATGGGCAGGCTTATATTATAAAATGCTTCAAAGGGATCTTATGGAAGGAGTCTAGCCTAATTCAGTCTTCCAAAGGAATAAAGCACAAATAGAATAACCCAGCGTTCACTAATATTAACCTCAATGGTGGTAATAATATCTAATACATAGTGAGGCCTTTACTTTATCAGGTACCACACTAATTATCTTAGCTGCATTAGTACCTTTAATCCCCAACTATAGAATATCTCTTTGTTTTCAGACAGGGTCTCACTCTGTTGCGCAGGCTGGAATGCAGTCCAAGAACATACATCTAATGAACTGTAGAGTAGGAAGATAAATTCAGGCGATTTGATCATACCCTGATTTAACCCCTCTACTGGACTGCCTCAGTGATTAACAGTCACTATCCCAAATATCCTCTGACACTCAATTCTTCCTCCATCTGCAGCATTACCACAGAATTGCCCACCAATAATTTATCTGATTTATTTTGATAAAAATTAAGTATTAATTTACATCTTATTATAATTCCAGAATACAAAATGACGCTTTGGCGCAGAGATAACTAAAAATTCTAGTATTAAGTAGGTGGGAAATGTCACACCACCACCTGAAAACTCTGGCATGTAGTCAAAGCATTCACATCTTCTAGATATATAATAAATCCACAAAACGGAACCACACAGTCCTCATTCTACCATTGTGCACACAAGTCCTTTAACTGGCCATTAGTGGAAAATGCGACATACCTACGGTACCTTGGGCGGTAAGTTGGATTTCGATGAACCGGTCCCTGAAGTTGTGCTCCCTCTGGGACTCCATCCTTCATCTCTCCAATCTCACCAGCCTGGAGAGGCAATGAGAGCTGACAGTGAGTGTCACAGCACAGGGGATAAGATACAGTGCATACAGCTATGTTCAGAATTTTTTTTAGAAGTAAAAAACAAAATGCTTCATTACAAAATTAGGCACTCTCAGTTGCAACACAAACTATTTATGAGTAAATCTTCGTGAACGACTGAAAAGGAAGACAAACCTAGTCTGACTAGAATACTCATTTGCTTAGTCCCAGAGCACCTAACTTTATTTTCGCCTATCAATTTAACATTTTGAAATCGGATACATTTCATTCATCTCTTTAAATAAAATACTCTTTTATTTTTCTTTACAACAAACTTACTTTAAGCCAGTGGAATAAAATTAACTTATTGTACAACTTCCAGGGGAAAGAAAGAACAACTTAAAAAAACAAAAAAACCCACCAACAATGTCTGCAATTCTTGACCATACAGCCATAACTCAACTTTCTTTTCTTTTCTCAAAACATCCCTTCCTCCCCCTAAGAGCCAAATACTGTCCTTCATTATTTCATCAAGAAAGAGAAACAGTCAGAAGACAATTTCCACGTTCTCATTAGCAAATCTACCCAGCTCCCTGTATTTACATTAGAATTTTCTTCTCTCCCATTACCCTGGGTAAGTGGTCCAAGTTCATATCTGAAACCAACAGCCTCTCTATTCTCATCAACTAGACACAGCATGTTAACGCTATCCCTTCACTATGTTTTCACCTTTTCTATCATTTCCATCCAAGCATATATACCCAGTGAAATAGCACCCATCCTTTTCAATTTTTTAAAATTTTGAAATAAGCACAAAGTTACAGAAAAGTTAAATGTAATTCTCAGATCCCATTCAAGTTTCACCATTTATCCCAATGATGCCCTTTATAGCAAAAACACCGTTTAGAATTATGCACTAAAGTAAGTTATATCTTTTTGTTTGGAGCAGTTTTTTTTAATTTATTTATTTGAGATGGAGTCTCACTCTGTCGCCAGGCTGGAGTGCAGTGGCGCGATCTCAGCTCACTGCAACCTCTGCCTCCCTGGTTCAAGCGATTCTCCTGCCTCAGCCTCGCAAGTAGCTGGGACTACAGGCATGTGCCACCACTCCCAGCTAATGTTTTGTATTTTTAGTACAGACGGGGTTTCATCATGTTGGCCAGGATGGTCTCAATCTCTTGACCTCGTGATCTACCCACCTCAGACTTCCAAAGTGCTGGGATTACAGGCATGAGCCACCACGTTGGTTTTCATGACCCTGATACTTCTTTAAAGATTACAAACCAGTTATTTTGTAAAATATCCCTCAACTTGGGTTATTGGTGTTCACTAATGATTAGATATTGTTTTTGCATCCCCAGGGGGATGTCACAAAAGTGACACTGCATTCTCCTCACTGCATCCTGTCAGGTGGCATATAGTTTCAATTTGTGCCATTACTGATAATGTTCACTTTGATAAGTGGTTAAGGTGGTATCTGCCACCAGAGTCCTCCACTGTAAGTTGACTCTTTCCTTCTTTGTAATTAATGAGTACTTTGTGAGGAAGTACTTACAAAGTGCATAAATATACTATTCGTTATCAAATTTTTCAATATATTGGTTTATTTATTTATATTTGTATGGACTCATGGTTTTCTATTTTTTTCAATGAGTTGTAATCTGTTACTATCATTACTGGCCAATGGGAACCCCTTCAAGCTGGCTCATATCCTATTGATGTGTTTCCAACATTCTTTGAGTACTTCTTCGCTTTCTGGCACAACAAGATGTTCCAGGCTCATATTATACTTTCTCTGTCCCAGCTCTGAAATCAGCCATTTCTCCAAAGGGAATTCTTTTTGTTTGAGAATGTTATTTAAAAACAAAAAATTGGGGGACAGGTATGCTCAATGCTGTTACTAAGATATCACGGCTTTCAGGACCTTTCAGTAGACAGAACCATGGAACACACACACACAATGTTACACATATATGTGTGTCTATGTATGTGTGTATATATATATGTGGGTTTATGGCAAACACACGTGCCTACCTTGATCTGCCCATTTAATGGCTTTAGAAGTTGTTGGTGAGGTAACGGGTAAGGGAGAGACCAGGGGTAACTCTGCATTGTAAAAAGCAAATCAAATCAAGCAAAAATCTTGCTCTGATCCCTTATCTTCTTCCAGCTACTACCCCATTTCTTTACAGACATACATACTAAAGAAAAACCAAACACCATGACCACCACTACAGAAACCTCAATGGGGAATATGTCTCCTCTTCCCGCCCTTTGCTGTTTCTTAAGTTCATTCTATTTAAACTTTTGTCTTCACCAAACCACTGACCTCCAAGTTACCAAATCTAATAATCAATTCTCAGCTTAATCTCTACTTATCAACAAGCATTTAACACATTTCTTTCTTGAAATACATTCTCCTTGGCTGCTCCTTCTCACTGTCCTTTGCTAGACAATCCTCATCTTCCTAATCTTTAATCGTTGGTGTGTCCCAGAACTTGATCCTAGGACCCTATTTCCACCTACACTCACTTTATAGTTAATATCATCCTGCCCCTACGGCTTTAAACATCCTGTTTTATAACTCCAAATCAGCCAGGAGCGGTGGCTCACGCCTGTAATCCCAGCACTTTGGGAGGCCAAGGCAGGTGGATCACAAAGTCAGGAGATTGAGACCATCCTGGCTAACACAGTGAAACCTCGTTTCTACTAAAAATACAAAAAATTAGCCAGGCGTGGTGGCGGGTGCCTGTAGTCCCAGCTACTCAGGAGGCTGAGGCAGGAGAATGGCATGAACCCAGGAGATGGAGCTTGCAGTGAGCCGAGATCGTGTCACTGCACTCCAGCCTGGGTGACAGAGTGAGACTCCATCTCAAAAAATAAATAAATAAATAAATAAATAAATAATTCCAAATAATTATTTGCAGTTCCATTTCTCCCCTTCAGACTCCCATTCACGCCTTTCCTGGGACCTGATGGACTTGATCCCTTGCTCCATTTAGGTCTCTTCTCAAATACAACTTAATGAACTCCCAAAAATGTTGTCAACCACTGTATCTAAGACTACACCTTCCATCCTCCAGCCACTTTCTACCTCTTCCCTCTGCTTTATTTCTTCTGCCTACTTAACACCTCCACTTGTACGTGAATTTAATATGAGAAAAAGACCTCCAAAGAATTTTCACCTTTCCCTCCAAACCCAATCTTTCTTCAGTATTCCCGTATTTGTTTAAATCAAAACTGCAGAGGTATTATTTACTCCTCATACAATATATTACCATTCCTCATACTCTTCACTCAATCCATCATGAAATGCCAACACCTCTATATGCTTAAAACATTTTCCAAATCTAACCATTTAATCAGACCTTCCACTGCCAGCTTCTCTAATACAACCCATGTTCATTTCTCTACTGAAAAGATTATAGCAGCTGTTCTCCCTGCTTTTATACTCTTACCTCCTGTGGTCTAGTCCCAACAAAACAGTCCAATAATCTCTTCAATGTTTCTTTTCTGTTGAGATCCCTTTACTGGCTTCTCATCACATTTACAGTAGGTCAAGTCTTTACAGTGGTCTACCAGCATGTCTGACCTCCCCTGAGATCTCACCTCATACCCTCTCCCCCTTCATTCACATCATCCCCATCACATGAGCCTCTCTTTAGTTTCCTAAGTAAGCTCGGCCATTTCTTCCTCAGAAACTGTTGAGTCACAAAAAAAGACTGACAGAAACAGCAATTAACGTGTATAAAGGATGAGAGTCTGCCAGAAAGACTGGATGACAAGAACAAAATGAATTAAAATTAAGTTCTACCACTTCTTGTCCATGTAAAATAAAAGTTGCTGATTTTTAAAAGTAATCAAATTCCTTCATTTGTGACAACAACAAAAAATATGGAAACCACTGCTTCCCTCAGGCTCTAGAGACAACTAAAGTAAGAACCGATTCCAAATATCTGTCACCTGGTAGATGCCACAATGTTGCTCCCTTCCCTCCATCATATAATTATTTTCTCAAAGACAACAAGCACATAGTAGCTCAGTGAATGATTCTACTTAATTTTCAAATCTATAGAACTATTTTCTTTAAAAATGGAAGTTATTCAGTCACTAATAAATCATGCTATATTATGTCCTTAGTGCATAAGGCAAATACCACTGGCCTATATATTCCTATTTTTTTTTTCTATTATGCCCAATAAATTTCATAGCGTTGTAATAGTAGAAAACGTTGGCGAAGACTTTTATATTTGATCTCAATAATTTTTACTATCCTAGAGATCCATCTATATATTTTTAAGAGAACACACTGACAACCTTGAAGTAGCTTAGTTATATGGATGAGAGCTTTAGGAATTTTCTTTTGATGCTCTTGACTGGCTTAACCAGACTACTTAGTCAGAGAGCTAGTAGATATTATAAAGATTATTAAAAAATATGGTTTAAAGGATCAAGACAACTTTTACTTCTGACATGGAATAGGTAGGAAAGTCAGCCATTCAGTCAATTAACTAAATGCAGTTAAGTTACAGGAATAAGCGTACATGTTCAAAAGCAGCTTTCGATCAGCTTCTGCATATGATGTTTTACGTGGCACTAAGGAACGACTTTGCTCTGAAACTTCAATTCCTAAGGTGAAATACATTTTATTTCAAAAGATATGAAAAAGAATCATCATGCTTTCAGCAAACGTGATATATGTTGTATAAGCCAAACACTAAGGAGGAGTATTTCAGGAAAGCACTATTAAGACGCTAAAAATAAGTGCATATTACAATCTCACTGACTTTTCCTGTCCTTGTTTCCTAGAAGCCCAGAGTGCTGCCCTAAAGCTACTATGTCTCATGTACCCAATCTCTCCATATATGTAAGTCTACTTGTTATTTTTAGCACATTTGTCAGGGGCAGCTGTTGAAGAGTAGAAGGAAAAAAACAAGAAAGAACACAGTCATGCATGATGGGACAGGAGAAGGGTAGCAAAGAACAGACTGAACATAATGTTCGGTCAAAACATCTAGCGGTGAGGGGAAAAAAAAGAAACCCCAACGACACTGAGGAGAAAAAAGTTGTGGCTACTGATAACAAAAATGATGATCTATCCCTAGTTTTCCAAGTTCCCTAGGAACTGCAAAATTGATGTAAGGTTTATTAAGCACAAAACAAACTCAAAACAGCTGTACTAATATTCTGCAGTGAAAAAGGAGAATCAATAATCAACAACCTCCATTCTGGTAGGTTGCCTTTAAAAATCAGCACTGTCTCATTTAAAACCAATACTTTAAAAATGTTATTTATGCTGCAGGCATCTCTTTTGCTAAATCCTTTATATTTAATCATCATAACCCTATGGTGCAGGCATTTAATGCCCCCACTTAATGGATGAACTTAATCTAAAACTTGGTTTTCTCAAAACCTCACAAATAAGTAGCAGAAACAGGATTCAAATCCAGCCTGACTTCAGAGTCCAAGCTCTTACACATTCCACCTGTCTTGTTACCTTAATTCTTTTGTTCTTCTATCAACTAGAAACTTTGGCCATAAGGGTTCCCTATTATAGGCATGGATCACGTGGTTTTGCTTTTAGAAGTGTTACCGGAATGACTGCTTTGAAAAAACAGACTGAAGGCCTTGCCTCAGCTTTTGTAGCATCAGGAAGCCATAAGCAAGGTTTCTGGCAGCTGATGTTGGAGGAGGAGGAGGAAGAGGAGGCAGAGAAGGACGGAAGGGTGAGGATTGCTGAAGAGAAGTCTCAGTTGCAATTTTACCTGTATTCTGTTGGGATGGGGTAAGACCCGTGAGCGACGGTCAAAGGTCTGTCCCACGTGGTAAGGCGGGAACCGCCGCTGCCGGTACTGAGGGCGATACTGGGGGCGGCGCAGCTGATTCCGGGCCCCAGAGAACTGCCTATCAGTGGCAGGGGGGTCAAATCCTTCACTGCTGCCGCTCCCTTCCTCCTCCTCCTCCCCAGCGTACTAGCGAAGCAAAGAAACAGAGATTCAGAAGAAGTTTTAGCAAGGAAAGAACCAAAGAACACCATTTAGGATGAATATCACCAAAATAAAATCTCCCCAAAGCAATATAATCCTTTCCATTATACAGACAAAATGCATTTAACCCAGATTATCATGTGATTGCCTGGGATAAACTACATTAAGATTAGAGTAGATCTGTGCAGATAAAATACCAAGAAGCAGAAAAGCAAGAGCAATCAATCTACAATCAATTTAATAGTCATCTCATTAGAACTCGTATCAGCTAACCAACCACCCGAAGAGTATCTGCAAGGTTTATAATTTTTGCTCCATCAAATGCGTGTCTCCCAGCATTTACCATCCACTGAGGCAATGTCAGGGAAAAGCCAAAAAAGAATACATTTTATGATGTTACCAACATATTTGACCCAAGTGGTATTCTTCCTACAAGTCTGTAAAGTGTGGATGGGATTTCTGAAAACTTCCAGGGGGTCAGCGAGGTCAAACTATTGCCATAATATTACTAAGATGCTATTTGCCTTTCCCAGGCATTCTCTCAGAAGTATATGGTGGGGTCTCCCAAAGGCTACAATGACATGTGGTCTCTCAGCAGACTGAATGCAGAAACAGATGTGAGAATCCAGCTATCTTCTATTAAACCATACATCAGAGATCTGCAAAAGTATAAAGCAATACCACTCTTTTCAATTTAAATATTTTTTTTCCATAAAAACTGTTATTTTCATGAACATATAGTTATTTTTAATCAATTAACATTTTAAGTTTATTTTACTTTCTAATATAATATTAATATAAATAAACATTGACAAAAACTCTAGAATCCTCAATAACATGTAAGCATATAAACAGATCCCAAAATCAGGAAGTTTGAGAACCACTGACCTAAGGCATGACTCCCTTTATATGTTTAGGAGTAAAGCTTTAATCATACTTTGATGGTAGTAAGCCCTAATCCTGGAGGTTTCTAAATAATAGATCTTATTAATATTCACAAAGGAATTTACCGATTCATTTTATATTTTTCTTCTATTTAAATTATATCATATACTACCATTTTACATTTTAAAAAACCAAACATCCTACAAAGACTGTGATTTCAAGTCTTACTTTAAAGGGGATATGCAAATGTCTTTAATGGGAAGTAACTAGTTTTTAAAAATGAATAAATAAAAAAAGCAAAATAATGACCCATTACTTTTTTTTACAGGAGTGTATTTAAGCTTTGGACCCTTCCAGAACAAGTCCACATGTGCAACCAAACTCCCCCTCCAAAAAAGCCTCAACTAGTCTAACTTCAAAAAAAATCAAGTCATTCTACTCTTCATAAAACCTCTACCAAAGATGAGATTCACAATTATGTAAACGTTTATTTGCACAGAAAATGCTTACCAAAATATTAAGTGTGAGACAACATAAACTGTTTTTCTTCTTGGGCTTATCTTCCTCTTTTGCATTTCACACAATCAAATCTTTAAGAGTTTTACAAAGCATAATAATGGCACCAGCAATGCTGAACACACTCTTTTGAGAGATACTGAACAAGTTGTTGGGACTTAGATATTACAACAAAAAAGCTCATTTATGTATACTTTAAGAGTTTTAACAATTTTGTTTCTTAAGCGTTTTAACAATTTTGTTTCTAAATATCTTTTATATGCATGACTTTGGAATTTTCAGGTTTTGGACAGGAAAAGTCTTTAAGAAAAATTTTTCACTGAATGTTTTTCTACCACTTTTGCTTTTGAATTAACCTGGGAGTCAAAATAATCACAGTTAGCGCTCTGTGACTCTGATGAACTTCAAAGAGAACATGATGTAGGAAATGCTACAGCAGCTCATTCCTAGCTATCCCCCTCATAGCTTATTAAAAACCAAATAAGATAAGCAAAAACAAAGAAACAAGTGGGAAGTCCTAAGGAATCTGACAGAATTAATTTGGGCAGGATGTGATGATGGCAGAATAAGGAGGAAAAGCATTTAGGTAAACAGAAAGATATAAAGCTATCAAAACATAAAGATAGGTCATTCTCAATCTGCAGATATTTAATTCTGATGAGTTTTTCTTTGGATGAGACAGGCAGTCACAATCCTGTGCTGACAAACATTCGGAGTTTTCTTCAATGTGCCAATACCTGGTTCTAATTCTAGAAACACCAAGAATGATTCAAATCTAGTAAGTTTCTCATGACCACAAATATACTGGGTCCGTTTTGGGTGCCTTGAGAATACTCCTATAAACTGAGCCTCCCAAGAAAGCTCCAGCCAGATTTGTGACAAACTCTTTCCCCTGCATTGAAACCAACCTAAAGAACTAAAAATCCACAGAATCACTTATTGCTTCTTTACTTTGAAATAATGGAAAAATGCTATGCTAAATAAAACAGCCTCTTAACCAAGGCAAATTCGTTAATAGTTCTGTGGCCTGTACTTTTATTGCCTGTTCACAAGTTATTTCTCACTCTTTCACCAACCAAATTTTGATTTTCTTAGAGGTCAACAGTGTCGGCACCAAAGAATGAACAACAAGGTTAAGTCAATGATGGAAATCCATTCCCCTTTGCCAGTGAATGTCTGTGACTAGGTTCTGGCCAGAAAAAAGAGCCAAATGAAGAGAAACCTTGTTAAAAAAAACCTCAGCACTGTCTCCCTTAAGTCTTCCTGTTAAAAGATAATTAAATGTCTATTACTTGTAGCCAAATATATCCTAACTGATACAACTTCTGAATGGCAAGTGTCTAATGAGACCAGCGGCTCTGGAAAAGTTCTGAGCGCTAAAATTTCCCCTTAAGAGTACCGTGTATACTGCTCCAGTGATGGGTGCACCAAAATCTCAGAAATCACCACTAAAGAACTTATTCATGTAACTAATCACCACCGGTTTCCCAAAAACCTATGGAAATCAATAATACACATTTTAAAAAATAAGATAAAAATTTCCTCTAAAGAAAAAATAAAAATCACTTAAATCATTTGTCTCCAGGAGAAGACAAGGCATTTATCTGCTCCAAGTACATACACTTAATTCCATGCATGAACAATTTCTCAATCACTGGTTAAGTAACAGAGACAACGTACATTCCGGGGAGGGCCACGGCGCCTTCCATAGTAGCCACGTCTGTAACGGCGCCGATCTGCAGCGTAACGACTCCCTTCCACAGGAACTCCATCCGGGCCAGTCACATTGGCAGCTTCTGCACCCTGAGAAGAAAATAAAAAGATGGCCTCAAAATTAAAAAGAATATACACTAACTCAAAAAACAGCCTTGGACTGCTAGAGTATAAGACTGGCAGAACATACTAAGAATTCCCACTGTGATTTTAAAAACAGATCTAGGTTTTAAACAAAGTGAGCAAGGTACTTCACATCCTGATTTAAACATATATGGCTTGTTTGCTCATACAACCTGAGTTTTGCTTTCTTGTCTAGTAATGTCAATCGCAAAAGCAATGTGTAACCTCTTTAAAGAACATAAATTAGCAAATATACAACTGTCAAAGTAGAAGCAATGCTAGACCAGGAAGAATATTCCTCAATGGGAAAGACTTGAGATACTGTTATTTTCCTAGAATGTGTTGAAACCTATGTTAGTCTAGGAGGTACCAAGAGGACAATCCCTATTCATGGGCTCATATGATTCTCTGTCCAGCACAAAGGTACTGAGTGAAACTTCTCCTATTTTGGCAGCAACAAGAAGAAAGGGTCTTTGATGAATAATATTCTCCACACATGTAGTCCTTCTTTAGCCTTTCCTATTATCCTTGAAACAGATTTAGAATTCTTATTCTCATATGGACAAATGGAAAATGTTTCAAAAATGTTAAAAAAATGTAGACCAAGAAGATTTCAGAGAGTGTATTTCACACCCTACATCACTTTGTAAAACCCTGAGTTCTGAAAACATACAGAAGAAAAATCAACCCAAAACAATTTTTTAAAAATTGGATGGGATATCAGAGATCCTCACAGAGTGGCAGGTGCTGGTGAGTGATTTGAAAATCTAAAAGACTTACAAGATACCCTGGGGATCACACCGGTAAAGATAATCACTTAAATTTCTGCATCCAATGAAATAAATTGTTTTTCTTTTAAAACACAATGGTTTGAGAGCCATTAGGAACATGACCTATGGAATGGTATATGTGTATATGGGAGGAGCACATACAGGGAGTTAACCTCTCATCCAGTTAATTTATAATTCAGCTGCCATGATTAGCTGCCATGGCAGTTGTGCTATATGTAGTTTTAGCGTGTTTTTAATCTTACTCAATATTGTTTTACTAGTATCTATAACAGACTAAACACAAAGCATAAAGGGCATTACAGACACGGAATTAAATATATAACAGTATTAAAAACTTCTGTAGCTAGTCTTCAGGAAAATCCCTTAACTTCTTGGATTCAGTTCACCCGGACGAAGCTATCTTAGGGTCTATCAGGGTACCTTCAGCTTCCCAAAATCCAAGCCAAACAGAAAACAAAATGATTAATATTCAATTTCGATCTCCTTTTATTGGGATTAAAATATTCTTTACCATGTATTATTTGTAGGTAGAAGTGCTTACAAGTCAGCCTGAAAACTTTACTTTGATAAAAGAAATCTTTTGCCCCAAAGCAGTTTTTCTTTTCTTTTTTTTTTTTTAAAAAACGGAATCTTGCTCTGTCCCCCAGGCTGGAGTGCAATGTCTCAGTTCACTGCAAACTCCACCTCCCAGGTTCAAACGATTCTCCTGCCTCAGCCTCCTGAGTAGCCGGAATTACAGGAGTGCGACCACACTCAGATATTTTTGTAATTTTAGTAGAGACGGGTTTCACCATGTTGGCCAGGCTGGTCTTGAACTCCTGACCTCAGGAGATCCGCCTGCCTCAGCCTCCCAAAGTACTGGGATTACAGGTGTGGGCCACCACGCCCAGCTGCAAAGCACTTTTAATATATTGTTAATACATAAGATAGTTAAATTTTAATCTGCATTTCGAAATACATACCTTTGGTATAAAAATATAAATTATTTTTAAATTGAGAAATCAGCTTTTCTTTCCATAATCAGAGTTGATCATTTATTAAATAAGAAATTAAAGTATCTTTATTGCAGAATGTTTATAATGACAATGTCAAAAATATTTCTGCTAGCTGGGTGTGGTGGCTCACACCTGTAATCCCAGTACTTTGGGAGGCTGACACAGGTGGATCACCTAAGGTCAGGAGTTTCAAGACCAGCCTGGCCAACATGGTGAAACCCCGTCTCTACTAAAAATACAAAAATTAGCCGGGCGTGGTGGTGGATGCCTGTAATCCCAGCTATTAGGGAGACTGAGGCAGAGGAATCACTTGAACCTGGATGGTGGAAGTTGCAGTGAACCAAGATCGCGCCACTGCACTCCAGCCTGGGCAAGAGGGAGACCCCATCTTAAAAAAAAAAAAAATTCTGTTTAAAAGTCACTTCCTGCTATTGTACAAAAATTCCAAAGTCATGTCAATTCATAAGGGGCTGATAGATAATTTATTGTGCAACAGTACTATGTGCCAGCACTTTGATACCCAACCACAATTTCCTCTCACCTTCTCTCCTTCAACCACATCAAACTCTACAGTTTCTCCATCTCCTACACTGCGCAGATATTTCCGTGGGTTATTCTTCTTGATGGCAGTCTGGAAAGAGAACAGAAAATTTTATTCGATGTATATTTCAATATTGGCCACAGATTTCACTGCTTTCAAGTACACCAGAGTGAACTTGAAGAAACTGTTGACCGATTCTTATTTTTCCACCATTCTCCCACTAAGTTGGATCTCCAACACAACAACAAGAAAGCACTATAAAACTATATTCCACATTACTTCCTTGATTTGTGCTATTCATCTTGACAGGTGGATTAAACAGAACATGTTTTTTCTATAACTGCAGTGTGTGCAGTGACTACACACTACTGTTACAGGCTGATCACCTGATCATATCAGATGTATTAATTACCTCAAACCATTAAGCTTCAGAGATTCTCTGAATCTCCGGAGGAGGAAAGGAGGCAGTGATAAAGAAAAACAAATTAAAATGCCAAGGGGATAAATATTTCTGACGAGTAAACAAAATTATCTCAAGAATCAGAACGTATTAGTAATAATCTGGCCTCCCCCCTCTCCTCCCATTTTGCAGATGAGTTAACACGAGGCTAACAGTTAAAGTGATTTATCTGAAGTCACAACCGTAACAGCCCCAGGGATGATGGGGGAAGTGGAGGAGGGGGAATTCATATCCCTGTACTCTACCTATATGATATTTATTCAACTTTTCTCCCATCACACAATTCATGTCAACAAATCCTACATTCCCTGATAATACATTAAAAGGTTAGTGAAGATGCTATTCTTCATTAAACATCTACACCTAAATATCTGCTTATGAATAGGTGCTGCTCTCTCTTGTTCCATCAATGAAGGCAGAAAATAATTCCTGCCATGCATTTCCATTTCTTTGGCTGGTATCTCTAAACAGTTAAAGGGGCTTGCGTTTCTATGGAACTAGGTCAACCTTATTTTATAAAGCGATTAAGCATGTGTAATCCAGCCCGTCCCCTAACTCTGAGTAGGAGGGAAAAGAAATAGTGAGCCAACAGAGCAGAGACCTCACCCATAGAGGAAAAAAGGCAGTTCAGGACAGGCACGCAGCATGAACATTCAGCCATTCCAAAAACAGCCCCTCCCTGCCGGCTCGCTCCCTTTTTCCTGTTAAACTGGGCAAGCCTCAACACATTGAGGTGACTCACCACACAACCTCACGGGGGCTGGAATCGGGTCATATACTCACAGGCTAATAAAGCCAGCCACCAATACAGCAACTTCTGAGGACCTTGACTCTAGCAGTCTTCAGAATTCTTACCCTAAAAGGTCTATTAACCTCAAACCTCCAAGTATTATAAACAACACTATTATGACCCTAAAAGTCACTGTATCTGAACAAAATAAATCTACTCAAATTATCTAAATGCAACTGAGATATATCCAGTCAAGTAGAAATATAAACAATAGAAACCACAGCTAGATACCACTATCTCCAACTCCTACGGTCACTCCAATACACACACAAACCTAAACAGAAGGAAACAAAAACACAGAAAATCAGATGTATTCTGGATTTCTGCACTGCAAGAGAATGGGCTGGCATTAGTACCTGCTGCTCTATCTTCCTTATTGTTATACTCTGAGAACGCATATTTCAGACAATTCACTGAAAACTAAATAAACAAAAAGAACACTAAGGATAGTATTCCTTCTCTTAACCTATTTTATAAAGGAAGTCTAGGACATATTAATAACAGAATAAATAACATCCTAGGCTAATAAAGCAAAGAAAAACTGAGGCACCTATAGCAGAGAAGCTCCATATCTTACCCATTTCCTCTATTTCCTGCAAATCTAAGGGAATTTGCAGCTTTTGACCTGGACACGTCCTAACATGCCTCATTTAACAAGAGTGAGGGCTACCCTGGGAACTGGAAGTTTTCTCATCTTACTATCTGCTTCTCTGCGCTATTTACTTCAATTGAGAGCTGCTCTGACAGAGGAGCTTTAACCAATACCTACCCAGGCAGAAGCCAGATTGGCTCCAGGCAAACACTAAGGAGGAACCACATCAGGAGAACAGGATGCTAAAAGGGAAACAGACTTTTCTTTTTTTTGCTAAGGACTCAAAGGCTTTAAAAATTAGAAAGTGGTCTAACCAAATATCACTTTATACAACTGCAAAAATAAAACTATTTGAAAACAGTTAATATGATGGGGTAGAAGAACTTATTTGCCAATCTTAAAATGTGGAACTGAACTCCTGTTGCAAAATAAATCACAGAAAGAGTTTAGATTAAAATAATAATCCATAGGACTTACTTTTGGGAAAGGGCTGACAGAAGATTACACACCCTCTCCTCACATAGCAAATGTAGTATTTATAATCCCTCTTACCTGATGTACAAATACATCTTCTTTGGTGTCATTTCTGTTGAAAGACAAAAAGCTCACAATTAAAGGTAGTACGTATGTGGAAAAACTTAAAAGAACCTATGTGTTATGAATTTAACTCCCAAGTCCTCAAAACACAACATATATTTTCACTTATTTTCTACACTCAATTCAGACACCTAAAATCCTTGTTAAACATTTCTAACTCCACAGGCCACCCACCTTCCTCCTCCACATTGCCACAGTGCTTAGATCCAAGCTCACAGACTCAACATACAGAAACATCCCGTTCCTCTGTCTCTTTCTGAATCACATGGTGTGTAATCAGAGCCTCAGATTTTCCTCCCAGCAAAAGCAAAGCAAGACAGTTAAAAGGACAGGGCACAGCTGTGAACTAGGCTCTCCTTACACTGAAACTTAAAACAGCCCCCCACCCCCACCCCACCAAAGGAGACAAGAAATTGGAGGACTTTAAGAAGGGGTGGGAAAGCAAAGAAAATGCCGATATCATGTGAAAACCTCATAATACTCCCAGCATCTTGTAGTTATGTTCTCATTCCTGTACGGTTAAAAGTTACCACAGTTTACAGTTTCTACATAGGACTGGACCAGAAGTGAGTTAAAGATCCAGCTCAATGACTCACTAGTTGGGTGACCTTAGGAAAGCTGCTTAACCAGTGTAAGACTCCGTTTCTCCATCTGTGAAATTATGGATATGGTCTCATTTATCCTAAGGCCCTTCCCATTTCTGATTTTATCTCCCCCTCCTTTTCTTCCTTAATGACTAGATTTTATGAAATAAGTTATTTATTAGTGTCCTGGAAATGTATTTTAAGTAATATTTAACAACCAGTAGCTTAGAAATGAGAATATTTACAGTGCTTAGAAACCTAAAAAATTTATATAAGCCATTAATGAAGGCTAAGGGATTTATAACTCCTGGTGCCACAATGTAAGTATAAACTTAAAACATGCAAATATACACACACACATACCGATTTATAAATCCATATCCATTTCTGACGTTGAACCATTTGACAGTGCCAAGGACTTTGGTGGCTAAAATAGGATTAAGCAGATAAATTAGTATCTGACCTACAGAGAGATATAGCTCATATCACTAAGATCTTGATAACATTAGACAAAGCCTAAACATACCTAAAGAAACCATTAAAAGCTTAATTCCAAAATACTTTAGAAAAAGAAAATGGAGCAAGCCAAGATCTCATAAGGAAATACTTTTCAGAAGACTAAACCTTTCTTCCTTATTCAACTTTTCAGGAAACTCGCAAGATAAGGAGTGGTTATAAGTCTATACAATTCTGTAATCATTAAAATTGAGAAACACTGAAGGAAAAAAAGAATGTTCAAGATGAATGTTCCAAGTTTTAACCTAGACAAATTTTATAAGTTCAAAATAGGAGCTACAATAAAAGAGTGAAAGACCTTAACACATCACTTTCATACTTGGAAATATTAGGCAAACTTTAATGAGAAACAAGGTGGCTCCTTGTTAACAGGCAATCTACAAAGACGTAAAGCAACTTGTCCAGTCGCCAAGTGGGAGCTCATCAGAGGAGTCAAGAATAATTATAGAACTGCTGCTGTCTCAATCCAGTTCTGTACTTACCACTCTGAGACGTGATATAACAGGTCTTTTCAAATCACATGATGAATTTGGGCTTGTTTCTTTGTTTACCTTGCTCTCTACAGTTTTGCGAATCAAACTTAAGCATTTTTCCATAAAATCCCCCTCTTTACCATAATGGTTGTCTCTACCTCATGAGCAGGACCACTTCTCTACAATGCCTGATTTTAGCAGAATTGAGAGAAGGAATCTAAACAAAATAAAACTTCATGTAACTTGTATTTTGTAGGTTTATATTTATCTCAACTATTTCAAATATGATCTTTGGAATCAATTATGAATGACAAATTCAGTACTTCTAGGAAATGCCCCTGTCTCAATTCAGGAAGTGCAAAAAGCAATTATAAAGACTCAATGAAACAGGAAACCTGATAATAGATTACCTTAAAGAAAAAATAAAGAAAAAAGCCTCAGTAGAGAATGAAAGTAATTATTAACATCAATCCATACTGTCTTTTCATAAGATACAAAGTTTATAATTTCCAAGGATAAACAATAAGGCTTCACTTTTAAATTCAAAACTAAAATAGTAATTAAGACTTGCTCTGTTGTAGGCAGGGGTAGTTCTGAAGTTTGCTAGACTGATACACTTGGGAAAATACTTTAGCTCTCTTTGTTGGGGGAAAGAAAATCCAAAACAAAAAAAACATGTCTTTATATCTCCAAAGTTATGCAGTCTACACTGATGAGGCATTCTCCAGCTTTAATTCCAAAGATCTCTCATCTCTCCAAAGGAGAGATCAAACCCAGGCCATCTTACGTTTGAGGCCACTCTGATTGGAGCAGCAAGGCAAAGGAGAAAAAAACAGTTGATGTTTTCGATGCAAATGTACACAGTAGAGGCCTGTTTTTGATACATTATATGCATTTAAGTCAGGCAATATTCCAAATAATATGCGTTTAGTGCCTCTTTTCATTTGCCCAAAAAATTAATTACCTGGGAAAATATAAAGACTGGAACTGTTTTTAATATCTAGCATTGTTGAAGGAATAATCTTGATTAAAATGACAATACTAATAATAAAGGAAAAAGATGATAAATAATTCTCAGGTCTAACCTCAATCCAAGCTGAAGGTTATTTTTACTCTCCAATGTAGTTTAAAAAAGTTTCGTAATTCCGCAAATACTTCTCCAAGGACTTCTTATGATCAAATTCATTCCCACGTCTTGCTTTAAACCATAAACCCACTTCATATACACTAAGGGGAAGGGTTGGGGAGGAAGACCATAGATTTCCATAACATTTATCAGAAGGAAAATTTTTTTGCACTCATGAAAACTATTTTTCCTGGCCTATGTGCTTATAAACTCAAGTGAAGGCCCATTTGCAAATACTAGAACATATCCATTTTAGTCAGCATTGTGCCTAGTACATCTTAGGCATCTATGTGTTTGCTTGGCAAAGGAAAGGGGATGGCAGGACACACTAGACAGAGACAAACAGTGTTGAGGTGTCACGTAGAAAGGGCTGTCCTTCATTTTTAGAGAGACGCAGTAAGAGTGGAAAGATAAAAGGCATCAGACTCATCACCAGGGATCTGCAGAGGCAGTTGCTTGAGGAAATTAACCTTCATTTATCTGTTTCCTTCATCTTTAAAGATAGTATCTGCTTTCCCAATCTCAGAACAGTACAGGATTAAGTGAAAAACCGCAAAAGCTTTCTACAAAATAAGGTATCATTAACAATGTTATCCTAACACTGCTTTGGAGAACACAAGGTTTTCTCTCTCAGACATCTGGCAGAAAGTGTTCCAAGAAATATTTGCTAGAAACAACATCACAATGTACTACTGACTAGATTTAAGCAACTTTTAGTCCAGCAAAATCAGGCCTATTTTGTTTCTTAACCTACACAGGTTACAATTAGCATGTTGTTTGGTAGGGACTTAGTAAAAGCCCTAGAAAAAAAAAACAAGAAAATAGTCCTCTCAAGGTGGGGAATATTGAATACACTTCTCTCACATTGCTCCCTCAACTTTCTTCCCAAAGGGGAAGTAGGGCTCAGAGAGATGAGACAAACATGCCCCACCCCAAATAGTGAAGAGGTCTCCGAAGCATCCTACACCATCTGTTAACGTTCCTGTTTATAAGAGCGAACGATATGGACACACACCCTTTAGGGAGGTTATTCACCACCCACCTGCTTTGCAAGCGTTTAAGAACTCACACAGGGGCGTTACTTACGAAAAGAACGCTTGTTATGTGACTAAACCAACAACCATCACAGAAACCCTTTCCATCCACTGCCCCCCCAAATCTCAACATTTCATCTTCCTGTTTCCCTTCCTACGTTACAAGTGCCAAGGTAACAATGTTTTGAACTAACGTCATACCCCCACTTCCGACAAAGTTTTTTCAGCTGCTACACCACGTGCGTTCCCACAGTCCGGGAAGAGGGAAGCGTGTAGCCATTGGTGGACACTGAATGGCTGTTTGCAGCCGTGGGCACAGAGAGGGGGAGGAAGACGTGGGACTAAGACCCAAGTTTCCCGGAGACGATTGCAACATCTCTTTGCTGGCATGTGGCCAACAGGAGCATGGCGTCTTTCCCATGCCCATGTGGGAAGGGCGTCAGGGACAGACACCTGACCCTTCCTGGCAAGAAGCTTTTCTATCTTTCCCTCCCCGTCTCCTTCTAGCGCCCTCCTCTTCCCCAAAGGAAATGCTCTCCTTTCCCAGATCCCAAGCAAGGACCCCAAAGCGCCAGGCCCACGTGTCGGTCCTTCCCCTACATCCATCCCTACCCAAGGTCCCCTCTCCCAGACTGCCTCTCCTTTCTTCTCCAAACGCAGGCATTTTCCACCACGCGAATCCGCAACAGTGCCCGTCTGGGAGACAGAAGTTAAGACCTAAACTTTCTGGCCCGGAACCAGAAGGGAGATGCACACGGCCGCCAGGAGCGCAGGGCGCAGCGCGCTCACCTGGGAGCGCCGGCAAGGGAGGCGGCCAGCGCTGGGGACCCGGAGACCCCTGGGGACCCGGAGATCCCTGGGGACCCTGTGCTGTCAGCGTCTCCAGCCCGGGTGGGAGATGTAGCGCGAGCTGCCCACACGTGCTCCGCGGCCGGCTGGGCCCGCCCCACTACGGCAGCCCCTGCCCTCCCTGGCCTGACTCACCGAGAACTTTTTTCTCCGCGTCTTCGCTGCCGGCGGCGGTGGCTAAAGAGGCGGCGGCCGCGGTGCCCGTGGCTGCGGGGGCCGCGTCCCCACCGGGGTTTCCTGCGACGTGGGCGGCGGGCGCCGGGGCCGCGGCCTGGGGCGCACCGCTGCCCACCGGGCTCTTGGGCGCGGGGTCCTGGGGAGCCGCGGCGGCCGCCTCCGTCGGAGCCTGCGGGAGGGTGGTGGTGGTGGTGGTGGTGGCCTCGCCCGCCTCACTCATGCCTCCTCCTCCTCTGCTCTCGCTCAGGCGCCTCGGTGGCGGTTGGTCGGCGGTTAGCGCGGCTGGTGGTCGCGGCGGCCGGGGCTCGCTCTCGGGGAGGCCGGGGCGGATCTCGCGGCGCAGGCGGCGGCGGCCGAGGTGGGGTCGCGCGGCGGAGGCGGCTCGAGCTTCGTGCTGCGCGCTCTCTCTTGGGCTCCTCGCTCGATCTTACTGCCCCAAAAATGGCCCCGCACAAGTTTTTCTAGGCGGCGCACCGGCCCGGGAGGGAAGGGCGGGCGAGGGGAGAGGGTGGGGAAACTTGGCTCGGGAGTCGGGCCCTGGACTCTCATTAGCATTTAAAGGCGCCCGGTGCGCTTTCTATGGCTCCAATCCGCCGGGACGCGAGCGCGCGGGTCGCGTTGCAGAACCAAGGAAAGCCAGGGTGAACGGGGCGCCCGGGTTGTCTTCTGGAGCGTTCCGAGGAGCCCGCGCTGCTGACCCTTTGTTGGAGCGGGGTGCATTGGCTCTCCTCCCTCAACCCGTCTTGACACCCGCAGCTGACAAGGAGAGGTAAAATAGGGCACCCAAACTACTCTGCGCTTTACCCTCTCAAACACTTGTTTTTAAATCCTTTGCATCTAGTCAGTCATTCAACATGTATCAAGCACCAGCAGCTATTCGTAGCACAGCTGTTAAGACCTGGAATAATAAAACCTTAAGACTATTTGGCAACTTACTCCTGAAAGGTAATATACGGATAATTTCATCTGTAACACGCAGATGAGGAAATTGACCTCACAGATTTAATGTAAATTCAGAGTTTACACCAATTTAACCGCAACAAATAAGGAGCTGTCAATATATATTTAATAAGGAACACACACAAAAAAAGCTGAATAAATCCACTTCCTACCTTCTGCTCCAGTTGCCTCTGCCAGCTGGTGAAAGCTTAAGGAACTGAGCCCTCTTAGCCTCGAGGATGAGAGGTATAGAGAAACAGATCACCCAATAAACATTATTCCCAAGTTGAAGAGCCCACATGCCCTTTGAGAATGGGCTGGATGGTAGTAAACACAGGGCCAGAGGGTCTGGGATCTGTACCCAAAGACTGTCTGGAATACAGGACTATTTGGCCCCTAGGGTTCAGACAGACTAGGTATAAATTCTGGCTTTGTTTTTTATTAACCAGGTTAACTTGGGACAGAGATTCAATGTCCCAGAGTCGGTTTCCTGCTTTATGAGAGGTTCTCAAAGGTGACATGAAAAGTAGATGAGATTATCATGTGTCACTCCAGTGTCCGGTCCACCTAAAGCTCCTTTGTTTTGTTTGTTTTTTAAGTTATTGCCTGTTCCCTCAAACAATTTACCAAATTTTTTTCCAGGAATATGTCTGTAATGTCGATGTCTACCTTAACATCAGTAGGGTAACTATCAAGTGTAATTCATCTTTGTATCTCCACTGGTTAGTACAGTACGTAGCACAGAGTTTGGACATAGTGAATGTTTACAAAATGAAAACAGACCAAATTCTTCCAAACTCAATTACTTATCTGCACATTTGCTATCAATTATTATGAAACTTTCCTGAATTCTTACTTTCTTATTTCATCCACAAAAAACACAAAGAAAATAAGTTATTTGAAAAAATAGCAAATTATGTAATTTTGAGCTTTTCTATGTAATTCATCAATATTTAAAAAATTACAAACTCTTAAATGTTAGATTCATATTTTAGTTTGACTTCAGTATGGAGCATACAGTGATGTTATATAAATGTAGATGCTTTTAAAATGCTGGTCTAATTCTAAGAATGATTAAATTATTTCTTCATGTGAAAGATTATGGTCTTAATTACAATTAAATTATAAACATGATTTATTCTGGTGAGGACTGACCATTGACTTTCTTATTCAGCAAAATGATTATCATTGCTATTTACCTTTCAGAATTACATTACAAGAAAAAAAAGTAAGGAGATTGAACTCTTCAAACCGATCCAACAGTAAAGCCTTTTAAAAAAATTCATCCTTGGAAGTAATTCATAACTAACAGGTGTGATCTCCAACCTCTGGAAGACCCTAAAATAATTACAGATGCACCCTGGGATTTCCTAGAATTTGTGCTGGACTGGCTTCCAAAACTACTCATCATTGTCATCCAAACAAAGCAGTGAGCAGCTGGAAGTTGTTGGTATTGTACTAAATAAATCTAAAGAAAATTAGAACAAATATGATCTATGTTTTAATAATCATAAGTAGGAAGCAACTTGGATACAGATACACATAAATTTATCCATTCCTTCATTCACTAATTCATACACTCATATTTGCTAAGCAAATGCTATGTCCCGGACAAAGTACACCATTGTGAGTATCCAATGTTGACCAAAATGGAGCCGGTTGTAAGGTCTTTTGATATGATGTTAAAATTATTTTTCACTATCAACATTTCTATTGTAAGACAATATCATCATTTACTAAGTTTAAGAGTAAGTCAACAAAGAATTATAATCTAATTGCTGACAGCAGTCATTTTTAAGCAATTATTGGTTTGATCATAAAAACAAATGCCACTCTGTTCCTAGTATGGAGGAAGTTAAAGCTCTCACAACTGTTGGAAGGGCTGAAGGAGGGAAACTCAGAGAAGCTCCACTGAAGATCTCAGCCTCCAGTCCCCAAGACAGTGGTTCTCAGGAGTTCTCCTGAAGCCACTGGAGCCACAAGATCTTTCGGAAGTTCTCAGCAATTCAGGGCTGGATTCAGGTTTTGTGATGCTTAAAACTAATACAATTTAGAGAGCCCTTTTTGAGATAAAATAAAGTTATGAATACTAAAATGCTAGGACTGCTCCCAGAGTCTTCGAAAGGGTCCGTGCAAGACAGGAGCCCTGAAATTTAAACTTCATTAGCTTTACTCCTGCACCTGCTATCTCAGTCAGCAACACCGATGCAGTAAGTCCTCAAGAAGTTCATCTGGAAGCAGCTTTGATGCCGATGCATCTTTCTATAACTGACTCTGGTATATAATGGTCTTCTCTTCTTCCTTCTAAACTTTGAGCGAAAGGCTCTCATTGTTAGATTCCAACTTGGAAATATACAGGCCGGGAGGGAGATTCTGGGAAATGTAGTCTCTGCATTTGAAGAAGCTAAAGTTGATGCTAAATTGACAGGAGGCTATCCAGCATATCACCCTAAGGAAGAAAATGCAATTAATTGACTAAGGAGATTGAGGAGAATTCAAGTTATTCAAGGGACTGGAGCTTAAAATAAGGAAGCTTTGTGTATTAGCATATTTGAAACTGGAAAACAGTGAAGTATTAATCTCAACTTAATTGATACAAAAAAGAACATGAGGGAAATGGTCAGTTTGGAACAAAAAAGTGCAAGAATAAGAGAGTAAAGGTATTTCAGGATGTCTCCAGCAATGTTCAGGGGGAGAGTGGACCTTGGTTATCACGCTCTGTTTGGCACTCAGTAGTAATGCATTCAGCACATTTATTAATCATTGCAATTTGGTGCTAAGAACATCATGCAAAACAGGCAGGAATGCCCCTGTATTGAATGAATTAATGGTATAGACCCATACTGTCCCATTGGAAATATAATTTGAGCCCCAAATGTGAACCAAATATTTAATTTTAAATTTTCAAGCAGCCACAATAAAACAGTAAAAAACAGATGAAATTAATTTTAATAGATTTTACCTAACTTAATCAATATAAAATATATATTATTTCCACATTTAATCAAGGGTAAAACCATGAATGATGTATTCTACATTCCTCTTTTTTTTTTTTTTTGGTACTATCTTCAAAGTGTGTATCTTACACTTCTAAGACATCTCAATTTGAACTCACATTTAAAGAGTTCGGTGTGGCTGATGACTACCATATTGAGTAGCACAAGCCTTCTAGACAATTAGAAGTTTAACCTGAATAATTCTTCAGGATTCCATTGGGAAAAAGTCCTGGGCCTGAAAGCTGGACCATACATCAGTCTGTGGCTACCCAGCAAGATAATGCTACCTGTTGGGCTGGTTTGAGCTTCCTTTGTGACATATAATATCCAAAGAATTTACATGAACCATAATGCCATAATTCTGAATAACTCTATAATGATGTCACTGATGATCTCTAGGGCATGTAAACAAAGTGAATTTACAATATCCATTCCCTGTCACCACTGCCTTTATGGACTATGCTTCTTCTTTAACTTTCACATATATTGGCCTACCATAATGAAGATGTATTATAGGATTTCTTCCTTTTCATTAAGAGAACTGAGAATATGGTGGGGAATTGGCTGTGACTTTACTCTCCCCTATGGGAAGCTGGATTTAGAGTTCAGAAAATGTTGCACCTCTAGACCTGAAATTATTAAGCAGGAGGAAAAAAAAAAACAAGCGATTACTGAGAAGTTTTGAAAAACCTGATTATTTCAGCATATATTGATTTTATATAAAAGTTCCAGCTTCTAAGTGACTTTGTTGCATTTGTTTTGCTTCTACTTATTTTCTTAACTATTTAGATGTGTTCTTAGTGTTTAAAGACTAGGAGATTGGTACAGTTTTGGTGGAAGAACTTGACAAGATTATCTGATAAGTAAGAACTAGAAAGAAATGTATCCATCTCAACCCCACTCATTTTAAAAACAAGGAATTGCAGTTCAGAGATTAACTGACTTTCTCGAACTAATTTATGTATTTAGTGGCAAAGCTAGAACCAAAACCTGAGTCTCCTTATACCCAATTCAGCGCCCTTGCCACCATAAAATTCTGATTGACAAAATGTCAATGCTGTAGCATTGAGTCCCCTCAAAAATAAAGCAAGGCAGCACTTTGGGAGGCCGAGGCGGGTGGGTCACTTGAGCCCAGGAGTTCAGGACCAGCCTGGACAGCATAGCAAAACCCCGTCTCTACAACAAACAAACAAAACAAAAACCAGCAAAAATTAGCTGTGCTGGACATGGTGGTGCATGCCTGTAGTCCCAGCTACTCAGGGCTACTCAGGAGGCTGAGGTGGGAGGATCACTTGAGCCCGGGAGGTCGAGGCTGCAGTGAACCATGATCATGCCACTGTGCTCTAGCCTGGGTGACAGAGTGAGATCCTGTCTTAAGAAAAGAAATAAAGCAAGGCTCTCTGGCCACTGAAGGTAATGTTCAGATCTTTCCAATTAGGACCTCTGGAGAGGAAACCAAACAGCTGTGTGCAATTTTATTTTACAGCATTTTGGAACGTTCTGAAACAATGAATAAAATATATTCTCTTCTTCCTAAAAAAGCTTTATTCTGTCTCTTTTTGCACATACTATTTTTTCTCTTTTTTTCTGTTTTAATCTGCTTTCTTTATTCTTTTAACTTTCTTTGTCACCTCCCTTTATGTCCTCACTTGTTTAGGAATTAAATCTCAGAGAATGTCAAGTCTAGATTCTTGTCTAGAAGATATAGTGTCTTTTATTTCTTGGTAGATATCATAATTCTTAAAAATGCACTCTCAAACAGCAAACAAAGAGGAAAAGGGACTCTCAAACAGCAAACAGAGAGGAAAATCATCCAATGTGTCTCTTCTTCAGTTTTCAAAGAATTTTTCAAAATTCTTCCTTCTCTTCTCTTTGAATTGAACTCTTCCTTTTAGTCAGACTTTCATTTGATCTCTATTAGCATCCCTAGTGGCTCACCGTAATGATCTATTTAAATACTCATCTTTTGGAGACATCTGTTTAATTGGATTTTGATGTTCCTTTAACATGGGAACTTTGGAGTAGAAATTGAGAATGAGAAAATTTGGGAGAAAGAAAACTGGTTCCTAAGAAAATTCCAAGAGAGAAAGATTTGTTAAAATTCCATCCAAGTTTTAACTTCCAAATGATAAGGTAATTATATATATATATATATATATATATATATATATATATATGTTCAAAAAAATGCATGTGCACATGCACACACACACACACAGACGACCACAAAATAGTAGTATTTGCTAATGTATATCTGAATATGTATTTATTTTGACATTATGGACTAAATATAAACAAGAAGTATAATATCTGCTTCTTTCAAGGGTTTAGATCTCCAGAAATTTTACTGTACTGTGAGCAAAATATTTCTAGTTTTTTATTTTCTTTTATTTTGCTTTTGCCAAATCCCTTGCATCCATCACTGTTGGTCTTTTCGTAAGCGTGGCATGGTAGGGAGCAGAATTTTAGCAAAAACGAGTATTATGATGGGATAACTATTTGTTTGGGGTGCTATAGAAAAATACCTTAGACTGGGTACTTTCTAAACAACAGAAATGCATTGCTTAAAGTTTTGGAGGCTGGGAAGTTGCAGATCAAGGCACCAGCAGGTTTGGTGTCTGGTGAAGGCCTGTTCTTCATAGATGTTGCCTTCAGTGGGTCCTTACATGGTGGAAGGACAAAAAGGCTAACAAGCTCCCTTGGGTCTCTTTTGGGTGCCAATCCTATTGGTGAGGTCCTGTGCTCATGACCTAAATGCCCCCAAAAGGTCCCATCTCCTAATGCCATCGCTTTGGTGATTAGGCTTCAACATATGAATTGTGGAGAGACACAAACATTCAGACCATGGAACCTATGTCTTTACTAGCATGTATTTTACTACCATTTCCATTTATAGATCAGCTTGCTGCAAATTTCCAGAAACACATCAACCTAATGATATTTTACTTTAAATCATAAAATATAGTTTTAAAATAGTTTTAGTAAAATAATTTTTATTCTATTGTATTCTTTTTTTGCAACCTGCAGTGATTTGCAACATTAACTCTCAAGCCAGCTTTTTCTTCTCTTTGACTTTTTATTAAATTTAAGATGAAAAAGAGTAATCAATAATAGAATGGTTTTATTAATAAAGACAGATCAATTTTACAGTTTTTCAAGATAAATGTTTTAGAGTTTGAAGCTATACTACTCTAGAAGTACCCACAGTGAAATTTTACATGGAAAATTAAGAAACAAAACTAGGAGTCTTGAAATATCAAAGGGATAAACTTAAATTCAGGTAGGTTAATTTGTAAAAACAAGATTGCAAGGATCAGCTGGAATGGTTTGGTTTGTTTTCTGAGGGGGTTACTTTTTTTGTTGTTGGTGAGTTGAGTGATGATTTATATATATATATATATTATTATTATTTTGGGGGCCATCCTAAAAAAAACGCACTAAGCTAAAAACCTGTATGTTAGAATAGAAGACAATATTAAAAAGTATGTTCCAGTAAAGACACGTACTGTTTGGCTATGGCTACTCCCATTCTCCTGTATGTCAATTTCATGAATTTCTATTCAAATTCAGGATTCATAACCTATAACTACCATGAAATATAAAATATTTCCCCAAAGTATGGAACCTGATGTCTAAAAGGACCCATTAGGCATACTGGGGCCTAAGAAAATAAAAGAATGCCATTTTATTTGAATTGCACTGATGTGTATAACTAGCTATTTTAATGTATCTAATAAGTGTAAAACAGAAGAACAGAAGTTAAATTGTACCAAGAAGGAACTTGGTTTGGTAGCATCAAAATGTGAGAGGGTGAGAAATTCCATCATGTGACAAAATGACTTTGAGGTATCCCTTTGAGGTAGCTACAATCTTTGTGGGCAGGGAGTTGATTAATGGTTGGATGTAGTCTGGGCTGTCTGTGAAAAGGCCATTAAAATATACTCAATTAGGACTTGACTGTCCAGATTTGACAGGAGTAGGAATCTGCTATGGAGGGTTATCCACACTCCACTGCATCACTCAACTCTTCTTTATAGATTAGGAAATAAGATTCACTATGAAGGCTCAGCAGGTATAACTGGGCACACCTTATTCTTGGTTTCCAATCTCAGTGTATTCTGGTCCTTCAAGATTAGTTGGCACTTTCCTGACCTTTATTATGGCTGGAACTCTTAAGCAAGCCGTACATACCTGCAGAAATAGGCCACAGTGCTGTTTGAGTTAGAAGTCTGTCGAGAAAAAGCTGGATTGGGGTTACTGATGCCTTTTGCTCCACATGGGGACCAACGCCTGTTGAGAGTAAATTTGGTAATCAGAGGATCCCTCTCATTTCCTGCAAACAAAAACTGGAAAGAAGAGACAAAAATATCTTATGAGTAGAGACTCTTATAATTTCATTTGTCCTTAACTCTCAGTCCAGTTCATTTTTCTTTTTTACTTTTTTATTTTCTTTACAGACAGGGTCTCGCTCTGTCACCCAGGCTGGAATGAAGTGGCACCGTCATAACTCACTGCAAACTGCATTTTCCAGGCTTAAGAGATCCTGCCTCTCCTGCCTCAACCTCCTGAGTAGCTGGGAATACAACCATGTTGCTATGTTGCTCAAACTCCTGGCCTCAAGTGATCCTCCTACCTCAGCCTCCTGCCTCAGCCTCCCAAACTGCTGGATTACAGGCTTGAGCCACAACACTTGGCCAGTTCATTTTTTTAATCCATCAACTTCTCAGGCCTTTCTCTGGTTTGTTGTATTCTGTGGTTTTGAAGGTGGCACAATTACTTGAATATGAACAGGAAGCACTCTTCATCTGGTACCTACCATGGTCTGCGTACTAAACGGGGACCTTGTATTTATCATTTCTAATCTTTACACCAGCTCAGCAAGTTTGGTGTTATCATAATTTTACAGATGAGGAAACCAAAACTCAGAATGGTTACTAGATTTGCTTAAGATCATAAAGCTAGTAGGTCATAAAATAGGGATTCAAACTGAGACTCATCAGGGTCCAAAGTCAGGACCATCTCCTCAACTCTATACTGACATTCATTCCTCTTGTCCTTATCCATGCGGATTATGTGAGACTATCAGTTCTGGAAAGTAATTAAGTACACGTTCAGAGAGGCGAGTTTGTTTAAAAATTATAGGGGAAGCTACATCATTATACGCTTACCTTAATCCTCCTGTCTCCCTCCATCTCTGTCAAGCTCCGAGGCTCAGAAATATGGAGGCAAAGAGTGGAGGGGAAAGGATGTGTGTGGAGTGAGACAAGTGACAAGGCTAGGGCTGTTTTTCTATTTTTATATACATTGATTTTTTATGTGTATATTTTTTCTTGTTTCTATCTTACATACAAGCTAGAATTAACATAAATTTCCCCTTCTGCTATGCTACCCCAACTCCATTTAAATTTCCAACTTGATTATGTAAATTAAATTGCATGTTATTTATGTTGCAATAGAAGAGTCAGAGAGAATTCTGACTAACTGGATTTGTTTCCGTGATTTTCTTTTTCCTTATTCCAGAAAGCTAAGTTTTTGGCAGTTGGTAGTTTGCAGGACTGAAAGCAGAAGCTGCTTCCAGAAGACCCCCCCACCCAACCGCCCTCTTAATTTTGTGAGAATCCAAGCCCACTGGAGAAATTATGCCAGGAAATTCAGAGTGGAAGGGGAAAAGAGTTAGTGTCTGAAGGAAGATATGCGAAAGCAGAATTCAGGTTAAGAAGAGTCTCAAGCCTGGGGAAAAAACAGTAAGCTCCTCTGTGTAACTGGGACTGTGGCTGTTCCCTCTGGTGCTGCCTGGAAGGACTTTGAAATGTGGAGGATATCTTCATAGTAGGCACATTTGAGTAGCACCCTGTTCCTCAAGGCTCTCAATTCTAGCAAAGATTCCCATGAACACTGTGGTGCAGAGCCACAGAACCACTGGACTTGGGCATTCCTGCAAGCTGGACAGCGTTCATCTCAGCAGTAAGTGGTCAGAATCTAGATTAAAGACTAAACAGCATGCTCTATTGAAGATGGGATGGACGTGACGAGGAGGGGATGGATTTGGGATGGATTCCCCCAAACAAAATTAATTTTAAGTGAAAGAAAATAATGTCGGCTGATTTTTTTTTTTTTTTTTTGTCTCCGACATCCATTCTTTACCATTTTTCTCCCTGCTCTGTGCCCCAGAGAATGAACCACTTTGAACAGCTTCTACAGGCTTCTTTGCTCTGGCTTCCAGCTGGGTCCAATCATTGGAGGGCACTGCAGAAGAAGAGAATGGAGTGACTTGGGATATTTATTTCCAAGGATCCCTCTCTTCAGAGTCCCTTTCCTGAAGGCAGCAAATACCGTCTGGCGGCCCCGTCTAGTCTGGGTTGGGTTCTGGAAACAATTTCCTCTCTGCACTCTCAAACCCTAGGATCTTTATAAGCTTCCCTGAGGGTGCTTCACCATTCCTGGTTGATTTCCCCTAATCCTACCTACACATTTTACGGTATTTTGTTGTCGTTGTTGTTAAAAATCTCAATTAATTGCCTTTTATCATGCTTTTTCCTGCCAGGGCCCTGACTGATACATGATATGACTTTTTTTCCCACCACACCCAAATATGTGGACTACGATTCATGTCTCTTATATATGCCTTCCCCCCGGCCCCCCTGCCACTGGAATTACCAAAGTATTTGTGTGGTCCATATCGGAGCCATGGGTAGATTACAACTCTTAACACTGAAGCCAAATCATTTTGAAATTTTAGCACCGAAAGTCCCACATCCTGGGAAATGCCTTAGTCCCAGGCAAACTGGATGACTGGTCAGCCTAGCTGTGACTCTGGTATAGATTTGGGTGTGCACTTTCACAAGTCCCTAGTGATATGTGTCTAGCAGACCATGGTGAGACTGTTTGAAAGTTACTACACAATTACACATATAAGATTGTCCAGCAGAAGATAAAGAAATTAAATGAGGGTAAATACAATCCTGTTCTGGTGTTTAGCATTACCTGGAGAGTACTTTTTGGGGGCCTGACTATAAGACCATCATTTCAGAATGGACTGTTAAAAATTAAACTTCTGCTCTAAGGTGGTGGCGTTATGTTTTCAGAATCCTGGGCACAAGGCAAACATCATTTCCTCAAACTTGGACATGCCATCTGACACATGGTTTAACATGATGGGACAGATGACAGAACCTGGAAATGCCACTTAGATTAAGTTGGAGATGATTACCTACCAGAAACCGAGAGTGTTTTTAGGAGACACAATTTCCATCCCAAGAGAGAAGACATTTCTATCTTGATTAAGGCTCAATAATGAGGTTGCAGGTAGCTGAGAAAGGAAGATGACCTCTGGAACTTCTGGGGATGTCAACCTCAGGAAGCCACTACTGCTCTCAAGTCATGTGTTTCTGAGACTAGTTCAAGATACTTGACAGCTGGTTCTGGGTTCTTAAAACCAGAGAAGATTGTAGGTAAACATCCCAAATGTTGCCAGAAAGCTCGGGGAAGCTGACTATATTCATAGTAAGGTTAGCTGGCCCATTCAGCCCTGGTATGGGCAGGAGCAAAGCTGAGCGTCCTTCTGTCTGCAAAGCCTAATCTGACTGTACTCAATCCCTTTGCCAAACTTCTCTCAACTAGTGAATCTGGTAAAAGAAACTGTTTCCTTCCATAGCAGGAGACAGGGTGCAGGCAAATAGATCCTTTTCTGTGGATTGGCCCAAGGCCCAGGAGAGAGTTGATGGGGAATTAAGGTGGCAATTAAAATGTCTGAATGCTACTTTTCAAAGTTTTAGGTAACTGGGGCCCCTGCATATCCACACTGGATACGCTTCTCTCGTTCTCACCAGAGAATCAACTTCTGTGAATGCTTGGATGCTGCTGGTACCCCCACTGAATTGTCACAGACTTTAACCTACCATTAATGTGGTGGCCTGAGGCACCTGGAGAGAGCCTGGGACCTCAAAGAGACTGGCCCCATAGCGACACTAGCTCTACCAGTATCATTTTGAAATTTTAGCACCGAAAGTCCCACATCCTGGGAAATGCCTTAGTCCCAGGCAAAATGGATGACTGGATAATGGAGATTTGAAGTCATATGTCCTGGGTTTCAGTTTTACAAGCTGTGCAACTTTGGAAAAATTTCCATTTCTTTTCTTCAGTTTCTTCATCAGTAAAATGAAATAATAATGATAGTACCTCTTGCCGAGCATGGTGCCTTATGCCTGTAATTTCAATACTTTGGGAGGCTGAGGTGGGAGGATCACTTGAAGCCAAGAAATTTGAGAGCAGCCTGGGCAACATAATAGAACCCTGACTCTACAAAATAAAGAAGAAAAGAAATTCGCTGTGCAGTGACGCACATCTGTAGTCCTAGCTACTCGGGAGGCTGAGGCAGGAAGATCACTTGAGCCTAGGAGTTCAAGGCTGCAGTGAGCTTTGATGGCACCACTAGACTCCAGTGTCAGTGACAGAGCAAGACCCCAGCTCTTAAAAAATAGTAAGGTTGTTGTGATAATTAAATGAGACAAAGTGCATAAAGTGCTTAGAATAATACTTGTCACAACCAAAATACCCAGTAAATGTGTGCTTATCCTCATCATCAGAAGGGACACATTTATAAGATAGGTGTTTAGAGTTTAGGGGTGTGCAATCACCCTTCTTTTATTGTGCTTTTGAGGAAAATTTATGTGCTCACAACTAACCACACAATTAGTGCTTTGATGAAAAAGCTGAGTGTGTTTTGGGGTTCTTTAAGAGGGGGAGTTCCAGTGGGGCCACTCTTGTCTCAGTAGAAGCCACATGCAATTGACACCTCTTTTGCTTGACTCACACACTGTGCTTAGGAACTGGGAAAAGTGAACCAGCTCTTACCAGGTACTTTCTCTCTTACAGAGAACTGGTTGTGCTTGGGAAAGATTTTTAGACAATAATAAACTGGAAATTTGAGAGAGGAAAGTACAGTCTAAACCTTCACCTGGTAATGGATGAAGAGCAAGGAGAGTGGGACCACCCTCTCATTCTTTTCCCAAACATGGATGGATGTGAGCAGGGGACTATGACCCAAGGGTCAGGGGGAAAGGAGAAATGGAATGGCTTCAAGGATGAAGAGGCTTGACTGAAGATTTGGTTTGAATGAGTAACTCACTGTTTCCCACCAATTAAAAAAACCTCATATCTCTGTGTAAGCCCCACATGGCTACTCCATTATCTGAGACTCCAAGTTCTCTGAGACTAATAAAGACTCTGAGTAGCCCTCTCAATAAGTGGATTTGGAACTGTTCTGGAAGAAAGAAAAATTTCCAAGAAGACTCAGTTTCTGAAAGGCACAGGCAAGAAATGTCCCCTGTGCTCAGCTCACATATTCAGCTCTTGAGGAACTCGGGGAACTTATCGCCCCTCCATCCAGCCACTGATTTTTCTGATGGTTCCTGTCTTTGAAACATCTCTCATTCAGGCTAAAAAAAATGGTTTCTTTTTGTATGCTGTGAAGAGGACAACAAAATAGGTGTAAATTTTCTTTATAGAGATATGTGAATTGATTATGAAAATGGGGTAGAACAACACTGAAATATAATATTAAATTATATCTTTTTGTCAGCCTGGTTGAGTGACAGGTTGGATTTGATTTAATTTCATTTAAAGAAAATAAAATAATTTGACAATTCATGGATATCTCATTTTGTAAAGATTCATGTCCTCATTATTTTCTTGAAACCATATCAAGTTCTGTAATAAGTGTAGATGTCTTGGTGACAGTTAATTTAGTATCTACCACGTGTTAAGCCCCACACTACAGAGCTAATTCTAACTAGTTAATATGTACACCCAGCCAGCTGATCACAAGAAGATTAGTTTACAGGTCATGAGTCATCAGTGTAACTCCAAAAATTTGCCTTTCTTATGTGCATATCTTAAAAAAGAGACAGGTATTAACAGTGTCCACTGTCTCAAGGCTGATTTCCTATTACTTCCTTCTGCCTCTACAGTGTCCCTGGGGAAATACTTTCTTTTACCATTTTTAAATTTTTTCATTCAATTTTTTAAACAGAGGGAGGGATATGCGCTATTGTGAAAAGCTTAAAAAGTAAAGAGTTTGGCTGGGCGCAGTGGCTCACGCCTGTAATCCCAGCACTTTGGGAGGCCGAGGTGGGTGGATCATGAGGTCAGCAGTTTGAGACCAGCCTGGCCAACATGGTGAAACCCCGTCTCTACTAAAAATACAAAATTAGCTGGGCGTGGTGGCACACGCCTGTAATCCCGGCCACTCGGGAGGCTGAGGCAGAAGAATCGCTTGAACCCAGGAGGCAGAGGTTGCAGTGAGAAGAGATTGTGCCACTGCACTCCAGCCTGGGTGACAGAGTGAGACTCTGTCTCAAAAAAAAAAAAAAAAAAGTAAAGAGTTTATAAAAAGTGAAAATCTTCCTTTCAAAGCCTTTCTCCAAATCCCACTCACCAGAGATAACCACTATTAAAAGTTTGTTTAACATAATTAGGAACAGTAATGACTTATAGGCCATTGAAAATATAGGAGGCTAGAGAGTCATGGTGATTAAAAAAATAAACAAATAAATGGAGAGAAGAGAGGACTCTTGCTTGAGAACAAAATGCTGAGTAAGTACTGACTGGTGAATGTGAAAGGCAAACTGAGTTGTAAATCATCATTCAGCAACCATCGTGGCACTGACTGGATCAAGGTAAGACTCATCAACTTACACTAAATCAAGGAAGAAAATTTGATGAGGAGCAGGATATCTCCATGGGTTCAAAGTATCTCCCCACAGATTTCTTATTAGTTGGAAGAGAAAAAATAATAATTACATATTGGAGAAACTGAAGAATACCCTGACTAGGTAGGTGATCAAAATTAACACCATCAATGAGTGGTAGATGGACATTGTGTGTCTCTAGATGAGGTGTCCTGTGAGGATACAATATCACCTACGTAGGATTCCAGCTGTGAATGCATAACCTGACTTTAATAATGAGGAAATATTGAACAAAACCCAAATGAGGAATGCTGTATTAACATAAGGGGGGGTCTATATTCTTAAAAAACGCCAATGTTATAAAAGACAAAAGATGCTGAAAATATAGTCAAGATTAGAGGAGGCTAAAAAGGCATGACAACTAAATGCAGTAGTAAATTGGACCTGTGAGCTGGAAGATGAAAAAAATCTATAAAAGATACTCTTGGGTCAATTGACAAAACTGGAATTCAGATAGTAGATTAAAGCATGATGTTTAACACTATGATATAATGTGGAATTTATTTAAGTTGACACCTGTACTGTAGTTATGTAAGAGATGATTATGATTGTTAGGAAATACATCCTGAAAAGTTTGGGGTAAAGGACCATGATTTATATAACTTACCCTCAAATGGTTCAGGCAGAAAAAGAGAGATAATAAAGCAAATGGTGCAAAATTTTAATAAGTGAATCTGAGTAAAAGGCATGTATTTCATTATTTTTGTATTCCTGCTTCCAACTTTTCTGTACATTTGAAATTATTTACTAAAAAAGTTAAATATTCTAAAAGCATTTTTTTAACCTTTCAGGATTTTTCTATACATTTACAATGTTTGTGTGCATGTATATATATATAGATACTATATATTCAAATGCATTTTCTGTCATTATAAATAAAGTTTACTTTAAAAATTTATTAATCTACCAATTGCTATGATAAAACCACAGAACTGGGCACTGAAGAGGAGTTAGAGAGGTTCTTAGTGGTGCACCAAGAAGCCTAAGGCCTCAAAGTAGACAGTATGGCATCTTTGTCATTGGCTATGGTTCCTATGGTCACCTGGCAGGTTGGGGAACAGAGCAAAATAAGGATAAAGAGCATAATGTGAATATCTTACTATGTCTGAACACCCAAATCAAAATATAAAACACATTAAATATGTATGATAAATATGGGCCATTATACATTTGGCATATTTTGTCACTTATTCATCTTAATATATGTCAGATTTGTAATCCATGCAGCATCTAGCATATTGTGGAGATTTAATAAAATTTTAAGATAACTAAGAAAATAACATTATTTTATTAGGTTCTGTTGGTCAATCACAATGCTCATGACCAAAACGCAAAAGAGACATTAGTTGTAGAAAGACTCTGCTATTGATTGTGAGCCCTTCAGAATATAACCTGCTAAATTTGAGGGCTTTTTTCCCCTCTTATTATTATTTTTTGAGATAGGGTCTCTCACTGTCACCCAGGCTGGTGTGCAGTGGTGCAAACAAGGCTCATTGCAGCCTCAATTTCCTGGGCTCAAGGGATCCTCTTGCCTCAGCCTTCTAAGTAGCTGGGACCACAAGTGTGCACCATCACACCTGGCTAATTTTAAAATATTTTGTAGAGATAGAGTCTTGCCACGTTGCCCAGGCTAGTCTTTAACTTCTGGGCTCAAGGGACCTTCCTGCTTCAAGCTCCTGAAGTACTGGGATTACAGGCGTGAGCCACCACACTTGACCTTCTTTTCCCTATCTTTAAAAGGCCATAATAATGCTGATTCATTTCTCAGCAGCTCTCTGGGGAGTAACTTGTAAACAATGTCTAAGGACTTCAATAACTTACGAATGCCTTATAAAGCTAAGTTAATACTGTCAGGTGTTATGGGCTGAATGTTTGTTTCCCTTCCTCCCCAAATTTCATATGTTGAAGCCCTAACCATCAATGTGATGGTATTTGGAGATATGGCCTTTTGGAAGGAATTAGGTTCAGAGGAAGTTATGAGGATGGGGCCACCATGATGGAATTAGTATCTTTATAAGAAGAGGAAAAGACCAGAACCCTCCCTCTCCCTGCCTTGTGAGGACTCAGCGAGAAGGCAGTCATCTGCAAGCCAGGAAGAGAGCCCTCCCTGGGGTAAAAAGTGGGATGGTACCAGCAAGAAGGCAGCCATCTGCAAGCCAGGAAGAGAGCACTCACTGGGCTACCAAGTGGGATGGTACCCGCAAGAAGGCAGCCATCTGCAAGCCAGGAAGAGAGCCCTCACTGCGGTACCAAGTGGGATGGTACCTCAATCTTGGATTTCCCAGGTTCTAGAACTGTGAGAAATAAATTCTTGTCCTTTAAGTCACCCAGTTTATATTTGTTATGGCAGCCTGAGCTGACTAAGACAACCGGATATCTCTGTCACATACAACTCTGTAGTCTCAGATTGTAAAGAGTGGAGTGAGTGGGAGGTCTCAAGACTGGCTGGAGGCAGTAAAGAGCTTTAAGAAATATTGCATGTGAACATTGTGACAGTAAAGATATATACGTTACTGTTATTTATTTGGGGATGTAATTCCAGGAGCAATGCAATATGTACCAAACAGAATCAAATGAATAATGTAGCAAAATTTTGAAACACCTACCAAAAGGTAAAGTTCTTACAGAGCCCAGGAAGGTTATTTCAGGTGCTTACCTACAACTCTAGTTAACTTGGCTTGTTTGTTATCACTCCTCTGAATGATACGAAGCAAAGAGGTAATGGAATTCCCCAAGCTTGACTCAGCATGCCCTTTCTTTCCCCACCCCCCACTTTTTTTTTTCTTATTTTGAGACAAAGTCTTGCTTTGTCACCTAGGCTGGAGTACAGTGGCCTGGTTACTACTCAGTGCAGCCTTGACCTCCTGGGCTCAAGCAGTCCTTCCACCCCAGCTTCCTGAGTTGCTGGGACTATAGCAATGCATCACCACACCCTGCTATGAATAATTTTTTTTTTGTAGAGACAAGGTCTGGCTTTGTTGCCCAGACTAGTCTCAGACTCCTGGCCTCAAGCAATCCTCCTGCTTTGGCCTCCCAAAGTGCTGGAAAGGCAGGTCTTTTTCCCCTTTTATCATTTTTTCCTCTCTTTTCCAGGCTCTGGCCCTCTCTTTTCCAGGCTCTGGCCCTCTCTTCAGCAACACTAGCATCTTGTTACCCTTCTCTTACTTACATATACACAGAAGGCTGTCACCAATGAGAACTAATTTGAGTTATTCACATTAAAACTTCACCTACTATAAAATATATGCCCCAAGTAGACTGAAATTCTAACAAATAGAAACACATACATTTTAGTTAGTGTGTTTTTGTAAAGAGATTTCATAGCTTGTGAAAACTTCAATGGGTTAGCAGTGGTTGCCTGGACTGTTTCATTAAGAAGAGCTCTGGGGTCATATCTGAGCTCAGCATGAAGGAGAACGTTGACGGGTTAGTGATACCAAACATGTCCACATAGGATTAGTGGGGGCGTTCCTGTGTGGATCTTCCATCTATAGGTAAATGTATCGCCCCCTCTACAAATCCTCTTTTTACTCATGTGCTGTCACGGCTTCATATGTTTTTACAGACTGTTTCATGTGTCTGGAATACCCTTTCTTGTTTGCACACCTGAGAGCTTTCTTTTTTCAAGACTGTGTTCACACTGTACCTTTTTTCCACAGCCTCTCCCAGCTTCTCAAAGCTTCTTTTGACATTACTGATTGTGAACTTCTGGTTTCTCACCAATCTCTGCAGCACCTGAAGAGGGCCCAACTAAAAGTGAGCACCAAAAGAATGATAAGGGAGTAAATGTTCACACACAAGAAAAAACACAATCTAGTGGAGGAAAACAGAAGACAAGCAGCATCTAATATAGGAAGTTAAGCATGCAAAGAACACAAAAAAGTGACTTGCAGTATTGTAGGTATTTGGAGGCAAAGAAAAATCTGGGGATAAGGCAAAGAAGTGTGGAGGAAATGACATTTGAGTGATACTTTGACAAACATAATATTTTGGGAGAGATGGCAAGGATCATTGGCATAAAGGCAGTGTAGGTAAGGATGAAAATGTCCTCAAAAAGGCATTTATGCCATTTTATATCACTGACAGTATAATATAAACTAGTTTAATAAAACAGCCTCTGTTTAATAAAACAGCCTCTGTTGTGTTGAATAAATAGTGAGAGAAGATGAGAATCTATTTTGTGGAAGTTCAAGGTCAGATCCCACCCTCCCTCTGGGAACAAATCTAAGAGCAGAAACACTAAAGAATTATTGGAATGATGAAAGAAAAAATGGAGATAAGTTACCCAAAATAAACTTTCCTGCATCTTACATTTGCTGAATTAGGTCTGCCAACAAGGTCCTGATGGAATAATAAATAAAAGTAGTGATCATTACTTAGAAAAAAGTAAAGCTAAAGAGGGCAAGGCATGGAATATTGACAAAATGAGGAAGTTATTCTGCAATGAAACCTCTGTTTCATAACTGCCAGGGAACTTGAAATGGGAACTATAAGAGGTATAAGATAACTCAACTTTGTAGAAACATTTGTAGAAACATTTGGCTTGAAACTACTGTGGGTTTGACTTTGAATTTTTGCCTAGATGATCTTGTAGTTCTGTTTCTTTTGTTTGCAAAATAGGAATAATGATGGTTATGATGATGATGACTGAAAAAACTTTTGTAAGGATTAAGTAACCTAATTGAGTTCCTTGCACATAATAGGACCCTAAAGTAATGTATGGTGCCTTCTCTGAGTTCTAGACATTATAACATATTCTATGCACTGGGCATTTTAGTATATGTTATCTGATAGTGTTCTCAACATCACTTTTAATAGGTATTAAGAAAACCAGGATACAGTCAAACAAATGTCCTCAGAGAGTTAGGTAAATCCTCAGATTCCATATTTAGTAAATGGCAGACCTAGATCTTAAAGACTGGATGGCCTGGCAACAAAGCTGTAATAATTCCCTTATACCATGCTCCTTCACAAACATGTGACAATTTGAGCACATATTTTTTCCCTTTTCATTTTGTCTAGTACTAGCCTTGACTCCAGCTTTTGAGCTTTCACTTACCTTTGAGAGTATGTAGATGGCATTTGTGAATGCACCTATGTATTTCTTAACTCTCCAGACCACCATTGTACCAAATCGTAAATGGACCTTGAGAAGGAGGCCAGTTAAAAATTTTGCTGTATATATTTGTTTGATTTTGGTTTTTGTTACATTTGGTTGTGTTTGGTATAACTCTTTATAAACCTAGAAAAATGTCAGTTAGAAATGGTTTCTCTGTCCTGAGCTTAGAGCAAGAGTTCTTAAAGTGCAATCCCAGATCAGCAGCATTGCATCATCAGGGAATTTGCGAGAGATGCAAATTCTTGGACCATATACCCCAGACCTAGTGAATCGGAAATTTGAAGGGGAAGAAGGTGTCTGGCAGGCAGAAGTCTATGTTTTAACAAGCCCTGTAGGCAATTCTAGAGGGTACTGTAGTTTGGGAAGCACTGATGTAGGGCATAAGCAGCATGTAATTTAGCTTTTGATAATAGCTTACACTTATAATGCATTGGTAACTTTTGCCTTTCTTTTTTGCTAAGTATAATAATAAATGTTGGTTGTAAACAACTTCAGAATGTCATTTTAAAAATTCACTGACTTGCTTCTAATCAAGATATTAAATATCCTTGCTACATCTGCTTTATTATTATTATTAATTTTCCCTAGGCTAAAGTCTCTTTTTACTATTATACTTTAAGTTCTAGGGTACATGGGCACAACATGCAGGTTTGTTACATATGTAAACATGTGCCATGTTGGTTTGCTGCACCCATTAACTCATCATTTACATTAGGTATTTCTCCTAATGCTATCCCTCCCCCATCCCCCCACCCACGACAGGCCCCTCTGTGTGATGTCCTGCAACCTGTGTCCAAGTGTTCTCGTTGTTCAATTCCCATCTATGAGTGAGAACATGCAGTGTTTGCTTTTCTGTCCTTGCGATAGTTTGCTGAGAATGATGGTTCCCAGCTTCATCCATGTCCCTACAAAGGATATGAACTCATCCTTTTTTGTGGCTGCATAGTATTCCATGGTGTATATGTGCCACATTTTCTTAATCCAGTCTATCATTGATGGACATTTGGTTTGGTTCCAAGTCTTTGCTGTTATGAATAGTGCCGCAATAAACATTCGTGTGTATGTGTCTTTATAGAAGCATTATTTATAATCCTTTTGGTATATACCCAGTAATGGGATCGCTGGGTCAAATGGTAATTCTAGTTCTAGATCCTTGAGGAATTGCCACACTGTCTTCCACAATGGTTGAACCAACTTACACTCCCACCAACAGTGTAAAAGCATTCCTATTTCTCCACATCCTCTCCAGCATCTGTTGTTTCCTGACTTTTTAATGATCACCATTCTAAGTGGTGTGAGATGGTATCTCATTGTAGTTTTGATTTGCATTTCTCTGATGGCTAGTGATGATGAGCATTTTTTCATGTGTCTGTTGGCTGCATAGATGTCTTCTTTTGAGAAGTGTCTGTTCTTTGCCCACTTTTTGATGGGGTTGTTTTTTTCTTGTAAATTTGTTTGAGTTCTTTGTAGATTCTGGATATTAGCCCTTTGTCAGATGGGTACGTTGCAAAAATTTTCTCCCATTCTGTAGGTTGCCTGTTCACTCTGATGGTAGTTTCTTTTGCTGTGCAGAAGCTCTTTAGTTTGATTAGATCCCATTTGTCAATTTTGGCTTTTGTTGCCATTGCTTTTGGTATTTTAGTCATGAAGTTCTCGCCCATGCCTATGTCCTGAATGGTATTGCCTAGGTTTTCTTCTAGGGTTTTTATGGTTTAGGTCTAACATTTAAGTCTTTAATCCATCTTGAATCAATTTTTGTATAAGGTGTAAGGAAGTGATCCAGTTTCAGCTTTCTACATATGGCTAGCCAGTTTTCCCAGCACCATTTATTAAATAGGGAATCCTTTCCCCATTTCTTGTTTTTGTCAGGTTTGTCAAAGATCTGACGGTTGTAGATGTGTGTTGTTATTCCTGAGGCCCCTGTACTGTTCCATTGGTCTATCTCTCTGTTTTGGTACCACTATCATGCTGTGTTGGTTACTATAGCCTTGTAGTATAGTTTGAAGTCAGGTAGTGTGATGCCTCCAGCTTTGTTCTTTTTGCTTAGGATTGTCTTGGCAATGCAGGCTTGTTTTTTATTTCCATATGAACTTTAAAGTAGTTTTTTCCAGTCATTGGTAGCTTGATGGAGATGGCATTGAATCTATAAATTACCTTGGGCAGTATGTGCATTTTCACAATATTGATTCTTCCTATCCATGAATCTGGAATGTTCTTCCATTTGTTTGTGTCCTCTTTTATTTTGTTGAGCATTGGTTTGTAGTTCTCCTTGAAGAGGTCCTTCACATCCCTTGTAAGTTGGATTCCTAGGTATTTTATTCTCTTTGTAGCAATTGTGAATGGGAGTTTACTCGTGATTTGGCTCTCTGTTTGTCTGTTACTGGTGTATAGTAATGCTTGTGATTTTTGCACATTGATTTTGTATCCTGAGACTTTGCCGAAGTTGCTTATCAGCTTAAGGAGATTTTGGGCTGAGACAGTGGGGTTTTCTAAGTATATAATCATGCCATCTGTAAACAGGGACAATTTGACTTCCTCTTTTCCTAATTGAATACTCTTTATTTCTTTCTCTTGCCTGATTGCCCTGGCCAGAACTTCCAACACTATTTTAATAGGAGTGGTGAGAGAGGGCATGCCTGTCTTGTGCCAGTTTTCAAAGGGAATGCTTCCAGTTTTTGCACATTCAATATGATATTGGCAGTGGATTTGTCATCAATAGCTCTTATTATTTGGAGATACGTTCCATCAATATCTAACTTATTGAGAGTTTTTATCATGAAGCGCTGTTGAATTTTGTCAAAGACCTTTTCTGCATCTATTGAGATAATCATGTGCTTTTTATCTTTGGTTCTGTTTATGTGATAGATTATGTTTATTGATTTGCATATGTTGAACCAGCTTTGCATCCCAGGGACAAAGCCAACTTGATCTTGGTGGATAACCTTTTTGATGTGCTGCTGGATTCGGTTTGCCGGTATTTTATTGAGGATTTTCTCATCGATGTTCATCAGGGATATTGGCCTAAAATTCTCTTTTTTTGTTGCGTCTCTGTCAGGCTTTGGTATCAGGATGATGCCGGCCTCATAAAATGAGTTAGGGAGGATTCCTTCTTTTTCTATTGATTGGAATAGTTTCAGAAGGAATGGTACCAGCTCCTCTTTGTACCTCTAGTAGAATTTGGCTGTGAATCTGTCTGGTTCTGGACTTTTTTTGGTTGGTAGGCTATTAATTATTGCCTCAATTTCAGAGCCTGTTATTGGTCTATTCAGGGATTCAACTTCTTCCTGGTTTAGTCTTGGGAAGGTGTGTGTGTCCAGGAATTTATCCATTTCTTCTAGATTTTCTAGTTTCTTTGCGTAGAGATGTTTATAGTATTCTCTGATGGTAGTTTGTATTTCTGTGGGATCAGTGGTAATATCCCCTTTATCATTTTTTATTGCATCTATTTGATTCTTCTCTTTCTTCTTCTTTATTAGTCTTGTTACCGGCCTATCAGTTTTGTTAATCTTTTCAAAAAACCAGCTCCTGGATTCATTGATTTTTTTGAAGGGTTTTGTTGTGTCTCTATTTCCTTCAGTTCTGCTCTGATCTTAGTCATTTCTTGCCTTCTGCTAGCTTTTGAATTTCTTTGTTCTTGCTTCTCTAGTTCTTTTAATTGTGATGTTAGGGTGTCGATTTTAGATCTTTCCTGCTTTCTCTTGTGGGCATTTAGTGCTATAAATTTCCCTCTACACACTGCTTTAAATGTGTCCCAGAGATTCTTGTACATTGTGTCTTTGTTCTCATTGGTTTCAAAGAACATCTTTATTTCTGCCTTCATTTCGTTATTTACCCAGTAGTCATTCAGGAGCAGGTTGTTCAGTTTCCATGTAGTTGTGCGGTTTTGAGTGAGTTTCTTAATCCTGAGTTCTAGTGTGACTGCACTGTGGTCTGAGAGACAGTTTCTTGTGATTTCTCTTCTTTTACATGTGCTGAGGACTGCTTTACTTCCAACTATGTGGTCAATTTTGGATTAAGTGTGATGTGGTGCTGTGAAGAATGTATATTCTATTGATGTGTGGTGGAGAGTTCTGTAGATGTCTATTAGGTCTGCTTCGTGCAGAGCTGGGTTCAAGTCCTGGATATCCTTGGTAACCTTCTGTCTCGTTGATGTGTCTAATATTGACAGTGGGATGTTAAAGTCTCCCATTATTATTGTGTGGGAGTCTAAGTCTCTTTGTAGGTCTCTAAGGAGTTGCTTTATGAATCTGGGTACTCCTGCATTGGGTGCATATATATTTAAGATAGTTAGCTCTTCTTGTTGAATTGATCCCTTTACCATTATGTAACGGCTTACTTTGTCTCTTTTGATCTATGTTGGTTTAAAGTCTGTTTTATCAGAGACTAGGATTGCAACCCCTGCCTTTTTTTGTTTTCCATTTGCTTGGTAGATCTTCCTCCGTTCCTTGATTTTGAGCCTATGTGTGTCTCTGCTTGTGAGATGGGTCTCCTGAATACAGCACACCGATGGGTCTTGACTCTATCCAATTTGCCAGTCTGTGTCTTTTAATTGGAGCATTTAGCTTTGTTCTGTTGCTGGCAAGGAGCTGTGATCCTTTGGAGGAGAAGAGGTGCTCTAGTTTTTAGAATTTTCAGCTTTTCTGCTCTGGTTTCTCCCCATCTTTGTGGTTTTATCTACCTTTGGTCTTTGATGATGGTGACCTACAGATGGAGTTTTGGTGTGGATGTGGTTTTTGTTGATGTTGATGCTACTCCTTTCTTTTTGTTAGTTTTCCTTCTAACAATCAGGTCCCTCAGCTGCAGATCTGTTGGAGTTTGCTGGAGGTCCACACCTGGGTATCAACAGTGGAGGCTGTAGAACAGCAAACATTGCAGAATAGCAAATATTGCTGCCTGATCCTTCCTCTGGAAGCTTCGTCTCAGAAGGGCACTCAACTGTATGAGGTGTCAGTCGGCCCCTACTGGGAGGTGTCTCCCAGTTAGGCTACACAGGGTCAGGGACCCACTTAAGGAGGCAGTCTGTCCATTCTCAGAGCTCAAACACTGTGTAGGGAGAACCACTGGTCTCTTCAGAGCTGTCAGACAGGGACGTTTAAGTCTGCAAAGTTTCTGCTGCCTTTTGTTCATCTATGCACTGCCCCTGGAGGTGGAGTCTACAGAGGCAGGCAAGCCTCGTTGAGCTGAGGTGGGCTCCGCCTAGTTCGAGCTTCCCAGCTGCTTTGTTTACCTACTCAAGCCTCAGCAATGGCGGACACCCCTCTACCAGCCAGGCTGCCGCCTTGCCATTCAATCTTGGACAGCTGTGCTAGCAGTGAGCAAGGCTCCGTGGCCGTGGGACCCACTGAGCCAGGCACGGGATATAATCTCCTGGTATGCCATTTGCTAGGACTGTTGGAAAAGCACAGTATTCGGGTGGCAATGTCCCGATTTTCCAGGTACAGTCTGTCACGGCTTCCCTTGGCTAGGAAAGGGAATTCCCTGACTCCTTGCACTTCCCACGTGAGGCAATGCCCCGCCCTGCTTCGGCTCACCCTCCATGGGCTGCACCCACTGTCCAACCAGTCCCAGTGAGATGAACCAGGTACCTCAGTTGGAAATGCAGAAATCACCTGTCTTCTGTGTCGATCATGCTAGGAGCTGCGGACTGGAGCTGTTCCTATTCAGCTATCTTTGGATAAAGTCTTGCTCTGTCACCCAGGCTGTAGTGCAGTGGCACAATCATGGCTCACTGCAGCCTCAGCCTCCTGGGCTCAAGCAGTCTTTCCACCTCAGCCTCCAAAAATGCTGGAATTACAGGCATGAGCCACCTTGCCTGGCCCTGCTTTATTATGTGAGGACTGTTTTCCAGGAAAAAAGTACTCGTCGCAAATGGTAACATATATCAGTGACTCCATCTTGGGTCGCACTGTGTCTCCTAGGCTGGAACGCAGCGTAATGATCATAGCTCACTGCAGCCGTGAACTCTTGGGCTCAAACAAATCATTTCACCTCAGCCTCCCATGTAGTTATGTCTACAAGCTTGTGCCATTGCACCTGGCTAGTTTTTAATTTTTTTGTAGAGACAGGGTCTCGCTATGTTGCCCAGGCTGGTCTCCAACTGGTCTCCTGGATTCACAGTGATCCACCTGCCTCAGCCTCCCAAAGTGTTGGGATTATAGGCTCCACCCAGCAAGGTACATTTAAAAAAAAATTTATTCTAAAAATAGTCAGACTGAGGTATAGATGGAAATATGAATTCAGAATATTATAATTTTGGCCTATCTTTAAATATTTGGAAAAACTGTTAAAATCTGTATCCCAAATTATGGTTTTATGAGTGTTATTACCATAGATACAGGGGGAAATGTGGACATGCCAAATGGTTTAGAATTTCATCCTGATCATCCAGGAAATGAATTATTTCTTTTTAACTTCTCAAAAAGACATTTAGCCAGTCATAACATATGTCTCCTGGGGTGTCTGTGTTTTTCAGTACATACTGCTTTGATAATCATCACCCTTGTTTATGTTTAGCTGCTTGACAGCTGTTGCCAGGCCATATTGAATTCTCTTTCTCAGAGGTTAGGAGCCAAAATTCACAGATATAAGTCAGTCTCTGATAGTCACTTAAGCTGAGGATGTGGGAATTCAGGAGCTGTCGGGTCTAGAGAGGAGAAAGTCAGCCAATAGAAAGAGGCAATAGTCCAAAGATATCAAGAAAACCATGGACTAGAGAATGTGGAAAGAAAAAAGTTTGAACAACTGTGTAATTCTTATAGTTTTCCAGTTGTTGATTCTAATCTCCTGTATCACTTAAAGAAACTTCTTGTTTTCTTTGAAATGACCCGTAATTACACTGAAAAGCCATCTTTTTCCTCCCTTTAACTCAATTTGAAGAGAATTCTGTTATTTCTAATTCAACACACCTTAACGTGACATTCAATGAAGAAATGTTCCTGCCCCATTTAAGCATTAGGGAAGAAAAGTCAGTGACCCTGATATAAACACTAAAATTGAAACTGCTGTAGCTATACAATCATTATTTAATAGTGGCTTAAAGAGTTACTAATATTATCCTGTGCTAAAGATGAATAGAATCTTTTAAGGCTTCTTTTCAGTTATGAAAAAAATGGCAAAATTTCTCCTTTCTATATCAGTGAGGAAGATGGTTAGGAAGAAAGGCCACTTTGTGTTAGTCAAACAGGCTTTCTTCAGAGCTGTCAGCGGGCTGTGATGAAAGAACCATGACACTGACCCTAGACTAAGGTTTGAATTCCGCCGAGGTCACTCACTACCTCAGTTACCTTGGATAATTTACTTGATTTCTCCCTTTCTAGTTCTTTTTCTGTAAAATGAGGAAGAGAATGGTAAAGTCTCCTTTGCATTACTGTGAGGATTGCCAAAGGTCTGGATCACAGTTGGTTCTCCCGTGGGAATCATTGCCATCACCGTCATTGCCTTGTGTACGGCCTTCACGCGTTTCGCCAGCTTCTGTGTCATTGGTGACATCATAAAATCAGGGAAAGGGAAATCTGTAAACACTGGCCGTTGAAGAATACGGTTTCTGAGAATTTCCACTCTGAATTCACATTCCGTTCAGTGTTATCGCCACCCTGTGGATTTCTTGGGTAATGAAACTCAGACCGGGAAATGAAAACGGGGATTTTCAGTAAATCGGTTCCAGTAAATCTCTGCTGCTCTTGTGGGCGCCCTCTTTTGAGCACCGGAGGAATGAGCACCGTTCTTCATTCTTTTGGTTTTGTAAAGTTGTAGAGCTGCGTTCATAAGTGAGATCATTAATTAATCTGCCCTTCTCCGTAGACCTTCCTCCTCCCCAATTTTCAATATAAAAACTGATTCCCAGGTAGCTTTAATTTCAAAACTGGTCAGTGGTAAATTTAGGAAGAGAATTTAAGGTCTCCTGACTTCCAATCAAACATAGTTCCCACTTGCCCAATTGGATAATAGATGTTTGTTTTTACAATTAGCTAATTATTTCTCAGTATTTACTTATTTTATAAGTAGTACATAATTAATCAATTGACCAACTGGCCTTATGGCACTGTGTTTACATGTGATCCTGCCCCTTTCTAGTCTATTTTCTGGAGGTTGTCAATCATCTTCCTTTAGAAGTATTTTCTGCCATTCTTTTTTGTGGAAGTATTGCGTGATTGTCCAAAGGCCTGTCCCTATTTGCGGAGACTCCTTGAGAATGTCCACCTTTGTGTATTTCTCCTACTTCCTGAAATATCCCTTCATTTCTCAGAAACTGTGCAAATCTTACTTCCTCTAAGCCCAATTTAAGTCCTGCTTGCTTCTGAGCCTTTCAGGCCATAGTAACTCTTGCTGTTCTTTCTGAGGCTCATATCATTGACATATATGAATTATTTTAATGTCTTAATTGGATTACTAAGAGCACTCCAATTCCCAACACATACATGATTAATACTTATTTCTGGATCCATCGTGGGCATCCCTGTTTTCTCTTCCCCTTTCTATCATATTTCTATCTTCCCAAACAAGCAGAAAAAAAAATCTATGGCCTATTTTAGGTAGTGGCAGATTATTGTGTTTTGTTTCTACAGGTGTTTACTTGTGGCAACCTGTTTCCTCACTGTGCATGTGTGTGCATCCTAAGTACGTGTGTGTTTAATTCCCCTATAACCTTCTGCTGGGAGGATTTTATCTATAAGTATTCCTTGGGATCTGTGTGGAAGTTGCTTTCCTCTACAGGAAAGGTTTTCCTTTGCATCTTACATGCAAACTGAAGGTATCACTTTAAAATAAATTTTCAGGTTGAAGTTTTGGGGACTAAATGTTGCAAACATGTTTGAAGGCTGGCTTATGGTTATGAATTCTTAATGGCAATGATTTTCCCTCTCTCCCCTCATTTCCGAGGTTGAAACCTTTAATACATTTGTTGTTCCCTTTTTGTTGGCTTGTTTGTTTGCTTGTAGCTCTCCATCACAACCAGGGTGTAGTTTTATTGTATCCGAGGTGCATGTGTGCTGGAGGAGTTTCTATGAATTAGTCTCCAATTTGACGAATGTTTGTTCATTAGTCCAACTTGAATGTGGACTTTGTGGCTGTCCTTTGTCCTCATGTGCTATATCAATGAAGGCTCAGATTATCCTTGATTTACATATACCCTTAGGACAGGACCAAATTTCAGGCTTTACTTCCCTCCTGGATTTTTGCTTTCTATTTATTTTTGTTAAATCTATGAACATTTCCTTTTATTTTTACCAGATCAGCCACGCATTTAACCGTATTTTTTCATGTTACAGCTAGAATCTTAAATTCTTTGAGTTGAGATCGTTGTCCTTGAAGTACACAGTGATCACTCATTGAAACTTTTAGATTAATTTTAGGATCAGTTTGTAAATTTCATGGAACAATTCTGTTACGATTTTAGATTAGAATTTCACTAAATTTGGAGGATTCCAGGGGAATTAATATCTTTACAATACTCTTGCTTCTCATTCTTGAAAATAACTTATCATTTCACTTATTTATGTCCTTATGCCCTTCAGTAATGTTTATGTTTTTTCCTTTGAATATCTTTTGCTGCTGTTTTGTAAACAGGTTTTTTTTTAACTTCCATTTTTTATTTGTCACTGTTGTATAACTAGCTAATACTTACATAGTACTTACTACGTGGCAGAAATCATTTTAAATCCTTTAGTAATCTTTTACCTGGTGAACTTGTTTATTGATTTAAATGGTCTGTCATTTGGTTTCTCTTGAATTTTCAATGAAGGCAACTATATTATCAATAGTCATTGACTCTTTTGTCAATTTCTTTTCAGTACCTGTGCTCTTTATATAATTATTCATTCTTTTTTTCTTATTATTTGTCTATTTGGTGCCTCTCTTTAATGATATTGTCCTGCACTGTGTGGGTTGTCACTCTTGATTGCAGTTTTATATTTGCATTTGAGAATTTCTCTTCCCCTGCTTACAATGATCGAATGAAGACAGTTGGAATCTAAAGGATAGAAATCTGACAGGATTGAACTGACGAAGAAAATCTGGGTCCAAAGATAGAAATCAGATAAGATGGCTATGGGTGAGATTTGTTCTGTAGAAATATATACAAACACACACATGCACATATATGTAAAAGTATTGTCAAACCATTTGCAGTGGTGGCTCAACCTGATGGTTCAGAGGTTCCAGACAATACAAAACGTGTTGGGAAAATAGTGTTGAAAGATAGATACTTCCATCTCTCATGGAGCTTATATCAGAAGAGGAATCAAATGTTAGAAAAAAAAGATTATACTAAAACAAAGTCATAATCATTGTACTAAGGCCATTAAAGCAATAAATCATTTAGCAATGCACTGCTCAAAAGCATCAAGTTTAATTCCTCTTCCCCTGCCTACGGTGTTCTAGTGGAGGCAGCTGGAATCTACGAATGCAAGACCTTCCAGTGCAGGAACAAAGATTTTTCCATTCCTTTTGGGTGTTGCCAACCACCTGGAACACTGTGCTACTTCTGTGACCCAGTTATTCATACTAATGTCTCCAGTCTGGAAGCAAATGCTACACTGTTCACTGCATGAGTCTCTCTCTCTCTCTCTCTGTGTGTGTGTGTGTGTGTGTAAATGTTTGTGTTTGCGTGGGGGTGTGGAAATGGGGCCAACCTGCCTAACTGTTTTACATTCCATCTCTAAGCAGTCATCCGAAGGATGATTACTCTTGGCTCCAGACTCCTCTTTATTTTCATTAATTGCAAGTTAGCAGAATCTGCAGAATTCATCTCACCCATATCAGCCATCTTATCTGATTTCTATTTTTGGGCCCAGATTTTCTTCCTCAATTTGATCCTGTCAGATTTCTATCTTTTAGATACATATGAATATATTTGGTTTTCTAGTGACATTTCCTTCTTTTGTTCCAGCATGGTTAAGACTTTGTTCTTTATTTTAAAATTCTTTCTCAAAGATTAGTTGTGAGGTGAAGTTTGTTGCATTTGTCCATCCTGCTTCATTGATGTAATTTTTATTAAACCTACTTATTAATTGTTTTCCTTATTCTTAGCTATCTTTTACTGGCTGAACTGCTAGTACAACAACCAATAATAGAAGAAATAATAAAAGAATATTTGTATTCATCAACCTCCGATCAATACATAGATCAGAGAAACAGTGACTTGAAAAAAAATGAATAATGATCATAGGCTATTGTATATTAACTGAAATCACTTTGCATTTCTCCAAAACGTTCATAAATCATATCACGAAATTCTCCCCACAAGCCTGGGACAATTGGTGTAATTGCAAGTAGAGAACAACAGATCCAAAGAGTAGATGAGATTCACACTATTAGAATGTAACAGAATGTCTCAATGCTCAGGGTAGCATGGCTGTTAAAAGCACAAGATGTGCAGCCAGACAGTCTGGGTTCAAATTTCATTCCAATTACCAACTAACTTGTGTTAGCACTGCAAATTATTTAATTTCCTCCTCTCCTAGTTTCTCATCTACAAAGTGTTATTAATTCTTAAAATATTATAGTAAAGATTAACTTGAAAGAGCTTAGAACCATTTCAATTACATAATATGGTGGCCGGGCATTAAGGCTCATACCTATAATCCAGCACTTTGGGAGGCCTAGGTGGGCAGATCACTTGAGGTCAGGAGTTTGAGACCAGCCTGGCTAACATGGTGAAACTCCGTCTCTACTAAAAATACAAAAACTAGCCAGGTGTGGTGGTTGGTTTGAACTCCTGGAATCAAGTGATCCACCCACCTAGGCCTCTCAAACTGCTAGATTACAGGCGTGAGCACCATGCCTGGCCACATAGCATATGATTTGTATTAGTCCTTTTTCTCACTACTGATAAAGACATACCCAAAACTGGGTCATTTATACAGGAAAAAGGGTTTCATGCGCTTACAGTTCCACATGGCTCACAATCATGGTAGAAGGCATGGAGTACTGTGTCACACCTTACATGGATGGTGGCAGGCAAAAAGAGTTTGTGCGGGGAATCTGCCCTTTTTAAAACCCTCAGATCTCATGAGACTTATTCACTATCATTAGAACAGCAGGTGAAAGACCTGCCCCATGATTCAATTACCTTCCACCAGGTCTCTCCCACAACCTGTGGAAATTCAAGATAAGATTTGGGTAGGGACACAGTCAAAACATATCATTATGCCCCTAGCCCCTCTCAAATCTCATGTTCTAACAATTCATAACCAATCATGTTTTCCCAAAAGTCCCCTGAAGTCATAACTAATTTCAGCATTGACTCAAAAGTCCACAGTTCAAAGTCACATCTGAGACAAGGCAAGTCGCTTTCGCTTATGAGCCTGTAAAATCAAAAGCTAGTTAGTTACTTTCTAGATACAATGGAGGTACAGGCAGTGGGTAAATATAGCCATTCCAAATGGGAGAAATTGGCCAAAGGGGCTACAGGTCCCATGCAAGTCTGAAATCCAGAGGGGCAGTCAAATCTTATAGCTCCAAAATGATCTCCTTTGACTCCATGTCTCACATCCAGGTCATGCTGATGCAAAAAGTGGGCTCCCATGGCCTTGGGCAGCTCCGCCCCTGTGGCTTTGCAGGGTATAGTCCCATTCCTGGCTGCTTTCATGGGCTGGTGTTGAGTGTCTGTGACTTTTCCAGGCACATGGAGCAAGCTGTCGGTAGATCTACCATTCTGGGGTCTGGAGGATGGTGGCCCTATTCTCACAGCTCCACTAGGTGGTGTCCCAGTAGGGACTCTGTGTGGGGGCTCCAATCTCACATTTCCCTTCCACACTGCCCTAGCAGAAGTTCTCCATGAGGGCCCAGACCCTGCAGCTAACTTCTGCCTGGACATCCAGGAGTTTCCATACATCCTCTGAAATCTAGGTGGAGGTTCCCAAACCTTAATTATAGATTTCTGTGGACCTGCAGGCTCAATACCACATGGAAGCTGCCAAGGCTTGGGACTTCCACCCTCTGAAGCAATAGCCCGAGCTGTACCATGGCCCCTTTTAGTCATGGCTGGAGTAGCTGGGATGCAGGGCACCAAGTCCCTAGACTGCACACAGCAGAGGGACCCTGGGCCCGGCCCACGAAACCAGTTTTTCTTCCTGAACCTCCTGGCCTGTGATCAGAAGGGCTGCTGCAAAGGTTTCTGACATGCCCTGGAGACATTTTCCCTGTTGTCTTGGCAATTAACATTTGGCTCTTCATTACTTTGCAAATTTATGTAGCTGGCTCGAATTTCTCCTCAGCAAATGGGTTTTTCTTTTTTATCACATTGTCAGGCAGCACATTTTCCAAACTCCTATGCTCTGTTTCCTTTTTAAACTGAATGCCATTAACAGCACCCAAGTCACCTCTTGAATGCTTTGCTGCTTAGAAACTTCTTCTGCCACATACCCTAAATCATCCCTCTCAAGTTCAAAGTTACACAAATCTCTAGGGCAGGAGCAAAATGCTGCCATTCTCTTTGCTAAAACGTAATGAGAGTTCAGTTTTTTTTTTTTGCTCCAGTTCCTGAGAAGTTTCCCATCTCCATCTGAGACCATCTCAGCCTGGATTTAATTGTCCATATCATTATCAGCATTTTGGTCAAAGCCCTTCAACAACTCTCTAGGGAGTATCAAACTTTCCTGCATCGTCCTGTCTTTTTCTGAGCCCTCCAAACTGTTCCAACAGCTGGCTGCTACCCACTTCCAAAGCCACTTCCACATATTTGGGTATCTTTTCAGCAGCACCCCACTCCTGGTACCAATTTACTGTATTAGTTAGTTTTCATGCCCCTGATAAAGACATACCCAAGACTGGGTAATTTATATAGGAAAAGGGTCTAGTAGACTTACAGTTCCACGTGCCTGGGGAGATCTCACAATCGTGCAGAAGGCAAGGAGGAGCAAGTCACATCTTACGTGGATGGTGGCAGGCAAAAAGAGCTTGTTTAGGGAAACTCCCCTTTTTAAACCATCAGATCTCATGAGACTTATTGTCATGAGAACAGCATGGGAAAGACCTGCCCCCATGATTCAATTACCTTCTACCCGGTCCCTCCCTCAACATGTGGGAATTCAAGATGAGATTTAGGTGGAGACACAGCCAAACCATATCATGATTGAAACAGTTCTAAGCTCTTTCAATGTAATATTTACTATATTTTGAGAGCAGTACTATGATTAACAACATTTTGTAGATGAGAAACTTAGAGATGGGGAAATTAAGTAATTTGCAGTGGTAACACAAGTTAGTTGGTAATTGGAATAAAATTTGAACCCAGACTGATTACTAGACTAGTAGTCTAGTAATCCCAGCTACTTGAGAGGCTGAGGCAGGAGAATCGCTTCAATCTGGGAGGTGGAGGTTGTAGTGCCAAGATTGCGCCACTGCATTGCATCCTGGATGATAGAGCAAGACTGTCTCAAAAAATAAAATTACTTAAAAAAAATCATATAACATGCACTCAATAATTGTAGTAGTTATTATTGCTACAATTTTGCCCAGCATCTTTTACTGTATTATAATATTGTATGTAAGACATTTTACATAAATGTAAATTTTCAGTCCTTTTGAATTTACGTATAAGCCCAGAAAAAAAGAAAAGAACTCTAAAAGTGCAAATATACACAAACACGTACATGTACACATATATAAAAGTATTGTCAATCCATTTGCAGTGGTAGCTCAACCTGGTGCCTCAGAGGTTCTAGACAACAAAATGTATCAGGAAAACAGTGTTGAAAAAGACAGATACTCCTGCCTCTCATGGAACTTACATCAGAAGAGGAGTCAAATGTTAAAAAAATGATTATACTAAAACAAAGTCATTATAATTGTATTAAAGACATTAAAGCAATAAATCATTTGGCAATGTACTGCTCAAAAGAATCAAGTTCAATCATGATGACTGCAATTTTATCTCCTTTAAGCTATACCTGGAAAATATGGTACTTACTTTTTAAATTGTTAAAAAAAATGTGGTAGCAGAATATTTACAACTCTTATTAGAAGAATTGAAAACTTAGAACTTTTTTATTTCCATTTTTACTCTACAAATGAGAAAAACAAAGAATCTAACAGGCAGGATAATTCAGGACTTTGGAGACATGTATTCCATTGCGAAAATGACAGATGTTCTATTGTTATTGTTGTTAGAAGATTCTGGAAGTGGGGAGATGGCTAAAACAGTAAACATGCATTAGTAGGTTCATGGATTGTAATTAGTATGTTAGGAAGGCAAAAATAAAAACTTTCTATGTATTTATCAGCGATTGCTATACACAAGAATTCTTCCATTACTTGTGTCATTAATCCATATTTAACTCAAAAGTTGAGCTAATAAAAACAGCTTCTGGGGTTTCTAACATTTAACATTATACAAGATTATCCAATATATTCTGATTGCCTACCATGTCCTAAGCACCATTTTAGGTATTTGTGGTGGATTAGTGAGCAAAATAGATAAGCAAAATATCTCTAACCTGAATGCAGCTCAAATAAGTCAATAGAAAATACCCACTGTGTTCCACGAACCCTGTCTTTGTGGAGAGAAATGGGGGAGGAGTAGAACCCTGCTTCTGAGGATAGAACTGGGGGCAAACTAAAGGTAGCTCAGCTCCAGTCAAAGAAAGGGACAGCTGTCATGACATAGTCATGACATGCTCCTCATTCTTGTTCCAATGATGTTTGCTCACCTGAGATATCGTCACTGTTTACCCCTTAACAAGCAACTACACTTGTAGGCTCACTTGCCACTAGGTGTACAGTTCAAGTGAAGTCACGAACTATCCCCTGCATCTCAGGTCATCTCTATTTCTAGGCAGAATATTCAGGGCATGAGGAGAAGCCAGATTACAATGGATTGAGAAGTGAACGATTGCCAAAGAAGTATTCTTAGATGACAGTGTGAGATTTCAGTGGCATTACAACAATCATTCAGGATCCTGCTGCTCAGATTTTTGCCACACAATTCCTGTTGTAGGAGCTTATATGAAAACAATAGTGGAAAAAAGAAAAGCACACTTCTGTTGAGTTGCATCTAACATAAACTTAAGAACCAAAGTTAGGACACCAGGGGAAAAATTGTGGATTGAGAGAATTACCCTTGATGATCCCATAATTGCCCAAGTTCAAGTACTTGGTATCTGTTTTATTTTTACAACTACATATCAGCTCCTGTAACCTTTCGTTAGTCAATGTCTTCTATGCCGTTAGTTAATTCTCCAGTTGCTCTCTCAAGAATATTAACAAATCCATCACTGCTTATTACATATCTGTTCATATGAACCATTCATTTCTTTTCTTCTTTTTTTTCTTTCTGACTCTATCTCAAAAAATCCTTAGAATCAATTGTTTATTATTTCCTTAGGTTTTCACTTGTATACTGACTTTTTTCAGCCTGATTGTACTTAGAAAAGGTGATCATCAGCGTAGTATATGCTACATTTCAGAAATTTTGATGTGTAAATGGAAAACTTCCATTGTAACATTTGAAATATCTGGGTAAGCACTGGGTAAAGCAGGACTATTTGGTACAGAGCAGATTACAAGTACCTAAATGAGCCCTTTGACTCTGTTTCTTCCTTGAGAAGGCTGAGCACAAGAAGGGACCCTTGAGTATTTATTGACCTAGCCAAATAATGAAGAGAGAAGAGAATAATCTGTTTGCCTTAAAGGAGAAAGCCCAGCTAGAATATATTCCAGTAGGTAAATGACCAATAGTGTGAGCTGCACAAGGATTCTGAAACAGCAAACCTATCCCTAAAATATAATCTAGTTAATATCCTAATATCCTTGGTTCTGAACATTCAGATTAGAAAATCCTTATCTCCTGGGAGGGAACAGAAAGGGAGGTGGGCAGAGACAAGAAACATGGAATGAAGGACAAAAGTGTATGGAGGATAAGCATGCCTCTCTTTTTGTAAGTACCTCATTGCAAATACATTATCCTATAGTTACAAAACGAACCCAAATTTTACAATAAAAACACTGTCAGAGGAAAAATTATCTCCTATTAATTTTTCAAATAAAATATCTCGTGTTATCAATTAAAATTTTTAAAAACTAAATTCCACATTAGTCTGCTCTCCAATGTCATCTTCTGCTCATTTTATTCAGGCCATTCAGATACCTCATTAGATTCCACTTTCCTTTCATTGTAGCTGAGACTGAGTCATTTTCACTTAAGCAATTATAGGTGCTTGAATCTCCAAAGTTGAAAAATATTCCGTTGCTTTCCACCAATAGTCTCACACATATTCATTTTCCAAGTGATAAGAAGGATGATTACACATAAAAATATTACAAAAATATCTCCACAGTTAAGTTTTGAAAATTTGCCTTGAGCAATACCATTTAATGAGCAAAAGCAATGTTCCTTTGATACTGTTATCAGTTACAGAAGTAGAAAAAATGAAAAAAAGAAAATATTGTTTTCTACTTAAGCTATCAGTCAATTTCTAACAGATGTCCATAGTCCATGAACTGTAAACTTAAACTCCACAGGAAGAAATATCACCTTTAAGAAGTTAATAGTGAGTTTATGCCTTATCTACACTCTCAGAGAATAAAATGTGAAACTCTCTGTTTTCTTTAAAATTGTATAAACATTGTATACAGTTTACTTAAGGAATTCTTCCCCTTAGTTTATGAGAAATCTGAATTTCTATTTCCTTTTGAAGCTCATATTCCTAGTATCATAATACTAAATGGAACATGAGTTCTACAGTATTTTTTTTATAAGCAGGGCACTCTTATTTGTAAAAATATAGGTCCAGGTAGACTCAGCCATCATCCAAAAGCTTCCAGTATCCCTTCTGTATGTCTTTATTTCCAGCAGAATCCCAAAACTTTTAGCTCTTCATTATAGTGTCTGTCTTTAATTGATTTCATTTTTGCATATGGTGTAATATTTTATATATGATGTGGTCCAAATGCATTCTTGTGCATGTGGATATTCAATTTTCCAACATCATTTATTGAAGAGATTGTTCTTTCCCCATTGTGTGTTCTTGGCACCTCTGTTGAAGATCAATTGATTATAAATGCATGGGTTTACTAGACTTTCTATTCTGTTCCAGTGGTTTATATGTCGCTTTTATGCCAGTACCATGCCATTTTAATTACCATAGTTTTGTAATACCTTATGAAATTAGATGGTGTGATGCCTCCAGCTTTGTTATTTTTCCTCAAGTGTATTTTGGACTTTTTTTTCATAGAAATTTTATGATTTCCTATTTCTGTAAAAAAATGCCATTGCATTAAATCTGTAGATCACCCTGGATATTATGGACATTTTAACAATATTAGTTCTTCCAATCCATGAAGACAAGCTATTTTTCCATTTATTTGTGTCTTGCTCAATTTCTTCTGTCAATGCTTTATAGCTTTTAGTGCACTGACTATTCACTTCCTTGGTTAAGACTTCCCTTTCAATATATATTTTGACCCATTTGCTGTGCAAGAGTGTGTTGTTTAATTTCCACATTATGTGAGTTTTCCAATGTTTTGACTGTTATTAATTTCTAGTTTCATGCTTTTGTGGTCAGATAAGATACTTGATATGATTTCAGTCTTCTTAAATTGGTTAAGACTTGTTTTCTGACCTAACATGTGATCTACCATGTAATATGCTTCATGTGTGCTTGAAAAGAATACATATTCTACTGCCGTTAGATGGAATGTTCTAGATATGTCTATTAGGTTCATTTGGTCTGTAGTGTATTTAGATATGCTGGTTTCCCTATCCCTATTAATTTTTTGCCTGTAAGATCATTCCATTGTTGAAAGTAAGTTATTAAAGTCTCCTTCTATTATTGTATTGTTGTCTGTTTCTCTCTTCAGTTCTGCTAACATTTGCTCCACAGAGTTAGGTGCCCTGATCTTGGGTGCATGTCTATTTACAATCATTAAATCCTCTTGATGAAAGGACTCTTTAATCATTATATAATGACCTTCTTTTTCTCTACTCATGGGTTTTCACTTAAAACCTATTTTGTCTACATAAGTATAGCCATGTCTGCTCTCTTTTAGTTATCATTTGCATGAAATATCTTTTTCCATTCCTTCACTTTCAATCATATGTGTTCTTAAGGGTAAAGTGAGTATCTCGTAGGCAGTACGTAGTTGAATTTTGTGTTTTTTAATTCATTCAGCCACTCTAAGTTTTTTGATTGTAGAATTCAATCCATTTACACTCAAAGTAATTATTGATAGGTAAAGAATTACTGCTGCCATTTTCTTAATTGTTTTCTGACTTGTGTGGTTCTTTTGTTCCATTCTTCATCTCTTGATGTCTTCCTTTGTGATTTGATGGTATTTTTGTAGTGATATACTTTAAAACCTTTCTCTTTGTCTTTTACATACTGATTATAGGTTTTTTTCTTTGTGGTTACTATGATGCTTACATAAAACATGTTATAGTATAATAATCTATTTTAAGCTGATAACAACTTAACTTTGACCACATTAAAAAACTCTACACTTTGACTTCTCCTCCCCCTCCCAGATTTTATGTTATTGATGCCACAATTTACATTTTTAATGTATCTATTAACAAATCTATTATTGTTAATCTATATATCTATTATATAATATATACCTATTATATCCATATAATAAATATAGAAATAATATAACCATTGTTATATCTATTAACAAATTATTGTACTTATAGTTATTTTTAATACTTTTGTATTTTATTATACTAGAGTTGAAGGCTATTTATGCACTACCATTATATTAGAGTATATGAATTTTACTATATTCTTCCCTTAAGTGAGTTTTATTTTATTTTTATTTAAGGTTAATAGACTCTGTTTCTTAGAGCAGTTTTAGATTTAAAGAAAAATTGAACATAAAATATAGAGTTCCTATGTATTCATCTCCTATCCCACAGTTACCTTTATATTAACATTTTGTGTTGGTGTGGCACATTTGTTACAATTGATGAATCAATATGGACACACTACTGTTAACTAAAGTTCCTATTTTATATTAGGATTCACTATGCATTATACAATTCCATGGATTTTGCCAAATGCATAATGACTGCTTTAACTTTTATCCATCAAAAGGACTAAGTGATATACAATTTTAGTATAATGAACAGAAAAGAAATGAATATAATTAAAAATCAATTTGTGCAATAAAATGATTTAAATTATGTGGATTGGTGCTGCATAATTTAATAAATTTTTATTTGCACTGTAACATACTTATAAAAGTAGACTTATACAGTGAGTTATATAGTTTTATATATTTCTATGTTTATAGTTGGAATTATTTCCTTTCAACTTTAAAATTTTTCTCTGGCGTTTCTTGTAAGGCAGGTGTAGTGATGATGAACTACCAGAGCTTTTGTTTGGGAAAATGTTTCTCTCTCCTTTATATCTGAAGGGCAGTCTTAGGGGGTTAGTATCCTTGGTTGCCACTTTTTAAAATTTTAGCTCTTTGAATATATTATTCCACTCTCTTCTGGATGCAGGGTTTCTGCTGAGAAATTTGTTGAAAATGTTTTTGGGTTTTCCCTATATGTGATGCATTACTTTTCTCTTTCAAAATTTTCTTTTTGTCTTTGACTTTTGATAATTTAATTATAATGTGTCTTGTGAAGATTTCTTTATATTTAGACTATTTGGTTACTTTTGGCTTTATGAATCTAGACATTAATTTCTCTCTCCAGATTTGGGAAGATTTTTGCCATTATTTCTTTAAGTAAACTTTCTGCTTCTTCTCTTTCTTCTCTCATTCTGTTACTACTATAATGCATACATTGGCTCTCTTGATGATGTACTATAAATTCTGTAGATTTTCTTCACTCCTTTTCATTTTTTGTGTTTCTATAACTGGATAATTTCTAATGACATGTCTTTATGCTCACAGATTCTTTCTTCTGCTTGATGAAGTCTGTAGTTGAAGTCTCTATGATATTTTTAAGTTCAATCTTTGTGTCCTTTAGCTCCAAAATTTCTATTTGATTTTACTTTTAATAGTTTCCATTTTTTGGAACTTTTCATTTTATTCATGTATTATTTTCCTAATATTTGCTTAGTTGTATATTTGTGTTCTCTTCTTCTCACGGAGCCTCTTTAAGATGATGGTGTTAATGACAATGATAACTGTTATTTTTTGAGACAGGATCTTGCTCTGTCATCCAAGCTGAGTAAAGTGGCATGATCATAGCTTACTGTGGCCTCAAACTCCTGGGCTCAAGTGATCATCTCACCTCAGCCTCCTGAGCAGCTAGGATTACAGGTGTGTGCCACCATGGCCAGCTAATTAAAAAAAAAGTTTTAGAGAAGGGGTCTTGCTATGTTGCCCAGGCTGGTCTCAAACTCCTGGCTTCAAGTGATTCTTCAACCTCGGCCTTCCAAAGTGCTGATATAGGCATGAGCCACTGTACCTGGCCAAGATGATTGTTTTGAATTCTTTTACAGGTAGCTCATAGATCTCTATTTCCTTAGAGTTTGTGCTTTGGATGGAGTAGGTACCTTTTCCATTCTTTATAGACTGGCTTCAGCAGGGAAAACCCTTCACCAGTCAGTTCATCTAGAGATTCTGTGTGGGCCATGTAACAGAATCTCTGGAGAGACTGGTTTGGTGTCTGGATTAATATTTGAGCAGGTCTGGCACCTGGAAAAACAGAAGCTGGCCAGGCACCATGGTCTACTGCAGTGGACCTTTAGTCTGGGTCTGCAGAAGCAGGCCTGGAGGTGGGATCCACAAAGACCAGCCTGAAGCCTGGATCCATAGCAACCAGCTAGAAGCTGCAGTGGACCTGGGACCTGGGTCCATGATATAATAGTAGGCTTGGGTCTTTGGTCCTGGATCCACAAAGTCTGTCCTGGATCCTGGATCTGTAGCAGTGGTCCTGGAGCTTGGGTCCATGAGGTCAGCCTGGTATTGGGATGTACTGTAGCAGTTCTGGACCCTGGGTTTGTTCAAGTAAATCTGTAGTGTGGGGTTCCAGGGGCTGGCCTGGACACTGGTGTCATGGGAACCAGTCTGGAGCTGGGCAGACCTGGAGTCTGAGTCTATGTGGGCCAGCCTGGATCCTGGGCCATGGGATCTAACCTGGTACCAGATTTCACTGAAAAAATATAGCAAAATTCTTTATGCCTATGAGTCCTGTCCACTAGAAGAGTTTAATTAATTGGCTCACTTCTTCATTTTAATGGAGGCATAACCTATATACACTATAGTGCATATCTTAATTCCATAGCTTGATAAAATTTTACATATAAATAAACTTGTGTAACTGCTTATGAGAGCTAGATAAAGAACAACTCTGTTAGCTTATTCTTAAATTGAACTCTTGATGTTTTTGGAGCAAAGTCTGTGCCCCCAGATCCAGGTGAGGAACAATATATCCCTTTCTGTAAGCTCTCTTCTTTCCCAAAAAGTGCTTTTTTCTGGCTGCTAAATTTTTCAGGCCATGAGTATATTGCCTACTTCAAGGGAAGCAGATATAGCTCTGTAGTCCTAATCCTATTCTGAAGCAGTGGACTTGGCCTCTGGTGTTCTAAGATTTTTTGCAGATGTGGCTTTACTTTTTTTTTCTAAAGCATATCTAACTTGTTTTCATTTTGTATCCATAATGACTAACAAAGTTGAATATCTTTTCTTGTGTTTATTGGCTATTTCAATTTACTGCTTTGTGAAGTGTCTGTTCAAATTATTTGCCTATTATTGAATGGTTATCTCACATTTCTTATCGATTTGTAAGAGTTCTTTCTAATTTCTGGTACAGCCCTTTTTAAAGACTTATGTTGCAAATATCTTCTTTATGATCTGCTCTGTTGGTGTCCTGTCAATTGCTGTTTTTATGATTTCCTAGAACACTTTTGGAGGCCACCTCTCAATAAGTTTTGCAAATAGCTCCTACTAGAACAATTATTCCACTGTGTAGGATCTTGTTGTTCATTCTCCATTAAACCAATCCTGACCTATTGAAAATGAAGTGAGGCCATTAAATATAAATTGTGCTTTATCCAAAATACAATATGTAAACATTGCATATAACTTTTTGAAATTAAACCTTTCTATGGCATCACGAAGAATTAACAATAGATAAAGAATTCTGAGCAGTGTTCCATAATGAAGTTTGTTTATTCCAGAGTAAAAGAGAGTGAAGAATCCATGTCCTTATATGTTGTAAGGATATTATAAATATATCTGAGTTAGCAGGTAGACATATAACCATTTTAAGGCAGGAGAACAGACCGCTAGATGCTATTGCATTGTTCCTGTATACCTTTGATTCTACGTGTTTTCATAAAGGGAAACTATAATTCATGAGAAATAAGACTTTAGACCTATATATTATTTGTTTAATAAAATAGGAAGACATATCAGGAAGCTCAGCATACCTCATTTAAATGGGCACTGGCATCAATAAAGAAACTATTTTCTCTCAAAATTCTAATCCTTTTAAACGATACATTTTGTTAACCAACAAAAATAATCACAGTCCCTTGACTTTCTATTTTCTTATTTGAGTGATATGGTGGTTGACCCTAAGAAAACTCTCAGAAGCTCTGTGTGGTATAAGTATTAAGGGGAAAAAGGCAAAACGAACTTAAATGTTTAACCCTTGTATATAAAGACTGATGCCTAACATAGATCAACGTAATCTAAAGAAAGTTTGAATAATATATTTTTTAGAAAATTCCTCTCCCGATCAGGAATATCAGACAGCCATTAGTGTTTGTTAGTGTTTCTCTTGCTGTTCCACTTAGTGTTACTGACTTTTGTGCTTTAACCTTTCCTGGAATATCTAGCTTTACTGCCAATCTCAACAACCAGTGGAAATCTGACTGAGGAGCTTTTTCTAAATCCCGTGATGGAAACCTTCTATAATGAGGAGGCACATTCTGCGTCATTGAGAATAAAGCTATCAATCATAAGTAATCTATGGCAATAAAATAATAAAGATAACAATGTTTTTCCTTTATCTCCCTGTTTTTGTGTTTTAGGATCCCTGTAGGACTCAATTTAATGTTGAGGGATAGGTAACATTTCACTGATTATTTCTGTATACCTACCAATTCCCAAAGGGCTGTGATGAAGGCTTACTATTTAAAAATGGAAGGTACAGAACAAAGTTAATAAGTTTTATTCAAGGAAATATTTCAAAGTCATTGATATAACATCTGTTTCAAATTGTCATGAATATATGTGGCACATGAAAAGAAAGCAACCTCAAGAATTAAAACTCAAGTTTTACTTTTAATTTTTCTCCCATAACAAATAACAAGTACTTGAGAAAGTCATTAAAACACTCTGGGCTTCACTTCACTCTCCTCATTTTCAAATTAAAGATTTAGGAAAAAAAGATTCCCTGATATTTTTTGCTTCATTATTTTAAGATAAAGTTTAGTTTTATAAAGTTAGATTAATAAAAATTTAGGTTTTAAAGGAGAAAATAAAAGAGCAATATCTATTGGGAGATAACCAGTTTTAATAATATCGTAGATACATTTTTCACCTACATGAATATTGTTTTCACCTACAAACAATATTGTTCTGTAAAGATGACACAAATGGTAGATGTCAGTTTAGAAGCCCATGTTTGATTACCCATGAATAGAACATACTGCTCTTTCTCAAATTTGCATCATTAGATGGAGCCCTTGAGGGAATAACATTTCAGGAGATGAAATTTTGAGGATTCACATTTGAAATGGAAGATTCCAATCCTCATACAAATCCAAAGGGAATTAAAGCTCTTCTCTTGAAGTTCAATGCACTTTAACTTGGCTTTGGATAAACAGAGTGCCAAGCTGAGCTAATGATTTTCCCCAACTTCTACGACTGTTCTTCTTATTCCATTCATACTGCTTTGAAGTAGATAGCTTTTAAAATTTTCTAAACTGAAATTCTAATAGTCTTCCTATCCAAATTGTGTGAGTCAGGGCAAAGAAAAAAGTTGAAAATACAAAGTAGATGTTTGGATAAGGCTATATTTGCAGAAACTCACATAAGGGCTTAAGAGAAGACAGTAGTGGAATAATAATGTGAAATTAGTCTATGTTTATAATAACTGTTGTCCTGTTCCCTGATAAGACTGCTTTTGTGTTACTTTTAAAAAATACTACAGTCATGATCTGGTCACTTCTTCCTTCCTACAGCCACTATTATTTATTTCTGCAGTGTGCTCCTGTGCCCCACTACCATCGCCCCACATCTCATTCTGAATACTATACAGCTATCAACTTTCTCTTTGACACTGACTATCCTATTTGTTTTCTAATTTCTGCCCTTATCTTGTATAAAAGAAGATAATTGGTCACAATCTTGCCTCCTGTCTGTAATAGCTCTGATTCTTTTCTGTTAATGTCTTCCTCTGCATGCCAAAGACATGGCTGCCACTGCCTTGGATCCTGTCTCTGGTTTTAACCTACTACTTGGCTGTCTTACCAACTCATCCTCACCCTCCATATACCAATACATGCTGTCAGTATGTGGGAGGCAATCTTTTCTTTCATCCTGCTGTAAATATCCCAAAGAAGAAATGCATGCATTCTAAGGAACATTCATATCATTCATCATTATCACTAATATTTATTGAATATTTATGAATGTGCCAAGATAAGTACTTTATACATGTAATGTTATTTAATTATCACAAAATGCTATGAGTTAATTACTGTTTCTCTTTCATAGATAAAGAGAATGAATGCAGCTTAGAGAGGTTAATTAGTATGCTCTAATTACACAGCTAGTAAGTGATGAAGATTGATTTTGACACTGCATCTGACTTCACAACATAAACACTTAACCCTTGGGTTCTGTTACTCAAGAAAAGTTTTCTTCTTTGGGTGTATTCTCTCAATCAAGCCTTTCTCCTGCTTATAAAATGGTCTTTCTTATTTTTGTAATTTTTCATAGATAATTGGTAAAGTATCAATTTCTACCATTAGAAACCTTTTTTTCGGATATGCAGTGTTTGAGACAAGCATAACTCTTTAGAAAGCAATTAATTAAGTTCTTTCAGTTTTAATAATGCTCCAGGTCAAATGGAGGAGCCAAGTCCTGAGTTCATGGAAATCACTGGATTTGATGTTTTGTGTTTATGTGAGAACCAACATTTTTTTTTTTTTACTTCCTAATTTCCTTCTATGGAGGCAAGTTTGTCTTAATTTTCCTTTCGAGGTGTTGTGAAAAAATGCCATTGTTCACCACATTGTTCTCTGGATCCTCTATACAACTTCCAACATCTCACTTCCAACGTTTTTGCTAAGGGAATGCATAACGTGTCATCCATCTTTATTTTTAAATTGAATTTCTATGAACTAAATTAAATCTTACATTAGATATTATACATTAACGTGGGTCTCTCTATTATAGATGCTTTCTCTGATGCTCCTTTGTGACTCCTTTTTTTCTACTGACAAATCAGAAAGTTCTCCTAGATCCTTTCCCAAAAGAGTTTTTGGGTCATCAGGCAATTACATTTGTGTTATCTTAACCTTTTGTTGTTTATCATTCTTGTCACAGTTAAGGAAGACAGCAGAATCCATATATCATTTGACAATTGTTAGTAACACAGAACACCATGAAATAGGTGGTAAATCATAGGAAGGAAATGTTCCGGTTAAAGCCACCTCAAACTCCAGGGGCCATTCCTGGGTAGCAGCAATGCTGTTATTGTTCTCTACAAGCTATATAAGTGAGGATCCCCAAATTTCTACAGCAGAGAGGGAAGTATGAGTCTGATTTAAAGATATTTTCTTTCTTTCTTTTAGCTACCTCGCTGGCTTTGAGCACAACCCAGGAAGAAGTTTGAAACCAAGAAAATGGTAAGTCTGATATGATGACAGTTATAAAGTTTTGAGACATGTTAGCAACTAAATTGTCTTTTTTGCTTCAGTCATGTTTTTCCTTTCCTTTTTCCTAGACCATAGAGAACAAGATGTAACAGAATTATATTACAATTTCAACCCTAATTCCAACATAACAACTGACTAGACAATCTACTCAGCACATGACTTGTTAAATCATGATTCCACTTCATATTTGTCTTTTTAGTCTATTGATTTCTCTTATCAGTTACATACGATGTCAGTTCTTCTAATCAGTAGTACAGATTAACAACGACTACACCCTAACATTTCTAAGATTTCTCTTATCCTTTCTCAAGAGTCTTGCCTTATTATTTTAATCATGTGGTATTGAAATTTCAGGGAGATATTTAGCTTATTTTGAATAGCATTTCTAATAGTTAATTGAAATAATCAAAGGACAATTTCTTGTTGATACACTTGTCACTTTGGTCAATTAAAATACAATTTTAGAATGCTAATTAAATTGATTAAAGAAGTTTTTTTTCTATAGAATTGTAAAGATAAGCCTTCTTCAACTTACTAATCTTAAATTAAGAATGTATTTACTGAATACCTATTATGTAGAGGGTGCAAAAGAAACATGTGATGTGACTTACTGCGTTTAGGTAACAGACCATCTGAGTAAGGGTCGAATATACTTAGTAAGGTAGTACATAAAAGAAGTACTAAATTCGACGTCTTTACTGATAGATTATGTAATACAAACAAGTGATACACATTCCATAGACCCGCAGGATTAAGATAATGACCAAGGGAGTCAGTCTCTCTTTGCAGTACTGTATGAGAGCAGAGTAAAAGTCGGCGATAGAGGGCTCATGGCAGGACAAGTGTTTAGAAAGTTACTTCCACTCTTTGACTAAGTATTGGTTGAAAGGTGTGCCGCCAAAACTGTAACCAAAGGAGCCATTATGCTTCTGGAAAAATCTCAAGGAAAAGTATTGGCAGCCACAGTAGTAGCTGTTGGATCAGGCTCTAAAGGAAAGGGTGGAGAGATTCAACCAGTTCGTGTGAACGTTAGAGATAATGTTCTTCTTCCAGAATATGGAGGCACCAAAGTAGATGACAAGGATTAGTTCTCATTTAGAGATGGTGACATTCTTGGGAAGTATGTAGACTGAAATAAATCCTGTTGAAATAGCATCGACACGAAGCTTCCCATTCCACTGAAGTTCTGAAATCTTTCATCATGTAAATAATTTATATATCTCTCTTTTACACTAAGCTAATGATAAATAATGACACAAATAATAATGACTAAGTTATTTGAATCAAATAAAAAGAGATTAAAAGGAGCCAGATGAAATGAACAAGAATGGAGTATACTTGATTGAATTATTTTTTCATAGTTATGTTTGCACTATTATATGTCACGCTATTGCAATGAACATTAAAAGAGTAGTGCTTGGAATAAGATTAATAGTAACTATTGTACATTTATCATTTGAACCTCTCCATGCTTATGGATTTTGTTATTTTAAAAAGTACCATTTTTCACATACAAATAATATAAAACATAATTTAAAATTGAAATATTTACAAGTCAACCTCAGGTGTCATTACAAAGTTTTCAGCTAAATTTTAAAATCATGTTTTTAGTTTTAAGAACCTATTTTTTTCATTCTTGTTAGTTTATCTAATATTCCTTTTTGTAACTTACATTCTATATTTGGTCTTATATGTTTTCAATGTTATATATTACTTAAAAATAAACTTAAAGTAGGAAGCCACATTATGAACAAAATAAAAGGACCATGAAAATGGTTGCAATTGATATCTAGAAATAGGATGATGTATAAAGTGGGTTGCATCAAAGCTATACTTACATTTACCACAGGGTGACACCCTAGCATCATTAATGAAAATAAAACTCGAATACATACAGAAGCATAATCACAATATGATGAAAACTAGCTCAAATTATTACAAGTTCTTTCTTTCAAGGAAATCATCATGAGGAACCAGGGTTTAAGCATTATGCTTAGTATTTTATAAGTTTAATTTTCCCTGACTCTAGTTACCTCTAGATTTTAGATAATTCTAAAAAATTATCTTAAATAATTCTAAATAATTATCCAGAATGATTCTATGTAATTAGAGAAAACTAGATAATTCTAACATCTAATTGTACTTCTTCTCTTGGCATCTGCCCTTTCCTCCTAGTCATATCTTCTTTTATTTAAAGAGAAAAATGAATCCTACCTAATCCTCAAGCCAGTTATGTATCAGCTCACTCAGTTCTTGAAAAATAATCCTTGATTTGTAGAATCCACTTTCTAATTACTCTCCAATCAACAGGAGTTTTGTCTCCAATGCCATCTTTCTATTAAAACTAGCTTTCAAAGTTTCAATGAGCTCAATGAGTATCAAAATGAGCTTGCATTTGACACTAACTGCTGTTCATCCTCCTCCTTCGGAAACTCTCTTCTAGTAAGGTTTGATGGCATTAGCCTCTTCTAAATTTGTTGTTATCTGTTAGGTTGTTGCTATTCTATTTTATTAGTTCTTCTTCCTTAGCCTCTTCCTTATATGGTTGCATCCTCCAGAATTTTGCCACCAAAAGATCTGTCAGCCAGTCAGTTTTCTGTAGAGTAGCCCAGAGACTATTTTCTCAATCCTTTCCTTCGAGTTTAAGAAACACAATGCAGCCAGTATTGATTTCATAAGGTGGTGGGTTTTGGGGCATGCACATCTTTTTCTTGAGTTTCCATCCAAGATTTAAGGTTTTAGTTCCTGATGCTGAGAACACTCAAGGCAGATGGCAGGCGGCTTCCCCTCTGAATCCTTTTCAGGCTCATCCTTCTATCTTTTCAACTTATCCACTGCCACCACTTGTCTCTTCTTGCATTGATTCTGACGAGTGGTTCTACTGCTGGGCTCTACTGTTGGGTAGGGAGAAAAAAGCGGTCTTGGATCCTGCATGTGAAGGTGGAGAGGAAAATAACTCCAAGTGTTGTATTGTGTTAGGTCAGATTCTTCAGAAGCCAATCCTTAAATGGGACTGCTTTTAAGAATATTTATTGAGAGCTCTCTCCGAGAGGGGATTTAGGAAGCAGGGTAGATAAGGAATAAAGCTAAGCAAAATGTGGTCTCACGCGCAGACTAGCTTAGTCTAACCCCACAGAGAAAAGTCTGGAACACCTATTGCTCCATAGAGTTAGTCTCACTTGAGGCAGGGAGGCCAGACTTTTATACCTTCATGTCAGAGAGCCACTGCTAAGGGTAGTTACCTGGAGAATGGGGTAGCTGTGAGTTGCTAGTAGCCAATACTCAACAGCAAGTCGATGGCCACTGGCCAGTAAAGGGGATGAGGGCAGGGCTCCCATAATTTCCCTACCTGTTGTCTTCAGATGGAGGATCTGAAAGCAAATCATACTTTTTCACTGCAAAGGTTAATCCTTGCTAATATCCTAGAGGTAGACACGTTCTGTCTTTGTCCTAGTGTTTAGTCACTTTTAAAAACTCCATTTACATATGGACAACAAAAAGTAGAAACTTTACAGTGGAGAAAGCTGGCACATACCATCTTAAATAAGTAATCAAGTTAACAGCATCAGTAAGTACCAAGACACAGTGATATCAGGCACCCCCTGATGTGATCCAAGGAGAAGGGCTCTTCACCTCTGTGGTACTCTTTCCAAAATCCATAACTGCAGTTTAGTTATAAAAAAATCAGACAAACACGAATTGAAGGACACTCTATAAAACAGCTGACCAGTACTCTTCTTAGATATACAGGTCATAAAAGACAAGGAAAGACTGTGACACTCTCACAGATTAGAGGAAACTAAGAAGTTATAAATAATGCAAGGTGGGATCTTGCATGGAATCCTGAAACAGTAAATGAACACTAGTGGAAAAAAGGAAATTTAAATTAAATTTATAGTGTAGTTGAGAGTATTCTACCACTGCTAACTTCTTCATTTTGATAGTTGTACCATGGTTATGTAAGAGGCAAACATAAAAGGAAGGTAAGTGAAAGGTATACAGGCACTCTCTATTATTTTGGCAACCACTCCGAAATCTAAAATCATCCAAAACTTAAAATATTTTTTTCCTTTACAAATCCTTATTCTGTTTACTTATAAATGAGGGACTGGGTTTGTGATGAAGAAGAATCCATTCTGCCATATTACAAGTGCATATAGTTGACAAAATAATATTCCTATTGAACAGTGAAAAATCAATAACATAATATTCCTATTGAACAGTGAAAAATCAATAACATAAAGGAATATGTATGTCAAGCATAATTTTATGCTACATATTCACTGAGATGATACATGACAAATGGATGTAGTATGGCAAATAGAAAAGAGCTACTTTGTTTTCCAGTCACTTACTATAGTAATTGCCTTAGAATGAGAACAACATATTATCAAGTCAGTTTAGAATTTGCTGCAAGAAGATGTTTGGGCAAGAAGAAAGCACTTATTTTATACTTTATTCTCCATTTCCCCTAGGTGGTTGGGAAGACCAGGATGCGCAATGGCAAGGTGAGATCCTGGTTATCTCTTTTTCTTCTAGCATTTGTTTCCCTAAGTGGAATACGAGATTTACTGCATTTTTTTGGTGAATGATATGAAATAGAGGACAGATGTTCATGACTGGAGGGCTTATTGAGAATTATGTTAAGCTGTAAGTAATAGAATTCTTGACTAACTGTAGCTTAAACAAATAGCAGTTTCATTTTTGTATATAATGGGAAGTCTGGAGGTAGACAGGCTCCTGTATTTCGGCTCCTCTGTCTTCCTTTGGGGGTGCTCCACCCATTGCAAGATACCCAGCAGCCCTGCCTCACTTACTGAATAGTTAGGGAGCTCCAGTGCTGTGACAGTCAGATCAGCCAGCAAAGAGTTCCGAAATGCTCCCACTTGAGATCCACTGGGCACATTATTCCCCTGAACAAAATCAGGGTTCTATTAGCAAAGAAGAGGAGAAAGAGAACTTGGGCTAGCACTCCCTGCCAGAGAAGATAATGAAGTAGAAAACAAAGGGCAGCATTACATTTATTTACTTTTACTCTCAGATCAGGGACTGACCTGCATTGGAAATTAGTTACTGAGTACATTGTGCAATGTGCAAAAGTAATGTAACATAATGTAATTCTGCCACCTGAAACTGCGACCATGTTACACGTAGCAAAGAGGGAGTGAGGGAAAGGAAGGTAAAAGACATCACTATCATCTGATAAACAAGCAAGAGTTGGAGAATAATTACCCACAGGGTAATTGAGAGGATTGAACAAAGTCATAGTGAAAGAAAATGTCACAGAAAAATGAGCTATGCAGGACATTTTATCAAAACTTTTTTCCAGAATTAATCAGACTGATGAAAGAAAACATTGTAATATGTATAGCTCCTCCACGAAAAGTGTGGTAAGCTGCTCCAATTCTGTTACTCTCCTATTAAAGGAAACTAAGGGTTATAGAGAAAAGAAAAATTCATCTTTAAGCTGAAATTAATACTTGATTGATTCTATAATTCTACTATTTTTCCTTTTTTTTTCTTTTTTAGGAAGTCAATTCAGACAACCATGTTAGTTTTATTTATTGTTTAATTTACAGATTATGTGTGTGTGTGTATTGTTTTATCTTTTCTTTGAGAGACAGAATCTTACTTTGTCAACCAAGCTGGAGTGTAGTGGTGCAATGACAGCTCACTGCAGCCTTCATCTCCTGGACTTGAGTGATCCTCCCACTTCAGCCTCCCAAGTAACTGGGACTATAGGCTCACACCACCACAACTGGCTAATTTTGTATTTTTTGTAGAGACAGGGTTTTGCTATGTTGCCTAGGCTGGTCTTGAGCTCCTGGGGTCAAGTGATCCTCCTGCCTCCAGCCTCTGACACTATATTTTTACTCTTTTCTCTTATGTACAGTGTTCCCAAGTCTATGGTATAATGAACATCAGGAGTTAATATATTCATATGTTAAATTTTCTTAACTTTCTATAGTGTCATAATGGCATAGAATCATTATGGAAGTTTATAATACTCCCTGTCATTTACTAATTACTGATGATATTTATTTGCATTTTAATAAGAAGCCTGTAACCTAACTGACCTCATGTAAAGGAAGAAAGCTATTCCGGTTAGTCCTAGTGAAATTTGATCAGTGCTTCTTGAATTACAGTAAATGTGAACAGATAACATATACAGTGTGCAAAAACTTCTGAAAATAACTCATTTATGTAGATTACATAACTAGAGTTAAAGAATTAGGGACCCTTAGCATTGCAAGGTACTTTTAGGAATCTCCTTGGATTTAATTATTCTCTTTAGCAGTAATCTTTGTCTAATATACTGTAAATTTTACTAGTTTATTATCTATGTTGTCCACTCTTTTCTTTTTTCTATTTACTGCTGTATCTGGAGTGCTGACAACTCTGGAATACACAGTAGGCACCCAATACATACAAGGGAGTAAATGAATGAATTAAAGCTGTCTGTATCTGCTGATCATCCACAATTTAGACGTCCTATACTACATTCCAAGTAAGCCTACATTTGAACACATCTGGTAATTTTAAAAATGTGTACACCTATGAAAATATTTTAATATATAGCACTGCAATAAAACTCTATTAAAATAGAAAAACATGAGTTGAACATCTTTCCATATTGTATAAGTAATTTCTTGGCCCCAATTTATTTCAAATGCACATATTCCAAATAAACATACATATACTAAATCTATATATATTCTGAATATATCCTTCCCAAATATGTATATAAATATTTCAAATATATATTTTCTAAATATATATATTCCATACATATGTAATATATATCAAATTATTACACTAAACAGGTTGGATTTAGTCTAAGAGCCAGTTTATAATTATACCTTAGAAATATACCCAGTAGTGCTTTATAGTGCTTTTAAAACATGATTTAAGGAGCAAAATCAGCTAACAGAAGAGCATAATTAAGGAGATTATAGACATATCTTTTAAAGAAATTAAATTCCTGGTACAAATAAGAGAAGGTAAAAAGCTCACAATTCCTTTTTTCTTTCATAGTTGAGGGCAAGCGGGGTACGTGTCCTGAATTTATAGAATCTTTTGACACAAAGCAAGAGAGCCACAGTCAAGACTCAAGTCAAAAGAAATTTAGACCCCATCTGGGCAAACAGGCCTCTAAGCAACAATCTAAGATTTCCACCTATTGTTCTGGCATTCCTTGTATAAATGATTATGACTGCAGAGATCTTAGGAAGTGCTGTGGTACCTTTAGATGTGGCCTGAGGTGCATACATCCTCTTATGATTGGCCCTGTATTTTTCAATTCACCTCCACAATCCAAGGCATAAGTAAGTATCGGGCAACATGATCCCCTCATCAGTTCTCTGACTCTCTTAAAATACTTTCTGTATCTTTTGTCTTAGTAGTCTTCCAACCCAACCTCATATTTTATATTCTATTATAACTATAGTATAGAATTTATAGTTAGAATGGTCTAGAATATAGTCCACTTTCTCTATGGCATATAAAAAGGCATGCCATCTCAGAAGAAATTCTGCATATATGCCACCTGATTTCAATTATTTATTCATTCAATTAACATTTATTGGATGCCCACAATATGTCACACAGTGAGAATGCAGGGATGGAAGTGACAGATTGGAACCCCTATGGTTATGCAGTTGATAATATTAGCATATGGTCTTTATCGTTCACTAAGCAACCAGATCTCTTCCTTTCTTTTATTCCCTTCTGCACCCCTTCCATCTCTAAGGAAAAGAAAGCATAAATCTCACATCACTTAAAAGTTAGGCATCAGTTTTTAAGCCTTGGTTGAATTACTTTCTTCTCTGTTTTCCTCCCAGATATTGGATGGAGAAATGGATTCAGATGGAGGCATCATTGAGCTTATTCTTGACTCATCTCAGTCCAAACATTACTCTGTCAATCGTTGTTCTTAAAATCTGCATATTAAAAGCTCAGCATCAACTATTTTTGAGCTCTGTGTCTCATTCAGGGGTTTTGATTAATTTTGAGTTCTAAGGGTACTGGAAATAACTGGATTAGCAAAGCATATGGTCTTCTCTGCTGTTCTCTTGGGATACCTATGGACCAATGGGGTATACCCAAAGTTTCTTTAGAAGATGAAATCTAAGGGATTCTGGAAAATATTCAGAAGACACACATTTCAATTTAATCATTGAAATGGCCTGCAGATAATTCTGAAAGTCCACATGCCATACAGGTTCTTTGTTCCTGTTTTGTTTTGTATGTAATTGGTATTATTTTAATCTTTTGTTTGATATTGATCTAATCTTTTACTATTTGTTTTGGAGAAATATACGGAAGAAATCCATGCCAATGACATTTACTAATCTGCTTAAGTTAAAGCACAAATTAGATTAGTGAAATCCATGGGGGTCATCTCTTATGATGTCCACTTCAATATGACAGATTTTTCCCATTTGTATAATTTGAACTTGTTAATTTAAGAAATAATTAATGAACTTTAATGAAGCCTATCTTTGCACAGATGTGCTTCGTAATATGGCATGAAAATGCATGAATCATATGGATAGTAACTTGTATGAATTCAATGAACAAAGAAATTGCTGGTATACGCTATAGCTGACCATGCTGGCAAATATTCTCATTTGTTTTTATATTTTATTCAGTGATGGGGAAGAAGAAACTCCAGAAAAAAGAATTCCACATATATATTAGGATGTTTCTTTTATACTTTTTCAAAGAAAACTTGTTAGAAAAAAAAGAAAAATTATGTTTACTAAAAGGTAGTAGCCAAAATTTGCATATAGCTCAGCATTGTATTATGTTGCTCAAGGCTTACATTCAATATACTCCTCTGCAAAGCTGTAATTCTGATTTTGTTTTACTGAGTCAATGAAGAAGAAAATTATTGTGTTCCCGTAGTACTGAAATGAAAGTGAGCTTGCAGCTGGAGTGATGAGATGAGACTAATCTTGCTGGTAGTGTCTAATTGCCGCTAAACATGGTGGGCCTTAGGCATTTTGAATATCAAGAGGTAGGTTGATGACAATGATAGTCAAAAATTGGAATTGACCACTTTAGCTGCTAACTAAGTAAGACTACTTCCTACCACCATGAGCTATGTAGTGTAGCTATCAACTTTTAAAATTTGTTTTTATTTACTTTGAATTCCACAATTAATATATAAATTCATTCTCAGTGTAAACATATTTTTAAAAATTATGAACAAACTAAAAATCCTTCTTGACTTACCTAAAAATAACTACTATAATCTATTTGGTTTATTATCTGCACAGGCCTTTTGGGGTGCCTTTATGTTTAAGAACATTTATAAATATATACTGTTATTTTGTGTACTTAATTAAACATAAAGTATGCATCATAGCATATCCATTGTGATCCAGCTTTAGTTTCTTACTTAACAATATGTCTTGGAGGTAATTCCACGTCAACTTATAAAGAACTGCCTTTTTTTTTTTTACTGCTGCTTAGGATTTTATACAATAGATATATTAGAATTAACTCCAGCAATCCTCTGCTGGGGGCCATGTAAATGGCTATAATGTTTTTGCTATAACAAATAATTTTTAATATATACCATATTTAAATATACATGTTTTAATATAAGCATTATTATTATGTAGGTATGGTAAGACCAACACGTCAGAAGATGACTACCATTGAAGAGATAGTGTGTTATTTGCAGATCCCAAGAGAATGGGACACACCATGTCATGCTGTGGATGTTTACACATGGAAGCCTCCATGACAGTCAGGAGGCAGAGGGAGCAGGAGAGGACTGTGGGCAAGATCTTCTATTGTGGTTTCTGTGGGAAGGAATGGTTGATGCAGGATAAGAAGGTTAAGGATTAGCTAGTTTGTTTCAGTGGGCTCTGGGGTATAGAGACTGTTGCTGGTTGTCTGAGACCCTGGGGTGATTAGGACAGGTGGATAGCGGTCTGGAGTGTGAGAGCCCAAAGGAGCTGGTTGTGGGGTGTGGACACTGAATTGATTTGCCTTTGTAAAGCAAGCTCACTGGATGGATTGTTTGCTAACTCTAAGAATTGGCTAATCCTGGGAAGGATGGTCTCTCCAGGGTGAGCAAGGCCTCAGATGTCAAGGCGTTGACACGCAGAAAATAAAAGCCATTTGCTCTTTAAATATGCTTCCATTTTATTTCCCTATGTTAGCTTCTAATGGAACTGAAGAAAGGAAAGCAGATTAAAGCTTTTCTATGTCAATCATATTAAACACATGCCTAACAATGATTTTGAAATTTTTGTATGTAATATTTATTTATAATATTTGTTTAAAAAATAAAGCCATGGTGACTGGTACAAATTGTGAAAAATTTGTATTTTCTATTTCAGTTACTATTAAATCTCCACTTTTAAACAACATACACTGAGAAATAATCAATATTCTTCCACGTTACCAGCTTAGACAATAAGATGCTCTCATGCCTTAAGTGGTTGAATTTATAGCTTTTCGGTTTCTGGACCTGCCTGTTCTTCAATATTTTATACTTCTAGACAGAAGTACATATTGGGAGAGTAACTCTTCTGTTTCTCCAAGCTTGTTTCTCTAAGGCAAATGCATTTTTTCTCATTTAGCAAAAACAAAAAAAAATTTTATTCGTAGAATAAATGGAATAAAATTTACATTTTTGAGGTTACATTACTTTAATCCTAATTCTGATACAGTTAGCAAGGTGATCATTCTTAAATCCAATAAACTAGTGGAAGCAAGTGTTTTTGCTTATCGCATCAGGGAGAATGGCAGTGGTGTGTACATATGTTCTTCCTCAATTCTATGATTTCATTTATTGTAAGATACAACATCACTTTAATGTCACGTAATTTTAATAATGAAAAACAGCTAGCTTCCTTAAAATACGCATTGACTGTAGGATGAATGCCATTAACAGAAAAGAAAAAATAAACTTTAAATATTTCAGTTGTAATAATGTTTGTAGGGGATTTTGTGAGACTTTTATTAATTTTTTTATTGATACATGACCAATGTACATATTTTAAAAGTATATATGATAATCAAATACATTCAAATAATTTTCTAAGATCAAATCATTGTAATTGAGCTATCTATCACTTTAAATATTTGCTCATGAAACTATTTTTAAGTGCCTTCTTTTAGACTTCTACACTCCAAGCTGAGGTGTGGTGAGCAAAAACAAATAACAAGAAACAAGAGAAGTGGAAACAGTGCTTGTTCCCAGAAAAGTGCTGAAGGCATGGTCCTATGAGCCATTTTGAGACAAAATAAATTTTTAATAGGGTTGACTCTAGCCACTACTGTAAATATAAATTTACAGTAAATTTAGGACAAGTTATAGTACCAGTAAGAAAACAACTGAGTTTGAACCAGTGGATGACCAAAAAAGAGAAAAGAATGCCCACCTGGAAAAGAGTAGTCTGAGAAATATGTAGCACTAGAAGGCAGAGCTAAGGAAAAAGCTTATTAGCAGAAGGAAAGAAATCATAAGGAAGCTCTTTAATGTTATCCAAACTTAGGCTGACCACCCACACCTCTGCAAATCTTTCAACAACAGCTTTCTCTTGGATACAGTGGTGAGTAGAAATTTTGATCTTGGTTGTTGTCTTAATTGTTGCTCTTAGCAATGTATATTTGTCCCATATCTTTCAATTCCATAGTAAACCACTGCTCACTTTGCTGTTGGATAACACCAGGATGCCCTGAATATAATACTCTCAAATTATTACTGTTTCTTCCCCTAAAATAACATTAAAGAAGGAGGTAAGAGTCAAAACAATCGCTTTTGGTGTTTTAGACATGAAGTCCTTGCCTACCAAAAGCGATTGTTTTGACTCTTACCTCCTTCTTTAATGTTATTTTAGGGGAAGAAACAGAATGGCAACAAAAGCCAAAATTGACAAATGGGATCGAATTAAACTAAAGAGATTCTGCACAGCAAAAGAAACCACCTTCAGAGTGAACAGGCAACCTACAGAATGGGAGAAAATTTTTGCAATCTACTCATCTGACAAAGGGTTAATATCTAGAATCTACAATGAACTCCAATAAATTTATAAGAAAAAAAACCCCACCAAAAAGTGGGCAAAGGATATGAACAGACACTTCTCAAAAGAAGACATTTATGCAGCTAAAAGACACATGAAAACATGCTCATCATCACTGGCCATCAGAGAAGTGCAAACCAAAACCACAATGAGATACCATCTCACACCAGTTAGAATGGTGATCATTAAAAAGTCAGGAAACAACAGGTGCTGGAGAGGATGTGGAGAAATAGGAACACTCTTACACTGTTGGTGGGACTGTAAACTAGTTCAACCATTGTGGAAATCAATGTGGTGATTCCTCAGGGGTCTAGAACTAGAAATACCATTTGACCTAGTGATCCCATTACTGGGTATATACCCAAAGGATTATAAGTCATGCTGCTATAAAGACACATGCACATGTATGTTTATTGCGGCACTATTCACAATAGCAAAGACTTGGAACTAACCCAAATGTCCAACAATGATAGACTGGATTAAGAAAATGTGGCACATATACACCATGGAATACTATGCAGCCATAAAAAATGATGAGTTCATGTCCTTTGTAGGGACATTGATGAAGCTGGAAACCATCATTCTCAGCAAACTATCGCAAGGACAAAAAACCAAACACCACATGTTCTCACTCATAGGTGGGAATTGAACAATGAGAACACATGGACACAGGAAGGGGAACATCACATACCGGGGCCTGTTGTGGGGTGGGGGGAGTGGGGAGGGATAGCATTTGGAGATTTACCTAATGTTAAATGACGAGTTACTGGGTGCAGCACACCAACATGGCACATGTATACATATGTAACGTTGTGCACATGTACCCTAAAACTTAAAGTATAATAATAAAAAAGTCAAAACAATCTTTCCCTTTATTCTCTTTCCTGATGTATACATTTTTAAAAAGGAAAAGTTTAGACTAAATGGAAGAAATTACAATGTAGAATTGGAAAATATTTAAACTTTGCACTAAAAGTAATTTTGTCCGGGTCCTAAGGAGAAAGCATAGAGGAAATTAAACTTTCGACAAAGAATCACTGAAAGTTTCTGTCTACTGACCTTTCCAAAATGAGAGAATCTTTTCATCTTAAGAGAGTTCTAGCAGTATCTCAGAAGAAAGAATTCAGGGTGGGACGTATTAAAAGATGGGCTCAAATGATTTAAGAAAGGTATTTCAGGATAGAGAAGTGATTGGACTTGGGCAAATTTCATGGCATAATAATTTAGAACTGGTGGACGTATCAAAGTGAGGGTCCTGAAGCCAATCTTGTTTGTTTGTTTGTTGGTTTTTGAGACAAGGTCTCATTCTGTCACCCAGACTGATGGAGTGCAGTGGCATGATCATAGCTCACTGCAGCCTTGAACTCCTGGGCTCAAGTTATCCTCCCACCTCAGCCTCCTGAGGGCTAGGTAGCTAGGACTACAGGCATGTGCCACCATGCCTGGCTATTTTATTTCTTATTTTTTTTTAAAAGATGAGAATTTGAGGTTTTGTTATGTTGCCCAGGCTAGTCTTGAACTTCTGGCCTCAACCATTCCTTATCCTGCTTCAGCCACCCAAAGTGCTGGGATTACAGGCATGAGCAACTGCACTTGGCCCATGAATGTTTTTAAATAAGCTATTTGTCCAGGTGAACAGACTGTTGCCTAAGAAAAGTTGATTTTCAAGAATTTCCTGAAGCACAAAGTGAAGTGATTTATTAGTATTACAGGCTTATTTTTCCCAGACTAAGTTTTCTCAGAATAAACAGGTCATATTAATGCAGGTGGTTTCAGTTCTTAGTTCTAATATCTATGTCACGTCAATGCAGGTCGTTACAATTCCCATAGGCCAATTTCTAACCTGATTCCCTTGCCATCAATTTTATAATAGTTTGGCTTCTTTGATCTTCTAAACCTCTAGTAAATCCCAGGATATCATGTTGCTTATGTCTGGGTTTGATTGCGTCATGGGATGCAACCTTCTCTTCCTACTGAAGTACGTTTCCTAAAGTCTAAATAATTTAGTCTATGGTAATGCCCAGAGAATTTTCAGAAAGACAACAGGTGATGCTTGTTGAAATTTTAACTCCTAAAATGCTCGAGAATTTATGGTAGAAGGATGGATACAGGCTTTAGTTTGGCATTCCAAGTTGTGTAGTGTCTATGAGGAAATGTGGGTCCTCTTAGGTGATTCTCTTTGCCATGTTTCTATAGAGGTAAAGTACAAGCATACTTATGTAATAATATTAAAATGACACTCTCGGTTTTATGAACTCCCTTAGATGGTTAAAACTAACTCTGCTTACCTTTCAAACAAAGTACTAGATGTCCTGAGCAGGACTTGCAAACCATGTGGCTGAAAACCTATTTAAAACTAATGTGCCATACCTACTTTCAGGTAATATATACGGAGCATACTGGAGATGAGAGAGAGAAGTTCTTTGGGGAAAAAGTGGTGAGAATACTGTGACAGTTTTCCTCTCTCCCCATGGAGATGAGTTGAAGAAAATGCTTCCTTCTCACTGACAGTTTAGTAAGAGGGGCTCAAGAGCTTAATATGGCTCTCTGGAATTTGGGGATGTTAATCATTGTCGAAATTACCCCTGAGGGAAATATCCTCGAGTGGTTGGCTGAACAACCCTTTTGCAGCAGCAAAGTAGAAGGCAGCATTTGAGAAGAAACCGCATGCCTAGCCGCAGTAGATGAAAGGTGCATGTTTTCTATGGAGCAGCTGTGGGCTACCTAGCAAAGACAGACTAAACTTCCCCAGGAGATTTTCTGAAATGGAGAAGCAACTCAGCAGAGAGAGGCTGGGGCAGAATCTGGGAAAGGAGTGGGAATGATCAGAAATTGTCAGCTGAAGGCAGGGTGCTGTCCATGTCAAGGGAGTTGCCATCAGAGGCTGCAGGGTTGGGGAAGGGGAATCACTCTTTCACACCCACCCCGCACCTCACCCACTGCCCCTCACGTAAAATAAAAATAAAAATAAATAAATAAACAAACCCATAAGAGAAAGGGCAGCTTTCAGCTTGTGTCCCAGTGACAACTTGTAAAACAAGTTTCAATAAACTGAAGTTAACTAAAAATTATTTAATCATTTGGTCAAGTGAAATCATCAAACATGGCGATTTTCTTTTTTTTTTTTTTTCGATGCTTTAAGAGTTTATTTAACAATTCTCTACCCAGCTGAAAATTAAACCAAGAGTTTCATGGAGTCATTCTGAGATGCTCATAGAAGTATTAGCAAAAAGGAACTAGTCTGTTTTATACTTCATGTACATATTTTAGAATAGCATTCTGTGATCATTTTCTTTTAAATTTAAGTTCTAGGGTACATGTGCACAACATGCAGGTTTGTTACATATGTATACATGTGCCGTGTTGGTTTGCTGCACTCATTAACTCAACATTTACGTTAGGTATTTCTCCTAATGCTATCCCTCCCCACTCCCCCCACCCTACAACAGGCCCTAGTGTGTGATGTTCCTCACTCTGTGTCCAAGTCTTCTCATTGTTCAATTCCCACCTATGAATGAGAACATGCAGTGTTCGGTTTTCTGTCCTTGCGATAGTTTGCTCAGAATAATGGTTTCCAGCTTCATCCATGTTGCTACAAAGGACACGAACTCATCCTTTTTTATGCGTGCATCGTATTCCATGGTGTATATGTGCCCACATTTTCTTTTTCTTTTTTTTTTTTTTTTGAGACGGAGTCTCCCTCTGTCGCCCAGGCAGGCGTGCAGTGGCGCGATCTCGGCTCACTGCAAGCTCCGCCTCCCGGGTTCACGCCACTCTCCTGCCTCAGCCTCCCAAGTAGCTGGGACTACAGGCGCCCGCCACTACGCCCGGCTAATTTTTTGTATTTTTAGTAGAGACGGGGTTTCACCGTTTTAGCCGGGATGGTCTCGATCTCCTGACCTCGTGATCCGCCCGCCTCGGCCTCCCAAAGTGCTGGGATTACAGGCGTGAGCCACCGCGCCCGGCCTATGTGCCACATTTTCTTAATCCAGTCAATCATTGATGGACATTTGGGTTGGTTCCAAGTCTTTGCTATTGTGAATAGTGCTGCAATAAACATACGTGTGTCTTTATAGTAGCATGATTTATAATCCTTTGGGTATATACCCAGTAATGGGATCACTGGGTCAAATGGTATTTCTAGTTCTGGATCCTTGAGGAATCCAAACATGGCAATTCTCTTAACTGAAAACAAGACAATCAGAGAAAGACATCTTAAAAATATTATGATGTATTTGCTTCCATGAAAGCCAGGAAATTAAAATTATAACAAATTATGTTTTTGTGATGTTAAAAAAAATTTAAACTTAAAAATAATTTTGTAAGTTTCAATATACCTACTTTTCAATTTTTCAGCATATTTTCCCATTACTTTAATGTTCTACAAAAAAAGTCATTAAAAATATATAAAAACATGTATATAGGAGAATATATTTTCCCTTTTGCCTCTAGTTTCAATATAGATAGTATGAAAATATTTGTAGTATCTAATATAGTATGGCACTGGTATTTATTTAAAATTTCAACATTTTGCTAATTATGAATTTTTCTGTGTTAATTTTGATTGTTAAATGTTGCATTAAAATTATTGATAAAAATAATAAACAAATACAGAGCATTGTTGTTGATTACTGAGTTTTTTGACACCCCCTGAAATTCTGTACCCAGGGCAAGTGCTTCTCTTTCTCCACCATAATTCTGGCTCTACCAGGTGGATAAAAGAGCAAAACTTCGTTTCAAAAAAAAAAAAAAAGTGCTCCCATTTTGTATCTTTTTTTGTGTGTGTGTTTATGATGTCTTTTGATGAATCCAAATATTCCAGCTTTTTTTCCCCAGCTTTATTGAGGTATTACTGATAAATAAAAATTATGTATATTTAACATATACAACTTAATGTTTTGATATACATATATATTGTGAAATGATTGCCACAATGAAGCTAATTAATATATCTATCATCTCACATAGTTACCTTTTGTTTGTTTGTTTTGTGATAAGACAATTCTACTCTATTAGCAAATTTCACGTATACAAAACAGTATTATTAACTATAGTCACCACAATGTATGTTAGATCTCTAGAACTTGTTCATCCACATAACTGAAACTTTGTCCCTTTGACCAATATCTCTTCATTTCTTCTACCATTCTACTCTCTGATTTTTTAGTTTGACTCTTAGATTCCACATTTAAGTGAGATCATGCAGTAGTTGTCTTTTTGTGTCTGGCTTATGTCCTCCAGGTTCATCTATGCTGTTGCAAAAGGTAGAATTTTCTTCTTTTTATAAGCTGAATACTATTCCTGTGTGTGTGTGTGTGTGTGTGTGTGTGTGTGTGTGTGTATGTGTTTACCGTTTTTGAAAAAATCATTCATCCATGGACACTTAGGTTGTTTCCATATCTTGGCTATTATGACTAGAACAGCAATTAACATGACACTACAGATATATCTTTAACATACTGATTTGATTTCCTTTGCATGTGCACTCAAAAATGGGATTGGTGGATTATATGGTACTTCTTTTTCAAAAATCTTTGAAGAACATCCATATGGTTTTCCATAATGGCTGTACTAATTGACAATTCCACCAACAGTGTACAGGGGTTCCCTTTTCTCCACATCCTTGCTCAAACTTTTATTTTGTCTTTTGGTAATAGTCATTCTGATAGTTATAAGGTGATATCTCACTGCAGTTTTGATATGCATTCCCCTAATGCTTTGTGATGTTGAGCACCTTTTCATTGACCTGTTGGCCATTTGTATGTTGTATTTTTAGAAATGTCTATTCAGGTCCTTTGCCCATTGTTTAATCGGGTTATTGGGTTGTTTTTTGCTAGGTAGTTGTTTGAGTTCCTTATGTATTTGGGATATTAATTCTTAATCAGATACATGGTTTGCAAATATTTTATCCCTTTCTGCAGGCTGTTTCCTTCACTTTGTTGATTATTTTCCTTTGCTGTGCAGAAGTCTTTATTTTGATGTAGGCTCACTTCCTTATTTTTGCTTTTGTCATCTGTGTTTTTGGGATCATATCCAAAAAATCATTGCCCAGACCAATGTCAAGAAGTTTTGTTCTATGTTTTTTTTTTTTTGTTTTTTTTTTTGAGACAGAGTCTTGCTCTGTCACCCAGGCTAGAGTGCAGTGGTGCGATCTCAGCTCACTGCAACCTCTATCTCTTGGGTTCATGCAATTCTTCTGCCTCAGCCTCCCGAGTAACTGGGACTACAGGTGTGTGCCACCACACTAGGCTAATTTTTGTATTTTTAGTAGAGACCAAGTTTCACCATGTTGGCCAGGCTGGTCTTCAACTCCTGACCCTGTGATCCACTTACCTCGGCCTTCCAAAGTGCTGGGATTATAGGCATGAGCCACCGCGCCCAGCCTCTATGTTTTTTTTAAAAGTAGGGTTACAGTTTCTGATCTCACCTTTAGTTCATTTTGAGTGCATTTTTATAGATGGTGTGAGATAAGTGTTTACTTTCATTCTTCCACATGTGGATATCCAGTTCTCCCAACAGCATTTATTGAAGAGACTATCCTTTTCCCCATTGTGTGTTCTTGAAATCCTTGTCAAAGATTAGTTGAATATAAATGCATGAATTTCTTTCTGGATTCTATTCTGTCCCATTAGTCTATATGCTTGTTATTATGCCAGCACCATAATGTTTTGATTACTGCTGCTTTGTAATAGAGATAAATATAATCTATACCTCAATTTATTTCTTACAACATTGGAATGATAATAGTACCTATTTTGCAAGGTTGTCAGGATTAGATTAAATAATAAGATGGCTAAAAGGGCTTACACAATACTTTGGGCATATATTGTCAGTCTCAAGTTTGGGCATATGAATATTAAAATCAAGATCATGACTCATTAATTCTAAAGAGCAGGGGGTGAAGGTAAAAGTTACATTTGGAAGAAGGCTTTAGGGAGTAAAATGAAGGTCAATTATCAGTGAAAGCAGGTAAAGGTCAAAGCCTCATAGAGCCATGTGGAATTAAAGGCTAAAACAATTTAATTATTGGATGATAGAAAGGAAGGTGTCAAGTGTTTACTGGAGCAAAAACTAGACTTCAAGTGATGCTTAAAGGCCAAGATCTGAACCTGGCAGAAGCAAATCAGGAAGTGGGAAGTTAAGACTTAAGGCAAATTGCAGGGTAGTTCTTTTTCATTTTATTAGACTACAGCTTGCTGGCTAGGGTCTTCATTTTTAACAGTATTTTAAAAATGTTAAAACTTATCATTAATGTTTAAACAACATAGGAGCATAAACAGAAAAAGTCTTACTGACTTCCACCACAATTTCATTTCCAGAAATACATCACTAATAACATTTTTGTCTGTAATTTGAAATATTTTCTGAACACAAATCTGTCTCATATATATATGCATATATTAGGTTGGTGCAAAAGTAAGTGATGGCAAAACTGCACTTAGTTTTACACCAATTTATATTAATGAAAATGAAAGAAAAATGGTCACTGCTATTAATAAAAATGAAAATGAACACACTACTGCTACATTCAACAAAATGCTGAGTGAAAAAATCATTATATATATGTGTATACATATTCCTTTTATGTAGAAATGGGATCATGCTAATCTTTGTTTTTATTTAATAATATAGTTAGGATATAATTCCATATGCATGCCACACATTTATATCTCCTGAATTCTTTTTAATAACTGAATTATATATTTTTTGTATTGGTGATCTATAAGTTATTTAACAAATTTGATGAACATTTATATTGTTACCAGTATTTTGCTATTATAAGCAGTGCTGCAATAAAATTTCTTATTCATTTATTTACCTATTATGCAATAATAGTTGCAGGATAAATTCTAAGACTGAGATTTCTGGATAAAACACCAGGCACACTTTACATGTTGATAGTTTGTACAACTGGTCTTCCAAAAATTGCATCAATTTGAACTCCCCAAAGGTATAAGAGAATGGCTGCTTCCTATATTCTTACTAACAAAGTTTTAAACAAATTATATAGTGTACACAAATGTATATCATGTAATTAATAATTTTTAAGTAAATATTGTTAAAATGTAATATACCTCTAGAAAAATGTACAAATTATAACTATGCAGATTTACAGATATTTATACAGCAAACACATCTATGTAATGCAGTCCAGCTCACTAAGTCATACACGAATATTTTACATTATATTATAACACTCCAAAGGAATCCCTTGTACTGTTTCTCAGATACTACTCTCCACTGCCTGTACACATATCTTTCATGTTGATTAGTTTTACTGTTTCAAACTTTATGTAAAGTGTAACAATATAATATTTACTCTTCCCAGTTCAGTTTCTTTCACTCAGCATTTTCTATGAGTATGGTAGGAGTAGTGTTATTTTCATTGCTATATAATATTCCATTCCATGACTATACTACAATTTACTCATCTATTTTCCTGCTGACAGGCATATGAGTTATTTCTAATTTGGGCTATTTCAAATCATACTGTTAATAATCATACACATTTTTTAGTGCACATATCTTACATTACTGTTGTGTCTATTTCTGGAACAAAAATTGCTAGGTCATAGAATATGGGCATGTTTGGCTTTAGTACCTACTGCCAAATCTTTTTCCAAGTTGTTTGTATTAATTGATACTTTTCACCAAATACGTCACCCCTGCTGATTTCACATTTAGAAAATGGCATCTCCTAGCTTTAGTGTACAATTCCTTAACTTTATGTGTCATATATTATTGTTTTTTATGTTTATTAGGCAAGCCTGAATTTTATTTCCTTGTGAATAACTGTACCCACCTCTCTCTACTACCTGGATACTTCTATAAAATAAAATACAGTCATGCATTGTTTAATGATGGCAATACACCTGAAAAATGTGTTGTTAGGTGATTTTATCATTGTGTGAACATGATTTAGTGTACTCACAAAAACCTAGGTGGCATAGCCTACTACACACCTAGGCTATATGGTGCAGCCTATTGCTCCTAGACTACAAACTTGTACAGCATGTCACTGCACTGAAAACTGTAGGCACTTGTAACAGAGTTGTATTTGTGCATACTAAGCATAGAAAAGGTATAGTAAAAATATAGTATAAAAGATTAAAAAACAATACACCTATATAGAGAACTGTATTAGTGTGCTCTCACATTGCTAATAAAGACATACCTGAGACTGGGTAATTTATAAAGAAAAAGAGATTCAATAGACTCACAGTTTCACATGGCTAGGGAGGCCTCACAATCAAGGTGGAAGGTAAAGGAGGAGCAGAGACGTCTCTTACATGACGGCAGGCAAGAGAAGTGCCGAGCAAAAGGGGGAAAAGCTTCATATAAAACTATCGGATCTTGTGAGAACTCGCTCATTATCACGAGAGCAGCATAAGGGTAACTGCCCCAGTGATTCAATTACCTCCACCTGAGCCTGCCCTTAACACATGGGGATTATTACAATTCGAAGTAAGATGTGGGTGGGGACACAGCCAAACCATATCATCCCGCCCCCTCCCAAATCTCATGTCCTCACATTTCAAAACCAATCATACCTTCCCAGCAGTCCCCCAAAGTCTTAAGTCATTTCAGCATTCACTCAAAAGTCAACAGTTTAAAGTCTCATCTGAGACAAGGCAAGTCTCTTCCACCTAGGAACCTGTAAAATTAAAAGCAATTTAGTTACTTTCCAGATACAGTGGCAGTACAGGCATTGGGTAAATACACCCATTCCAAATGGGAGAAATTGCCCACAGCATGGGGCTACAGGCCCCATGCAGGTCCAAAATCCAATGGGGCAGTCAAATCTTAAAGCTCCAAAATGATCTCTTTTGATTCCATGTCTCACATCTAGGTTATGCTGATGCAAAAGGTGGGCTGCCACAGCCCTGGGCAGCTCCGCCTCTGTGGGTTTGCAAGGTACAACCTCCCTCTTGACTGCTTTCACAGGCTGGTGTTGAGTGTCTGCAGTTTTTCCAGGTACATGGTGCAAGTTGTTGGTGGATCTACCATTTTGGGGTGTAGAGGATGGTGACCCTCTTCTCACAGCTCCACTAGGCAGTGCCCAAGTGGGGACTCTGTGTGAGGTCTCCAACCCCACATTTCCCTTCCACACTGCCTTAGCAGAAGTTCTCCATGAGGGCCCAGCCCCTGCAGCACACCTCTGCCTGGACATCCACGCATTTCCACACATTCTCTGAAATCTAGGTGGAGGTTCCCAAACCTCAATTATTGACTTCTGTGCACCTGCAGACTCAACACCACATGGAAGCTGCCAAAACTTGGGGCTTGTACCCCCTGAAGCCATGACCTGAGCTGTACCTTGGCCCCTTTTAGCCATGGCTGGAGCAGCTGGGATGCAGGGCACTAAGTCCCTAGGCTGCACACAACAGGGCGGCCCTGGGGCCAGCCCCTGAAACCATTTTTTTCCTCCTAGGCCTCTGGGCCTGAGATGGGAGGGGCTGCTGCAAAGGTCTCTGACATGCCCCGAAGACGTTTTCCCCATTGTCTTGGTGATTAACATTGGGCTTCTCATTACTTACGCAAATTTCTGTAGCAGGCTTGAATTTCTTCCCAGAAAATGGGTTTTTCTTTTTTACTGCATTGTCAGGCTACAAATTTCCCAAACTTTTATTTTCTGCTTCCTCTTGAACCATTTTGCCACTTAAAAATTTCTTCTTCCAGATACCCTTAATCATCTCTCTCAAAGTTCCACAGAACTCTATTGCAGAGGCAAAATGCCACCAGTCTCTTCGCATAGCAAGAGTGACCTTTACTTCAGTTCCCAAAAGTTCCTCATCTTCATCTGAGACCACCTCAACCCGGACCTTATTGTTCATATCGCTATCAGCATTTTGGTCAAAGCCATTCAACCAGTCTCTAGGAAGTTCCAAACTCTCCCACATCTTTTTGTCTTCTGAGTACTCCAAACCTCTAGGAAGTTCCAAACTTTGTCACATTTTCCTGTCTTCTTCTGAGCCCTCCAAACTGTTCCAACCTCTGCCTGTTACCCATTTCCAAAGTTGCTTCCACATTTTCGGTATCTTTACAGCAGTGCCCCACGACCTGGTACCAATTTATTATATTAGTCTGTTCTCACGTTGCTAATAGACATGCCTGTGACTGGGTAATTTATAAGGAAAAAGAAGTTTAATGGACTCACAGTTTCAGGTGGCTGAAGAGGCCTCACAGTTATGATGGAAGGTGAAGGAAGAACAAAGGCACATCTTACATGGTGGCGGGCAAGAGAAGTGTTGAGCAAAAGGGGGCAAAGTCCTTTATAAAACCATCAGATCTCGTGCGAACTCACTCACTATTACAAGAACAACATGAAGGTAACCACCCCCACGATTCAATTACCTCTACCTGGACCTGCCCTTGACACATGGGGATTATTACAATTCAAGGTGAGATTTGGGTGGGGACACGGCCTTTCCATGAATGGAGAACTTACCATCAAGAACTTACCATGAATGAAGCTTGCAGGACTGGAAGTTGCTCTGGGTGAGTCAATGTGTGAGTGGTGAGTGAATGTGAAGGCCTAGGATATTACCGTACATTACAGTAGACTTTATAGACACTGTATGCTTAGGTTACATTAAGCTTATTTAAAAAATTATCTTTTCTCAGTAATCAATCGACCTTAGCCTACTATGAATTTTTTTATTGATCATTTTTTAAACTTTTTGACTCTTTTGTAGTAACACTTAGGCTAAAACACAAACACATTGTACAGCTGTCCAAAAATATTTTCTTTCTTGATATCCTTACTCTATAAGTTTTTCTTTTATAAAAATTTTTATTGTTTAATTTTTTTTATTTTTTAAACTTTTTTGTTAAGAACTAAGACACAAGCACACGCATTAGCCTAGGTCTACACAGTGTCAGGGTCACAAATATCACTGTCTTCCACCTCCACATCTTGTCCCACTGCAAGGTCTTTGGGGGCAATTACAAGCATGGAACTGCCATCTCCTAGGATAACTGCGCTCTTCTGGAATACCTCTTGAAAGACCTGCCTGAGGTCTTTTTACAATGAATTTCTTTTTTTTAAATAAGCAGAAGTTACACTTAACTTTCTTTTTATAAGTAGAAGTATACTTTAAGATACTGATAAGAAGTATAGTAAATACATAGAAGTATAGTAAATACATATACCAGTAACAGTTGTTTGTTATTATCAAATATTATGTGTTATAAAAAACTGTGTGCACTATAGTTTTATACAACTGATAATGCAGTAGGCTTGCTTCCACCAGCATCATCACAAACAGGTGAGTGATGCATTGTCCTATGATGTTAGGATGGCTGCAATGTCACTAGGCAACAGGAATTTTCTGTTTCATTATAATCTTATGGGACCACTGTTGTGTATGCAATCTGTCATTTACAAAAATGTCATTATGTGGCACATGACAATAATTATATTTGTAGTTTTAAATTTTTCATGAGATGTAACTAGTTTGGACTTTTATTTTTATTGATTTGCTCTTTCAGTCTTCATGTGACTTTCTCAGCTAGGAAAATTTTTTTCTACTAATCTTTCATTTTTGCTTCTGTGCCAAATTGTCTGTATGTTGGCTGCCCATTCTCTGTTCCTTTCTGTTATTGCATTACAATTTTTATGCTATGTTCTTTCCCACTGCATTCTAGAAACATATTTATTATAATAATAACTAGCATTAATTTTGAGCATTTACTAAATGACCTTTTCATATTTTGATGCTGTCTTCATGAGAACCCAAAAAGTGAGCTCTATTACCATTTCTAATTTATACACGAGGAAACTGAGGCCAGATTAGACTGAGTAATTTTCCCAGGTTTATGTGACTAGGAAGTGACACAGTCACGATTTTAACCCAAGCAGGCTGGCTTTGAATTGTTGACTTGTAATCAACATTCCACTGCATACTGTCTGTCCTACATATTTACATAGTCCACAACACATGCTATTTGATTTTCTGGTGAATATTTTTTGCCTCTTTCTGCCTCTACTGTGGATTTCAGTTGTGCTTTTCTAGTTGTACTTTCCATAAAAGCTTTCTTGTTTGATCCAATTCTACTTTTATATCATAATGTTCTCTTCTGCAGACTTTGTGCTACTCATTCACAATGCCTGCTATTCATTCTTAATCTTAATTAACTTCTTCTTCTGTTGATGTCACTAAGTACTTTCTGATAGCATCCCCACCCTGGGCTCCTTGATTTTTTCTGTATCTTAAACTTTGGTTTTCTCAGGGGAGTCTTTAACTGTCTTCTTCCTTTCTTGTCTAACTTACACACTGGGGTTTATTTCATTCACTGCTACGGCTTTAAGCACCTATACATTTGTGACTCAAAAGTAAATATTTCACCCCAAGCCGAATCCTGAGCTACACAGCAGTATATTTATTCCTGTAATGTTGGTTGAACACCTATTTTCCAGGTGCATGTGAGACACTAGAAAATTCCACATGACTGTTATCCAGCAACCTTAAGCTTTTCTCCAAATCTGCTTTTTTATTCTTTTGATTACCCATCTTGGTGAATTCTAATGTTGCTAGTTGTATAAACCAAAATATAAAATTAATCCCAGAAAACTCTATTTACTTGCCTTTTCATTCTGTCATCTTTATTCTACTTCTGGAATATCTCATTTAGTATTTCTCTTCATTTGAATTATCACTGTGTATTTCTTGGGGGAATTGCAGTAGTCTACTTTGTTCTCAACAGTCATAAAAGTCATCTTTCAAATGTGGCGCTCTAATGAGCTTACTCTTTGTGTGATATATGTTAATTATCTCCCATTCCATAAAGTATAATTAATACCACCACCTTTGCATGGCACACACAACTTTTGTCATCTGGTTTTATCATTTGGTCCCTGCCTACATATCCAGTCTTTTCTCCTTTCACTTCAAATCTTTTCTAACTTAAGACACTGTAATTCAGAAATACTGAACTATATTCAAGGTCTCAAATATGATATGTCCTTTCACTCTTTTTGTTCCTTTACACATTTCCTGAAATACACTCATCATTCAGCTATCTACCTGATGTTTAACTGTTAATTTATTACTTCTTTGGAAATGCCATGTTCTTTATGAAATTTTCTCTGATTTCCACAGGCAGACGTGAATGCTCCATTTACTGCTGATGATTTGAATTTGTATGTACTGGCCTAATGGCACTAATCCCATTCAGGAGGACTCCACCTTTGTGATCTAATCACTTACCAAAGGTTTCACCTCCTAGTACCATCATATTGGGGTAGTATTTTAACATAAGAATTTTGAAAGGACAGCAACAGTGAGCCATGAACACAATGCTGCACTTCAGTCGCCAGCCTCCTGGGCAACAGAGTGAGACCTTGTCTCAATAAATAAATAAATAAATAAATAAAATAAAAAATAGTGACTAGTCCTATAAAATAAGGAGTCATGAAAATAAGGAGTTGTGCTTCCCAGTCTTCTTGTTTTCTTAACCTCTAGTCATCTAAGCAGCACACATAAAGTTTTGCATTCCATCCCAACAAGGAGTCTACTGCAAGAATGATTCCTGTAGATGTGACAGTTGAAATGATGAAAATGATTGATATCTATAAGGTCAAAGTTAGAAACTTGAAGGGTCAGCTGGAAATTGCATTCATTTTGTTGCATTTCTAACTACTGGCAACTTAACCAATTATTTTTGTCTAAGCAACAAGATGTCCCAAGCCAGGGCTGGTATGGAAGTTTAGTTATGCTATCAGGAATTAGGGATCTTTCTATCTTCATTTCTACCATACAAAACGTGTTGATATTCACCATCATCTTGTGGTCCCATATTGCAAGATGGCCGTTAAGATTTAAGATAGTGTGTCTGCATTTCAGACAGTGAGAAACAAAAATAAAAATGGTAAATGGTCAAATATTATGCCACAGGTATCTGCTCTTCCTCCACTCCCCACCCGAATGTAAAGTGGCTCTCAGGAGCACCATCCAGTAGACTTCAACCAACATCTAGCTTTCTGGAATTACACCACATTGTCACCCCCAGCAGCAAAAGAATCTGAAAATAAATATTTATAAACAGGAAATGTTGCCACCCTGATCAGTATTGGGTTTCTGCAAAGAAAATGGTAAAAATTAATACGGGGTAAGTAGACAGTGGTACCTGCCCCATCTTGTAGGTAATAATTTAAAAATGAATATTCAGTAAAGCAGACACAAAAAAGATGTAAAAATAATCAAGAGATTTCAGTGTTACAGAAGTCAGAAGAAAAAAAACTGTAAGAGGGAAGAAATATATAGTAATATACAAAATTTTAAAGAGGTTAAGGACAAAAAGTCTAAGAAAATATTACTAAGTTTGATGATCAGAGACAAGCTGCGACCTCCAGGGAGAGTAATTTCAGGACACTCTTTTAAAAGTGAGCAATTGTTTTAGTAAGAGCAATGGGTAACTCAATAGGTTAGGAAAGTTAGAAAGTTTATGGAAGACTTTTTTTTAGGCTAACGGAAACTTGAGAATTTTTTGGCTATAGGTAGCAGAATTAGTGAAGATTGAAGATGTAAAGAAGGGAACACAAAATTGTAAAAACAAAATACGAAATTTTCATCCAGAGGAAAAAGAATCCTTTCTTTCATTACCTATATTTTAAAGAGATAGTTGGACACAGTGATTCTATTCCAATGAGTCTCAACTTATTTTTTTTTTAACATGCTAGTTATAGATCACTTAGTGCCTGAGCACATTCAGGGATAAGAAACTAATTATCCCCAGATAACTCAATCAATCGTTTCAAGTTTTAATAACTCTAAGAAATTTATTTTAATATTATTCTAAAGTAATTAAAATTATTTAAGATAAAAATAAATTTAAAATTCAAAATTATTTAAGATAAATAATTATACAAATTATTTTATACTATCAACAAATTATCCTCCTTTTAAAATCAATTGCTCTTTTTGTATCTTCCAGAACTACACAAACAGGATTACTGTTTGTTCTATGTAACTAGGTAGAACTATCATGCTTACTCACATTCTTCTCTTTCCAAGCTGAACACTCTTAATTCACTCAGTGATTCTTGAATGATATTGTTTTCCAACCCACTGATTATTCTGATTATGTTTAGTGTTAAGATTGCACAGTCCATTCAAATCATGAACTCAAGCACATTCTGAATAGCTATAGTTTTCTGAGTCTGAAGTTGATTTTAGTCTCTTACTGGCAATTGCTTTCATTTATCCAAGCCATGTTACATAACTTATGCTAATCTTTCTCAAGGCCTTATTGTTCTTTCATCTTGTGATTACATTTCTGTCATTTTAGCCTTTGATTTCCTGATGATTCTGTTGGCTCATTCTATAGGAAAGGGACCAGAAGTAATTGATGTTTGGACAGCTTGAACCATGTTGAATATGGTAACAGAAAAGAGAACCATAGTTCTGAGTGGAATGTTAATTAATGAAAGACAATTATTAATACGTATAAGTAATAGTTGAGGAGGATGAACAATTGTTTTCAGGAACCTTACTAAATTTATGGTTTTCCTCTGAGGAGCTTGACCAGCCCTTTAAACCAACTCAGCAAGTCTGAATGATGTGCAAAGGGACAATTAGATATGGGTAAGAAGTCCCCAACCTCAACCCATAAAGGACTGTGTCTGAGGTTCTTACAGCATCAAGGGAGATGGATACCATGGCTTCCATCAAGGTGCTGCTAGTCCTGCTCTCAAAGGCTTTGGTGACCCTGAGCTCTGCTCAGAGCATAGATGATGGCAAGAGGAGGAAATGGGGACAATACAATGGATAACGGGGTTAAAATGCATGGAAAGTACTAGAGTTAGATTGACCCTTTCAGAAATTAAGCACTTTATTTTCAGAGAGTAGGTCAATAAAAGAGGAGGAAACCTTAATTTCTATTTTTCACTGATTGCAGATACTTCTCTGAAAATCTCGGCCTAAGTCTTAAGTCAACGTCTTCATGATGTAATTTTGCCGTTCTAATGTATATGGATTTTCAGTTGTTGATTCTGTTTGTGTGAATCAGGGCATCTAAATTGAACGGAAAATCTATATTTTTCATTTCTATAATCTATAATAGAATTCTATAATTCTATAATTCATCTAGATATCGCATTTCCTTGACATCAAACTCTTGAACATTTAAAAATATTGATAATTTTGATTAAATTTGTACTTAATCAAAATTTTGATGCTAAGCAGGCACTATTAAATTCTTTCTATTCCATTCCTTAATCCTTTAAAATACAGGTCACCCCTCATTCAGAGTCAATGATTGGGACTAGGGTTCTACTTTGGGAAACTTTGGTTTATTGTATCCAAATCTTTATAATTTTTTTTCCCTAAAGCTCTCTTAGGCATTTTTAAATCTCTTGTGTCTAAACCTAAGTGTCTTTCTAGAAATTCACAGCTGGGGTTTTATCAAATCATGTTTTAAATTTGTCTTCTTTTTCATTTTTTTTTTTCTCTTAAAATCCTAAGTACTGTTGCTGAAGAGTTCTTTCAAGAGTAAGGTAAACCTTTATTCAGGGATGTGTTCTTTTCTTTGTTCTTCAGAAGCTACCATAGTTTTCTTTTTTGTTTAATAAACATTCTCAAAATTCTCAAACATTCTCAAAATTGAGTTTAGGGAGTCCCAAAGGGAAAAAGAGAATTACAAAATCTGAAAGTTTTAGTGGTTCTCAATAATAACATTGATTGATTGAGACAAGCCTCCTCTGTCACCCAGATTGGAGTGCAGTGGCATGAACACAGCTCACTGCAGCCTCCACCTCCTGGGCTCAAGCTATCCTCCTACCTCACCCTCCTAAGTAGCTGGGACTATAGGCACACACCATCACACCCAGCTAATTTTAAAATTTTTTATAGAGATGGAGTCTCACCATGTTGCCCAGGCTTGTCTTGAACTCCTGGGCTGAAGATATCCTCCCACCTCGTCCTCCTGAAGTACTGGGACTACAGGCATGAGCCACCATACTTGGCCCAATAATGTTAAATATGGACCATCTCCTTCATTTTCACATTAGAATCTCTTGTGTCAGAGTTGTAATTAGCATTTGAACATCAGCAGAATATAGACACAGTACTTATTTGTAAATGCTTTTCTCTAAATCTTTCTACAACCAATGGCTAATGATTGAATAACACAAATCTCCCATTTTTGCAAGAGCAATAACTCCCTTGACATATAACTAATTTGAAGCATAAAGATACATAAAATTTGCCTACATTATTGTAGTCAATCAGTGAATGTATCATTGCACTTTCTTTTGCCACTCTGAATTAAAACACAAATGCTTCATTCTTTAGTTTTCAAGTCCTGATAACTGCTTAAACACTAATTTGTCACAGAGTAAGTGAAATTTAAAGCCACCATTAGTCACACACAGTTTACATGAAAAATTTGAAGTCCATTCTAATGGCCTGGGGAGAGACTCTGTGTAGGAGGAAGGATATAATACATGCCCAGAGTACATGAGAGAGCTAATGAATTATGCCACCAAAGAAGTGGCAGAATTGAGTAAGTGAGTCAACCAACAATTTTGTTGTTCAAAGAAAACTTTTATGCTTAATGATTTTTTTCCCCTGTTTCTGACTTGTCAATGACCCTTCTACTGAGTTTATGATGTCATTTCAAACTTCATTCTTTTTCTCTTCTTTCTTTGAAGGAGGCTTTCAAGAGGAAGATGAAAAGACCTAACTACCATGTGAGCTATTTTGAGTTCAATTAAGTTATTAAGAATTGTTCTAAATGGATTCAACGAACCTCTGGGTTACTGTTCTAATAAAACATTTCTACAAGTTTTTACTGTAATACAAATAATCATGTTTAACCATGAAAACTTTTTTTCTCTCTTTATTTACAAATATTTTCTTTTTTGTACACAAAGTTCCTGGCTACTCTAGGCTGGTTAGTACAGGGTTGATCACCCTAAAATATCTTTGCCACAATATGAATGATGTGCTTTTGATGGTATGTCCCAGATACATATTTCCTTTTGTGGCCTGACATATGGCATTGTCTGGAGAATATTCAATATATGCTTGAAAAGAGAATGTGTTGTCTCTTCCTTTTATGGAATCTTTCATAAATATCAGATCAGGTTGCTTGATAGTGTTTGTTAATGTATTCTATATTCTTACAGATGTTCTGTTGTTCAACAAATTACTGAAATAGAATCATTGAACCCTTTAAAAAAAGATGTCTTATATACAATCCAAACAATATTTCTCTGGGATGTAGAGATGATCTACATTGAGGCAATATATCCTTTGAGAGTTTTGACATTTTAGCATAACCATGTATTAGCTTTTGATTGAATGTCTTGTCACAGCATCTTGATAATCATTGCCTGGTGCAGTCCGTGGACATACGTCTTTTGTGGAGAAATTTTCTTCAATAAATAATTAATAGTTCAATTTAGGCTTCTTATTTTATAGACATTTTCTACATAATTTTTCTCACTTTTACTTATAGATTGTCCTTCATTCATTGATCTGCAATTCTCAAATAATCTTTGAACTTACTGTGACAATATATTTAGCCATAATATATACCTTTTCTGTGATTATAAGATTATTCATAGAATTCCACAGCATTTATTAAGAACTGTCACTTTATTGAGTCTTTCCCAAAAGTAGAGCTTTGTTGGATGATCCAAGAGGAACCATCTAACGCGGACTATGAGAAGGAACTAGTTGCTTTTCATAAAGATGCAAATAACAGCAAGATGCTGTTACAGTTGTTTTGAATTAGTCACACAACTTTGCATCTGGAAACACGGTTTAGAACTATGAAAATGCCCTCTACTCTTGATAGTTGATATTAGGATATTAATTTCTATTTGCTCTGAAACATGTTTTAAAAAACAGCAACTCTAAAGAAAGGAAGAGTTACAGAAGAGAGAAACAGGGATACACAGACAGAGTCAGAAACAGAGACAGAGATAAAGAGATCCAGCCAGCTGTACATAAGATTCCCTACATTACAATTACAGATACACTAATTAAGTTTTAGGAGTAATTAATCACATAAAACATTAATGCAAGAACTGAAGTTAATTTAGAAACATCTTATCTTTGTTTGTCCTAGAAAAGCATAGTTTCTCTTCAGATTTGTTTATGTTGTTGGAATTTTCTTCCTTTTAGAATAGACATTACTTTCCAAATCACCTTTAGAGATGCATGTCTTAATTTATTGTTCCCCAGTATTAGGATAAATGAATGACTTGAGGGGTAGATTAGAGCTATGGACTCACCAAAAATCACAGCTAATTCCGTCTCTGGCATAAAGTAGCTGGAGGTGGCAATGAGAAAGGACAAATAGTAGGCAATAAAGAGGAGAAGGAAGGAAATGACAGCTTTCAGGGCTCTCACATGGGCTTCTGTGCTGGGGTCTCTGCACCCTGTGGCACTGAGCTGCATTCGCCTGATATGTCTCCGCAGGGAGAGGATCAAGAGGAAAAAGGACATTAGGCACACACAAAAGGGGAGCAGCGTTGCCAGGTTGAGAAATAACTTGGTAGAAGCATGTTGAGTTTTATTTACTCTGCAACTCCAAGTTAAGTTTGTTTTCCTCTTTGCCTTCACACAAAACCTGAAATCAGCGTTCAAATTCTCAGTGGCTGGAAGGCTAATAAACACAGAGAGAACCACGCACCCCAGTAGAATCCAGGAAATCACCCTGTCAATTCTCCACTTCATCCAGAGGAAAAGTGGGTGAAAGAAATTACCTATCTTGAAGAAATAGTAAATGCTGAGGCAGGTTGCAAACCAGATACTTAAATGATTGGTTAGTGTCCAGAAGAAGTCAATGATTCTCATTTCTTTACCAGTGGCATAGACATCTGGATATAGCACCAATATAAAACAATCTAATAGTATTACGCACAATAGACAAATTCTGGATATGGCCAGACTTGTGAGGATTAAATCAATGGAGGCAATTTTCCTCTTCTTGACCCAGTCCATGCAGTTTACCAATCCAATGAATGCATTCCCTAAGATCCCCACTGAAAACTCTCCAACTGCTAAGAACAATAAAGTAGTCTGCACTTTATCTGCCATGTTTAAATATGCAATTAGTTTCTAGTTGACCTGATGGAGTTTGACATCCACACCTGCTTCTTAGATTTTGATGTAGTTTTCTTTACCTCTTTGTTGTAGTCTGTTTTGTGATGGAGACTGGAATGATAAATGAAGACTGGAGCTATCTTCATTAAATCCTAATTAGTCTTGACAAACAATGTGTTTGGCGATCCTTGGCCTGGCCACTGTATGCCCATTTACCTACTCAGCAGGTTGTAATTTTCCACATACGGTTAATTTAGGCTGAGCTACTGTTTACTAAGATGCAAATTGGGCCAATTCCCTTTCATGGTCCTGCATTGTCTTTCTGAGGCTAAGGTGTACGCATTTTGGATTCATTAATTTGTGATGTATGCTAGTAACCTCAATAGGGTTGCTAGATTTAGCGACTAAAAATTCAGGACACTCAGTTAAACTTGAATTACAGGTAAAAAAATCAATAATTTTTTAGTGTATGTCCCTGATTACTTAAGATCAGTGCTTTCAGGAAGTACTGAAGTTCAAATTAGATTGAGTGTTCCATTCTGGCAACCTGAACATCAAGAATTTGGTAGCAAGTATAAAACTGGTAAAATTGGAAAGTTCTTGAAGAATTTTTATTTTGCTGAATGTTAATATTGATAATTAGTAAAGAATCCAAAGTTTGGTTCCATAGTGAGAGTTATATATTTTCAGGAACTTTAAAAAGTTAACACTAAATGTAGGTTATTTGATTCCAAAGAAACTTTAGGTCATTATTTTGGCTGTTCAGATGAACAATTACATGGCATAGTGTCTCTTAATACAACACATTGTCTTACTGACTAAATGACTTTTAATGGTTATTTAGCAATGTTATATATAATAAGGTAGAGGACCTGTAATAAAAAAAGACTATTGATTACCTTAAATTTTTCATTTTCACTTAAAATGTTCTCAAGGAAACTTTGAGAGGTATTAGATATGTCCATTACCTTGTTTGTGGTGAAGATATCATGGGTGTTTGAAATTTTATACATTAAATATATGCGGTTCTTTTTATACCAATTATACTTTCATAAAGATTTCAAAAATTTAAAAAATGTTCTCAAGGGTAGTTGTATGCATGAGAGAGGAGATAGTAAAATTCTGTATTTCATTCTCTCCACTGTCCTCCATACAAATTGCATGAGTATCTAGATCCTCAACCCTTCTAGCAGGAGACTGAAGATTAAACTTTCCACATCTCTAGAGATGAATTTTTAGTTTGAAATAGCTTCTCTAATTTAGAGTTACTGAGAAGCGCTTTACTACATGGGGTTCCATAGAATAGTTCTTGGGTATTCACACCTTCCTGGGAATGCATGTCTTCTCTTATCCTTCCTTAAAGGACAAACCATCATTCCGGAGATGTAGCCTTAACTTTTGGACAATCTGTATGATTATGTAGCCATGTTCACAGGCAACTGGAACATCACCTATGATAGGACGATCTTGGATATGATCCCTGACCTAGACTTATCATTTCTTTTGTTTTTTTTTTGAGATGGAATTTCGTTCTTGTTGCTCAGGCTGGAGTGCTATTTTGGCTCACCGCAACCTCCATCTCCCAGGTTCAAGTGATTCTCCTGCCTGAGCCTGCCAAGTAGCTGGGATTACAGGCAGGTGCAACCATGCCTGGCTAATTTTGTATTTTTAGTAGATTCCGGGTTTCTCCATGTTGGTCAGGCTGGTCTTGAACTCCCGACCTCAGGCGATCCGTGTGCCTTGGCCTCCCAAAGTTCTGGGATTACAGGTGTGAGCCACTGTGCCTGGCCTAGACTCATCATTTTTACCCTACAGTTTATCCTGGTAAATGAAGTGCTCATGGGAACTATGATGATGTATTTTCTCAAATAATTTTTAGACTTGTTTTTGTTTAGTTTTGGAAATAAATGTAGATTTTATGAATACCAATGTTGTATAGCGTGAAGTTATGTGAATATATAGTTAAAAAAAAAGTTCTATGAGAGAGCATTTTGTCAAAAGCTTACTACTTTGAACCCCAGTCACTGTGGTCACTAGAGATGCTTGAAACATTAGAGAGGCAGGAAACAAAATATGGAAGAAAAAAACTTAACCCTAATGGGGTAAAACCTTCCCAAAAGTACTAATTCAATAAAACGTTTATTTCACTTAAACCTTAGGAAAAATATAAAGTTCATCCTAGTATAAAATCTACCTGTATTTTGTAGAATACATTAATATATTTCATCAAGAGAACATGAATTCTTGTGTCTTGTAAAACAAAGAGTAACATATACAGCTAGCATATTAGAAATATAGTTCATAAAATTTATATACTTGGGGCTATAAATATTAGTACTTTACAGAGTGAGTTTTACATAATAATAAGACAAACAACTGATAATTTTCCGGTAATTAGTATTTTAGTTATAATAAAAGGAAATTAGTAGATTGAAATACATCAGAATTAAACAGAAAGTAATGGGAGTAAAAGCAATAATGTACAGCCATATTAGTACATACACAACCTGAGATATGCCAGACCAAACGTTTCAATAATATTATAGTGAGGATGGATTTCATGTTCACAGAAAAATTAAAAATTTTAGTGACTTATTTTCCTTTTTTTTTTAATAAAAATTTATCTGTATTTTTTGTAAACATTCGTTTCTTCTTCCAGGGACAGTATGTGCTTATTCCATGGTATACGCTATTTTCTTCCCAATTTATTTCTTTTGTTAAGTCCTGAGTGAAAACCTTTGCAGGGTCTGGTTAGAGAAAAGAACCTGATTGAGCAGTCTGACTAATATTTGTTATCCCCATTCTTTTATCCAGATTGTGAAGAGGGCTTAGGAACACCCCTTGGTGGGTGGCACTTGAATGGGTTCGATTCCCACCTAGGTGCTGCATGAAAAGCAAGTTGTTTGAGAGGAAATTTAATTCCAAGGAAAATCAATAGAAATCATCAGAATAAGGTCAACCAGAAAATATTACCTAGGAGACCATGGAAATCATCATTCGGGAAAACCAAAGACAGACCAGAGAACATCTGAGTTCCTAATCAATAAGCCAAATGGGGGTGACTCAGCAGAGCCATGAAAGGAGCACAATTAAGGAGCGGCAATAAAAATGTATGACAAAGAAAAATGAGAAACCAGTTACTGTAGCTCAGGTCCACTTTACCATGAGCCAAAGTAAAATCTAAAAAGACTTTAACTAGGCAATACAGGCCTAACACTTGCGTTGAGGAGACAAGAAGAGAAGCATGAGCTCTGAAATTCTTCGAGGAAAGGGAGTGTAAAGATGAGCATTTCTGAGTTGTAAAGGGATAGAAAAGATGTATTCAGTAGTTTGCTACTAGGTCCTAATAATATTTAAAGATATGCATCCAAAATAAATGAGATAACTGGGGAAAAATGAGAATAGACTATTAAGAAAACTATATTTTTTGTTAGAGAAGATTTGGTTTTAAATTCCATTTATACAGCTAAGATTTCATATCATGCAGGCAATTTTTCTACATGTCAGCATTCTGACAAATGTCTGCCTCAGTTTATTATTTAAAACAATTAAAATAAGTGAGTGACCCAAGGGGTAGAGAATTGCTGCAATCTCTCCAAACTCCACAGCTAACTTGTATTTTGTCATAAGATAGCTAAAGGTCATCAAAATAGAAGAAATATAGTATAGGAAAAAAAAGAAGATAAATGAAGTCATAGTTTTAATGGCTCTCACATGAACTTCTGTGCTGGGGTCTCTACTGCCGGTAGCATAGAGTTTTATTTGCTTGGTATGTCTCCATAAAGATCTTACTAAAAGGAAAAATGATATCAGTGACACAATAAATGGGACAATTGCAAACAGGTTAAAGAGAGTCAAGGGTTCAAAGTATGGTATTTTACTCACATGGAACATTTCAGTAATGTTTCTTTTATGTTTGGCAATTGCATGAAACCTATAATCACAACTCAGTACTATTGCTGCTATAAGGCTGACCAACAAGGAAATGGCAAAGCATCCCAGCAGGATCCAGTGCACCACCATATCAATTTTCCACTTCAGCCAGAGAAAAAGTGGATGAGAGGAACTGGCTATCTTCAGAAAATAGAAGACATTAAGGCAGGTGGTAATCCACATATTTAAGTAGTTGGCAAATGTCCAGAAGGTAAAAATGACTATCTGTTGTTTATTTTTTGTATAAACATCTGGGTTCAGTACTATTACAATGCCATTTACAACCATTACACTGATCAAACAAATTCTGGCGATAACTAAATTGGTAAGGATGTAGTCAACTGTGGAAATCTTTTTCTTCTTAATCCAGTCAATCCAGTTGACTAGTGCAATGTATCCATTCCCCAATATTCCTAGTATGAATTCTCCAGTTATTAGGATTATAAAGATGTTATCTGCAGGACTGAACATGTTTGTAGAGAGAACAATCTGATTTCAAATATCACTGTAGATGAGCTAATTTACAGGTGACCTGTTAAAGCATGATAGATCAATTCTTCGAATCATGCAATAATGTTTTCATCTGCTGTTATTTCGACGTTGTTATTCTTCCGGAAGTGTTCAGCTCTCCTCTGAAATAGGATTGTCTCTACACTCCTGAAGATGAAACCAACTAATGAGCAGCTTGACTAGTTATTTATAGCCTGGAAAAATTATAATTATTATCCTTTAGTGAGTGATACCTGAAATGTTTGGCTGAAATTGCTCCCATGCAAATTCAAAGAGATTTTATATCATGAATTTGCAACAGGCTTCTTGCTGTAGCTCTATATTTGGATCTTCAAATTGAGTTTTGAATAGGGAGTCATAAAAAAAGAGATAAATGTTTAATAAAAACCCAACTGTGTAAATAAAACTTCATTTTCATCATGTAAGTTATAAATAAGCCACAAATCAGTTCTCCCAGATGCAAAGAAATTTTCACTTTGGAAGTAATTAGTACAATTAGATTGTAGATATTTAACATTTAGTCAGAGGATAATAATTCTTGTCTTCATTTAAACGGCTAATTAGGGAAGGATATAATACAAATCTAATTAGAAATGACTTTTTTTTAGGCAGGCACATGATAATATTTACTAAGAATTTGCTTTCTTTTCAATTGTTCCTCAGAAGTGAAATATGCCAGGTAAAGATTTGTTATCTTTAGTTTTTTTTTAATGTGACAAATACCCTTGAAGACAATTCATTTCCTGAATCACTGTCTCTTGTATAATAAGCATTGTAATCTAAAATTAAGAAAATTTAAATTTTACATTATTCTAGTTCCAATCAACTCCTTTTATAAGATTTGTAATCTCACAGTGCATATTATAGTCATATTTCTAGATAGGGCAAACACATAAAAAAGTAACTACTTGGGAGACTGAGGCAGGGGGATCATTTGAACCGGGAGGCAGAGGTTGCAGTGAGCCAAGATCGTGCCACTGCACTCCAACCTGGGCGATACAGTGAGACTCTGTCTCAAAATAATAATAATAATTTTTTTTTTTTACATACCAGTATTTCCAAGGAATAGGACTAATTCTACTATTAAATTAGATTTATTTGTTTTGGGGTAAGGGAAAGTACAACTTAGCCCAAAATACATTTGAATGTAGGTAATACAAATCACAATACCCTAGGGCTTCTTGTATTTAAATAGTTCTACAATGTATACAACACATGCAGGATTTTTTCTATTTCTTACATGTGTGTAATGTGTAACAGGAAAGCATAAACTTAATAACTTAAAGAAACCTAGTTATCTATAAACTACTGCTGGAAACAAAATAGAAAAGAAAATGATGCAGAGGGAAAAAAATATGTCAGAGATTTCTGAGTTAGAAGGCTAGAGAGAACATTCCAGGGAATCTTTGGGAAATGACTTCTAAAATTGCCATCACCAGCTAGAGTACTCATGAACACGCTGACTACTGGGACCCTCAACCTTCTTTCTCAAGGTGGTTCTGCTATACATAACTGTGCCTCCTCTCTCTGTCAAACTTTCATTCTTGAGATTATACTCCTTTTCCCACATCATATATCATCTTAGATAGAATCTCATTAAAGATTGTTTTTCTCCCTTCTTGATCAAGACAAACCCTTCCAGAAATGGAGAGGAAAGGGCGGTGAAGATAAGGACCGGCCTTCATTTCAAAGTAGAGAGTTGTTTTGCATGATTGATTTTATAGCAAGGGTTGATGAGTTCTAAAATCTTTTCCCCAAAGCCTGTTTGCCTGACATTCTTCTACTCATTGAGTTCAAGGCCTTTGCCAGTATTTGTCAGAAAAGAAGTAGAACCTCTTTGTATTTAGTCAATGACATAAAATGATGAAATGTTAGTGTGGGATTTAGATGCATTTTTTTTTTCTGCAACGACAAAGAATATACGGTGCAATGATAACATTAGATTATCCATTAAACAAGACAAAAGTGTGAAGGAACACAAAACAAATCTTCAGAATCATGACAGATATTAATGACTTCCAATAGCATATAAGAGAAAATGAATGCAAACAAGAGAAGGGAGAATGCCTTTTGTTGATTTCTTTCATCCTTGTAGTCAGGATACTCTTTAGGGGTCTCTATGGAACAAAAGGCTTTCTTCTTCTAAGGAAACACTTCACAAATCTTAACATCTTCAGAAAAGCTTCCCTCAACTTGCTATTTCCCATAATTAGAATGAATGAATGGCTTGATGGGAAAATGACAGTTACTATGTCACCAATCATCAACACTAATTTTCCCTGAGGAATCAGAGCGCTAGAGGTCATAACAAGAAAGACTGGGTAGTACACGATGAGGAGGAGCAGAAAGATGATCACTGCCTTTATGGCCCTCATGTGGGCCTCTGTACTGGGGTCTCTGAACCCTGTAGCATGCAGTCGAATCTGCTTGGTGTGTCTAACTAGGGAGAAAAGTAACAAGAAAAATGAGATCAGGCAAAGGATAAAGGGAACCATCACCCCCAGGTTCAGGGTTAACTGTTTGAAAGTACCTGGAATTTTACTCACTTTGAATTTCCAAGTAATGTTTTCTTCATGACTGACTTTGAAAAGGTGATACCACATATCATCATTCTTTGGAACACTAATAATTAAAGAGATAAGAAAGGACCCCAGAAGAATCGCAAGCATGACCTTGTTGATCTTTAGCTTCAGCCAGAAGAAAAATGGGTGCGATATATTGGCTATCTTGAGTAAATAGAAGATACTGAGGCAAGAAGTAAACCAGAGACTTGAATTATTGGCAAATGTCCAGACAACATTCACAATGCTTACTAGCACGCTATTGCCATATGTACCTGGAAAGAGCAGCATAAAGAAGCCATCTAATGATATTACACACAGCAGACAGATTCTGGAGATGGCCAAGCTGATCAGGATGATGTCAATCAAGGAAATATCTCTTCTTTTGAGCCAGTCAATGCAGTTAACTAGTACAATGAATCCATTTCCCCAAATCCCTATGGTCAATTCACCAGCAATTAAAATAATATATATTGCCTCTATTGCACTTGGCATGCCAGCAAAGACTTGTGATTTTTGAATATCACTGATGATGAATTGACTTTCAGCTGACCAGTGAAGAACAATGTATCTGTCTGCCTCTTAGACCATGATATAGTTGTCTTTATCTCTCCTTTTTGTTAGCTGTGATGCAGATGAAGAAGATAGCCAGTCCTGCTCTGGGCTAGAGCTGCCTAAAGACTTCAATGATTGGGGCCAGTAATTTCCTTTGGTGCAGTGATGACTGAAAGCCTCTAGGATGCAAATGGGAATGGATCTGATTTCTTAAATTTGCACACTCTTTCTTATTTTAAGCTCTGTATATTTTGGATTTATCAATCTGAGCTGTTGACCAGGAACTTCAAGAAGGTATCAATTACTTGGAAAATATGGCTAGAATTTAATTTGCTGGATGACTATCCATCCTTGTTAGTATATTGACATAGTTATTGCTATTACAGATTCTAGGTTTACTGTGTTAGCTTGTGTGGCCAGTTTGCTTGCTTGGTTGACTAAAGCTTTAAACAAATTATTATTAACATTAAATGAGGCTTAAATGGCATAACTGGTGGAATGTAGAGGAAAGAATCTAAAGGTGTAGGAAGATAGGAGTATTAAGGTGAATTTATCATATGCGAACTTCACCTTCTCCCCATTATATGACTTAAGAGGGCCAAAAGGACACTCCATTCACTAGGGCATTGAGAAATACATTAATTAGGTAATTCCCAATATCCTCAAAAAGCTCTGCAGTGTTTGTCTTCTCAACTGAAGATACAATGAGGGAAATAAACATGACATTGTAGTGTTGTCAGCAAATGAGACACGGAAAATTCTGGTTTAGATGTTAGGGTTTCTTAGAGTGTTCTTGCTTTGTACCTGAATGTAGCTTCCATACATAGAAAAAATAGTCAAAATACTGGTCACTTATCTTTAGAATGGAAACAGATCAGCCTGAACAGTGAGGAGGACAAAGAGCAAGAAAGTGATATTTTTGGAACTAAAAAGCGTGATAGATATACAAGACTCTTCAGTCTGAACTGAGTGATAAGAATACATGCTCTGAATTTTCTTAGCTCTATTTTTTGGCAGCAGGTGTATTATAAATATTAGTATGCTAATTATACACACATTGGAAACACACTGTTTCATTGGGACATATTGAAACATGTCATTGGGCATAGTAGAACATATTTGAAATAATAGAAAAAGGCACACAGCAATACACAGTTCCCAGAAATATTATTTTGAAACTAATATTAAATTTTAAGGCAATATTAAATATTGCTTATCAAACAAACACAACAATACAAAGTATTTAATGAGATAATGTGTCATATGTTCAGGGTTTTAGACAAAATAAAGAGATAAAAATTAATCTTGCAGATTTTTATGAGAAAGTAAATAGCTATTGTTATTCTATTCAGTGAAATTTGGGGTTTCTTTCATGCTTCTCTGTGAATTTTGTTTCTGAAGAAATATCAGATTATACAACTCAAAAATACACACTGTGCTTGTCATGACCAAAGCCATAAAACAGGTAATATTCTGAGAAGGACTTCACTAGAGTAAAGAAATTGATTTGCATGCAACTGACAGACAAGGTCGCACCATGTTCACATCTCAGGGAATGCAATATTTCATTATTTTAATTAAACTTTTTGAAAGATAAAATTTTGTGGAGGGGAATAAAGTAGGTTCAAGGTTATTATTTGGAAATGGAACTACTCTGGGATCAATTTGTAATGTCCAGAAAAGATGAAGATGAAAATATATCATGTAGGAGGGTGATTAATAACTGACATATTAAAAATTCCTGGTAAATCCAGATATAGAATCCAAGCTTGCCTTCTGAATCATGGTCTTTCCCACTACCTCACTTCTTTTCCTTAGCCGTGTGGAATACTGATCAATTTAAGAAAGTTATGCCTATATTCAAATGTAAACGAAAATATGCTATAGGATATGACCAGAGTTACCTAAGGGCCTATACTTACTAAAATGCCACCCTCTTTTATCTTTCCTTGCTATAAATAAAACCCAAATGATCTCAATTTATTTGACACCGTTGAATATGTTTTTTTTGTGTGTATTGTGTGTGTGTGTGAGTTTATGTGTTATTTGCCCTTTGGATTTTATCTTAGCATTGAGAAGTTAAAGAGGGATCCTAGCTGACAGACTTTAACATCTATTTTCATTGCAGAAACACTTTAATCTAGAATGTTAGTTTATTGATTATTTCTGTCTCTACTAGAAAACAGATGAAATACTGGGAAACTTATGACATCATTTCCTGTATGTCTTTCTATGAGAAGTGAGCAAACACAAACCTACTTAGGCAGATATTTCTTAAATTTCATTTTCTTTCCTTTGTTTAAATACTTTTTACCATTCTTTAGAACCTTACATCTTTTACAGGCATTTGTCCTTGAGTTATGCCACTGATTATTACTGATCAAGAGAAATGACTATACTCTTCAGATTTATAAATCAAGAACAGGATACTGCGATACTGTCCTATTTTCTGACAACTTATATTTTGAATAGTTGCTGACTTTATCTCCTACCCCATTCTAAACTCTTCACTATATCCATTGGGATCCCTAGTAAACCATTAGCAGAAGCCATATATTCTCATTTGTTTCTCTAACAGTTCACTTTATTTTCTTCATTTGAACTCGAGGTTCTGGAACTTTTTTGTTCAATGGACTACTTTGCCAGTCTGGTGCATGCTATAATTTCAGAATAATGTTTTTAAGTGCATGAAATAAAAATATTTGAAATGTATAAGGAATCCATATATATATGCCTTTTTCTTGCAGTATGAAATATATTGTTAATATAATATAGGAATTTATGTGCTTTTTAATTGACATAACAAAAATATCTGGCAGATAAAGACTAGTGGTGAAAGTAAATGACAATAGGAGGTACCTGTAACGACAAAAATTTTTGGCTTCCTGAAGTGAAAAAATTACAGATACTGCTGGTATGGTATGTGCTTGTTACTTACATTCAAGACAGAAGAAATACTAGACTTAAGCTAAGGATTAATAAAAATAAGTATATAATTTGGTGCCCCTCCCAGTTCATTCATCACTCATGTCCATGAATCTTTTCATTTTAATACTCTACAATTAAATCCTGTGGCAGCTGTTTTCTCTCTCACACCCTCATAGAAGTGGGTCTAAAGCTGGGATGGGTGTTTTTCTTTCCCTCTCGTAACTTTCAGATTACTCTACTCTCTTTCCTTTTTCCTTTTTTTTTTTTTTTTTTTTGAGACAAAGTTTCACTGTGTTGCTTAGGCTGTTCTTGAACTCCTGGCCTCTAGTGATCCTCCTGCCTTGGCCTCCCAAAATGTTAAGATTACAAGTGTGAGTCACTGTGCCTGGCCAGATTATTCTCCGTCTAATTCCTCACAAGACATACAGCAGTTCATTATCTCCTGTCATCACTCTATACAAAATATTACCTTTCCTTGTCACAATCATAAGCCAGTCTTCCTTCCTTGATTTTTGCTTTCTACCTGAAATTAAGTAGTTAAATATACTAAATTTCACCACCATTCTTTTTGCTAAAGTTCCCCTATCTTTTTGTTGGATGAAATAATCTTCTATTTTTTAAAAAAATTCATTCAGTAATCTTGTTTGTTGTATTTTTCTTTTTTTAAAATTTAATTATGGACATATAATAGTTGTACAGATGTATGGGGGTACATGTGAACCTCATGAAAACAGAGCAATATAAAGACCCCTGTTGAGAAGGGATAACATGAATGAGAAATATGCATGTCTCTTTAAGAAGAGGAACAGTCTTAATTAATGGATAACTATATAGAGTCAATAATTCAAGCATAAAACACTTTATTATAATAGCATATTGGGAATAGTCTTGTCTATTTGTATAAAAATGGTGAAGAAATAGAATATTTGGGATCCATGGAGACAAATAATTTATTTGCTAAATAACAAAATTTGGACAAGGCTTGAAATATATATAACAGTTAAGAGCTTCAGCTCTGGTGCCAGACAGCTGGAGTTGAAGCTTATTCTCAGTTTTAATGATTGTGTGATTTAAATTGTGCTGAATCTTTTCTTTCTCCAATGTGTAAAACATTGATCATAGTGCTATCTATCTCATAGAAATATTATACTTAAATAAAGTCTTGCATTTAAAATACTTAGAATAGTTCTTACCATATATACTCAAAAAATTTTAGGTACTATTATTATTGAATTTTTTGGCATTCCATTCAATAAATCACGATTCTCTTATCTAGTTGTTTTGCTATAGAGCCTTTATTAATGTGTCTTAATTACAATTTCCTATCCATAATATTTGGCCAAATTTCACATTTTATGATTGCCATAGTTTGAATGTTTGTATTTTCTTCAAAATTCATGTGGAAATGTAATCCCTAATGCAACAATATTAAGAGGTGGGGCCTTTTAGGAGATGATTATGATGGGTTTGCCATTATGATGGGATTAAAAGGCCTGAAGGGAACTAAATAGGTCTTTTAACCTTTCCCCTCTTCTGCCATGAAAAGATACAGCATTCAAGGTTCCATGTTGGAAGCAGTGACGAAGCCCTCACCAGACACCAAACCTGCCACTGCCTTAGTCTTGGACTTTCTAGCCTTCAGCACTATGAAAAAATAAATTTCTGTTATTTATAAACTACCTCATCTCAGATACTTTTTATAGCAGCAAAATGGACTAAGACAATGCCAGTCACATGAAATCATAAAATATGGCAACATAATAGTTATGGTTTAACAATTTGTTTTGTTTTCCATTACTCACTGAAAATGTAAACAAACTTAAATGGACTTAGTTGTTTTTTTCCTTCATATGTAGTTCTTTTCTTTATTCAATATTAATGCCCAGTGCATCTCATAATATTAATGGACAGGTGACTATTTTGTTTCTCTCTGCAATGGCATAAATAAAATGATTTTAACAGCATTTCAACTTAAACACAATAAATTATTTATTTATATTTGACAACACATCTAAATGTTCAGGTTAAGTAAAAATATTCTCAGATATATAGGTTTCAGACGTTTACTAAACATAGAACTTTTTTCAACATTTTGGAGGCTACATTAACAAAAACTATAATGGGGTGAGGAGATACCTATATGAATATGTGGAGTAAAGTTTATAAGAAATTTTGTAAGGCTTAGGATGTCAAAAAATTTTTTAAAAATAAGAAAAGAACATTTGTATACTATAAAAATCTTAAAACTCCAGTTGTAGGTAGAAGATCAACACATAAAACTGTGTTGTGTTTCTACACACCAGCAATCTGAACAGTGAATATAAAAGGTAAATTAAGAAAACAATTCCAAAATAATGAAATAACTAGGAATAAATTTCACCAAAGAAGCAAAATACTTATATACAAAAATTGATGAAACATTGCTGAAAGACATTAAGGAAGACACAAGTAAGTAGAAAGACATCCCATGTTCATGGATAAGATGACTTGATACTGTTAAGATATCAATACTACCCAAAGCAATCTAAAGATTCATTAAAATTCCTATCAAAAATTTCTACAGACTTCGTTTCAGAAAGAGGAAAACTAATGCTCAAATTCAGGTGAAATTACAAGGGAATCCGAATACCCAAAACAATCTTTAAAAAGGAGAACAAAGTTGGAAAACTCACATTTAATATTTTTATTTTATATATATATATATACATATATATATATACATATATATATATATACACATATATATATATATATATATATATATATATTTTTTTTTTTTTTTCCCTGTATGCCTCATTAAGTCTTCCCTGAGCCCTGGGCTGGCTTCTTCCATGGAAGATAGCAGAAGAAGCAAGGCTTGTCCCTGTTCACAGAAGATGCTAGCCAGATCAGGAGCTGAAGATAGCAAAAGAGGGAGAAGTCCAACCCACAGTCCCAGGCCCTGGTGAGTAAGGTCTGGTGCGAGGAGAAGGCTGATGATATGGAAGGGTGCTCCAGTCCTGCTTCTTCTGCTTGGAAATGGAGAATCCGGAGAACCTGGGGGATGCAAGATGGACAGGCTGCTCCTTGAGAACATCCAGTCTCCTAGAAAAAATGGGTGCTCTCAAGGTGACTGAATGAACTCAACTATGCCTTGTTATTTTAAAACCCACTGTCTGCTTTCTGAATTGACAATCAAGAATCCATGTGTGTCTTAAACAACAATTGTTCATTGTAGTAGAACCCACTGGGAGAAGCCTTTTGGCTCAGGAACTCCATCTAGCCACAGCTGATTGAATTAGGGGTGGATACCTAACCCAAGTGGAGCCAATCTTATTCTGTGCCCACTGCAATGTAAGATGTAAAATAGGTATTTTTGTCTCCTTGGATCAGTGCTGTATCTTTAGTGTCTAGAATTCTGCCTACCACACAGTAGGGGCTACATGAATATTTAATGAACAAATGAATGAATAAATAAGTCTCTGTGAGGAATTTGGAATTTTGACCTTGGAAACACAGAGAATGGCAGTTGTGGAAACTGAGTCACATTGGCTGCATAAGCTAGAAAGAACACCCACTCCTTCCCATGTCTGAGGTCTTCGGGTCTATCTCAGTCATGACTGAGTCCTGACTCTTTCTAAAGATGATTGGACTCCTCTTAACTTTAGGACAGATGGCTCAACATCCTAACTATAAAACTCCTTCCTCCTTTCCTGCTTACATTCATTTCTGTTGCAACCAAAAACCTTTAATGACATGCTGAGAAATTTTGCACCTTGACATATTCTGTTCCCCACCTTAGGAGCTTCTCTAGGAGTCATAATCACTCCTGGCTGTACCTTGGGCTGCATCCAGATCTGCCCCAATGCCACCACCCCCAGCTCTGTGGGCTCTGGCTCTAAGACTACAGGGACCCAGAAGCAGGAAAGAGTGGCATCATGGAATTCCATGTCCTTTAGGGCAGGTGGGAGGTACTATGCCTCTTCTCCATCCAAGACCGCTCACTACATCCTGTCCTCAGATATGGCTCTTGGGACCCTCAAGTCAGATACTCCTAATTTTTCATCTGCTTTTGCTCTACAGACAGAAAGAGGAGGTGCCAAAGAAATCTACAGATTCATTCAAATCCTTATTAAAAATTCTCACAGACTTTTTTTTTCAGAAACAGAAAAATTGATCCTCAAATCCATAAGAAATTACAAGAAACCTTGAATTTCCAAAACAATCTTAAAAATGGAGAACAAAGTTGGAAGGCTCACACTTAATATTTTAAAAATTCACTACATTACTTCTCAGCCTTTTGGCTAAGATCAAGTATAAAACTTACTACAAAGCTATGGTAATCAAGACTGTGTTTTATTGGCATAAGGATAGACATATAGATCAATGTAATGGAATTGAGAGTCTTGAAGTAAGCCCATATATCTATGACTAATTGATTTTGACAAGTGTGTAAAAATTCATTAGGGCATAAAGAGTCTTTTTGACAAATGATGCTAGGACAATTAGATATCCACATGCAAGAGAATGAAGTTGGACCCCTAACTCACGTCATATACAAAACTTAGCTCAATATGGATCAATGACCTAAATATAACAACTAAAACTAAATACACCTAGAAGAAAATTTAGTGGTAATCTTTATGACCTTGGATTTGGCAATGGATTCTTACATATGACATGAAAAAAGTAAGCCACAAAAGAAAAAATACTTAAATTGGACTTCACGCAAAATAAAACTTTTGTGTATCACAAGCCACTCCAAGAAAGTGAAAAGACGATGTATAGACTGGGAGAAAATATTTGCAGATCATATATCTGCGAAGGGCTTAAAATTCAGAATATGTAAAGAACCTCTACAACCCAACAAAAAATCCAATTTTAAATTGGGCAAAAGATCTCAACGGACATTTCTCCATTGATTTACAAATGTCTAGTAAACACATAAAAAGACGCTAAGCATCATTAGTCATTGGGGAAATGCAAACCAAAACCACAGTCACGTATTACTTCACATCCACTAGAATGGCTATAGTAAAAATCCTGGAAAATAACAAGGGTGGGCAAGGATGTGGAAAATTTGGAACTCTCGTACATTCTTGGTGGGAATGTACAACGATAAATCTACTGTGGAAAACAGTTTGGTGACTCCACAAGAAGCTAAGCATAGGAATTGCTGTATTATCCAGTAATTTCACTCCTAGTATACATTGAAAACAGGAACTCAAACAGATACTTATGTGCCAGTGTATATTGCAGCATAATTCACAATAGCCCAAAGGTAGAAATCACCCAAGTGTTTTTCAACTGATGAATATCTAAACAAATTGTGGTGTATACATACAATAAAATATTATTCAGTCATACAAAAGAATGATGGTCTGATACATGTTAAAATATTGGTGAGCCTTAAAAACATGCTTAGTAAACTAAACCAGACATAAAATGAGAAAATCTGTGTGATTCTACTCATATGAATTGCCTAGACTAGGCCAATTCATAAAGCCAAAGAGGAGATCAGAGGTCACCAGGAACTGTGGGAAAGGAAAAATAGGGAGTTACTGCCTAATGAGTCCAGAGTTTCTATCTGTGGTAATGTAAAAGTTTTGGACACAGAGGTGATGCTTGCACAACATTGTGAATGTAGTTAGTGCCACAGAATTGTACACTTAAAATGGTTAAAATGACAAATTTGTTATATAAATGTTATCACAATAAAATTAAAACAAAATAAATGTGTAAATTAAAAAATTAATATTCCAGACCATAAAAACATGCAGCATGGAAATGACTGTCATTAGATAAGAACAGGTTAAACTTTTAATTTTATATGAAATGAACATAAAGATACCAATTTTAAACCCAGCACATGAAAATTTGATATCAATAGAAACAGGAAAGGAAAAAGATCTGCAATAAAGCATTAAAATAGAGTAAAAAGAAGAAATGAGAAGATAGAAAACAATGCAATCACAATTGTATTGAGTGTAAAAATGTTTCTCAATAGTAATTTTGAGATTACATTATTAAATAAAGTGTCAAAAATGAAATATTTGTTTTCTACAAGAGACATTTAAAAATAAAATGCAGAAGTGTTGAAAATGCAGAGGTGGAAAACACACAATTTAGAAATGATAAATGCTTGAAGTGATGGATCCTAAATATCTTGACTTTTATTACACATTATATACATGAAACAAAATATCACATATACCTTACAAAGTTGAACAAATATTATGTATCAAAATAAAATAAAATAAAATGTAACAAAATTAGGGAATTTACCAAGGGTGAAATAAAATTTAAAGCAAAAATTTTCATGGCAAACTTTTTTAATATCAGTAAAAATAACCATAAAAAAGTAATGACCATGAATAAAAATGCAATTATCAACATTGCTTCAAATTAAATGCAACTACAAATAAAATAATTATGAGCATAAAGAAATAAATCAGTAATTGTAAGTGTAGGTTTACTAATTTAACTATTGGAAATTGTCATATATTAAAGACGTAAACAAGTAATATCATTAATATTGTTCATCTAATGCATATACATTTAACTTTAACACATCAAACTCATTTAAAGAAAATCATTCACAAAAATGGATCATGTATTGGGCCAAATGAATCTTATCCTAGGCCAAATATCATACACATATGCTGTCTGACTCAAATAAAATAAGATATCAATACAAAAGTTACCTTTAAAAATCTCATTATTGTTAAATATCTCTTGCATTAAAAGGAAAGTGTAAAGAATATTTTGAAATTATTTGAATTGAATACAATATAAGAACCATGTGCCAACATTTGTGGAATACATATAAGTTGATATTTGGGCAGAAAACATACAATTTTGAATACCTTTACTAAAAAAAAAAAGAAAGATTGGACAAAGCTAGTGAAACAAACAACTTTTGCCTTCAAAAGTATGGCAAACCATTATCCTAAGCAAATTAACACAGAAACCGAAAACCAACTATCACGTGCTCTTGCTTATAAGCGGGAGCTAAACATTGGTTCACACAGACGTAAAAATGGGAACAATAGACACTGGCGACTAAGTGGAGAGGGAGGGATGGCAGGGGTCAGGGGGCAAGGACTGTCAAACTACCTATTGAGTACCATGCTCACTACCTGGGTGATGGGTTCAATTATACCCCAAACCTCAGCATCAAGGAATATAACCTACTAACAAACCTGCACCTGTACCCCTTAATCTAAAATAGAAGTTAAAATTATTTTTATAAATTAAAAAAATCTGTATAAAAATATATGAAAAACCAGATGTCTGGAAAAATCCTTCCAGTCAGGAAAACATAAAGATACTGAAAAAGAAGCCTTCAGAAATATTTTTAAAGTGTATGGTCCAGCTGTCAAGAGAGTTAAAAAAGAATCCTCAGATGCCAAAAATAGTAGGAAAGTGCAAATCATGAGAGGAAACAGTGCTGAAGATAGAGTTAGTCCCTAACTAACTATCTTGGAGTTGGATAGAGGAGTTTATCGAGGAGACGGCATTGTCACTCTCCTTTAAACCAGTGTGTAAGTATTTTTTAATTTTGTTATGTTTTTAAATTGATGTTCCGCAGTGAAAAGGTATATGCAAAACTATCCCTAAAGGCTGAGGGAGCTGAGAGGCCAAAGAAAGAGTCTAACAATTCCAGTTTCTCAAAAAGAAATATTTATTGATTTATTTATAATTTTTACTTCAACAACTTTTTGGGTACAAGTGTTTTTTTGTCACGTGGATGAGTTATATAGTGGTGAATTCTGAGATTTTAGTGCACCCATCACCTGAGTAGTGTAAATTGTACCTAATATGTAGCTTTTTTATCCCTATCCTCCCTTCCAGCCTCCCCCTTTTGAGTCTCTAAAGACCATGATATCACTCTGTATGTCTTTGTACACTCATAGCTTAGCTCCCGCTTATAACTGAAACATACAGTTTTGGTTTTCCAGCCATGTGTGTTACTTCACTTAGAATAATGGCCTCCAGGTCTATCCAAGTTGCTGCAAAAGATATATATATCTTATACATATATATATCTATCTTATACATATATATATCTTATACATATATATATCTTATACATATATATCTTATACATATATATACACACACAATCTTTTTTAAAAGAAAGCAATATTTAATAGGAACTTATAAACAGAGGCAATGTCTTGGGTGGCCGCAAGATATTGGATCCCCACAGCCGCCCTCCAGAAAATATCCTTTATATATTAAGCTTTTTGGGTAAAACATGTGCAGCTCTTCATACCTCAGGCTCTCTTGCTAAAACTTATGACCATTAAGAAGGTTAGATAAGCATCTTTATGAGGGGCTCTCTATGTCACAGGAATTATTTAAAGAACTTGCTGCAGAACACATTGGCATGCAGGAGTTAAACATCAGTCGTTGTGGTAGTTTCGCTTCAGGATGGCATCACTCTTTCTACGCAATAGGCTATTTTCCTACGTTATATAATAATTACTGTACACATTTATCAGGTACATAGTGATGTTTTGAAACATACAATGTATAGTGATTCAATAGGTTAATAAGAAGATCTATCATCTTAAACGTTTATCATTTCTTTGTTGGGAATATTAAAATCCTCCTTCCTGGTATTTAAAACTATGTATTATTGTTAGCTATAGTCATCCTATAGTCCTATAAAACACTAGAACGTATTCCTCCTATCTAGCTGTATTTTGTATACTTTTACAAACCCCTATCCTTCCCAGCCTCTGGTATACTCTGCTCTTCTTTTTACTTCTATGAGATCTTCTTTTTTTAGTTTCCTTATATGAGCGAGAATATGTGGCGCTTAACTTTTTGTTTCTGGCTTATTTCAGGTACCATAATGTCTTCCTTTCCATCCATGTTGTAGCAAATGACATTTCATTTTTTAAAAAAAACTGTTATGGCTAAACAGTATTCCATTGTGTACATATACAGCATTTTCTTCATCCATTCATAAACCAGTGCTTATGTTTTAAAAGACCATATGCATGTTGGATAAGATACCTGGTTTGGACTTCTCCAAAGTTAGAAGTGAGATTGGATACTATCAACAAGCCAAGATCCCTGAAAGGCAAACCCTTAATAGGCAAATGAGAAAATAATATACGTCCAACAAAAGGCTAAAGTAGGAATACTTAACACTCAGCCAGGGCAGTGAATTGAAAGGGGAATGTAAAGGGGAATGAAAGAGGAATGTTGCTCTAAGAATTTGTTATAATAGCCTTTCACTCATGTATATTTGGGGCTAGAAGTTGAATTCTACATAGCCTAAATCATTACAAACTGAAAAGTTTAGCTTAAAGAAGTTGATACTGGAAGTGATCCCAGTCAGCCTTTACAAAGTCAAACTTTTTCTGGCAGACGTCACTGTAAACCTGATCTCAAAGAATTCCCACAGATAATATTCTAATAAAACTGAGTTCAAAATAAAATCATAAAACATGTGAGGACCAAACCAATATAATTGAAAGTTAGTACAAACAACAAAGTTAGTAATCAGAGCTACAAAGGCAGCAGATATCAGAATTAGAGCTTCTGCAGTCTGTGCAAATGCTAAGGAAGGTTCTTTCTCTTTCCCTTGTTTCTCAAAGCAAGTATGACTAAACAGATATTTTTTCACAGGCCTCATCTTTTATTTAATTATATTTTTCATATGACATAAATTATTGCATAGAAAATTACATAATACTACAAGAAAATAAAAATTATCTATAATCCCAATATCTACAGGTAAAGAACCTAGACATCCAGTTTATGTATAAATCTAATCAAAACAGATTTTTTAAGTAACATGCTTATTATCTGTCATCTATCTATGTTGAGATCTATTTTACAACGTATGTAGAAACATGTTAACAATGGTTAGTTGAGTACTGCAAATGTGCATAATCAATTTCTTCTTTATATATTTTTGTGTTTGCTAATTTTAGATGAAACTGTATTTTATAGTACAAAATGGAGCTTTTGATGAAAGGAACAGGTATCAGTAAAAATAAGCTAATATTGGCAAAAATAGCAGAAGAAAACATAAATCAATATGAGATCATGTAAATTACCCACCTATTGCCCCAAACATTACAAACTAGTTACTTACTAAACAGCAAATTAAGAAAAAATCATAACACATATATGGCATAGTGTTAATGTATAAACTAGTCACAAAATTGGTAAGAAAAACTATAAGACATGAAAAAATAAGGAGAAAACAAATGAACAATTCCCAAAAAGTATATGCTATTGGTTAATCCCGTAGTAATGCTTAACTTCACTAGTAATCAAATATATGTGAAGTAAAGATATTTTTGCAATCAAAGTAGTGACATTAAAAATAATAACCTGTTTGATTTTGAGACTGCAACAGGACGGATATTTTTTCACTATTAACATATAGGTTTATTATATCTACAGAGCAATTTATCAATTCTGCAAGGAATTTATCAAGTTTCTCCCCATTGGAATTTTCCTTAAAAATAATTTACATACTGCTGTCTCTATATATTAGTCACACTGGACCTTTAGTTTCTGGACTACCCTCTACTCCTTCTTGCTTCAAGGCCTTGACATGATGGTTTCCCACCCCAAATTTCTCCTCTTTTGTCCACCATACTCCTACACATTATTAAGATATCAAATTAAACCATCTTAACCACAGTGACATCTTGTCCATTCTCATGACCAGGTCAGGTCAGCATCCTATAGTTTTTCTCTCCCAATATCATAAATATCATTGTTTAAGTTAGCTAGCTATTCATTTGTTTTCTATTAGAATATATTATCCATTATATTGGTATGTTGTTCACTACTATATCCTCAATACCTAGCCAAGTTAGCATTCAAATAGTATTCATATGAATGAATAGTATTCACTCTCTATAATACTCATATTATGTTTATTTCTAAAAGTGGAAAACTGAAGACAACTTAAACGTAAACGATATGATAAACACTAAGTATATTATTGTATATTTGCAAGGGGAGTTATTATGTACCCCTTAAAAAGATTATTACAAATAATTTTTGAAAACATGGGAAAATGAATAAATTCTACATAATCAACATAATCTATACAGAGAACATAGTTCTTTATACAATATAATTTCAAATGAGCCAACCTGGTATATTTGGTTGAAATAGGCAGCAGCATTAGGTTTTTTTTTCTGTTATCTCTTAACTATCTGTACATTCTAAACACAATAGTTTAAAAATATAAAAATATTGATTTGGAAACCTGACATAGAAAATTAATTAAGTCCTTATATTTGGAAATATTCCACTCATTAGGCCATAAGTATGAGATCAAGGCACTTTCGGAAGTTGCCAAAATAAGTCACTGAGTTTATAACCTGGGTTGGACATAAAAGTTAACTTTAAAACTCAAAATTTGAAACGTTTCTGTGAGTGCAAGTTTGTGTATATGAATGTGTGTGTGTGCATGTTTATGTGTGTGTGTGTATGAAGCCTGAAGACAGAACATTTCATATTTCACCCAGATTCTATCCTGTGTTCATCTTGTGTCCTTTGGTCAGGGACTGTGTTGAATCTTGCAGCCTTTGGATCGATGCTTCTAGAAAAATCTTTACTCAACTTTAATTGGTTCATAACCTGCCTTATCTCAAATCACTGATTTTGAAGAGCATATTTATTTCATCAGTGTTTTGATCCCATATCCCTCAACTAGACCCTTGTTTCCCTAACTATATTTCACAGAACTACATCTACTCCTCTGACTACTTGCTACACATCGTACACCAGTAAAAAAGGATGTTAGATTCTAAAAAATGAAAAAAAAACCTTTAAATAATTAAAATAGCATTCTGTAAAGAAGTACCACCATCTATCCTCACTTCCATGTTCTAAATGTCAAGATTGATCTAATTTTCTTTCTTTCTTTTTTTTCCTTTGGGTTTTCTGGGAGAATGGGTGTCCTTGCTTCAGAAAAGTCAGGTAAAGCACAACAAGAAGTTTTATTTTAGAGCTTATTCTCACCGTTATAATCTTTACAGCGAATAGTCTCCAGGCTGATGGTCTTCCTCTAGGAAGTTTGTAGGAAGAAGTTGCAGGGTGGGGAAGCTGACTAAGCCACTGAATTTGCATGTGAGATTAAAATCTCCTCAAAGACTGAGATTCCCTGAAACATAGTCAAAACAATTATGGAAGATTTCAGTGATCTTTAATGACACAGTTAAAAAGACAATGCAAGAATGCAGTGCAATGAAACAGATCTTCAAGGATTTATTCACTGGATTCCTTTCGTGGAACATCCATCTCTTCCCAAGGTGTCTATGTGACTCTGAGATTTTTCCTTTTCTCACAGCACTTCAATTGCTGCAGTACCCTCAAAGAGGCTTGCTTTAGCTTGCTGTTTCCTAGAATTAAGATAAATGAGTGACCCCAGGGATAGATGGCTGTGGTTGTCATTCCAAACATAAGCAGCAGTTTGTTTTCTCGCACAGTAAAACATGATATTTCTATGGCCATGCCTATAAAATACAAGATAAAGAGGATGATGAAAGATATCAAAACTTTCATTGCCTTCACATGAGCTTCTGTGTTGGAGTCTCTCAATCCTGTCACATTCGATTGCATCTGCCTGTTGTGTCTCCAAAGGGAAATGATTAAAAAAATACATGTAATTAGGGATAGTGTAAAGAAGAAAATGACTCCCAGATTTAGCAAAATCTGTTTAATAAAGTATTCACTTTTATACATGTTGAGATCCCAGACTGTGTCATTCTTCGTTTTATAATCATTAAGAATCTTCGCAATGTATGCAAAATTAAGTAACGATGAAATAAGTAAGAATACTATCATGAAGGGAAGAACCATATTTGTTCTGCTCTTCAACCAGAGAAATATGTAGTTGGAAAAATTTGCTATCTTCAGGAAATAGAAGATGCTGAGGCTGGTGGCAAACCACATACTTGATTGATTACCAATTACCCAAAAGTAACTAATATATTCAATTAGGTTACCGGAGGCATATATATTTGGAGAGAATATCTGTATAAATCCATCTGTAATTATTATCCATATCAGAAAAATTCTTGAAATAGCTAAGCCGGTGAGAATAAAGCCAATCGTAGATAACTTATTCTTGGCACAGTCAATGCAGTTTACAAGTCCAATAAATCCATTCCCCAAAACCCCAAACACTGACTCACTAACTACAACAAAAATGAAGATGCCTTCCACTACACGTAGCATATCTGCTAATTCTTAATATTGCTTCTGTTACATCTATCTTAGATTACCTGCTGCAGAATGAGGCATATATTGGCTGCTCGACGGAAGTGTGACTTTCTTCTCTTTCATTATATAAAGACTTGAAATTGCCCCAGTAATGGCTTGAGATGGAATCAGAAATTTCTTAATGAAGACCTTTCCAAATATGTCTACAAAACATAGCTAGTCTGGAGAATGTATGTTCAGACTGAATGCCTATCTATAATTTGTTAAAATGCAAATGAAAGTTTCTGTTTCATGGATTTTACATGTCCTCCTGAGACTATTTTGCATTTAATAAATTGAATTGTGGAGGAGGAGTGCCAAACATATACCTATAGAATGTAATGCAAAACAGAAACAAAAATTTTGACTTTATCTTTTAAAATATCAAATCATTATTTATGTCATTTATAATCAATTTATATATGTACAGAAAATACTATATAGAAATGAAAAACAAATTTAGCCACTGTAGATACTTACTCTAAATGATCGATTTAATTTTTAATTAAAATTTAAGCTCAACTCTAGGTATGACAAGTTTCACAAATATGTCACAAATCTGTTGCTGTTGTTTTATACTTATGGTTATTACACCCTTGAATGCAGAAGATTATGTTGACTACCCTTGACATGAAAGGCTCTTAGGAATAATCTCTTCATTTAACACATTACTGTTTGCTGGCACCCATTCATTTATCCAACAAGTATTTACTGAATGTCTAGATACAACAAGCTCTCTTTTGATCTTTGAGGGAATATAGTGGTAGACAGAATTTCAAAACTTGTGTGATTTATGGAGTGTATATTCTAATGAGGGAGGTGGGAAACAATTAAGTAAATCAACATACTGATCTAAGAATTAAAAGTGAAATTAAAAGTGAAATCTAACATTTATTGAGCTTTTATTATATTCCTAGCGCTATGTTAAGTATCTTTTTCTCATCTTAATTTCACAAGCCTTCAATCCTTTAAAAGAGGGGCTATTTTTGTATTTACATTAAATATGAATAAACTAAGCTTTGGAGAAAAGAAGACCTTCTCTCACTTATCCTGGCATGACTACCATAAATAAAATTGCACAATGATTTCAAAATGAAGTTAAATTAAGCTTAGGAATAGACTACAAATGATAGCAAAACAAAACAAACCAACCAAAAGCAAGTAGAAAACTTAAATTCTCATGGGCTGCACATACTGAAATTGACAGATAAGAATATGTATAGATAAATTAGCTAATGTATACACTGTTTACAAAAAACAAGATGCAATTTCAGAGAAGAGCAGCAAGAGACTGTTAGAAAGAAATTGGAACATTTGGGGAAAAAACTTCTAGAAATGGAGAATATAATTATATAAAATGTAAATGAACTAAATACTCCAAGTAAAAAATTAATAGTAACAAAGAAGAATTTAAAACTCTGACTGTATACTGCTTACAAGAAACACAATTTAAATATAGAAAAGGAAAACTTTAAAGTAAAATTATGGAAAAATAAGCCATGCAAACATCATCCAAAAGAAATCTGGCATAATTATAACAATATTCTATAAAGCAGACTTTAAGGTAAGAAGCAGCATTAGAGAAGAAATGGGGAGTGTACTTTATAGTGATAAAAATGCTCAAATCTACAGAAAGGTAGGGTAATCCCAAAAATTTATGAACCAAATAATCTACCAAACATTTACAGAAAAGGAAAAATAAGACAAATCTACAATCACAATGAAAGACTGTAAAATACATAACTCAATAACTCATCTTAGAAACACCAAAAATCAATAGATGGAAAATACATGAAAAAACAATTGACAAACTTGTGTTCAACGGTAAAATAATTCATATTCTTTTCAAGTGCACATAGACTATTTTTACCAAGACTGATCATGAATCCAAAAGAATATCTCACAAGTGTTGAATGTTCTCTGAATTCAAAGGAATAAAATGAAGTTCAATAATAAAAAGATAACTAGAGAAAGAAACAATTTACTAAGACAAAAAACCTGTAAATACTCTTGAGTCAAAGAAGAAATAACAAAAATTACAAAAATATTTTTAAGTAAATAATACAGGTTGTGTATCCCTTATCTGAAATGTGTGAGACCAGAGAGCTTTGGATTTCGGATTTTTTTTTCTTTTTTTTTAAGTTTTGGAACATTTGCATCATACTGATTAAGCATCTCGAATTCAAAAATTTGAAATCCAAAATGTTCCAATGAGCATATCCTTTGAGCGTCATGTCAGCGCTCAAAGAGTTTCAGATTTTGGAGCATTTCAAATTTCAGATTTTTGGATTAGGGATACTCAACGTGTAATAAAGAAATGACCTATTAAAATTTACATAATCCAATTAAAGCCATTCTTTGAAGGAAATTTGTAGCCTTGAATGCATCTTTTAGAAAGGCAGGGTAAAAACAGATGAATTTTGTTTTCATCTCAAGAAGCTAGAAAGCTAAGAGTGAAAGAAAATAGAAGTCAAGAAATTATAGTAACAGCAGAAATCACCGATAGAAAAGAATTAGGTACAGTAATATACTAATGTTGGTCAAAAGAAAATACAAATTACTACAGTCCTTAGAGATATCAGAAATATGGCCTGGGTGTGGTAGCTAATGCCTGTCATTTCAGCACTTTGGGAGGCCCAGGTGTGAGAATCACTTGAGTCCAGGAGTTTGAGACCAGCCTGGGAAACATAGCAAGACCTTATCTCTACTAAAAAAAATAAATAAATAAAAATAATTTAGCAGGGCATGGTGGTGTGCACCTGTAGTCCCAGCTACTTGGGAGGCCGAGCAGGAGGATTGCCTGAGCCCAGGAGTTTGAACTTGCAGTGAGCTATAATTGGGCCACTGCACTCCAGCCTGGGTGACAGAGTGAGACCTCATCTCTCTCTCTCTCTTTCTCTGTCTCTCTCTCTCTCTCTCTATACATACATATATATACATATATATATATACATATACATATATATATATATATAATACTATATAATATAGTTACATATCCTTGTATATAATCTTTTATTATAAGACAATACTGTGAACAACTTTATACAAAATTTCATCAAGAATACTTATAAGACTATTACAGGCTAATATAGCCTGAACATAGATGCAAAAATTCCAAACAAAATAGAGTCCAGCGATATATAAAAGAATAATTCATTATAACAAATGGAGTTTTAAAAGCCAATTGTGAGATTAAAATGAAATAATTGAAGATACAGTCAATTAACACAAAAGAAAGCCAGAAAAAGGACAGAGGGACAAAAATAAGTGAGATAAATGAAAAACATTGAGCAAAATGCAAGACTTACAGCCAACCATACTGATAATTACATTAAACATGATTTGACTAAACACTCTGATGAAAAGATAGAGATCATCAGAATGAATAAATGAAAGCACAATTAAATGTTATGCCTAGAAGATAAAACATTAAACATAAAGGCACAGATAGATTGAATGTAAAGGAAAGAAAAAGCTATACTATGGAATTTGTAACCATAGAAAGCAGGACTGGTTCTATTCTCAAAGTGGCTATATTATCAAGACAAGTAGTAGAAAAATAGAGGGAAGTTGTATAATGATAAAATATTCAATTTATCAAAAATACTTAACAATCCTGAAGGTGTATCAGACTAATAATTGTGACTCAAAATAAATAAAGCAAAATTAACAGAACTAAAGCAAGTGATAGGCATAGCAAAGATTTAAAAACCCCTTTGCTGTGATCTGCATGTGTCTCCTCCAAAGTCTATATGTTGAAACTTAATTGCCAGTGTGCCAGTATTAAGAGATGGTTCCTTTAGGAGGTAATGAGGGCAGACCTCTCATGAATGAGATTAATGACCATTTTGATGTGCATTCTAGGTATGTTAACTCTACATGCCTTAGATTGTGCAATAGTAACTGGGCTCTTATGAAAGGGTTTTAACAACTTCCACAAGTTCTAGACTAATTTCTGCAGTTACATCAGCAGCAAAAATATTCACAAAAACAATGGTGCCACTGCATTTCAGCCTGGGCGACAGAGTGAGACTCCATCTCAAAACAAACAAACAACAAACAAAAAACATAAAGTAACTGGCTAAATCCATATTATTACAGAGACAAGATTGTTACCTAGAGGAAATAAGTGGTTTTCATTCTATTTTGCTTACTTCTGTTAAATTTCTAACATCCACCTTCTGTAGATCTGAATGAGTGGATTACAACTTATTCACACCTCTTTTTTATATATAGGTGATTATTTTCTCTTTAAAATATTTTAAAAACTATTTTAGAGGTCAGTCCTGGCCCAGGAAGAATTTATTTATTTTATTTTATTTATTTATTTATTTATTTATTTATTTATTTATTTATTTATTTATTTATTTTTGAGACAGAGTCTCTCTCTGTCGCCCAGGCTGGAATGCAGTGGCGCGATCTCGGCTCACTGCAAGCTACACCTCCTGAGTTCACGCCATTCTCCTGCCTCAGCCTCCCCAGTAGCTGGAACTATGGGCACCCGCCACCACGCCTGGCTAATTTTTTGTATTTTTAGTAGAGACGGGGTTTCACCGTGCTAGCCAGGATGGTCTCGATCTTCTGACCTCGTTATCCGCCCACCTCGGCCTCCCAAAGTGCTGGGATTACAGGCCTGAGCCCGCACCCGGCCAGGCCCAGGAAGAATTTAAATGGTACTTACTCAGTGACACAGGACATATACAAAAAAAGAGTACGATGAAGCAAGAAAGATTACACCAAGACTTCTTGTTGACTTCTCTCTGAGGCCTACCTGTGTAGCTAAGAGTGCCCGTCCTTTCAGGCCACATTTCAGGTGCCAGAGAATCCCCAAGAAAGTTTTCTTCATTTGGCCGTATCCAAAAATCACAACATATGAGTGACCCAAAGAATACTGACTTCATATCATAAACCAGATATCACAACCAGTTTGTTCTGTAGCAAAAAATACCCCTGTAAATGTCAAGAAAAGGGCAAATTTTTATAGAGCAACAAGACAAAAAAGGAAAACCGTTTTCTTGGCTCTGAAATGGGCCCGTATACTGGGGTTCTGCAATCCCTGAAATTGAACCTAATGTGTTTCATGTGTCTTCACGAAGAAAGGAGTAACAACAAAAAGAAAATCGAAGAAATAGAGAAAGAAGAGAGAGATCCAATAAAGAAGATTATTATATTATTAACATTTTTATTATTACTTACATTGAGTAATCCAGTCATATGTCTTTCATATTTTTTTGGACACGATACCAGAAGACATCAAAAGTGTACGTCAAAGGAAAGTTGGTAAACAGAAAAGGCAGATACCAGTGGAAGTATGAAAGCTACCTTGTTAATTCTCCATTTTAGCCAAAAGTAAAAGAGATAGGAGAAATTGACGATCTTTAGGAAATAAAAGACAGCAAGACAAGTAGCAAATCAAGTGCACAAGTGGTTGGCCAGTCTCCGGACAATGGTAAGGATATGGTTTCTTTCCCTAGCATCAGGGATTTTCTAATAGAAGAATATTGATTCTGGCTAAGGCCAAACTAGTAAGAATGAAGCCAACCATGCATAACTTCTGATTTCTCATCCAGGCAATGCAATCTGTGAGTCCAATGAATTAATTTCCTACATTCCTTTTATAAATCCCCTACCTATTACAGTCATGAAAACCTCCAATATATTCAACATGGCTACAAAGCGAAAATTCTGATCTGCAGTTTGTTGTGTGACTAATTTTCAGATGACTTACTGGATAATAACATAGATCTTATGTTTGATTGTGCAGTGTTTTTATTTTATCATGGCTTTTCTTTTTAGCTATAAAGTTTAGCAAACTGCAGTAAGACAGTGAAATCACTCTCTGTAACATTCATTGAAAATTTCTAACTACCTCTGCTAAGAATTTCCAGTCTTGGTCCAGCTGTCAGCTACAAACTGTAAATTTCTTTATAGAAAGATGATCACACTCTGGGGACTGTTGTGGGGTGGGGGGAGGGGGAGGGATAGCATCGGGAGATATACCTAATGCTAGATGACGAGTTAGTGGGTGCAGTGCACCAGCATGGCACATGTATACATATGTAACTAACCTGCACAATGTGCACATGTACCCTAAAACTTAAAGTATAATTTAAAAAATTAAATAAAAATAAAAAAATAAAAACAAAATTAAAAAAAAAGAAAGATGATTGACAAACCAAATTATCATTTGCTAACATGTAAATAAAGACACAGACTAATTTTCATTGTTTTGAATAAAATTAGTTCTCCTCTTCCAATGAAGTGTTTCATTTGATTTACAAATCTGAAGTTTGAAACAGAAACCTTTCACCACATTAAAATTATTCAACATGTAGGGAAAACCAGCAATCCTTATGCTAATTAATTATAATGCAGTCACAGTGTAGATTGCTACATTACAAAGTAAAATACAGAGCTTGAAATTTTCAAGAAACTTGGTGGGCAATATATGAATCTAATATGAGTATCATAATTATCAGGAAAACTTCCCCCACCGCTCCCCACCCCCCACTATAAAGATGCAGGCCTTTCAAATAATCTGTCAGTAGCATTTTAAACACATTTTTAAAAATGATGTCTTTCAGTGAAACATAAGCACCCCAAACTAAACATGGAAAAAGTGAACTTCTTTTGTTTCCTCAAAAACAAGATTCTAGCACTTTGGGAGGCTGAGGCAGGCGGATTGCTTGGGCCCAGGAGTTTGAGACCAGCTTGGGCAACGTAGCAAAACCCCGACTCTACCAAAAATACAAAAATTAGCTAGGTTAGGTGTGTTGGCACACGCCTCTGATCCCAGATACACAGGAGGTGGAGGTGGGAGGATCACCTGAGCCCAGGGAGGTTGAGGCTGTAGTGAGCCACGAAAAAAAAAATGTTTTTTTTGAGATATAAGAGTCTTCAAATATTTCCACAGAACTTTGTTAAGGTTACATTGTCTTGAGGGGAAAATGCTTAAAAAGTCATGAATATACTTAGGATGATCTGTTATGTGTATATCCATATACACAGATATAGGTACATATATGGCTACATATACATAAACATATACATGTATACAAATACACACAGACACATCTATTTATACACACATTGTACTGTGTTTTGTCCTCTACTTCTCTGTATTTTAGCTTGTCTGGTTTTTGTTACTTGGATTGCTTCTTTTTTTGCATTATTTTATTATTTTTAATAAACGCAATAATTGTACATATTTATGTGATACAGTGTGATATGTGAATACATTTATACAATGTGTAATGATCAAATCAAGGCAATTAGCATATCCGTTTCTCAAATATTTAACATTTCTTCGTGTTGGGCACATTCAAAATTTGTTTTTCTAGCTCTTGTAAAATATACAATAAATTGTTGTAATTGTAGTCACCCTACTGTGCTATAGAACACTAGAACTTGTTCCTTCTACCTGGCTATACTTTTGTATTCATTAACCAACCTTTGGCTATCTCCCTCTCCCTTCTCCCCTATCACATCTCTAGGAACCATTATTCTGCTTCCTACTTCTACGGAATCAACTTTATTAGCTTCCACATATGTGTGAACATGTCATGTTTGTCTTTCTGTATCTGGCTTATTTCACTTAACAGATGTTCTCCAGTCTCATGGATGCTTCCATAAATGACCAAATTTCCTTCTTTTAATGGCTAAATAGTATTCCATTCATTATGTGTATATATCATGTTTTCTAATCCATTCAAATGTTAATGGACACTTAGGTTGATTTCATGTCTCGGCTATTATGAATGGTGTTGCAAAACACATGGGAGTGCAGATATCACTTCGACATATTGATTTCCTTTCCTTTGGATACATACCCAGTGGTGGGATTGCTGAATCATATGGTAGTTATATTTTTAGTTTTTAAGAACTTCCATTCTGTTCTCCATAATGACTAAACTAATTTATATTTGTACCAACAGTGTGTAAAACTTCCTCCTCCACATCCTCACAAGCATTTGTGTTTTTTTGTCTTTTTGAAAATAGCCATTATAACTAGAATAAAATAATATCTCATTGAGGTTTTTATTTGCATTTCTCTGATGATTAGTTATATTGAGCACCTTTTTATATACCTATTGGCCATTTGTATGTCTTCTTTTGAGAGATATCTATACAGTTAATTTGCCCATGTTTTAATCTAATTATTTGTGTTTTTGACTGAGTTCCTTCTATAGTCTGGATATGAATTCCTTGATAAATGAATAGTTTTCAAATATTTTCTCTTATTCTAGAGGTTGTATCGTCAGTCTGTCGATTGTATATTTGTGTATGCTTTTATCAAATCAACATAATGTAAACTAAATGAGATAAAGCTAAAATGGTCATCGCTTGCTTAACAT